>NC_000002.12:223114618-223739618 GCF_000001405.40 Homo sapiens
ACATACTGGAGAGTAGGGAGTGGAGGGGTGAGCTTGTAGAAGTTCTTTGGGGACTGGCCGGGCGCAGTGGCTCACGCCTGTAATCCCAGCACTTTGGGAGGCCGAGGCAGGCGGATCAAGAGGTCAGGAGATCAAGACCATCCTGGCCAACATGGTGAAACCCCGTCTCTACTAAAAATACAAAAATTAGCTGGGTGTGGTGGCATGCCCCTGTAATCCCAGCTACTTGGGAGGCTGAGGCAGGAGAATCGCTTGAACCTGGGAGGCGGAGATGATTGCAGTGAGCCGAGATTGCGCCACTGCACTCCAATCTGGCGACAGAGGGAGACTCCACCTTAAAAAAAAAAAAAAAAAAAAGAAGAAGAAGTTCTCTGGGGACTTGGTTGGAGCCGGACCTGTCCGATATGGTTTCCAATCCAAACTTCACCTTTAAGGAAGTCTTCTCATGTAGGGAAACTGAGGTAGAAGGAATCATGCCTGCTGTGGTTTAAGTTTCTTGAGGTCAGGCACTTCCTCTTTTCCCAGCACTGTAGGAAGCAGTCATTTAATTTTGAGAATGATGACAACTGCATAATTAGTAGGAGGATATTAAGATAATAAATTGTGTTTAACTTGAATATTTTAAAGAGTTTATTAGTGTTTTACATTTTGGATTGGGGGTCAGATGCTTCATAATAATCTTAAATCACTAAATGAAGGATTCATGACTCAGATATTCTTTGGAAATCTTTGATATCACATGGCAGCCTTCAGCAGCCTTACCAGAACATTGTATTCTTGACTGGCTAATGCATTTTAGAAGGAACTTCATTTCTTTTGAGGTACTACAAAGAGTCACTGGAATGTTATCAGGTCCTCATGATATGAATTATGTAAAAAGTAGCCGCATTGATCTTGTTCTATAATGAAAAACTTAATGTCTAAAACCTCTGAGGGAGATTACCAAAAATTCTTCACATTTAAGATAGCCATTGGGATGCAAAATGTAGTCACCAATGTTTGCTGTGCTCCAAGACACTGCTAGATTCTTCACACTTATTACCAGTGTTTAGAAAACCTGTAGGAACAAGAATAGGGCAGCTCAGATGCCAAAGATCATCAAGCATTGCAAGAGAGGTAGCCAGAGAGATTTCATTCGCATAAATTAAAAAAAAAGTCTCAGTAAGCCGCAACTGTGGTTCTCTTTGTTTTGGTTCATGCGAGCATCTTGAAGACCAAAACTTTCTGGAAGCATAGACCTTCCCCACATTTTGTGACAGAGTGATGACACATACTTGTCATTTGAGAGGCACCATGCTATAGTGAAAGAAGCCAGATTTGGAGTCACCGGCTATACACTCTGTAATTTACATCTTCTGTTACCTGACCTCCCTGAGCCTTCGTTTTCTCATCAATAAACTGAGGATCAAAAGGATCCTCCCAAAGTTGTTATGAGGCTCAGTGGACCTCCAGAAGGGATGGCACTGATTAGCACTGACTAAGATTCAGTGATTGAGAATCACCAAATGACAGTGATATCACTGATTGAGAATCAGCACAAGCCATAGTCACCACTATCCATGGTGGTCTGAGGGTGGGCTCTCCTATCTGGCCACCTGTGGTCAGATCCTGAGCTAGCCTCTCAGTGGTTGCACAACCTTTGGCAAGTTAGGCATTCTGAGCCTCAGTTGTCTAAATCAGTAAAATGCCAATCATACAGTAATGACAGCTGTTTAACGGGGTTGTTAAAGGAGTGCGTGAATAGTGGAAAGTGCTTGCAATAGTGGAAATATTATAGTAGAACAGTGGAAAGTTCATATTAGGCCTAATAAACATTAACTTCTGCTACCACTGGGTAGTATTCCAGATTATACAGCTAAAATGCTTCAAATCAGAGATTCCAATTTTGGGGCTTTTCTTATCTCTAATATCCTAAGCCCAACCACCTCTTTTCATTTCTTAAACCGAAAGCTGTGGAAATAGTCATTTTTCCTCATAGGCATTATATAAAATATCACAGATCCTGTAGGTAAACAGTTATGTATAGTTTTTCTTGGCTCACTGCTTAAAATGGAAAAACAGAGGAATCTGTTGCCTTTCCTCTTGTTAATTTCGTGTGCGTATGGAGCCCATAGCTTGAGAATAATTGTCTTGAGGACAAGGGCAAAATCTTTTATCTTTATTTTATGCACAACTTCTGCATGATCTCAGTGGTTAGTTGAATAATTGTTGGTAGACTTATTTTGGATTGAGTCAATTTTCTATTCCCAGTGCTATAATGAGGTATAATGAGGTGTATGAGGGAAATAGGTAGTATTTTCATCCATTTGGACTCACTTCTGTTAACCCCACTTATTTAATTACTCAGAAATATTCATTAATTTAACAAATATTGAGGCTGCTATGCACCAGGTGCTTTGATGAGTACTAGGGAGAGTAGCAAGTCAGACATAGACCCTGCCGTCATGGGGCTTGAATTCTAACTTCCTATTATATACACAATGAGGTTCATATGATATTAAGAATCATTTAAATCTACAATTGTAAGGCACACTTAAATTTTGAGTATGTTTTGAGTTTATCATACATCTTCCCCTTTGTACCTTGTTCACCTTTTTAGGTCTCCAAATCACTTCCCTAAAATATTCCAGCCAATTTTCTTTAGTGCATTTCTGACATTCAAATAAAATTGTGGCTTTTAATTAAAAGGCAAGGTATTCCATTGAAACTTTTTCTATTAAATTTTAGTGGAACACTACAATAGTAGGTAAACACCAGACAAATGAATCCTATTTAAACATGGATAATATTCATCTACTTCTTTCTTAGAGCTTCCTGTAAAAATCAGGAAGACTCTTCAAACTTTACTTTCACAGGCCTGTACACTGCTGGAGGAAGGAGGTCCAAAGGGAAAAATAATTTGCAGAAGGAAAAACACCATGGAGATGGAAAAAAAAAAAAAAAAAACAAGTATTAAAACACTTGAAACAAAGGAATGGGTCACAGCTTGAAGAAGAGCTCTGGTTGAAGACCGGAAAACACCAGGGGTTAGCATAGCGGAAAACACATATAAACATATTTTAGTTTTGAGAAATGGCTCATAGGAAATTTAATGTCTGTAAAAAGTCCCCTTTTATTTCACATAGGAAGGAGGGTTAAATAGCACATTTAAAAGCACATTTAAAAGCACTGGGAAATCCCGTCCCCAAGGGTCTCAGTTCACTTGAACTCAGCTACCAGTTGCAGAGAACCTGCTTTGTACCAGGCACTGTGCTCCAGATGGAGACACAGGAAGAAGGAGGAGATCCAGTTCCCAGTCTGGAGAGGCTTCCGGTCCATTATGGAAGAAGATGTCTAAGCAGGAAATTCCTCCACACTGTGATCTGATTTGTGATGCAGGGAGGACTTCGTTACCATGGGTGTGCTTTGAAGGAGGTGTGGAGCCTGGGGTGCAGGGAGGGGGTACATAGTGGAATTTCTGGAGCAGGTGATGTATCTCCAAAGGGTGGGTAGTGGTCTTACATCAATTAACATAGTACTTTCATTTTGAAAGACTTTTAAGAAACTGAATGCGGACATCCATGAGATGATGCATACGACTGAAACTTTCCAAGTTGAATATTAAAGGTAGTAATCACATCCTGCGTCTAATTCCCTTCTTGCCAAAGAGCAGAGGCAAAACCATTGAACAACTGCATACAGTAATTCACCTGCAAATATGTTGATACAGGTTCTGCCAACTGTATTCTCTGAATAGTGCATTCTCCCCAGATGACTTTCTGTTAATTGGCAACTATGGGAGTGTCCTCCTTAGAGGGTTTTGTTGCCAGAACTCTTTCCTGTTGCCAAATAGCCAAAACTATCCTTGTGAGGGGAACTACGCATCAAATTTCTTTATTTGGTGGCTTTTCTCAGGTTCAAAGAATTCCCACAAGGTTATTTCAGGATGGCTTGAAAATAGATGGTAATTTAATTAACCCTTTCTCGGATGGTATTAATCACTCCAGTCTTGTCAAGAAGCAGATGCTTGTATCATTCACAAAATGTGTTGCTGATAAGATGGATTGGTGGCTTTTCATTCTCAGGAAATCAAACAAGTCACATTTATGTCAAAGATGGCGTGCACCGGTGACCTTCCCTTGGTTGGGGCAGTTTCCCTTCAGGAAAATGCTTAAGTGGTATACAACAGTTCTGAGAAAAGAAAGTAAGCATCTCTTGATTCTCTGAAAGTGTATCTGTTCTGAGAAATACTTAAAGATGATTAAATTTCTTGATAAATCTCTTTCACAACATTTAACCAACTTAAGAATTTGGGGATTTTCTTGATAGTATTCTTATTATAGAAAATTTTCTATTCATGCTTCTCTATCCTTTTACTTTTGCCAAAAAAAAAAAAAGATCAAAATAAAGGAAAATACAAGAAAAAGAAGCTTCCCACATTGCAATAGATAGAGCATATTGGGCCACTTTTCACTCTGCCATTGAGGTTCGTGTTCACTTTGGATATACCTACGTTGGAGCAAAAATATGGCTTGGAAGGGCTTCAGCCCTGTTGGAATTTCTACCCATCCTACTCCAAATAAATATGCAATCTAAATAAAAACTGGGCACTTGCTATGCACACACAGCTTCAAAAGGGGCATCCCTCACTAACAGAATGCCCTCCTGCTGTGTGCCAGCCAACCCTTTAGATATTCTAGGGCACATTTGGGAGAAGCAGCTGTGGCCCATGTCTTTGGAGTATAGGGCAGGTGCAGTGACATGAACAACAGATAACTGTTCTCAGCCTGGAGTGGTGCTTAAATTTCATACTTTGCCAGGGTTCCCTTGAAAAGTTAATGAGATAGAGTTGTTTAAATCCTATTAAGCTGTCATGGATGTGTTTCTGGGTTCTTTTTCTCAGTTTTACTCATCACGAGGGACTTGGTGCAGGACCCAATTTTAGACATGTGAATCCAATTCATAATCCTGTTGTTCTCACTCAGCTCATGGTGGGTATGTGGAAACAAGCTCTTACTTCCCACACCTTTAAAATGGCAATGTTGAGCAGTTTGTTGGTATGGCCTGCACCTCCTTAGAGGAAATCTATCCACATCTTTTAGATGCCTTCCAATGGCTATTAGTAGGTAGAGTTACAGGTTAAAATCATTGCCATTTCTGTACATATGGCTGAACTTTCTTCCTATATACTCAAACATAACTTGGAATTACATCTTGATTGTGTGTAACAGGAAAGCTTTGGTTCCTACTGGGGTTATTGGAGATAAATTAATCTCTGCAGGAATAGTAGGAAGGGTACTGGAGCTTTGGGTAATGAGAAGAAGGGTTGAATCAGCTGAGAAAAAAAGCCACTGGGCTGGATTCTGGCTGGAAAGTGAATTGGACCCTTGGGGGTTTAGCAGAATCTATCCAGTTCTAGCCATGGGGGCCTCTGAAGCTGCACTGTGTGCCTGGCACTAGCAGACAGAGAGACGCCTTCAACTCCTGGCCTCAGACACTAGGACGAGGGTGGAAGCTTGGTGCTCTTCTCTTTTTCCCTTTGACTCTTACCCTTTGCCTTCACTTGGTGTCAAATTCAGGTCACTGTATGACCCTCCAGTGCCCTCTGATCCTGCTTCTCTCTCTTTGTTTCCCCAAATCTCCCCACCCCTCAGCCTCTGGTAACCACCATTTTACTCTTTGCTTCTGTGAGTTTGACATTTTCAGGTTCCATATATCAGTGAGATTATGCAGTAGTTGTCTTTCTGTGCCTGGCTTATTTAATTTCACACAATGTCCTTCAGGTTCATCCATGTTTTTGCAAATGCAGGATTCTTGTTTTTCTTTTTAAGGCTGAATAGTATTCCACTCTGAATATATATGACAATTTTCTTAATCTATTTATTTGTTGATGGGCCCTTAGTTTGATTTCATGTCTTGGCTATTGTGAAGAATGCTTCAGTGAACATGGGAGTGCAGATATCTCTTCAACATACTGATTTCCTTTCCTTTGGCTGTATAGCCAGAATTGGCTATTATATGTAATATAATGTAATAGCTGGATTACATGTTGGTTCCATTTTTTTTCGAGGAGCTTCTATACTATTTTTCATAATGGCTGTGCTAATTTACATTCCCATCAACACTGTGTAGGCTCCTGTTTCTCTACATCCTCTCCAAAGCTTGTTGTCTCTGTTTGCAGATGACATAATCTTATATGTAGAAAACCCTAAAGACTTTACAAAAATAATCTTAGAACTAATACATTCAGTAAAGTTGCAAGATTAAAAAATCAATGCAACAAGAACCAAGCTGCACCCCTAGAGTGTTGCATAGATGCCTGTGGCAATGAGATGCAGGGCCATCAGAGGGCTGTTAGGATCCAGGGCTTGCTCTACCTGGCACTTGGAAGTAAGACTGGTCCTCAGTTACTCCCAAAGTTGGACCAAATGAGTCCCTAGTCACTTGAATACTTAGATGGAGAGCATGTCTTAAGAAGGAACTATTAGATTTTCTGCTTATAGACCATGTCTTAAGTGATTAACCAAAGCTGCATGACTGTATTTGTCCCTTGTTTTTAGACTAGGTCAAACTTTTTAATTACCTTGACTGTACATTAAAATCACTTGGGGAAGATTTATAAAGTCTGGGTCCACTCCCAGAGATTCTGATTTTGTTGGTCAAGGCAGTGTGCCCTGGGCATATGGGTTTCTTGTTTTAAAAACTCCCTGCGTAATTTTAATGTGCTGGCAAGGCTGAGAACCATGGGACATAACATAGAGGCTGCATTAAATGTTTTAATACATGTAAAGTACTCAGAAGATTACTTGGCACATAGAAGATACACAACAAATGCTACTGTTTTTGTTGTTATTATTGGCACATGGCTGAACACCAGATCAAACATGGAATACATAAACAGAATATCTCAACACTCACACACTAATCATATCCTGACCAAAGACCAGGATTAGATCTCTAACTGCTGGGAACAGTTATCCACTTAAGAATTGTGTTTCTCTTTCTATTTGGGTAATTAGCACTGGAAAGGTGGGCCTTTGATGTTTGCCTTCCAAAAAGAGGTTTATTGGCACTGGCTTCTGAAATGAGAAAGTCAGACTTATGAAATTGAAATGCTTCTGTATTTGTTAACACCCCCAGGTCTTGGAAGAAGACTTCAGATGAATAATGGAGCCCTCAAGAATAGACAAAAATGGAAGGACGTTTGCCAATTATACTTCCTTGATGAGGATATTAGTGCAGGTTAATTTGCAATAAGTACATACCTATTATGTGTAGGTCTTCATGGGAGACCCAATGGATGACATACAAACTAAAAAACCTAAGCTTCTCTATTGAGTTTATAATATTGATCCATAACATATATAAAATGTGAGAGTCAAGTTTATTTCATATGCTTAAATAAAAATCATTGGACAGTTTAAGAGTTGTGTAAAGTTGATTCACTTCCTGTAACAGATTTTTATCCACTCTTTTCTTGTTGGTCATGCACTACTGCATCAAATATGTCATACAAAACATTTTAATGGACTTCTCATCCTCCTTCCTCTTCTTTTTTTTAGAGAAAAAAGAAACTTTCACATGGGAGTAGAAGAATACTTTTTCATCTGATTTTTACTATTTTAAGCTTTAAATGTTTAATACTGTCTTCAAAAGTTGTGGGTCGGGTGCAGTGGTTTGCGCCTGTAATTCCAGCACTTTGGGAGGCCAAGGCGAGTGGATAACTTGAGGTCAGGAGTTCGAGACCAGTCTGGCTGACACGATGAAATCCCGTCTCTACTAAAACTACAAAAATTAGCCAAGTGTGGTGGTGGGCACCGGTAATCCAAGCTACTCTGGAGGCTGAGGCAGGAGAATTGTTTGAACCTGGAAGGCGGAGGTTGCAATGAGCCGAGATTGTGCCATTGCACTCCTGCCTCGGTGACAGAACAAGACTGTGTCTCAAAAAAAAAAAAAAAAAGTTGAAATTGCTCAAGTAAACAAATCATTTCAGAATAAGCTGAAAGATGAACTATCTTTGTATTACCTTAGCAGATTCCTATTTTCATCTTACTCAGTACTGTAGTAAGATTTTTCTATTGTCTTCTATTGGGGTTAAGGTGAGGCAGTTTAGCCTGTGGCTAAAGAGTATTGTATACTTAAGAGGTATCATTTAAGATTTTTCTTACAAATTACTAAACTTTGGTTGAACTGTCACAGGAAGGACAGGCTGGAAATATTACACAGTAGCTCAATCGCTCACAATGGAAAAGAACACAAAGTCTCAATGCAGGAGACTGCAATAGCTTTTTGGCTCCAGCTCAGAGCGTAGCCTGGCCAGCCTCTCTGGTGCCTTTTTTTAAATATAAAAATGGAGACCGTCAGTGTTGACAAGGTTCCTTTGGCTTATTTGTGTTGACATGGCTGCCAGTGATGATTTGTTCTCATGAGAGCTGTGAAAGGTGACACTTCCAGGGTTACTTTGCAAACAGCACTTTCCAACTTAATTATGCCAACAGGTCTTTCCTGTAAATTAGCATTGCCAAGACAAAACCTTGGCAGAGTTGAGTTTCAATAGTCATTCAGTAAGTCATTCACTCGTTTGTTTACTTAATTCATTCAGAGGAGTATTTATTGAATGCATACCTCTCTCAGTGCAGAGAGGTAATTGGCCAGGCACTTTGTTAGGCACGGAGATCTGACAGAGAATCTGGGCAGTCCTCACTCTGCTGCTTCTTATTTGGGTGGCCCTGGGACAGTCACTTGGCCATTCTTAGCCTTGGTTTTCTAATCCCCTCTAGCTGGCCATGTGACTTTTAGTCCCCCTGCTTACTATCCATTCCCATCGTGTTGAACTTGGAAGCCATCATGTAATTTGTATTGACCACTGAAATATGGGCACAGGGGACACACAGCACTTCCACATGGAAGCTTTAAGAGCCACTCTTGGGCCACACCTCTCTCTCTCTCTTCCCTCTTTGGTGAGCCCAACAATGTTCCTAGTATGGGTTGCTCCTTCCATTTAGGTCCAGGAATGGTAGGGCAGACCAGGGCTGACACTTGATGGCCAAGGAGCATTGAAAAGAAGAAATACTCTTGAGATTTTTGAGTCTTTTGTTACTGTTGCAGAATCTCACCTCTGCTGACCGATACAGTTCATTCTTGCTGCAGGGGAGTACTGTAGCTACAGCACTGCTAGGAAAGATCATTTCCTGGCAAACTCCCACCCTGTTCAGGACCCACCTGAGCTGCACTATCACTTCAAACAGGTTATTTTCCTTTTGGAACTTTCCCAAGTGAAATTAGTCTCCTGCACACATCCAGTACTCACACATTGTTGCTGCCACTCAGAGGGAGAAGCCCGGAATCCAGAGGGGAAGAAAATGCAGAGTGTGCGGGGAATTTTATAGTAGAAGGGGGAAGAGCTAAGGGAGTTGCTTCAAGGGCTGCATCTGCAGGAACTTCTGCTCCAATCTTGCCCTAGATGTCACAGTCCACAGCTGCTTCCAATCATTAGATGCACGCATTTCCTGTCGAAACCAAATAATAAAAAAGAAAAGGCACACACCACCCAAACCCTCTTCTCCCTTTCCTCTCTGTTTTCTCCTCCCTCTCCTACCTTCCTCTCCTCTAAATCTCAAGATTTATATTTCTGAATTTAAACAAACACACCCACAAAGGTTTAGTACTTTTATTTGGAAAAACAAAGAGCTTTCTTCAAATTATTTTATTTCCTGAAAAAGAGCTCTTTCTGGAGTCCGAAGTGGCTCCTGAGTTGGTGGTGCAATTGTTCTATCAGCAGTGGGTGTGGCCCTCAGGACTTGATTCTGATGCCTGGACTTGTGCTCTGACCTGCTACCCTGGGGGAGGGAGGGGGGGATTGAAGAGCACTTGGAGGAAAGTAAAAAGCCATTGGCTAGGGCTCTCTGGCTTAACCTTAGTTTATCCTTTAACCCACTGATATGGTGAACAGATGTTTAATTCAGTCACTCCGCAAATATCTACTGAACACCTACAATGTGCCAGGAACTTTCTAGATTCTGCATGGACTACATTTTCTGATTTCTCTCTGGCTTTTAAATGAACATAGAAAGCACACTTCCATCTTTTTATAATGCTGTCACTTGAGTTCCATTGAGGCTCCCAGAGAATTCAGTTCATCTTTAGATGACCACCAATCTGTCTTAGATGGTGCTTCAGGTTGAGTTTGCAGGGAGACAAATCCTGAAACCAAAATTTGCATGCAAAAAATTTATTGGTGTGTGTGCTCAGCAGCAACAACTGTGTAAGAATGAGGGAAGCAGGATTGGGCTGGGGGAGAAATTGAGCTGTGATGAAGCAGCAACAGAGGCCTCAGCCAACCCCACCAGAGCGAAGGAGCTGAGATGGCCCTTCATTATTCCACTTAGTGGTAAGAGGGCTTATCCTCTTCTCTCTTCCAATACCATTAGATGTGGGCTGCTCCTGGGGCAAGGGCAGGACCTTGGGAGAGACAGCCAAAGGAGTGAGTCCTTTTGTTGAAAAGAAATTCCAAAGTTTTACTTGGACCAGGAGCTGAGAGGGTGAGTGTTCCCATCTGTAAGGAGGATCTGGACAGCCACAGCAGCAAACACTTTGGACAGGATCAAGTCAGGACCATCATCTACTACCACTTTCTAGAAAGGGTCTGCCTGAGTCATACTTGTTCATGAATAGAACTTGTTAGTTTTTAGCCCTCACTTCCTCACTCTGCATCCATCCCTGGTATTCTCATTTTCCTTACCAAGAGACCAGTGATGGGATAAGAATTTTCTTTAAAAAAATATTGGTGTTTGTGTTTGCTTGGAGGATGATAATACAATCTTGGAGGAATGTGCCTGCAATAAATACTTCAAAGAAAGAATTAAAAAGAATCCCCTAAGGGTTTTTTAGAGGTTAGAAAACACTTTCAGGTGTGCGCTCTCATGACACTTCCCAGAAATGCGCTGGTTAACCAGGTAAGGCCTTTCACAGATGCAGCAATGTGACTTGACAGGCCATGGCCAAGGTGCATTGCAGCAAGTGCTGAGCTCAGAGTTCCAGCACAGGCCTGAGCACTTTCCACTGCAGCAAGCTGCCTCTAAATTCCAGGAGTTAACACAGGAGGGCATCTGAGAGATTTTGGAGCAGAGACCATTTCTGCCTAAAGCTCAACATTGATCTTCTTGCATTTAGGTTGACATGTTAATGACAAGGTGATGTAAAACGATGATTTTCTAAGTTAAGTGGGTTTGCTTTCTTTGTCCTTATTCTTTGGGAATAAATATCCTTGTTCGATTTTTACTAACAATATGAATTTTGCATCAGTAAGAAAAAGTGTTTATTGATGGGCTGATTGGATTGACCCATTGAGCAAATATTTATTGATTAAAGACTGTGTGCCAGACAGCATAGCAGAAATTGAATGAAAGGAGGACTATTTTGCCTCTACCACTTGAGGTTTTTCATCCACACACAAGAAAAATGGCAGCATCACACAGTCATATAATTAGAAATTACTTGAGAAGATACCTTGCTGGTTTCAGTTTCCTCATCTGAGGAGTTTGAACCAGGGTTAAAATTGGATAAACAGAGGAGAACACACCTAAATATCTTAAATTCAATGCCATAAACTCCAATCTCCTAAAGCATAAAGATAGCGGAAATTTTTATAAATCAGCATGTGTCCTCTGGAATTTCAGATTAATTTCAGTAGAATTTGATATCTGCATAGAGATCACACAGAGAACGAATTGGGCAGAGTGACACCCACAATACACAGAGTCACTGGGTATTAGTTTAGGTATTTTTTCTTATGTCTGATGTCATTTTTAGAGTGGCACTGTATCCAGTCAAAATAAAAGCATAATCAAAATTAAAATATTCACAATAACTCTTCTGTGTCCCAACAGATAAAAGTGTTCGGGACTCAGAACATTGCTTTAAGTTGTTAGCAACTCATCACATTGAACTAATCCTGAGAACAGAGACTTCAAGTAAGTGCTTCTCTTGGTAGCTTTACAGGTAAAAAGGGTTCTAAATAGCACCCATGTAGCCAGAAAGGGATTCCGAAGCCGACCCCAAGAGAGGGTTCTTGGATCTCGCGTGAGGAAGAATTCGGGGTGAGTCCCTAGAGTAATGTGAAAGCAAGTTTATTAAGAAAGTAAAGGAATAAAAGAATGGCTACTCCATAGGCAGAGCAGCAGCATGGGCTGCTCATTGGCTATTTTATGGTTACTTTCTGATTATATGCTAAACAAAGGGTGGATTATTCATGAGTTTTCTGGGAAAGGGGTGGGCAGAGTTCCTCCAGTTTTTAGACCATGTAGGGTAACTTCCTGACATTGCCATGGCATTTGTAAACTGTCATGGTGCTGGTGGGAATGCCTTTTAGCATGCTAATGCATGACAGTCAGTGTATAATGAGCAGAGAGGGCGACCAGAGGTCACTTTTGAGGCCATCTTGGTTTTGGTGGGTTTTAGTTGGCTTCTTTTTGTTTTTTTGAGACGGAGTCTCGCTCTGTCACCCAGGCTGGAGAACAGTGGCACAATCTCGGCTCACTGCAGCCTCCACCTCCTCCTCCTCCTTGGTTCAAGCAATTCCTCTGCCTCAGCCTCCCGAGTAGCTGGGATTACAGATGCACACCACCATGCCCACCTAATTTTTTTGTATTTTTAGTAGAGACGGGGTTTCACCATGTTGGCCAGACTGGTCTTGAACTCCTGACCTCAGGCAATCCACCTGCCTCAGCCTCCCAAATTGCTGGGATTACAGGCGTGAGCCACCACGTCCACCTTGGTCGGCTTCTTTACTGCAACCTGTTTTATTAGCGAGGTCTTTGTGACCTGTATCTTGTGCCGACTTCCTATCTTATCCTGTGACTAAGAATGCCTAACCTCGTGGGAATGCAACACAGCAGGTCTCAGCCTTATTTTACCCAGTCCCTATGCAAGGTGGAGTCACTCTGGTTGGAACACCTCTGACAATAAGATATGGTGATATACATATATATAAAAATATGAGATATATTTGTACATTAAAAGCAGTTTCTCATCAAAGAAGAAAGGAATTGAAGCAAACTTGCTGGAGGACTTCATGCTGTGAGGAGGGGCCTGGCCAGGAGCTTGAGCTCTTGGAAGGTGGCAGGAGCTGCACAGCAGGACGTGGAAGAAACGAGTGAGAGTGCCTCCCACTGGTGAGTGAGTACATGGAGAAAGGAAAGAGAATGAAGCCGTTGTTATGTGGTGAAAAATTTGGGGGGAAATGAGAAATGTTTAGAAAGAATTTTTATGAAGCTTTCATGTGTCTCCTCCATAAAATCTACAGCCAAGCATGGAATTATTTTCAAGGTCTTTTGGTGACAGAAAGGAAGTGGATTAATGGCTGTCCCTCCAGCCAGAGATAGGGTCTGAGATGGCTCACACTATGCTATCATAGAGAAGAACATCTACACATCTACACACCAGTGGGATTACATAGTCGCCTCAGTGCTGGGGAGCTAAGTTTCATAACCCAAGAAAATGGCAAGGATCGAGAAGAACTAGGGGCACTGCTGGACTCTCTTTTGTTTATTGGTGAGAAAACACAGGCAGAGAGGTTGACTGCCCTATGAGCTGGCCCACAGCAGGCCAGTGTAGAGCTAGAATATAGAACTATGAATCCTGAAATCCTCACTGCTACTTCTCCAGAGTTCTTTCTAATATCCACTCTGCAAGCAATGGTCTTGAGAAGTAGAAGGGAAATTGAGAATTTAGCCTGGAGAAAGCTAATAATGGAACTTTTTCTCTACAAAAGCCACAAGAAAGGTAATTCGTTTATACATACATGCATATGTCATTGAGTTATTTGTCTGATAAGAAAATCCTGAAAATTCAAATTACAGAGAATGTCATGCACAGAAAATAAGCAGATTATTAAGGCCTGAAATTCTTCCTTAATTCTTCTTTTACGTCATCTCAGAAAGCTCAGCTTTGATGTTCTGAGATGTCATTGCATACTTATATGGCTGCATAATGGTATTTGGATCCTTTGATACTCAAACTTGACCAAACACGGTTAGGTCTTATTTCTGAGGATTTAGATCCTGACCTAGACAAGCATCCTGACCATATAAATGAGATTTTGGCCCACAATTCAACCAGAGTCAGGTTAGTTATTTCTATCAGAATGTGTTTATTTCATGGAACAGCTAGCTTGAAATTGATGACAGTATTGTTATGTCACATTCATCTAATCTTCCAAGAATCTATCATATGATCTTACTGACTGCAGAAGATGTACAAGAGTAAACTAAACTAGTTTTTAAAGAATTTATCAGCAAACTCTTTTGGGAGAAAATACGTCTTCTGACAGGTAGGAGAAATCTTTATGTCTTCAATTAATTATGTAGATTGGACTACAAAGATAAGTGATTTTTCTAAGCGAGGTCTATGGTACCATCATCTCTTTATCGCTTAGAATTAGTTTCTCATTGTGTTGATCCAGGAATGTGGATGAACTCCTTTGAACAGTGGGAGGCTCAGATATTCTTTTCATCAAAATAAGAATAGTAAGAAAACCCACTCTTCAGGTCCTCTGTCTACCAGCTCTTCAATGAGTACAGAATGATAAAACCTGACTAAGTCACCCCAGCTAGATTTCAGAATCTTAGGAAAGAGGAATCTACAAATTTCCTTGGCACATTTCTCCAGATGAAGCAGATCATAGAAGCCTTAACCATAGGCATGTCTTTTTAAGATCAAGTCTGAATCACTCCTATGGACAAGACCTCCCTTCCATGAAGCTCCTAGAATAGTCAGAGGTCCTGAAACTTACCAGTATCTAAAACTGCTCTTAGTACTGAACCACATGACGGGTATGTGTTCGAGTCTTGCAGATATCTATTTGTTCACAACGTTAGTGAAATATAGCCTATTAATGAAAGGTAAAATTTTAGTAATAGACTTACAAAGTTTATCAACTTTATTTGTACAAATGTGCATGATTGTAGCCCTAGTGATTACTGGCGAGTGAGTTACTGATACCAGTATTAAACAATTTTTGAGATGTGGACTGTAGGACTCTGTATTCACATAGAATGTCTCTCAATTCTAATTCCAAACTCAAATTTCTAACGATTCTTAGTTCTTAACTCAGGAGTTTCATGCAAACAAAAATACTTTAAGAAAGCTCAGGCATCCTAGGCGCTGTTTAGAATATAGCCTTCTGGAATAAGAAATTACAAGAGATAAACATTGCCTTAATCAGTGGAACACTTCTTTGTTGCCTACTCATTTCCATCGTCATATCTTTTTTATCAGTACCAAAATTTCTTTGTTGCCTATTCATTTCCATCTTCATCTCTTTTTTTATCAGCACCAAAATTTCCAGTTGAGCACTGCCCTTTCCCTATTTTGAGCCCTCAGTTGGGTGAGATTGCCGCCACCTTAGCTTCGGGTGGGCCCTGATTGGCTAAAGTGTGTGGCACAATCACCTTGCTGCCATTGGCATAGGAATGGTCATGTGACAGTCCAATTGCCGTCAAGCCGAGGACTTTGCTTTGAAGAGAGAATGAATCCTCCTCTCCCGTGTTTTTTGCTCATCCTATTTTACTTGCAACATAATGAGTCTTAATGGACACATGGGCGAATTTTTTTCCAGTAAAATTAATTTATCTTGAAACTGAGCCATAATGCTAGGGCAGATGCTTGAAAATACAGAAACATCCTGAGATGTCTTCTTAGAATTTTCCATAGAAAATTAAAACCTGATCCTCTGATACATTCAGTGAGTATTTACTTAATGCTATTTTATCAGGTACTGTGGAACCTCTTAAAATTGTGAGATAGATCAGCAATGCTTCAGATCCAGGATTCTCTCTTGGGCTTAAGTTAGTATAACATTGCAAATATCTGCTATATGGATACGTGGAGATCAACCACGTAAACTACTACAAGATCTGGTATGGCGTGTCTCCAGAGGCCCCTTATTTCCAAAGTCATTGAGGCCAAAAAGCTCCTGATTTGATGTTTCACTTTGATAATTTTTATTATCTTTATTGCCTCTAAATGTCAGCCTGTCTTTTTTATTGTAGGGCTCTCTGGCAGACCTACGCACATATAAATCTTGATACAGGCTTTGCTATGGCAGGATGTAGGAATAGTTGATTACTAACTTTTCTTAATAAGTATTACGATGGTTCTGTACAGGATTTTTATTTCATTTCTAATTATGGACTATTTAAGATAAATACTCAACAGCTAGCCATAAATATTTGATTATGTCATATTTAATTAACATTTTGGTTTCTGATTTACTCAGTATAGAGTCTATATTAAGATCCTAATTACCCAAATGGAATGCTTTAGATTAATGTGTGAAATATCAAAGTTTAGATGTTTTATTGAAGGAAAAAAATAAGCTTCAGGAGATCTCGCCAAGTTTCTAACAAAGTGAACAAAGAGATCAGTCAGTCTCAGAAGTACTGGCAGCAGATTCTCTCAAGCTTCTCATTTCCAAAAATTGATATATAAAAATCTTGAATGAAGAACTAAGGCATTAAAACACAGGCCAAAAAATTAAAACCATGAAATAGCGAGAAAGTTCTTCAAGCAGTTAAAGCTAAAGTTGTAATTTCTGAGGAAATGAAATCTAATCAAAACCCTGGTCTCATATTGCTTACATTTACAACGGGAAATTAACACAAGAAAAAGGAGAGCTGCAAGGCAAATTTTCCAAGTCAATTGTAAAAAGCATTGAACGAAGTTCCAAAGTTTACCCTTAGCTTCTTCAAAGATGGTTTCTGAAGTTCTCTCACTTTGAGAAAGATGCTTTTCCACTTTTGAATTTTTTGAAGTAATAATAAAATTAGAATTACAAGGTAATATTAGAACCTTGTATACTCTTATTCTGTAGCAAATTAAATTCAACCTTATTCTACTCATTGCTGTGTCATTTCATTTACTTGATTTTGCACACTTTCAAAAACGTTTTTTGTAGAATATATTGTTCTATCATTTATAATTGATTAAATGAGCTTCCTGTGGTTACTACTCTAAAACCTAAGCATCTGACCCTTGAGCAAAGCCATAAACTTGAGAAAACATGCCAAATTTATTAAAGATCACTTCACATGCTACTTTGCTTTTCTGTGATTGCTGTCTGCTGTGACCAGTACAAAAACTCAATTTTACGTTCAATTTTTTTGATAAAGAACTTTTTATTTCTTGTAACTTAAATACCAAGACAAAAAGAAATATTTGGATTTTAGCATCTTTGCCTTAAGAATCTTAATTCATTTTATCAACACCAGCCGTAATATACTGTATTAAAGATTTACTGTAGGAGAAAACCTAAAAGGATTATCTTTAGTGTTAGAGCCAATCTGATAGTGGAAAGAAAATCATTGACTACCACTGGTCTTGGGTACAGTTCTTAGGCTCTTTGAATGCCCATTTCCTCTTCTGCTAAAATGGGAATTTTTACTACAAGGCTATAGTAACCAAAACAGCATGGTGCTGGCATTAAAAATAGAAACATAGATCAATGGAACAGAAGATCCAGAAATAAGGCCACATACCTACAATCAACTGATCTTTGGCAAAGTTAACAAAAAAATACACTGGATATACTGTATCAAAACTTCAGGAAACAAGATCTTAAAGGCAGGCAGAGGCAAGGCAGGGCATAGACAAAAAAAGAACAAAAATATTTACAGCAGATTTCTCACTGCTGTAAGTAGCAGTGGAAGTCAGAAACAGTGGGATAATGTTTTAAAACTCTATAAAAGAACAACTATCAATTTAGGATTATGTTTTTCAAGAAGGAGGGCCAAATAAAGACTTCTTCCCCCAACAAATGAATACTGAATGGTATTTTTAAAGTTTTTTGAATATTTTTGGAGAAAGATTAAAATATGGTTTAAATTTAAACCTAGTAATGTATGAAAGATAATTGCAAGGATAAATATTAAATTAATGGATAATTGCAAGGATAAATATTAAATTAAATTAACTTCCCTACTAGTATAGGGCAAAGATGGAATAAGAAAAACAAAAGAATGGAGAGCAAAGGAAGCATAATAAGGTGTGGCTCATAGAAAGCCCCAAATCTGATGGTAGAAATAAACAAAATATGTCCTTTGTTACAGTGTAGGTAAATAAACTACTAGTTTAAATGAAAATTTGTCATATGGGATCAAAATGTTATATAATCCAGCTATAAACTATTTCCGAGGTACAGCTAAAGCATAAGGACCCAGAACGATAGAGAGTAAATAGGGTTTTTGCTCCCAAAGTTTTCACATACTATTCATGATAAAACCTTTAAACAACAAAAAAGTTACCTTAAAACTCCTTTGAACTTCTAAAAGTCATATCCAAAAGATCCTCATTACACTGTATAGTAAATTGTGACACAATATAAGTATTCTCAAAAAACTCAAAATCAGAAAACAGATAAAATATCTACTCTTGCTGCCTAAATCCAACATTATACTAGATGTCCCAGTAAATGGATAAAGATAGGAATAAGTATATAAACAAAGAAGAAACAAAACTGACATTATAGTCTATGTAGAAAACTTAAATAAATTTACAAAGTTATGAATTAGTAATATTTAGAAAGATGGCTAGGTCAATTTTCAAAATCAATCACATTTGCAAAACAAGTAAAAATTAGAAAATTAAATTTTAAAAAGATATCTACAAAAGCATCAACAAATGTACCTATAAATAAATGTAATAGAAGATGTGCAAGGTCTTTGTAGATACACACACAAGCATATGCACACATAGAGAAAGAGAGAGACAAAGCAATTACATATAGATACATCAATTCTTTCTAAATTTATTTATAAATTTAATGCATTTCAAAATTTCAATCAATAGTTGTTGTTTTTTTTTTTCCTGGTACCTTTTAAGCTAATTCTAAAATGTATTTGGAAGACCAGATGGATTAAGAGTAGCTAAAGCACTTCAAGTAAGAAGATAAAAGTAGAGATATTTCTTTACCAGATGTTAAGTATCTTAAGAATGATTATATTCTTAATGATTATTGGCTCAAAGATAAACATATTAACTAACAGAATGTTGATATAAGGCAGAAGCAGCATGCAGATCAACAGGTAAAACTGAGTTTTTAATAGATAATGCTAAGACCATGGATTACCTATGCTGAAAAGAAATACAATTGGCCCTCTAACACAAAAATACACAAAAAATATTTTGCAGACAGATTAGACACATAGTGAGGCAAAAGTTGAAAATTTTAAGACTTTTTAGGGAACAATCATAGAAAGAATATCTTGGAGTAGGGAAACACTTTTTTTAAAAATAAGACACAAAAGAATAAACATCATAGGAAAATAATTAGTGAATAATATTACATGAAAAGGAAGCCCATCTATTTATTTATTTATGAACCCTATAAGAGGAAAAGGAGAAAAATTTTGCAATGTTTATAAGTGAAAAACTTCTACAAATTAATAAAAGATCTAAAGCAACTCAATAAAAAAATAGATAAAAGCCTTCAAAAAGCACTTCAGACAAAAACATGTAAATGGCTAAAAACATGAACAGATGCTTAAACTTAGTAATCAAGAAAATGCAGACTAAAACTACAATGAAATATTCCTTATTGGAATTGGCAAAAATAAAATAATACTATATACTTGAAATTTGCTAAGAGAGTAGATCTCAATGTTCTCACCACACACACACACAAGGTAATGATGTGAGGTGATGGAGATGTGAACTGGCTGGTTGTAATCATTTTACAATGCATACATATATTAAAACATCATATTGTACACCCTACATGTATATATTTTTTATTTGTCCATCATAACTAAATAAAGCTGGAAATTAAAAAAAAGAGAGAAAAAAGAAAAATAAAATTTCATTATTAAGACTTGGGAGAATGTGGAGCAACAGGAACTTCACCACCAATGATGGAAATGAAAATTGATACGATGACTTTTAGAAGTTTGGTATTATCTATTTTTTTTTAGGTCTTGCTTTCACTAATGTCAAGATTTTATTCAGGACATAGGCCTGGGCAAGGACTTCTTGTCTAAAACACCAAAAGCAATGGCAACAAAAGCCAAAATTGACAAATGGGATCTAATTAAACTAAAGAGCTTCTGCACAGCAAAAGAAACTACCATCAGAGTGAACAGGCAACCTACAGAATGGGAGAAAATTTTTGCAACCTACTCATCTGACAAAGGGCTAATATCCAGAATTTATAATGAACTCAAACAAATTTACAAGAAAAAAACAAACAACCCCATCAAAAAGTGGGCAAAGGATATGAACAGACACTTCTCAAAAGAAGACATTTATGCAGCCAAAAAACACATGAAAAAATGCTCATCATCACTGGCCATCAGAGAAGTGCAAATCAAAACCACAATGAGATACCATCTCACACCTGTTAGAATGGCGATCATTAAAAAGTCAGGAAACAACGGGTGCTGGAGAGGATGTGGAGAAATAGGAACACTTTTACACTGTTGGTGGGACTGTAAACTAGTTCAACCATTGTGGAAGTCAGTGTGGCGATTCCTCAGGGATCGAGAACTAGAAATACCATTTGACCCAGCCATCCCATTACTGGGTATATACCCAAAGGATTATAAATCATGCCGCTATAAAGACCCATGCACACATATGTTTCTAGCGGCACTATTCACAATAGCAAAGACTTGGAATCAACCTAAATGTCCAACAATGATAGACTGGATTAAGAAAATGTGGCACATATACACCATGGAATACTATGCAGCCATAAAAAATGATGAATTCATGTCCTTTGTAGGGACATGGATGAAACTGGAAACCATCATTCTCAGCAAACTATCGCAAGGAGAAAAAAACCAAACACCGCATGTTCTCACTCATAGGTGGGAATTGAACAATGAGAACACATGGACACAGGAAGGGGAACATCACACACCTGGGCCTGTTGTGGGGTGGGGGGAGGGGGGAGGGATAGCATTAGGAGATATACCTAATGCTAAATGACGAGTTAATGGGTGCAGCACACCAACATGGCACATGTATACATATGTAACAAACCTGCACGTTGTGCACATGTACCCTAAAACTTAAAGTATAATAATAATAAAATTATTATATAATAAATAATAATAAAATAATAATAATAAATAATAATAAATAAGAAAATAATAATAATAAAATAATAAAATAATAATAAAGTATAATAATAATAAAATTTAAAAAAGAAATAAACAGAATGAAATAACAATTTAAAATAAAAAAATAGTTCTTATAGCAAAATAAAAGTATGATCATGTAAACATTTCTGAGAATAAATTGCTACTGAATAGAGTTTTGAAAAGGCAGAAAATGTAGATTTTCCTTGTACAGAAATTGTTAAATCTGTAAAGGTGTCATTTTTGTAAACACAACAGAGTTTTACATTGTGAAATAGAGGTCTTACTGTTGGACTACTTTCTCTGATGTACAGACACCAAAGCTCAAGTTTCATTTGGCTAGCCCCGAGCTCAGGCTTCTTTATGCAGTCTTGATTTAGGACTGTGGCAGAGAGTACTGTCAATCTTTCATAGGCTTACGTGGCATCAAGATCTGCTTGATCATCTGTTGTTCAGGGTCGGGGAAATTCTCAGAAGCACTTCCCTCAGCTTATTGGTTTCTTCATCTGCTCTTGGTGTTGACACAGTAGGCTCTACTTTATGTTAAGAAGGTTCTGTAGGAATGTGAAGTGGAGTTTCTGGGGAAGCCATGACCTGGAGGAGCTCCCTGAGTCTTTGTGAGAAGATGGAGGCTGGTGCAAAAGCCTGAGCTGAACAATTCCTCACTTGGCTGGGCACTGAGAAATGGCTGCACGTTTCTAGGGAAGACCTCCTTCCAAAGAAATTCTTCTCAACTAGACCTTGGCATTATCTTTTAATATCAAGAAAAGATACAGAAAATATGCCAAGTTTGATGGTTAATTTTATGTGTCAGCTTGGCTTGACCTCAGAGTGCCCAGACACTTGGTCAAACATTATTCTGAGTGTTTTCATTTGGTTATTTGTGGATTAGATTAACATTTAAATTGGTGGACTTTGAGCAAAGCAGATTGCCCTCCATGATGTCGTGGGGCCTCATCCAATCAGTCAAAGACTTGAATAGAACAAAAAGGCCAGTCTCTGCCAAGCAAGAAATCATTCTTGAGTGGACTGCCTTTAAAGTTTATCTACAATGTCGGCTCTTTCTCGTTCTATTGCTGACTGCCTTTGGACTTGAACAAGAACATTGGCTTTCCTGGGTCTCTAGCCATCCAGCCTTCAGTCTAGAACTGCTGTGTTAGCCTTTCTGGGTCTCCAGTCTGTTGGCTTACCCTTCAAACTTCGGATTTGCCAGCCTCCATAATCACATGAGCCAATTCCTTATAGTACATTTCTTTCCACATATGCATATATTCTATTGGCTTGTTTCTCTGGAGAATGCTGATTAATAAACCAACCTTACTATGAATCAGGGAAATGCAAGCAACATTACAATTCTATAACTATCAATTTCACAAAAATTAAAACATCTGATAATGAAGAGCAATGGGAACTCATAGAATGCTGGTGAGAATATAAATTGGTAAAACTGCTTTTGAAAATCATTTAGCATTGTTTTGTGAAAATTAAAGTTTACATGATTATTGACATAGAACTTCATCCTTCCAGTCTACACCCAAGAAAAATTTGTGCCCAAGCACTTCCAGATACATATGTAATAATGTTCATAACAAGATTATTCACAACACCTAAAAACTGAAAACATGACAAATGTTCATCATTAGAATTAAAAATAACTTGTAGTATATTTAAACTGTAGAATACTATACAGCAATAAAATGAATGAATCATGGCTACTTGTACCAGTCTAGCTATGTTTCAAAAAACAATCATTGAAAAAATCAAGGTAGAGATTCACTTTATATGGAGTTCAAAAATGTGAAGAACTTACCAACACATTGTTTAGGGAGAATGGTAAACCACAGTGGAAAGCATGACACCTGAGATCAAAACTCAATAAATGAGGAGGAGAGATACGGGAAAAACAGGCCAGCTACAAGATATTTACATTGAGATTTTCCTAAATTTGGTAGTGTGTACACTGTGTGTGTGTATATGTATATTTTTTGAGATGTATTTTATGATTAAAAATTTAAGGTGATGAGATTATTTTCACAGTGATTCTTGGGATTTGGTAAATGTGATTTGGCAATGTGAAGAGTAATTCACAAAGGATAAAGAATCCTCACTATTTCCATCAGAATATTGCGTTATATAACCTGCATAAATCTTCCTGGCCCTCCAACTTGTCGATCACTCTGTATAGTCACTTTTATTTTTATTTATTTATTTATTTATTCAAGACAGGGTCTTGCTCTATCGCCCAGATTGGAGTGCAGTGGCATGATCTAGGTTCACTGCAACCTCTGCCTCCCAGGTTCAAGTGATTCTCGTGCCTCAGCCTCCTGAGTAGCTGGGATTACAGGCATGCACCACTGCTCCCGCCTAATTTTTGTATTTTTAGTAGAGACTGGGTTTTGCCACGTTGGCCAGGTTGGTCTGGAACTCCTGACCTCAAGTTATCTGCCCACCTCAGCCTCCCGAAGTGCTGGAATTATAGGCATGAGCCACCGTACCTGGCCTATATAGTCACTTTTAAGGAATAAATTCCAGTAGCCAAAAGCTATTGAAAATGAATTCAGTGTTTTACTTGGAGCTCTCAATACATATATACATAAATGAAATCCAGATTGTAACTAAGAGGAAAAGTTCCCTTTTCTTGCCTCGTCTTTCATCACATAACCCTTGACAGTTAACTGGCTTACTGAGCCTCCTTCCCACAAAGTCCCCCTAACAGAGCCTGCATTAATGTTCTTTCTGTCCTTTCTCTGTCTCTGTGTTTCTTTCTCTCTTTCTCGTCCCTTTATTGAGGAACATACTAGCCACATAAAATGTATTTTGAATTTCTTCTCTTTATTTCACCTATTTGCTGGTTTAATTTGTATAACATTGAAATTTTCTCTTCCTTGTTGGAAAAGTCTTCTCCAAAACCTAGGCCTACTGCCTTCTGGAGGTTGGTTTCTGACTATTAATCCAATGTCCTTGTTTCTGGTTTCTTGGGGTTTTGATTTCTTGTTGAGTCAATTTCATTATTTAGTTTTTAAATTCTTTTTATTTAATTTAAGATTTATAAAGCCCCAGACTGTAGTTTTTCATTGTGATCTCATTATTTCAAAATTGACTTGTGTCTGAGTTTTGATCTATTTTTTTATTCTAAACCTTGTTGTGTTTTCTTCCCTTGTGCAGTGTTACTGGAGGTTTGCCTATGTTATACTTTTTTTAAAAAGTGGTTTTAGAAAATAAATGATATTTTGGTTTGTTGTCTATTTTATTGATTTTTGCTACAGTGTTTATCTCCTTCCTTCTACTTTTAAAAAAATTACTACTTCTTTTCCAGGTTTCTTAATTCAAATGTTTAGGTAAATAATTTTTCAAAACTTGGAAAAAATCTGCCGTGAAAGAAAAAAGCTCTAAGTTCTGTTTTAAGTTTAAAAATTGTCAAAGGCACTTTTATTTAATCCAAGCCACAAATTACCCTGAATTGTGGCAGGTGCTAAGAAAAATATTAGCCAATATTTCAAAATGTTAGAACTTGTACTGAGTTTTTAGTGAGTTAAAAACAAAAAATTCAGTCTAAGATGGGAAAAGAGGAAAGAAATTCTGTGCTTTTCCTCTCTCAGTTCAGTTATAACTGAAGTGATAACAATAGGTATTATTTATGAATAATCACGTTTTATGACTTGCCACAATTATTCAAATATGCTTCATAAACTTGACATTTACTCAAACTTAGTAGTTTTTATTTACTTTGGATAAAGACAGGTTCTACAGTAAAGCAATTTGATGACAAAGGAATTTTTATTTTTTTCATGTCAAATGGTTACGAAGGGGAACTATGAGATTTAGCAAGAAAGGTAGGAAAATCTAATAGAGGAATCTATTTCATTTTATAAACACTGGGGTATAATCAGATTAAATACTATGTGGGAATTTGGCCTTAGTTGGTTAGCTAGCCACAAAGCTGTTTATTTAAATCACCAGGATGCAAATTCAGCTTCCCTTACCTATCAGTGTAAGGCACTTTGTAGCATATCATCTGAATGAACAAAGTACTTTGTTTTTATGTCATTGTCTTCATTCCTTCTACACCAGATATCCTTTACTAACCTCTACAAACAGGTTTCTAGTTTTGCTCATGATATGAAAAAGAAATTTAGGAAACCTGAATTTCAGGCATATTGCTTGCTAGTGGATTTAAAATGTGAGCTTTGCCACAATCTCTTTGACAAATGACCCCTTGGTTGCAGGATGTACCTGTTTTCATTCGGAGGCAATGAATGCCAGTGATAGAGTGGCTGCGTGAAAACGTAAGGCTGGTGAGCAATGGAGAGTTAATGGTATTGTAAGAGGTTAAGCCCACCGGCCACACTGATGTTTCTGCCAGTAGCGCCCTTGGCATGGATACCCTGGGTGACAAGCCTGCAGAAGAGAGGAACAGAGAATTCAAAAGCACCTGAACAGGGCAGAAGGGAAATGGTAGATGCCATATCACAACTAAGATTACTTATTCATGAGCAATGCCTGAGGATTCTGTCAAATCATTGACAGGAATAGACAGTCCTTT
Source organism: Homo sapiens (assembly GCF_000001405.40). Classification (NCBI taxonomy): domain Eukaryota; kingdom Metazoa; phylum Chordata; class Mammalia; order Primates; family Hominidae; genus Homo; species Homo sapiens. The sequence goes on from NC_000002.12 coordinate 223,140,272, forward strand.
TATTTTTTAGATGATTGTGGCATAGGAAAACACAAGAAACATATTTTGAGGGTTGGAATGCCTAGATTAGGAGGAGGAAAAGATGGCTTAAGCAAAAGTAGTAGTAATAATAATATTTTTTTTGTTATTATAGTGTTATAATACTATTATATAGTAGATATTATACTGTATATATGATAATATAATATTATAGTACTATACTATAATAATACTTCTGTATTATTATTCATACTATATAATACTATACTATATAATTTTAGAAGGCGCAGGCAGCGGGGTGAACATGACTCAGGGTGAAGAGGGCTCCTGATCTCCAGAGAGGCTGCTGGCATCAGGAGAAAGGATAAGTGGGGATAAAAAGAAAGAAACTATCTGAGCACCTGGCATGAATGCAGCACTGCGATAGGTGCTTTACATACATTGACTTATGGGTATTTTTAACAGTCTTACGAGATGGGCTTTGTTATCCACATTTCGTGGAACAAAACGTTGCGTCTCAGAGAGGTCAATTGACCTGCCTGGAGTAATACAGCCAGTAAGAAATAAAGGCAGAATTTAAGCCTGTGTAACTCCAAACCCCAGTGCTTTCTCTGTACCCGAGTGTCCCCCGAAGCCCCACTTGGACCAGACTCCGGTGGCTCCTGCCAGACCAGCTCCTGACCCCTTCTTAGTAAGGGGGTAAATATCTTGGGAAAGAGGGGAAGAAGGGAGAGGGCTAGATTTCATCAGGTGACTGAGGAGGAGAAGTAAATCATCAATGAGGCATAAGTAGCACCTGGGGTCCCCAAGTCAGCTCTCATTTACTGCTCCCCTTTTAAGGCTCAGTCTTGTCATCAACTGAGAGGGCTAAAAGGTGGACACAGTGGACACTAATCAGAAAGCAGAGAATCTCTGAATGTTGCCTGGAGAATACTTCTAAAGCCAGTTTGATTAAAAAGACTTAAAAGTCACAATTTGAAGACATTGAGATTAAGATCAAAAGAATTTTTGTCATTGCCAGAAGCACTTACCAGTGTCCTGTTGCTGTCTCTACTGTTATAAAACTAAGGTGATCACTGCGTATGGCTGGAGTTTATACAACAACTGCAAAGAAAGACATGGAAGAAATATAAATATTTGTAAATTTTTCCACGGTAGGTCGTTTGGCCTATTGTCCAGTATAGATTCAGTGTTTATCATATTGCCTAGAGACAAACACCATGCCTAGTGCCTCAGACAGTACCTGGAACTTGGTAGGAACTTAAATATTTGCAGATTGAATGTGTTGGGAAAAATTTGCATTTACCTGATCTTATATTCTCTCGTTTGCTGCCTGTGAAATTCCACTTAGCCTTCTATGTTCCAAATGATTTTGTAAGACCTCAAATTGAAATCATTCATCTTTTATTTTGCTGATTAAAATTCATCGTTTCTTTAAAAAGTCTCAATAACAAGAACAGAAAGATGAAGAGTTGTGAAATAAGAATACAAGAGCTGTCATTGGATGGCTGCCTTTGGAAACCGAAGTCCGTAGACAGATTGTTTTGACTTCCTAACGTTCAAATGTTTTCAAGGGCTGCTTTTATTATGTTTAAGAATTTCCATCAGCAATGTCAGTGATTTACAAAAAGTACACCCCCTCTAACACTTGTCACCAACCAGTTCTGCTGGCAAATTGAACTTGCTGAGCCTTTTGTCCTTTCAGTCACTGAGGATGGAAAGTTGCCTCCTTCAAAGGTTGTCATTAATGAGCAGATCTTCCCGAGCACTCCTCCTTGTTGGCACTGTGCAAGGCACAGAGGGGTACAAAGATTTTTTTAAAACCCTCAGTATGGCATGACCTAGGATGGAGAGTTTCTCATTTCCATGTTTCTTTCCTAAACCATTCAATCAACTTTAGATTCATTTAACATTTCAATGGAGAATGATAGCAAAGGTCAGTGATGAAGCTATTTTCCTATCCAATTCAATAAGTGTCATGAAGATTTGTAACACGCTGAACTCAACTTCCTCCCCTCTGGGAGGGTGAAGAATTTTCAATCAAAGGACAGGCCGAGGGGTTTTCCCAATGGGACACCGTGTCTCCGGGCCCAGTTCTGTCATGTAGATTGATCTACACAGGGCTCCTTGACTGAGTGTAACCCGTCCTTCTTCTGGGAAGGGGCCCTTTATCAGTGCACGCTAGGGGCACATTTTGGACCATTCCTGTGCCTTCAATGGCCAAGCAACAAAAGTCTCGCCCTTCTCACAGTTGAAATCTTTGTTTACTTGGCGGCAGGATTCTGATCGAGTGAGTGTACAGGAGAACCTGGGGGAGAGTAGCCACTGTGTATGAGCTAGATTTTGCTTCGTTCTCAATTCTTGAAAAGGTCAGATTCCTTTTTCGAACACATGTTTCCAAGCTCTGATTGTATTAATCAATGCGTTTTTCAACATCTCTGAATAGGATGGGCTTAGAGCAACAGTCTGAAAGGAAGAGCGAGAGGACTTGTCTTGAAGGTGTAGACAATGTAATTTTAAAGGGTTTTATTTGTAGATGGTTATTTGAGTGTTTATTTAGGATGACGTTGGAAAGAGATTACAGTGAAGGGGCTAAAGCTCCACTCCCCATCTCACCCTGCTCTGAATGGTGGCCACGACTTATGTAACACAGAACAAAAAGCAGTCAATGCAAGGCCAGTTTCAGAAAAGAAAGGAGAATTCTGATTTTAAGGTTGTCTTTTGTACTATTTCAAGACCTCAGTCCTCTCATCCCCCACTTTCCTCCCTGACATTACCTGCAGATGGGGATTCCCTGGACTTCTGTCATCGAAGCTGCATCCATAACCACCCTGATTCCTTTTCATTTGTGACCATTGATGTTGTGCTATTGACCTTCACACACACGACGTCCCCTCCGAGTCCTGGATGCCATCTCCTGCAGCCTCTCTGACACCTCTGTTTATTTCTCCTTTACCTGTAGCCCATGGTTGGCAATGTGGTCTATGAATATGTTTCCGGTGATTTGTCAACACCTTTAAATTATGTGGCAAAACTTCTTGCACGCGTCTGTAATTCCAGCTATTCAGGAGCCTGAGGCAGGAGAATTGCTTGAACCCAGGAGGCAGAGGTTGCAGTAAGTCGAGATCGCGCCACTGCACTCCAGCCTGGGCAACAAGAGTGAAACTCCATCTCAAAAAAAAAAAAATAATAATAATAATCATTATATGGCAAAACTTTTTTCTATACATTTTTATTTTAATTAGTTTTAACTTAACTAAAAATAATTTTGTATACAGGGATAGCTGCACCTAGTTAAACAAAATAATCAAATAGTGCTAATAGGCTTATAATGAAAAAATTAGCAGCTCCTTGCTTCACTTCTTCTCAACCCGTGAGTTCCAATCTCAAGAAGAAACATTTGTAACCTTTCAGCAAATTGTTTTTATTTTCTTCCAAATTTATAATAAAGTGCTTAAATTTTCTATTTCATGATTTTTCAATTTTAGACATTATTTATTGGATTCCTGTTATGTTCGCTGAAGATTTAGCTCCATTTAAGTCACCCATACCCAGTTTACTTTCCTTCATTTTGTTACTATAGTTCTACTATGTTTTAGGGTTCATACTTAAAAGTAATATTGCAAGTCATACGATGTGCTCATCTCTAACTTGGTATTGATTTCAAAAGATAATTGAAACATTTGCCCTCCCACTACCAGAACTTCTGTCATGCTGCATCAACTTTTTCTCCAACTTAATGATTGTGAAGTTGTATTGCAGAGTGGTTTTAATTCTCTTTTCTCTCACTAATGGCGACGTTTGCCATTTATATTTTTCTCTTTTTTTGTTTGCTGATTTATAGTCTTTGCCTTCTCTTCTATTGTGATGTCCATATTTTTTTATATTGTTTGGTGTGATAGTTCCTTTTTCATAGCACTTTGTTTTGACTTTATGAATGAAATGTCTTCTGTTATCACTCTAAGAAGATGAATTATATTTCTGAAGTTTTCTTCAACTTAAGATGTTAGCTTTGCTTTTTCTGGGCTTTATCTTTCACATTTGTGTATTTCCTTAAAAAATCAGTGATCTTTGGTTATTTGTGTATATTTAAGTGTCAGAGTTACAAACCTGACTTGCAGTTCTGTGCACTTGGGCAGAGCTAACTGGTTATAGGATTATTCCTCAATTTGCCATTTATAAGGGACTTTTATCTGGGAGAGTTCAGGTTTTCCTGAGAAGAGTCCTCAGTTTTCTGCTTTGGCTATTCTGGCCTGTACTGGGAAGAGGGTTGATATTCTGAATATTCTGGGATGAGAGAAGAATGGTCCACTCTATGTGTAGAATTACCCTTAGTTTTTAAGTGTACAGGGTCTGGAGTTTGACAGCCTAGATTTGCTAACCTATCACCATCATTTGTGAGGCCATGGGAAAGTTATTAATAATTAATCATTACTAATAATTAACACCATGTGCTTCAGTTGCCTCATCTGTAAAATGGGAATAAAAACAGCATGACCCAGAAGGTTGTTATGAGGATCAAGAGACATTCAAGGGAAGTTGTAACCCATACTCATTAAGGACCATGAAAACTCAAGTATTCAGAAAAAAAAAAAACCAAAAAAAAAAAAACATCATTACCCTTTAGAGGAGGTATGTGCCCCAGCTCCTCCATAGGACCACAGTCATGGACATGTAACTATGGTAAAAATAAACACACAAAATAATCCCTGGCAAATGGGAAAGTGAACGCTCAAACAAACCTCAGAAAATTCCATATTTTACTTCCATACTTAAAATTATCCCTGTCCCAAGGTCGCATGAGCACTGGATTTCTCTCCTCTGAGGTGGCAGAGAGTCTTCGATCAGATTGCCTCAGTGACAGAGTAAGCTCTCAGAGCTTTACCACTGCAGTCTCTGAGCCCTGAGCAGGGCTACTTTAGAAATAATGGCCAGTAGCGGTTGCCTACCTATGGTAAATGGACCAAAGATTTCTTCCCAGAGAAAGTCCATTTGCTGAAATTCACTCCTTCACTTTCCAATCCTTAACTTTTGAGCAATTGAATCACAGACCAAAATGGAGTAATTCTCTTTTTTCACAGTAAACTTAGATTACAGAAAGCCCAAAGATAGAATAATTATTTCTCTTTCAAACAAAGAATCTTAATTTAGCAAGAGACATTGAGTAGATGCTGAAATGTAAGCAGCTGTTTTAACTAGTACTGGTTTGCAGATTTTTAAAAAAGCTTTATTATTTGAAAAGAAAAAGCTAGCTTAGAGTGTCTCAAATGTATAGTCTTAAAACCAGTCTTTTTAAAAAGGTGTCTTCCAAACAAGTAATGAAGATACATGTGGCAAAAAGACAAAAAAAGAAAGAAATGTGGCCAATTTGTATTTGAAGATTTTGATAGAATGTGTTTATAAATTTTTTTAGCTTGAAGACAATGACACCAAATGTTTAAACTGAATAAAATGCATCAAACTGTTTTAAAGCAATTCTTCTTCTTTTACCACCTGACAGAATATTCAGCTCAAAAAGAAATTTATCTTGAGATAAGAAGCCACACCCTAGCTGGGCGCAGTGGCTCATGCCTGGAATCCCAGCAGTTTGGGAGGCCGAGTTGGGCAGATTGCTTGAGGTCAGGAGTTCAAGACCAGCCTGGCCAACATGGCGAAGCCCCATCTCTACTGATAATACAAAAATTAGCTGGGGGTGGTGGCGCATGCCTATAATCCCAGCTACGTCGGGAGGCTGAGGCATGAGAATGTCTTAAACCCAGGAGGCAGAGGTTGCAATGAGTCGAGATTGTGCCACTGCACTCCAGCCTGGGCAACACAGTGAGATCCCTTTTCAAAAAAAAAAAAAAAGAACCCACACCCCAAGCAACTGATGAGAGGCTTGAGCCAGAGCTTAGACAATTAAAAAAAAAATTAAAATCTTATATAATAGCAAAAGTCCAGGAGAGAAGATATAACTTTTTTTCTGCTAAAATATTTATCACCAATTTGTGGGATTCTTTTGGGGTAGTTGAGAGTGTGCAGTGGACATGCATGTAAATTTCAAAAGCTAATAGTAACAAAAAAACCCTGCATAATAAATCTGGAATATTCATTATTTATCTAAAATTTAAATAATGTGTGTGTATTTTATTCTGAGTGAGAAATACAGTTACTACAGAATGAAAATTTGAGAATGAGGGGTGTAGCAAATTTAATTACATGCCAGAGTTTGGATTTCTGTGCTAAAAGTAAATAGCTGACTTTAGGTAAATCTTTTGCAAAACATGGGATTTCAATGAAAATGTATTACAATTAAAATGTTATAATTAAAAATCTGATATATTTTATGATATGGTTTTTTAAAAGGACTCAATCTGAAAATTATATGAATCTGTAGAAAAGTTTCCACTTATACTCTAGGATATGGTTTAAGTATCACATCTACTACATTTTCCAGTTTTTTAAAAAAATTAAGTATTCTATTTTGATATATTAAATTATATTTGATAAATATTCTAATTTGATATATTAAATTATATTTGATAAACATTCTATTTTGATAAATTTTGATACATTTTTCAACATTTAAATTTCTTTAGAAAGTTACATTTTGTAGAGCACTAAAATAATAGTACTTGTGCTTAACCAAAGGTCCTGGAACCTACACTACTTGGAAATCCACACTCGATTTAGCTGTAATTAAGATAAGAACATTAATGGCATATATGAAGTGTTGTTTATATATTGACAGAATTCTCAATAACATAAGTTGTTTATCACCTATTCTATGCTAAACAATGTCATAGCACTTATGTCTTGATATCACCGTTGTCTGTTTACCTACCTGCTCCTATGAGACAGTGCACTCTTCCAGGTCAGTGCTAGATGTATTTTCACAGTTTGGATGCGTTGCACAATGTCTGACATGAAATAGCAACTCAATGAACATTTGTTTAATAGACTAAAAGCCAGAATAGATTCTCCCATATTACTATAAAGAACCTGAGTCCAGCTGTTTAGTACAGAGCCAGGTCAGAATCATATTTCCGTATTTCTATTCCATATCTGTTGCCACTGCTTCATGCTGCTTTATGTTTCAATGGTATTGGTGTAAGAGTGAAAACCTATTTTGCACAACAACAAAAAGTTTCTCCCCCAAAATGTTTATAACTCTTCAATAGACAAAGCAAACACCCTCGTTAGAGCCATTGCAGGCATATACACCTGTAGGTGGATCAATTCCAATATGCCGCTGCTAACATTTGGTCAATGCGTGTTTTATTTCACCCCACAGCAGTAAAATGATTCATAGCTTGTCTCAAAAAGATCTGAGGGAGGGTTAGAGGTTGCAGAGATCGAGAAAAATGCCCATTACTGACAATTGCTTGATGGAGAGTTAATAGCTGTGTTCAAAGACAAATTGGTGTTATTGAAGATAGAACCAAGCAAACCACAGCCTTGTTTCAAAGCTCTGTGAGCAGTGGTAAGAAAACTTCCATTCATTAGAGATGAACAGATTGAGTTATACACCACTTGCAATCTAAAAGCAGCTGTGGCACAATGGGACTCACATAATGTCTCCAGGTTGGTCACTTCCCACAAAAGTGATACAAAAGGTTTACCTTCCCTAGGAGGGAGAGTCACAAGAGGCTCACCCTCCCTTCATTCTGAGTTTCATTTGGAGTTAGCTTTTGGACAATCTAAGCATGCATGAAAGGGATGAATCACTTTTTCATAATTCTTAATCTTTTAACGTCAACAAGAGCTCCAGGCTATCATCAGTAACATCCTTTGGTCAGTACAGAAATTTAAAAACCTTCCTGGTAAGTGATCCGGAAAAGAGATTGGATGAGGGGTTCCATTTGATGTGAAAATTGTTGCTCTGAAAAGGTTCTATGAGCTTTGTAGCTCAAAAGGAATATATTCATTTACCTATCTCAAATATACTGATCAAAGTCCTTTCTTCTCCCTTGTATTGATGGAAAGAAAGAAGGATGGGGGAACACAGAGGGAATGCTGTATTGATCCTAGAATTACTTAAGAACATTACTTTCCCAGAGGGTAATTTTTAAAATGTTCTGTACCGTGTTGCACAGTATGGAACTTTTATAAAATGCAGGTGGCTTGGCGGCGGCGGGGGAGGGGGGGAGTTTAATTGTGATGTATGGGGAGTTGTTTTTTTTTTTCTCCTAATATTTTATTCGGCTTTAAAAAACGTTTGGGTGCAGTTAGGGAACACAGTCCTTCTTTCTTCATTCACAAGTCTGTTTCCTTCTAAGGCCAGTTCCTTATGCAGAAATCTTCCTTACACTGGGGGAAAGAGGAAGAGGATGCTTCTCCAGAAGACAGAGGCAGTGTGAGGCATGGAAACACTAGACAGTGGAGTCAGGAAACTTGGGTTGAAAAACCAACCTGCTACTGACTCCTATGGTCCTGGGAAAATTACTCAGCCTTGCCAAGCCTCGGTGCTCAGCATCTGCGTCTCCTCCTTCTGGGAACCATACTCAGTACGAATTTCACTTGAGAAATCACTCATGGGAAATAACTCTTTCATTATGGTTTGAGTAATGTTGACTTTACCTCTCTCTAGGGATGGGCCTTGATTAGCAAAAGAAAATGAATGGATTCCATTTTTTTGTTAATGAATCAGAACCAATGTAATATGATGGAGACATTTGCTGTTATTCTTGAGAATAGACAATTCCTCTCTTTTGCAGAAGCTACCAGAGTCTCTCTCTTGCCTTGTGTATTAGTTTTCTAGGGCAGCCATAACAAAATACCATAAACGGAGTGACTTAAACAACAGAAATTTGCTTCACAGTTCTGGAGGCTGGAAGTCCAAGATCTTGGTGTCAGCAGGTTTGGTTTCTCCTAAGCCCCTTTACCTTGCCTTGCAGGTAGCTGCCTTCTCACTGTGTACTCACATGGTTTTCCCATTCCTGGTGTTTCACTGTGTGTTCAAATTTCCCCTTCTGATAAAGACACCAGTTTGATTGGATGAAGGCCCACCCTAATGGCTCATTTTCACTTAATCACCCCTTTAAAAGTCCTATCGTCCAATACAGTCACATTCTGAGGTACTGGGGGTTAGGGCTTCAGCACATAAATTTCCAAGGGCCACAGTTTATCCCATAAGACCTCAGTTAGTGTGGGTGAAGATGTAAAGACAATTACTACAGCCATTTCACTGCTGTAAGGAGAACCAACCTGAGGATAAAGCTCACCCTACAGATGATACAACAGAATGATAGAAGGAAACCACATCTTTAAATTACATTGTTTTATCTTCTAGATTAAACTTTGCTGGAAGCCCAGAACTACTTCTGGATTGTTGAGTAATATGAACTTTCAAATTCCCTTTATTATTTAAGCCAATAAGTTGGAGTTCTATCATGAACTCAGGTCCATTAGTTTAGTCTGGCAACCAAAGGATTTCTAACAGACTCAGTTACCTTGTGTGGCATTGAGTCATTTCAAGAATAAAATTGCATGAGATGATTTATTTAAAGTGTTCAGTACAGCATTTAATTAAATCTAAAATTTACAATAGCAAAGATATGAAATCAACTTAAATGTCCATCAATGAATAATTGGATAAAGAAAATGTGGTATAAAACATAAGTGTCCATCAACAGTTGACTGGATAAGGAAAATGTGGTAAATATACACCATGGAATACTACTCACTCACAAAAAACAATGAAATCATGTCTTTGCAGCAACATGGATGGAGCTAGAGGTCATTATCCTAAGTGAACTAACACAGAAAACCAAATACCACATGTTCTCACTTGTAAGTGAGAATTAGACAACGGATGCACATGAACATAGAGATGGAAATAATACACACTGAGGGCTTCAAAAGGGAGGTGGGTGGCAAGAGGATGAGGGATGAAAAATAACCTATCAGGTACAATGTTCACCATCTGGATAATGGGTACACTAGAAGCCCAATCCCCACCAGTACACAATATATTCATATAACAAACATGCATATGTACCCTCTGAATCTAAAATAAAGTTAAATTTAAAAAAAAAGAAACTTTGGTATAGAAGCACAATGGAATGCTACTCAGCCATAAAATAGAATAAAATTATGCCTTTTGCAGCAACATAGATGAAACTGGGGGCCATTATCTTAAGTGAAACAACTCAGAAACAGAAAGCCAAATATGGCATGTTCTCACTTATAAGTGGGAGCTAAATAATGTTTACACATGGACATAGAGTGTGGAATGATAGACACTGGAGACTCAGAATGGTGGCTGGAGGTGGAAGGGGAGTGGGTGATGAGAAATTACTTAATGGGTATAATGTACATTATTCGAGTGACGGATACACTCAAAGCCCAGACTTCACCACTATGCAATATGTCCATGTAACAAAATTGCACTGGTACCCCTTAAATTTATACAAATGAAAAAAGAACTTCCATTCACTGAAAGAAAAAAATGAACAAAATAGTATTGATTGTAAGACACACTACTGTTTTATGTATCATTAGGAAAGGAAAAAAAACACACCAACTGAACTATGATATGATGACTTATCACTTAAATTTTTAATTTAAACATTAAAAGAGTGCTTTTAGACTTACTTAAACATAGGTTTTTTAATTATATAAATTAACTTTTTCATACATGAAAAGGACGATATGAGTAAAATAAATGGGCTAAGGTAAACCTAAAACTTCTCCACATTCATGGTCATACTATGTGGAATCCCTTTTCAGTTTAGAGTTGTGAAAGTCTGTGTTTCCCTCTTGTTCCACAAGAGTGTCTGTGATCCAGTATTTCATAAAAGACTGCTCCATGGTGCCCCCAGGACTTTCTTCTAAACCATAAGGTTCAATGTGCATGCACAGGCAGTGATCATTCATTTCATCACAATTGTTGTCTGTCCAATAGTGATCATTAGATACCTAATGGTTTCAGAGATTTCTTTTTTTTAGAATTTCGATTGTCTTAACTATATATCTGTCTTGTAAGCACTGGATTACACTATCTCCCCCTTGTTTTTTTTTTTAGCAGAGTCTCACTCTGTCACCCAGGCTGGAGTGCGGTGGCATGGTCTCAGCTCACAGCAGCCTCTGCTTTTCAGGCTCAAGCGATTCTCATGCCTCAGCCTCTTGAGTAGCTATATTATAGGAATGTAACTGATATTATAGGAATCTAATTGTTATTCTAAGAATAGAATTTGTATTTCAGTTAATTATTTTTATTTATTTTTCCCCAAAGATGGATGAAAAATTAAATGCAATTATACTTGTATTTGTAGTCACCTATCTATACATAATTTATTGGAGACTAATCTTTCTGAAACCTAGAACTTTCTGTGAATATTCTTTGATTTTTGGCACTTAAAGATCATTTATCAAAAGAGTTCATTGCCATTTGACTTGATCAACATTTAAATTAGGACTCTCCATTCATGCTAAACTTTACTTTGTAGTTGGAGGTTAGCAACACAATAAGATTTGAGAAATGTTAGGTAAAGTTCTGCTCAAAATGTCCCCCCACAACCCCCACCTCCATTTGCCTCAAGTCTTGGTACGGCATCATAAGAGAGTCCTTCCTTTGGGCTAAGGCGTTATCCCTCTTTGTATCTTTCATTAGAATGTTCTGGTGTCAGATTATTAGGTCAAGAAAGTAAATTTTGTGGGTTTTCCAGCTCCTAGAATATGGATTTTAGGCAAATTTTGAAGATAGACTTTTTTTAAACTTAAAAATTTTCATTCTTAGTTTTGCACATATTCTGAGTACATTGTAGACACAGTGAATGGCAAGTTAGAAGGTCAGAGACTGACTGAGGAAAATATCAGGCAGCAATAACATTAGTAGGTTTCATTCCTAATCTTACATATAATTTGCATATATATATCATATATAAAATATTAATTCTATACATTCAACCAAGTATAAATGGAGATTTTAGGGGACCCAGCTTGAACATTACTATAACACTGGGGCTAGACAAGGGTGAGCTGGCTGGCTGGTGGCTGAGTGCCCCAAAATTTGAAAGGACAGAAAGGCCTCAGGGAGAGGACTCATCTTAAGAGTCAAGCAGTCCAAGGCTGGCCAAGGAACAGATCCATAGTCATCATAGGGCCTGCTTGGTATCTTGCCTGCAGGCCCAGTACTCTAGACTCTTGTGGAAAGAGAAAACAGAGTAAATATGCAGATAATTTTTTTCGCTAACTACTCCATACAATGCATTGGGAAACAGGGCAATACTGTGTCTGCCCTCCTGTGCTTCCATATCAATGCCATGTAGCTTGGTGCTGTGGGGCTGCAACACATTAGTGGTGGTGCCTGTTGAAAACATTGGAAATGCCTGGAAGAAGCAATGGCACCTGATGGATGTGGAGTATTCAGCAGAGAAAAGATGAAGAGAAGGAAAAATAGTGGGTGTCACATAGTCTGTGATTGGAATAGCTTGGCAGTTCATGGAAGAAATTTCTTAGAGCCTTCCAGTAAATTTTAGGGGTTCTTTGTAGAAAGCTGTGGTTCTGAACATGGAGAGAAAGGTCAGGAAAATATGGCTAAGTGATGGAATTTTTGTGGCATAATTTCAAACTGGAAGCTGGTAGGATCCTTTGGAAATAGGGATTATGTACACACGTATTTATGAATAACTTTATAGAGCCATTCATTCCTTCAACATTTATTCAGTGTTTTGTAAATGCGGAAAATCATGCTAGAAGTATTTTTTAAAAACAGTAGTTTCACAATGAAAAGTGTTGAAAATAAACCTCTATCAGATTTTCTTTGCTGGTGAAACAGGATAGACGTATCTTTTCCTCAGGAAGCTAGTGGAGTTACCTTTTAAATGGTAACTTTTGGGAAACTGTACAGAGAGCTATCTAAGATTGCAGGCCCTGGAGTCAGGCTGCCTTCTTTGAAGCAAGCTCTGTCCCCATACTTGCTGTGTGGTCATGGGTAAGTTACTCAATGTTTCTGGGCCTCAATGTTCTCATCCTTTGAAGGGGAAATTAATAGAGAAGTTAAATTGGATCACCTGGTGTAGATGCTGTAGATGTACCACCTAAAGCCATTGAGTCTGCCTATTTCATGTCTGCAGATCAACTCCCACTAATCCCTGTCTATATCTCTTTGTCAGGCTTTATCCAAAGCTGTTGAAGGCTGCACCTTTGAGGTGCTAGGGAATGAATGGCCAAGGAGCATCTCCCAAATAATGACCGAAGGGAATTGGTAGATAAATACCCATGTTTTATGTGGGATTAAGCTTCAGTTTCCTGGAGTGATAACTGGCTTGATAATGCACACACTCGTTCTTGGCTTCCTTCCCTTCCCTGTCTCATCTCTCTACCTCTTTTCTAGTTTTCACTATATCTTGCAAATTAACAACTTGCCCTTGAATCTTTGTTAGAGTCTTTTTCTGAGGAACTCAAACCAAGATATAATTCACGTAAAGGATTTAGCACATAGCAAACACTAAAAAATACAACAAAGCAAACACTATGTTATTACTATTGGATAACCTCTTACTTTTCCTGTTTCATCTCAAAAGTTCTGGATTGTTGAATATCATGAAGCAATGCACTGCCCTTTTGAATGCTTAATCTTTTTTTCCAAGCTCTTAATTGTCATGGTATACATAAGAAAAAAAATTATTTGAGATAAAATCATAGCGCCTGTGAGAGGTTGTTCCCCAAGCCACAGTTTTTGTTACATAATGTTTTCCCTGTGGATCTCTGGATATTTCAGTGAGTAACCAATGAACTCCATCCTATTTATATATCTGTATAAATTTAGCTGTTTACAGGATGTTTGCCTGATTAATGAATGGAGAAGGATGAATAACGGAAATATACCAATAATAATATGATAATGACATCAAAGTATACTTGTGTTATGACATGAATATTAAAGGTCAGGCAGTTCTAGGAATTCTAAATTCATCTTAAAGGACATTTCAGTCTTTAACTAATGGAAAGGTGAACTTCAAACATACTGACCTTGGGTTTTTGTTTTGACTATTAGTTTTGATGTGGATGCATTTGAAATTCACAGGAACAGAGGTTCTTCTTTGTCATTGATTAGTGCTTCTCCAAGTGAAGACTCTTTTGGATGGATTTTATTTGTGTTTTCTTCTTGAAAGAAATATAAAGAAATAAGCATCATGCATTAGGGTATTTGAAATATAAGACTTGTGACGCTTGTCTATATATTTTATTTAACAAATTGGTTAAGATTATGGGCTCTGGAGTCAGGCAGTCTGAGATCAAATTGTGGTTCTACAACTAGCAAAATACTTGATTTTGGTCAAGTTGCTCCATGTGTCTACTAAGCCTTCAATCTAAAATTAAAATTGTGCCAGCATCATGAGGCCATCGTGATGGTGTGTCTGGCACACGGTTAGCACTCCATTAGTCTTACCTACTGCTATTCCTTTTAAAGGGATTCTTTTTCTTCTACCTTTTCTCCTTTGAAATGGAGAAAAATCAATGGTGTGAAGGGTTTACAAATCTTCTAAAGTTTTGTGCACATAAAACAATGTGTTAATGTCTGTCTCCAAATGTAAGTCCTTATATTTTTTGTGTCAATGTTGATTGAGGAGGTACCACATTTTATTTCCTCATGGAAGAGCTTTTTGTACACAAGGAGCCACATTTAGAATCTGGATCCTCCGTTTAATGGCTTTTATAATACATTTTCCAGTATTACAGTGTCCTATGGACCCATTCATTTTTTATTAGAAACTTAAAGAGGTAAGAGCTATTATCCTTGTTTAAAGTCAGAAAGGCAAATGAATATCTCCAGCAAGAATTTACTAATGTTTTGTCAGTCTGCATTTATTTTTCTGCTGAAATGTTTTTCCCCTAAATTTTTCTCCTAATCCTTGCTTTTCAAACAATTAATGATGTTTTTTTTAAAAAATCTTTCTCTTTTCTTTTCTTTTTTTCTCTTCTTCTTTCTCTCTGCTTGTGCCTTTCTTCTTTTTTCTCCATCAACCCACCCTTCTGCCCCTCTCTCTCTCTCTCTCTCCTCCTACCTCCCTCTCTCTCTCTCTTTCTCTCTCTTTCTCTCTCTCTCTCTCTTCCCCCCTCTCTATGGTTTCCCTGTTGTCTCATTCTTATTAGAAAACCAAAAAAAACTTTGGAGGAATATTATTTTAAAAGTGTATTGGGAAATACACCCAGGCATGGTGGCTCACACCTGTAATCCCTTTGGGAGGCCGAGACGGGTGGATCACCTGAGGTCAGGAGTTTGAGACCAGCCTGGCCAACATGGTGAAGCCCCATCTCTACTAAAAATTACAAAAATTAGCTGCGCATGGTGGGGAGTGCCTGTAGTCCCAGTTGCTCAGGAGGCCAAGGCAGGAGAATTGATTGAACCTGGGAGGCAGAGGTTGCAGTGAGCCGAGATCATGCCACTGCCCTCCAGCTTGGGCGACAGAGCAAGACTCCATCTCCAAAAAAAAAAAAAAAAAGAAAGAAAGAAAAAAAAGAAAAAGTATATTGGGAAATAGATATTCAATATCTTTCATGGGTCAAGAAAGTGGTGTCATTTTAGGCATGCTCCAGCACTCCTAAATAATAGGGATTATTTGGTAAGAGACATCAGAGACTCATAAAGTTATTTAGACTGTTACATAGAAGAGAACAATGAAAAGAAAATTTTTATCCCTGCCATTGAGGAAGGGAAGCCTAATTATAGCCTAATTATAGAAGGTGATTTAAAGATAGACACACTTAATATCTTTTTTATCCTCTACAGAAAGATCAGAGATGAATTATTGACTGGGGACTGATTTGGTTTTGAAGGAATGAGAAATCATTAAATCATGTTGATTTAAATACCTTATTTTTTCCAGTTATTCTGTAAGAAGAAGGAACACACTTCTTACAGAATATCTGGAAAACAAGGCCTTTAAATTAGCAGGATCTGGTGACCTAATCCCTGAATTTTTCTAACATTTTCAGAGACCACAGCCAATATTTCTGAGAAATTGTGGAAAGGGATTGATGTCTCTCCAGACTAGCAAAGAGAAAAGAATAAAACTTATGTTATAAGACTTACATGTTTGAGGAAAGAAAGAGATTAGTATTGAATGGTGTAGTATGAATTTCTGAAAGACACCAAAAGAATATATCAAACAATAAATTAACCATTACTTGCAGAGGCATAGATGATTAGAAATAAAAAAGAATACAACTTTGGCATTAGTAAATCTTTCCAAAGTTAAGTAGCTATTTCTGCTGTACTAATGCAGACAAGGGTAGAGTGGAAGATACACTGCCTCAATTTCTCTATTGCTTTTGGGGTCTCATCAATTACCCAGTTAAATGATTCTGGGATATTGATGGTGCTTGTGAAGGTAGCAGCACATCTGATTTTCACGATGCATGGTTACTTACTGTTTACATGTGATATTTTTTTCCTCCATAATTGGAGCACGAATGCCTGATGTTCAATTAAATCATATCAGCTTCATCAGAATTTCTGGGAATGGGGTTTAGACATCTGTATTTTTTTTAAGCTGCTTTGGTGGTTCTGTTGCCCAGAGAGGGTTGAGAGCTACTGTCTGTGATGAAAGGTACTGCTGCTCTAACCCCACAGAGTGGGACCAGACTAGAGACTTCATCTACCAATTGAATATTTCCTCACAGCCCCGCATGCTTTTCCTGCCTTCTGCCTTCTAATGGCATTCCTGTGCCTACAAAGTCACCTATTTTTTCCTGAGATGTCCATGTCTCATGTATCCTTCAAGCCCCAGCTCGGTTTTATCTCTCTCATGAAGCTTCCCTGACAGTCCTAGCTCTTACTGGGCAGCCCTCTTTCACCCTCAACATCAGTAGCCCCACTAAGCAAAATGTGATGCATAAACCAGTAACGTAAAACTTCGCATGGAAGCTTGTTAGAAATGTAGAGTCTCAGGCACCAGCCTCAGACTCAATGAATCAAAAACTGCCTTTTAACCAGACTCCCAGAGGACTGGTGTGCCCTTTAAGGTTTGAGAAGCTCTGGTCCGCAGCACGAACATGGCTTAGCCCTTCCTTGTAGGTTGTCTTATTCCTAACTGATTTGCCTGTTCATCTCATCTTCTCAAATGGATTAAATGTTCCTTGGTGAAAAGGAACACCTCTTGGAGTTCCTTTGCACCCTTCTATTACGTTCTGTACATGGACATGCAATGGCTGATAACAATAGATACATTTACTGAGTGCAGATTATGTGTCAGGTACACTATCAAATGCTTTATGTAAATAATTTCATTGGCCAGGTGTAGTGGCTCACACCTGTAATCCCAGCACTTTGAGAGGCCAAGGCAGGTGGATCACTTGAGGTTAGGAGTTTGAGACCAGCTGGCCAACATGGTGAAACCTCATCTCTACTGAAAATACAAAAATTAGCTAGGTGTGGTGGCAGGTGCCTGTAATTCCAGCTACTTGAGAGGATGAGGCAGGAGAATTGCTTGAACCTGGGAGGCAGAGGTTGCAGTGAGCCAAGGTCGTGCCACTGCACTCCAGGCTGGGAGACAGAGTGGGACTCAATCTCAAACAAAACAAAACAAAACAAAACAAAACAAAACAAAAATAATAATTTTATTAAATCCCCACAGCAATCTGGGGATATAGAATTGAATACCCATTCTATACGAGAAAACTGAGGTTGAGAGTGGTTCACTAAGTTGCCTCAGGCCACATAGTTAGAAAGTGGCAGAATTGGAATTTAAAGCCAGGGTTCTTAACCACTGTGTAAACTGCAATATGCACTTAATAAATTGTTTAGTGATTCAAGGCTTAGGAAAAGGTGACATTGATTTAAAAGTCCTTTGGCTTTTACTTACAAATGTAGAGCCAACAGATAGAGATCCAGTGCCCCATTTAGAATATTTGGCAGGTTTATAAATATTGTTTCAGGCAACAGCTCTTCTCCCATCTTGTTTAGCTTTCATGGTAGTGCGTTATCACATCCTTCACCTGGATTCTCTTGTTTAGCCTAAACAAGTTTCTAGCATTAATCGCATTTGTATTATTTAAGATGGCAAGACTCAACCTGACTTCTATTATTGTTCCTCTCTTAGTCGGCTTTAGCTAAATAGGAACTAGTCTGATTTTGGTAAAGGCAGCTGGAAGTGGGGGTGGGTGTATCTCTCTTCTAATTTCTGTTGTCTTTGTTATTGTGACTACAGCAGCAGTAGATCAGAGCATGGACTTTGGTAGCAGACAAGCCTGGGTTTGAATCCTGACTCTGCCACTTATGTAAGTGATTTCAGCTCTCAGTATCTCAGTTTCCCCATTTATAAAATGAAGCCAATATGGGATTGTGGAAATAAAATAATCCATTTAAACTCTCTAGGACACAGTAAACACTCAACAATTATGACCTCCTATTGTGAATTCAAGCCACCTGCCTTATTATTATTATTATTGAGATGGAGTCTTGCTCTGTCGCCAGGCTGGAGTGCAGTGGCGCAATCTCAGGTCACCGCAACCTCCGCCTCCCGGGTTCAAGCGATTCTCCTGCCTCAGCCTCCCGAGTACCTGGGACTACAGGTGTGCTCACTATGACCAGCTAATTTTTGTATTTTTAGTAGAGACGGGGTTTCACCATGTTGGCCAGGATGGTCTCCATCTCTTGACCTCGTGATCCAACCACCTCGGCCTCCCAAAGTGCTGGGATTACAGGCGTGAGTAATCTACTTACTAACTCTAAGTAAACTTCTGGTAGAAGGCAGGTCACCAGATTGTAAGCCACCCAAAGGCACTACTTGCTTCTTGGTATATTGCACAGGCTAAGACACCTATTAGGTGGTTGTTTGGAAATCTTGGTTGGATGTTTTATGGTCAAGATTGGAGACAATAAGTCATAAAAACATGTTTTCCTCTTTATTATCTCTTTTATCCATAAGTTAGTACCAAGAAAAGTTTGACCAATGATGAAGGCAGGGCTCCCTGGGAAGCTTCAGGCAGGTAGGGATTGGTTTACCTGGTTCCCTCCTAGACCATCCTACACAGTGTACCCAGCACCTGTATGTGATGGCATACAGTAGGAGAGGTATCTTTTGACTGACTAGCTTTGCAGGCAATGAGCTTGACGTGACTGAAACCCTAAAGTCAGTGGCGGACAAGCACTGTGGCAACAGAATATAGTGAAAACCAGATGTGAGATTGTGCTCTCACAGTCTCATTATTGTCCTAGAAATTAATGAACTTGGAGAATATTTCTGAGGTTTAGTAGCTAGGGCACCAGATAACAAGCACACAAAATGTACAGTATAGCTGGATGCCTCATTAGTGCTGTAAAGCGAATAATGCATACGTTACCTCAACAGGTTATTGTGTAGGATTGCTAATTAATGTCAGTTATGAACTTTGGAGCTACTGAAAGTACTGAATTGCTGTGTTATTTGTTAGGAATAATTTGATTCAGTTGTATTTTGACTCTTGGTGTTTAGGATAGAGTATCCAATGCCCTCAGAATTCCCTTTCTCTCTCTCTCTCTCTCTCTCTCTTTCTTTCTTTCTTTTGACAGAATCTCACTCTGTTGTCCAGGCTGGAGTGCAGTGGCTTGATCTTGGCTCACTGCAACCTCTGCCTCCTAGGTTCAAGTGATTCTCCTGCCTCAGCCTCCCGAGTAGCTGGAATTACAGGCGTCCACCACCATGCCTGGCTAATTTTTGTATTTTTAGTAGAGATGGGGTTTTGCCATGTTGGCCAGGCTGGTCTCGAACTTCTGACCTCAGGTGATCCATCCGCCTCAGCCTCGCAAAGTACAGGGATTACAGGTGTAAGCCACAGCGCCCAACCCTAGAATTTCATTTCTAAACTTTTTCTAGATGAGTCAAGTTAGACCTTTAGAGAAGTTGAAATTGGGCCAGACGCGGTGGCTCACACCTGTAATCCCAGAACTTTGGGAGGCCGAGGCGGGTGGATCACGAGGTCAGGAGATCGAGACCATCCTGGCTAACACGGTGAAACCCCGTCTCTACTAAAAATACAAAAAATTAGCCAGGCATGGTGGCGGGCGCCTGTAGTCCTAGCTACTTGAGAGGCTGAGACAGGAGAATGGCGTGAGCCCGGGAGGCGGAGCTTGCAGTGAGCCGGGTTGGCACCACTGCACTCCAGCCTGGGCGACACAGCGAGACTCCGTCTCAAAAAAAAAAAGAAATTGAAATGTTCAGCAATGCATATGTTTCTGAGGTTTTGCCATCACATATTATATGTGGTAAAGGGATAAGAACACTGGCTTGGGAGCCCAGACACCTGCATTTGGTTTTAGTTCTCCAACCAAATCATCCTGGGTAACATTCAAGATGTAACATCCCAGAGTTTCAGCTTATTAGGACTGATCATTACTACCAACTAAGTTTAATATTTATTCAGTTTCAATACTCATTAGTTGTTTTGATTAATAACATCTTGCTATGATTTATCCTGTACTGCTCATAAGCAACAAACAAATAGATACCATTTTAAAATCACTGAAAGAGTTTAGAAGGATTAACAATAGAATATAAGGTATTTTTGGGATTTAAAAATAAATACTAGCCTTGTATTGGCAAAATACCCCTTTAAACCCATGTGGCACTGTTATTTTACTTGATAATTGGTTCTGTTTAAAATTTACAACATGTTTGAGTGAAGAAATCCTTGATTATTATTCCTCATTCAAATACCTGTACATTTTGTGCTAGACTGAGTAGAAAGGAATATGAGTTTTATTTCATCTACTGTGTGTCTACTCCTTTGGGGAAGACAGGGTACTAACAATTATGGGCTGGTAAATATTTCAACTTGTTTCCAAGACTGCGGTAAGTAGTACAAAACTACAAGGCTCAAGGAAAAATTTCTAGCTGGGTAATATGTACCTTGCTCCCAATTCCATTTTAATTCAGGTGGGGTCAAGAATTGTGATAAAAATGTTAGCACTTATCTTCTAACAGAAAAACAGGTTGGCTTTTTTAGTCATGCAAAATACAATTTTGAACTTCTGCAGAATGTTCTGAAAAAATGTGAGGTTATTTAGTTTACTCAAAATTTATTTCTACCTACTTCTAAAATGGATTTCAGGTGACTAAGGTACAGTGAGTCCTCACTTAACGTCACTCATATGTGCTTAGAATCTGGAATTTTAAGCAAAACAATGAATGAAGAAGCTGATTTTACCACAGGCTAATTATATAAACAAGAATTAAGTTACTAGGGCATATTTCTGGTTACAAAAATATAACTAATTTTAAATAAAGATAAAAACACTTCTAATATTCAATATTAAGATAAATGTGAACCATACACATATTTAAAAAAGATGACTAAGAACACGAAAATGGTTTACCCAAGTTCTGGGAAATCAGTGAGCGAAGGCAGTCATAGTGCTGGTGGGTTAAATCAAAGAATAAATGCAGAGCAAAAATGTCAAGGATAAATATCTGCCACCATGCAACTCAAAAACAATCACACATATGGCAGGCTTACTGAACACTTTCGTTTTACATCGTTTATTGTGGTAGCTCTATAGGATTATCACATCTTTTACAAGTTTTTATTTGACAATAATTTGTATTCATTCATTCATTCTTTCATTCATTCATTTTCCTACCAGCTTACTCCAGTTCAGGGTTGTGGGTGGCTGGAGCTTATCCCGGCACTCAGGGTGCAAGGCAGGACCCAATCCTGGCCAGGACACCATTCCATCACGGGACACACTCACACACACATACACACACATGCACACACGTACACACACACACACGCTCACTGAGACTGGGACAATGGAGACACACCAGTTCATCTAACATGCGCATCTTTGGGATGTGGGAGGAAACCAAAGTACCCAAAGAAAAGCCACGCAGACACAAGGAGGATGTGCAAACTCCACCCAGATAGTGGGCCTGGCTGGAAATCCATTTCTCCCCTCAATGTTACAACGAAATGACGTTGAACAGAATGGTGTTATTCAAGGACATGCTGTACTAACAAATTTGAGCTGCAATTGAAATTCATCGTTATTTGCTGTGCTGGAGATGATTTGGTTAATGGAAGTTTAATGGGCTAAAACTGCCCTTATTTGGTAAGGATTGAAAAGTGATTTTATTGCTCCTTCATTTTCACATGGTTTTCATCAACACTGATGGTTCAGAAAATAAACATGAGTGCTTCTGAGACCTGCAATTTTGAGAAAGCTGAGTCCAAAGCATTAGTATTGAATTTGCATACAATGAAGTATGCATTCATGTTAATGTGGCCCAGCTGGGTTATTTTAAATAGAAATTTGGCATCCTTGGACTAATATTCTGAAAACCTCCAGATTATAATTTATTATTATTTTATTCAAATTTTAAAATTCAGTATATATCTCCCAGAAGGCTGATTTTTATTTAAAAGAAAAGGAAAACGGGCTGGAATTGTTTTGGGGATGTTTTATTTCCATCTTGCCATTTAAGTGGTTAGGATAGTATGGAGTGATGGAAGAATTATTGTGTTTCATAGATTCAAAGGTACACATTTTTTTCTTTTATATTTTAACATCTTTAAAATCAGCATGCATCTTATAGCTGATAGTATCTTAAAATTGCCGTCAACCAAAGTATACAGTTTTCACTGCTTGCATATAAACAAACTTGGTGAAAACAAAAGTACAGTCCCTTGAAGCTACTGTCAACAAATCATTTAGATGATTTGACAGAGGACCCGAATTCTAGTTATCGTCTGAAGACTTTTAGTTGACAATTTGGTGAGATGAAGGAAGTATCAATAATCAAAGCTTACAGAATGGTTGTCAGAGGATCGGCAGAAAAGCCAGAGACAGTAATGAAAACTCTTCAGGACTGTTGCCATCAACACTTTAAGTTGAAAATGTATTCAGAAGCTTGAAGTCTGAATAGGAAATAGTTTTAGGAATACCTCAACCAATTTATTTCACTTTCATTTTATTTAATATGTATGCATTAAAATGGCTAGGCACGGTGGCTCATGCCTATAATCCCAGCACTTTGGGAGGCTGAGGCCGGCAGATCACCTGAAGACAGGAGTTCGAGACCAGCCTGGCCAACATGATGAAACCCCATCTCTACGAAAAATTCAACAATTAGTCAGGTGTGGTGGCGCACATCTGTAATCCCAGCTACTCAGGAGGCTGAGGCAGAAGAATCGCTGGAATCTGGGAGGCAGAGGCTGCAGTGAGCCAAGATCATGACACTGCACTCCAGCCTGAGTGACAGAGCCAGACTCTATCTCAAAAAAAAAAAGTGTGTGTGTATATATATATATGTAAATATATATATGCATTAAATGATATATGATAAACGTTTATACTTATTTAATCAGTAGGTTGGTTTCTTTCTTAAAAGTGAACAAAATAATAATCTGTGCTGTCACATTTTAGACAAAATATGGTACTTATATATTGTTTCAATTTCTACAACCAAAATGGTTGGGGCCACCAATGATGGAAAACCAGACCCATATCCCCAAACAGTCAAAAATACTTAATGGAAATTTAGGACATCCTGTGTTATTGTTTCAAAAAGCCTGGTACTCTTTCCTAAAGACCCCACTGTTCCAGGAGCTGCCCCTTTGATTATGGGAAAAAGTGAGAACTTGGACAACACAGATGTTTCCAATTTGGAGACTGAGGAAGCCCCTGTGCCTGCATCTTATTCTGGTTCTTAAGGATCATGGGAATATGTTTTCCAGCTTCCCCCCTCCCATGATCAACGTATACACAGCAATAAACTTTTATAGATGTACTTTATGTTAACCTCTGCCCCAACCCCAATACACATAAAAATATGTGGAATTTTCTCAGGCAATTTGGGGTAATATATTACAAAGATTGATTTTACGTTAAAGCCCATAATAATGAAAGGTCTACCCTTCTGAATATCGATGTGATGGACAGATAAAAATGTCCTATTTCTCTGGAAAATACATATCCTGTAAGGTAGGAAAAGTCAGAAACAAAACTGTAGGAGCTATAAGATAGAACAAGCACACTATGGCTTATTTGTAAACCTGGGACTTCAGTGTTCACATTTTGTATAAATTTTGACAGATGCTACGATCTATGTTAGGATGTTGTAATAGCTATCCCAAAATAAAATCTTTAAATAAAAAAATTAACTCAAATCTTCTCACAATCAATACTATCATATTAAAACTTCCCAGCTTAACAACGCCAACATCAAAATTATTTCCAAAGTAGCCAATGACCACTTTGATTCAGTAGCATTCTGCATATTCCAGGGCAGTAAAAGAAAAAGGACAGTCCCTGAAAGTTGTTCCAATGGAATTTGGCTTCTTCTCAGGCTAATTTGTTCCATTTATCTTCAAGCCTAAGATCCTTGGCATAAGGTGCTAAAATACATACCAAGCTATAAGGACTAGTGATGGATAAGGGGCCTCAGGACAAAGGTATGTATTATAGTTCCACAATAAGAAAATACACTAGGAAGACAAATCTTTCTTCCTTTCTCCCTCCACACTTATATCTAAAAACTATTTATTTTAGCATCTACTATGTGCCAGGTACAGCCTTGGACAAAAAGAAAAAAATCCACTCTCAAAGAAATTACACACTGTTAGAGGAAAAAGTAATGAGCAATACATATACTATATAAACCACATCGTGTATTAGAAGGAGATAACTGGAAAGAAAATAGAGTGGAAAAATAGAGTGTGAGCATGAGTTAGTGGGAGAGAATGAGATACAGTTTTTGTTTTTGTATTTGTTTTTGTTTTTGTTTGAGACGGAGTCTCGCTCTGTCAGCTAGGCTAGAGTGCAGTGGCACGATCTTGGCTCACTGCAACCTCCGCCTCCCGGGTTCAAGTGATTCTCCTGCCTCAGCCTCCCCAGTAGCTGGGACTATAGGCGTGCACCACCACATCTGGCTAATTTCTGTATTTTTAGTAGAGACAGGGTTTCACCATGTTAGCCAGCTTAGTCTCGAAATCCTGACCTCGTGATCCGCCCGCCTTGGCCTCCCAAAGTGCTGGGGTTACAGGCATGAGCCACCGCGCCTGGCAGGGATCCAGTTTTAAATAGGGTAGTCAGGGTAGGCCTCATTGAAAGGTGAAATGTTGGCAAAGACTTGCAGGTATGAGGGAGTTAGACAGGAAAATGTCAACGGGAGCATATTCCAGACAGAGAGAAGAGCCTGCAGACTAGTCCCAAGGCTGAAGCAAGTCTGGAGTGTTAGAAAGACCACAAGGAGGCAAGAATGGCTCACTTGGAGTGAGCAGGGCAAAGTAACAAGTGATGAAGTCAAGAGAAAAGATGATGAGATTATCTGGGACCATGCAAGTCACTGTAATTGTGAGGTCTCCTTTGACTGGTGTTCCAGGCCTGCAGCTTCCTTCAATACCAAATGCACCATGGTTATCTCAGACTTCATATATGCTGTTTCTGAACTTTAGATAACCTTCCCCCAGATCAAGGTGTGGCTCGCTCTTTTCTTCATGCAGTTCTCAATTTTAATGCCACCTCCTCAGCAAGGCCTTTTCTCATCATTCTGGTCCACTGCCACACTATTGCACTTTAGTTTATAAAATTATAACAGTCAACAATAAGAAAATCCATGTATTATGCAAGTAACTAGTGGCTTCCATGTAAAGAAACCTGCTCCCTCTATCAAGGTACTCTTATTCTTTCTCACCGAGTGGAATCTACAAGCTGCATAGCAGTTTCCTTCCAATTATAAAGTAATGGTGGCCAGGGACTTTGGCCTTGAGTAGTTTTGCTAAGGAAGCTGGATCTGAGCCAAAAGAGGCTGTGGAGACCAGCCCATCTTACCTTCTTGGTGGAAAATCACTGAAAGATCTTTGATTTCTGGTGTTTTTCAATGCCAGCATTGTGGTTAAGATATCTTCACTCATTTTCTGATAACAGAACTCTGATTTCCTCCACTGGCCATTGGCCCAGTGATAGGTTTGAGGATGAACACATGGCCCAGGTTGCACTAATTGAGGCTGCCACTGGAACTTGCCTGCTAGAGTCATCAGGGAGGGTGTTTCCTTTCTGGTTGATCTGCTAAGTTGTGCACTGGGTTATTAGTGTCCATAGTGCTTACCATATGGAAAAATCTTCCCTAAGAGGTAGTGAGAGAGATCAAGACCTGGTGGCACCATATGGGACATTGATCCTGCTGTACCTGAGTCAGTTGTGCTCTTGGACTTTGTAGTGATAAGAGCCATGATTACACTAATTTGAGTTAGATTACTTTCCCTCAGAGTTGAAAGAGTCTTAATAGTGCAGATATCATCTAGTTTCTACTCTCTTTTTCAATAAGTAATAATTCCCATTGCTTCCTAACCACTATGGGATTCAGAGGCTAGCTAGGCCCTTGCAAACAGGCCTTCTGTGGTTTTAAATTCACTTCTCATTGCAAACAGGCCTTCTGTGGTTTTAAATTCACTTCTCATATATCTCACACTGTAGGCCATTGTGGGCTGGGAATTCTATTTGTTGTTGTTTCTTCTCCAGTAAATGGAAGATGTTATTTTCTTCTCCAACTTACATATCCTTATTTCTAGTTTAATTATACTGAAGATCCCCCAAAGATCTTGGAAAATTAAATCAGGCGTACGTGCAAAATTTCCAGTTCCATTAAGAAGGTCCTAGAGAGTCAATTCCTTCATAGTCTCTTGTTTTTCTTAAAATGATATTTTTTCTAGTTAAAAAATGATTCCACTCCACATCTAAAAGCTGCTGATGTTATTAGGCATTTAGAACAACTCAGGAGGAAAAATGGGTTTCTAGGAGGATGTTTCTCTTCACTTGTTTTCTGTTTTGCTTTTTCTTTTTCCTGGCATCACAGACCATGAAGGCCACAACATCTGTTACCCAGGAATACACAGAAACAACCTAGTCTCCAAAGTAGCATCTATTATCAGCATCTTTCTATTGCTGATGAGTATCAGGGGTTTCCAGAAAGCCACACTGGAGCAATCCCACTTCCGGGTATAGATCAAAAGAAGTGAAAACAGGATCTTGAAATGGTATTTGCATGCCTGTGATCATTGTAGCATTATGCACAATAACCAAGAGGTAGAAGCAACATACATATCTATCAACAGATAAGTGAATAAAAAATGTGATATATACATACAATGGAATATTATTCAGCCTTGAAAGGCAGGAAATCTTGTCATGTGCTACAATAAGGATGAAATTTGAGCACATTATGCGAAGCAAAATAAACCAGTTACAAAAAGGCACTTGTATGAGGTATCTAAAACATTTAAACTTACAGAAACAGAAAGTAGAATCGTGGTTGTTAAGGGTTGCAGGGCGTGTGAGGGGAATAGGGAGATGTTGTTTAACGGGTGTGGAGTTTCAGCCATTCAAGAAGAAAAATTCCTAGAGATCTTCCGTACAACAATGTGCATATAGTTAACACTATTGAATTATATACTAAAAAGTGGTTAAGATAGTAAATTTTACATTATATGCTTTTTACCACAACCTTTTTTTTTTTTTTTTTTTTTTGAGATGGTGTCTCACACTGTTGCTTAGGCTGGAGCACAGTGGTGTGATCTCTGCTCACTGCAATCTCCGCCTCCTGAGTTCAAGTGATTCTTCTGCCTCAGTCACCCAAGTAGCTGGGATTACAGGCGCCCACCATCACGCTTACCTAATTTTTTGTATTTTTAGTAGAGACAGGGTTTCACTATGTTGGCCAGGCTGGTCTCAAGCTCCTGACCTCATGATCCACCCGCCTCGGCCTCCCAAAGTGCTGGGATTACAGGCATGAGCCACTGCGCCCAGCCTACCAAAACTTTTTTAAAACTAAAAGATATTTTAAAAATAAAGCAAAGTAAAGTGAAACGAAACAAACCAAAAAAGCAACACTCAAGCACTCACATGGTCTTTGGGAGGCACCTCTTCCTGAGAACTCAGCATCACCAAGTCAGAAATCCCATTGGAGGGGTGGATACTAGACCTGGAAGACTACTCACTTACCTTTGTTTCTCGAGTTCCACCCTCTCATTTTGCTTTGCTTGTTTTATGGAAACACAGCCACACACATTGGTTTGAATCATCTATGGCTGCTTTCACACTACAATGGTGGAGTTGAGTAGCTATGATATGGTCTACAAAGCTGAGAATACTGACTATCTGGTCCTTTAATAAAAAGTTTGCTGAGAGATCTGGGCATAATTGTGTCCCCCTCCCTTCATTCATATGTTGAAGTCCTAATTCCTAATACCTCAGAATGTGATGGTGTTTTGGAAATAAAGTCTTTAAAAAGGTATTACTCCAGTCAGAATAGCTATTATTAAAAAGTCAAAAAATAACAGATGCTGGTGAGGTTGTGGAGAAAAAGGACCGCGTGTACACTACTGATGGGAGTGTAAATCAGTTCAACCATTGTGGAAGACAGTGTGGCGATTTCTCTAAGACCTAAAGACAGAAATACCATTGGACACAACAATCTCATTATTGGGCATATACCCAAAGAAATATAAATTATTCTACCAAAAATACACATGCATTGATATGTTCATTGCAGCACTATTCACAATAGCAAAGACATGGAATCAACCTAAATGCCCATCAATGGTAGACTGGATAAAGAAAATATGGTACATATATACATATATACCATGGAATATTATGCAGCCATAAAAAAGAAAGAGATCATGTCCTTTGCAGGAATATGAATAGAGCTGGAGGTGATTATCCTTAGCAAACCAATTCAGGAAAAGACAATCAAATACTGCATGTTTTCACTTATAAGTGGAAGCTAAATGATGAGAACACATGGACACAAAGAGAGGAACAATACACATTGGAACTTATCAGAGGGTGGAGGTTGGGAGGAAGGAGAGATTCAGGAAAAATAACTAACAGGAACTAGGCTTAATACCTAGGTGATGAAATGGAGGATCTGTACAACAAACCCCCATGACACAAGTTTACCTATATAACAAACCTGCATATGTAACCCTGAACTTAAAATAAAGGTTAAAAGAAAAGATATTTCAGCAAAATGAAGTCATTAGGATGGGTTGTGATCCAATAAGACTGGTGTTCTCATAAGAAGAGGAAATTTGGACACAAATATACAACAGGAAGACCATGTGAAGACACAAAGAGAAGACAGCCATCCACAAACCAAGGGGAGAGGCCTCAAAAGAAACCGATTTATTGCGGCACTATTCACAATAGCAAAGACTTGGAACCAACCCAAATGTCCATCAGTGATAGACTGGATTAAGAAAATGTGGCACATATACACCATGGAATACTATGCAGCCATAAAAAGGATGAGTTCATGTCCTTTGTAGGGACATGGATGAAGCTGGAAACCATCATTCTCAGCAAACTATCTCAAGGACAGAAAACCAAACACTGCATGTTCTCACTCATAGGTGGGAATTGAACAATGAGAACACTTGGACACAGGAAGGGGAACACCACACACTGGGGCCTGTTGTGGGGTGGGGGGAAGGGGGAGGGATAGCATTAGGAGATATACCAAATGTAAATGACAAGTTAATGGGTGCAGCACACCAAACTGGCACATGTATACATATGTAACAAACCTGCACAGTGTGCACATGTGTGCTAGAACTTAAATTATAATTTAAAAAAATTTAAAAAAAATAAAAATTAAAAAAAAGAAAAGAAGAAACCGATTGTGTCGACACCTTGATCTCAGACTTCCTGTCTCCAGCACTGAGACAGTAAATTTCTGTTGTTTAAGCCACCAAGTCTGTGGTACTTTCTTATGACAGTGCTAGCAAGTGAATACATCTACCCACAGAAAGTCCTTTGCTTTCTGGTCTTTGCCAATGCCAGCCTCGTGGTTAATGTCCGTTCACTCATTTTCAGATAGCATAACTCCTGTTTCCTGTTTGTTTTGTCTTATGAAGAGCCATGGTTATATCTGACCATATGAAAGTCAAACTGGGTAACAGCTGGCTGCATTGTGGCCATTTCACATGTTAAGAAGATTACACCTAAGTAGCTTAACACTTTTAAATGTGTCATGGAGCCTCATACTGTGCTGAATAGTGCCCCCCTAAAAAATATTATATGCTCAGGTCCTAATTCCTCAAACATGTGAATGTGATCTTATTTTTTTTTCAAAAAAAGAGTCTTTGCAGATGTGATTAAGTTAAGGATTATCTGGGCGGGCCCCAAATCCAGGGACAACTGCCTTGTAAGAGACACATAAAGGAGATACACAGAGGATGGGGCAAAGAGACCAGGGAGTCAGAGTTTGAGGGATATGGCCCTAGGCCAAGGAATGCCCAGAGACAGAAAAAGCTGGAAGAGACAAGAAATAGATTATCCTTAAGAGCCCTAGGGGAGAGTACAACCCTGCTAACACCTTCCTTGATCTTGGACTTTTGGCCGCCAGGACTGTGAGAGAATAGAGAATATACTTCTGTTATTTTTTAAAATTTATTATTATTATTATTATTTATTTTATTTTTGAGACAGGGCCTCACTCTGTCACCCAAGCTGGATTCAGTCGTGCCATCTCAGCTCACTGCAGCCTCAACCTCCCAAGCCCAAGTGATCCTCCCACCTCAGCCTCCCAAGTAGCTGGGATTACAGGCATGTACCACCATACCTGGCTAATTTTTGTATTTTTAGTAGAGACAGGGTTTTGCCATGTTGCCCAGGCTAGTCTCAAACTCCTGAGCTCAAGTGATCCACTTGCGTTGGCCTCCCAAATTGCTGGGATTACAGGCATGAGCTACCGTTCCCGGCTACATTTCCGTTGTTTAAAGCCATTTGTTATGGGAGCCCTCTGAAACTAATTTCAGCCCTAGTGATATCCAAGTTATGCCAAGTGTTGTCACACACAGTGCATGCTACATTTTTTATGATATGGGTTAAACAGGAAGACACTGTTATACTTGGAGACAAGCTTGCTCTTGAACTGGTCTTTCCTTTCTCTGAATTCTTATTGCATGTATGATAAGGCTTTACACAATCAGTATACATTGAGATTTCCAAAGGACTTTCAATGATCTACTGTCTCACTTGAGAGAGTACTACGCAATCTCCAGCAGATAGACAGGGGAGGTGTATTAGTCTGTTCTCATGCTACTATGAAGAAATCCCCAAAACTGGGTAATTTATAAAGGAGAGAGGCTTAACGGACTCACAGCCCTGCATTGCCAGGGAAGCCTCAGGAAACTTACAGTCATGGGGAGAGGTAAAGGAGAAACAGACACCTTCTCTACAGGGTGGCAGGATGGAGTGAGGGCAAGCAGGGAAAATGCCAGACACTTATAAAACCCTCAGATCTTGAGAAACTCACTCACTATCATGAGAACAGCTTGGGGGAAACAGCCCCCATGATTTAATTCTCCACTTGGTCCCTTAACACATGGAGATTATGGGGATTACAATTCGAGATGAGATTTTGGGTGGGGACACAGCTAAACCGTATCAGGAGGCATGATACTCCACTGATTCAAGAACTGAGGTTTAGGTTGATAACTTTCCCAAATGATTCAGACCCAGGCCTGCTGATCGCTAATGGGTGTCCTTTCAACAACCATGAAGGCATGCCTAAAGGCCAGCAATAACAAGACAGATGTGCCAAGGACCTCCAATGAAGCGGGGTCTGTACTACAGTCATATCTACTCATGGTTTCCTCGATCAATATCAATAAATGCGGTATTATATTTCCCATTCATTTGGATGGATATTTTCTTTGTGGGAAAGCAAACACAAATGAATTTATTATATATATATAATGTAAGATTTCAGAACCACAGGTCATTAAGCTGAATGTTTTGTTTTTGTGGGGCTAAGTGAACTGTTGTGAACGAGTACGGCTCATCTCCATGGTACTGACCTCAAAAGTTGAGAGAAGTAGTACCATTTCACCTTTAGTTTTACTTAATTGTTGCCATAAGCCTACTGGAGAAAATTTAGGTAACATTTTTAACTTCATTCTTCTTCTTATTTTTTTTAATTATACTTTAAGTTTTAGGGTACATGTGCACACCGTGCAGGTTTGTTAAATATGCATACATGTGCCATGTTGGTGTGCCGCACCCATTAACTCATCATTTAACATGAGGTATATCTCCTAATGCTATCCCTCCCCACTCCCCCCACCCCACAACAGGCCCCAGTGTGTGATGTTCCCCTTCCTGTGTCCATGTGTTCTCATTGTTCAATTCCCACCTATGAGTGAGAATATGCGGTGTTTGGTTTTTTTGTCCTTGCGATAGTTTGCTGAGAATGATGGTTTCCAGCTTCATCCATGTCCCTACAAAGGACATGAACTCATCCTTTTTTATGGCTGCACAGTATTCCATGGTGTATATGTACCACATTTTCTTAATCCAGTCTATCGTTGTTGGACATTTGGCTTGGTTCCAAGTCTTTGCTATTGGGAATAGTGCCACAATAAACATACATGTGCATCTTATTTGAAAATCAGAGCTAGGTATGGTGGCTTATGCCTAGAACTTTGAGAGGCTGATGTGGGAGGATTGCTTGAGCCCAGTAGTTCAAGGCTAACCTGGGCAACATGGTGAGACCCTGCCCCTACAAAAAATAATTAAATCAGCTGGGCATGCTGGTGCATACCTGTGGTCCCAGCTACTCAGGAGGCTAAGGTGGGATGATCTCTGGAGCCAGAGAGGTTGAGGCTGCAGTGAGCCATGATCACGCCATTACACTCTAGCCAGGGCAGCTGAGTGTGACCTTGTCTCAAAAAACAAAAACAAAAACAAAGACAAACCAGCCATAAACATTTTTAGTGTTTATCTTGTGTAAAACTTTTCTTATGTATTATTTATAACAACTCTACAATTTAAGTATTGATATTCCTATGAATGAAAGAAATTGAGACTTAGAGAGGTTAGAGTTATTCAGAGTCACAGAGCACCAAGTACTAAAGCCAGGATCTAAAGCCCAGGTCATTTGATTCCAGAGCCTGAGGTGTTAGATGTTGGTTACTTTTAATGTAATGGTAAAAACTGCAGTTACTTTTGCACCAGCCTAAAGGTATGCTCCCACAAGTGGCAGGGCACAACCTTCCTCAGACCTGTGTGGACTTGGCTCTCACCCCAGGAGGGGAACTCGGAGAAATGGTGTCTTTCTTTGGCCCAGCATGTGTCACAAAGCAAAGCAGACATATTTCAGCAGCTTTGGGCTGCTGAGCTGCTGGGTCCTTGACACAGCACTGATGAAGTGCTCTATTTTCCTATCTGATTTCACTGCTTTTCACAAAGCTATTATTTAGTGTGCAGCAACAAGGAAGCATAAACATCGCTCTGACTTTTTGCAAGTAAATATCAGCTACAATAAGCATTTGGTCTCCCTCAAGGCTTTCAAATCTACTGAAATGTCAGGTGCAATGAGATTCTGGGCAAAGGACAGAAGAGCAAATGGATTTTATAAAGGTTCCCCGAATGCTCAGAGCCTTAAATGAGCTGACCAACCCTGCTTTGGCTAGCAGCTCCCAGGATCATTTGCATGGTTCTAGCTGTATCTCCTCTGGTGGACAATGAGTGAGGATTTAACTTAGATGTCAATTCAGGTAGTTGCTTAAACTGCAGTCACAGATCACTGACCCATCTCCCCTTGACCATACCTGGAGCATCGTGTGGCACAGAAGACTGCTTGGGGTGTGCCCGATCTGAGGGAAGCAGCTGCCGAAAGGAGACTACTTGTTATCCAATGAATTTAACCTTTCTGCGGGCTTTCGTTAGAGGAAACTTTTACATCTGGGTTGCCAGAAGAAAAACTGTTTGGGTTTACATGGGCATTCAATACAAATATAGGTCCTTCTGGCCAAGGCACAACATTAGCAGGATGTACACTGGCACTAGTGAGAATGTTCTGAGCATTGCATTCATACCTTTCCACTCATCACAGCTCTGGATTTCCAAGTAAACTATTTACATGGAGTAGGGGGGTCTCCTCATATTTGCCTATCAGAATCTTCAGGCTTTGTACATGAATGTTTTACACCCTCTTTGCACATTATTAAAAGATGAATTTAGGCTGGGTGCAGTGGCTCACGCCTGTAATCCCAGCACTTTGGGAGGCCGAGGAGGGTGCATCACGAGGTCAGGAGATCAAGACCATCCTGGCCAACATGGTGAAACTCTGTCTCTGCTAAAAGTACAAAAACTAGCCAGGCGTGGTGGCATGCACCTGTAGTCCCAGCTACTCGGGAGGCTGAGGCAGGAGAATTGCTTGAACTTGACAGGCGAAGGTTGCAGTGAGCCGAGATCATGCCACTGCACTCCAGACTGGGGACAGAGTGAGACTGCGTCTCAAAAAAAAAAAAAAAAAAAAAAAAAGAAGATTTTTTTCTCATGTAACCAGGATCTCCTGGGTAACAATTTTAGATGGGCCAAAAGTTACTGGTAGCTTTTATGGGCCATTTGAGTGGAGTGGTTTATTTACTTCTTCAAATACTTTTTCTCATCATTTATATGTCTCTAGGCTTGGGAGCAACTATTTCCAAAATTACACAGCTATGCCAAAACACCAACAACAATAAAACATAACAACAATGACTTATAGCATAGACTTGGCATTGGGGCGGGCAAGCATCATAAGGATAGCTATAATTCAACATAATTATTTAAATGTCTTTCTGATTTTTTTATGCTAAAAGCATCATCAGCATTTGCTCCATATTAATATTGATCAAGTCTCTGAAACAAACATTTCTGTGAAGTATTTTTATTAGCTATTTTTGTACTTTAAAAATCTATGGAAACATAAAGAAACACCCTATAAGATTTCATATTTTTAAAGGTTTTTAATTAACTCACCATCTCTCACAAGTTAACTCTTCTTTAATAGGAGCTTAAAAGGACATGTTGGGAACTCATAAAACTCTAAAGCCAATTAATTATAGGAGGTCTGGATAATTTATGGTAGTTTTGAGAAATACTAAGTAGCAAAAAAAAATTGCTCTTAAATTCATGTCCCTCTTATCTGACCTCTGGAAAAATGTTAGTAAGATTTATTATTTTGTTCTTGGGTGGTTGATGTATTCTGCAGATAATTCAGATAGGGCATTTAGAATTCAGGAACTCTTTAGTTTTATGACACTGCCTATGCGGATATAAGAAAGTGATCCTCTGATGTGTGCAAAACTGGTACTAAATCCTTTAGACTCATGTAGCACAGGGGTTTCGAAGTCTGTCAAGCCCCAGTCTTGCAGTAACTTCAAGAGTGCATCATTTGCAGAGGATTTGATGCAATTGTTTCTATGTTAATCTTAACGTTTAGTTGGGTCACTTATTGGAATCATTCTTGATCTCTCTGCTTTCTGTAAACATCAGGCTGGAGCTATGTAGACTCCATTTGCCTGAGGGAGTTGATGAGACCCTGACAACTGATGTGATTACCCTGACTGGTGGTATATCCCCTCCTCTCCCCAGCTGCCCATCCTCATGGCCTTTCCCTGAGTTAGGCAGCAAAGACAGGGGACGTTGTCTTCAGAAGACCATAAAAAGTACAAATGCTATTTGGAAGCAAAGGGGAGATCTGGGGAATCTTCTTCTTTTTTTTTTTTTCCCCTCGTGAACCCTACTGACATGATTGGTTTGCTCAAGACTTGGAGAGGCACAAAGTCTGGCCCTAAGGAAATGTGATCCAGTGACTGGGGTTTGTTGGAGGGAAGGAAGAGGAGAGGCACACAGACACAAGCCTTTTGTGACCTCCTGAGCACCCATAAGCCTGGCTTTGAGAAAGGATGTTCTCTGCTTATATTTTCAGTTAGGGAGGCAATGGGAAGCAATGGGAGTTCATAGGTGAAGTGCTTAGCAATGGCAGGTGTGATGGTAGAATGTTGCAAAGGAAAGATGAAGGTACAGCAAGGAAGCCACTCCATCTCTTGCATGATTATGCCTGAATCAACCCTACAAACTGGATTACTGGATTATAAATTCTGTGGGACTCCAGCCAACACCAATTTTAAGCATGTTTTCTAAGCTTTGTTTGAGGGCATTTGTGTATTAAGCCAATATTTCACAGAGGCTCTGTTCTTTGTAATAGTCCATTTTAATCCTCGTTGTTCTACTAAGCAAATCATGTTTGAATGTTGGCTTATAAAGAATAAATACTGGAATCTAGTCTGTTGGCGTAATATGGCTTTGGGTTAGCATATACTTAACTATCTTAGAAACTGCTGTCTTCCCGCACTCCAATAATGTTGTAAGCTTAGTTCATGGATATAGGGAAATAATCTCCATTTATAAGTTGTTTACCTGCAATCCCCCATATTTCCAGCATCTTAGGCATATCTGTCTTTAAAATATAAACAACAGTATGTTAGCCAGGCTTGCCGGCTAACATACTGTTGATTATGGGCTTTTGGTATTATTCACAGCAGGGGTCCCCAATCCCCGGGCTGTAGACTGGTACCGGTCTGTGGCCTGTTAGGAACTGGGCCACACTGCAGGAGGCGAGCATTACTGCCTGAGCTCCACCTCCTATCAGATTGGCAGTGGCATTAGATTCTCATAGGAGTGCGAACCCTATTGTGAACTGCACATGTGGGAGATCTAGGTTGCACGCTCCTTATGAGAATCCAACTAATGCCTGATGATCTGAAGTGGAACAGTTTCATCTTGAAACCATCCCCCGCTGATCCTGTGGAAAAATTGTCTTCCAAAAAGGTTGGGGACTACAAATCTAGAGTAATACTGAAATCCAGAAAGACTGCTGACTGAGGATGAAGAAGAATGAATTGCACTTTGAAATAGGTTCTAGTCAATGTCCTCAGAATGTGCAGGACTGGAACTCAGGAGAGAGAACAGGGATGGAACAAGAAGGTTAAGTCATTCTGCTGAGGGTGAATGTTAATGCCCTAAG
This sequence comes from Homo sapiens, assembly GCF_000001405.40. Taxonomy (NCBI): domain Eukaryota; kingdom Metazoa; phylum Chordata; class Mammalia; order Primates; family Hominidae; genus Homo; species Homo sapiens. The sequence continues at coordinate 223,177,018 of NC_000002.12, forward strand.
TGTGCTGAGAGATGTATCAGTTGGGAAAACAATAAAATAATTGCTTAAGAAAAATAGAAGATTATGTCTCTGTCATGTCACTGAGGTTCAGGCCTGGGATATTGGTCCTATAAAGCAATGATCCAGTATTCTTCCTGCTCATGGCTCCCTATTGTTAGGGCGTGTCTGCATTTGTCTTTATGGTCTAAGATGACTGCTAGAACCGTGGCTGTTACATCTGTATTCCTGGGAGCAAGAAGGGCAAATATATTCATTTAAAGAAGACTTCCAGGAAGTTTCACAAAACATGTTCTTTTACCTCTTATTGGCCTAAATTTAGTCACTTGGGAGGCTGCAGGAGAGTCTGGCAATTGTAGTGTTTTTCCTGGATAGTGAAAGATCTGAGTGAACAGTTAAAAATTGAGAATTTCATTACCAAGGAAGAAATGGAGAATAGTGGATATTGAGAGGCATCTATGATATTAGTGTCTTCCATGAAGAGTCCTAAAGGAAATGATTTGGGATGTGAGTGCAACCCAAGAAGGAGAGAAAGATTTCTCCAGAAGGAAGTGTTAATTCCATTGCCAAGTAGAGAGAGAAGTCAAGGAGAATGGGAGCCAAGAAAAAGTCACAGGATTTCATGTTAGTGGATCATTTTAGACTTCAGCAGTATTTAGTTTGAGTAGTTTGGGGCCTCGTTGCAGCAGCAAACAAGGCACGAACACCTTCAATTCTTAAGCTTACTGTTTGAGTAAAATAACAAAAAAACTAGCCAATGAACAAACAAATATATAATGTCAAGTAGTTATATACTTTCCATAGAACCAGGCAGGAAGAGGAGAGCATTATTAGTGTGCCAGCTTGGAAACAGTGGCCAGGAAAGCTCTTTTGGAAGAGGTGATGTTTGAACAGACACTTGAGGAAGTGAGGGATGGACTCAAAAAGTTGCCTGTTAGGAACAGAGAACAAATGGTCAAAGCCCCAGGCTGCAGTGTGCTTGTGTTATTACAGGAACCAGAGGAGGGTCATGTGGCCACAAAGAAAGGAACAGAGGAAGGATATTTAGGAAATAAGTCAGAGGAATATCCAGGTGCTGTATTGTGAAAGCCCGTTCAGAATACAATAAAATTTTATTCTGAAAATGATGAGGAGTCATTAGAAGGGTGAGTGCAAGAGGGTGACATTTTATTATCTACATTTTATTTTATTTTATTTTATTTTTATTTTTATTTTTATTTTTTTTAAGTTTTTTTTTCTTTTATTATTATACTTTAAGTTTTAGGGTACATGTGCACATTGTGCAGGTTAGTTACATATGTATACACGTGCCATGCTGGTGCGCTGCACCCACTAACTCGTCATCTAGCATTAGGTATATCTCCCAGTGCTATCCCTCCCCCATCCCCCCACCCCACCACAGTCCCCAGAGTGTGATGTTCCCCTTCCTGTGTCCATGTGATCTCATTGTTCAATTCCCACCTACATTTTAAAAGAATCTCTTTGACTACTCTATGGTGCGTGGGTTGCAAGGAAGCAAAAAAGAAGCAGAAAGACCAGACAGGTAGGGGCTGTGGTAATCAAGGCCAGGGATCATGGTGCCTTAGATTTCAGTTGTAGAGGTGGAGGTGGGAAGAGAGTATTTGGATCCATAAGATATTGAAGGTAGATAAAATAATATTTGCTGATGGATTTTATGTGAAATACGAAAGAAAGAAAGAAGTCAAGGATGATTCCTAAGTTTTTCGCTGTTGTAAATGGAGAAATAGCGCTGTCATTTGCTGAGATGAGAGGTTAGTGAGCTGGTTTGTGTAGGGGCGACAGGAGTTTGGTTGGACATGTTAAGCTTGAGATATCCATTAGACATCCAAGAAGAGATGTTTGGTGGACAGAGGGATATGCTAGTTTGGAGTTTATAGGAGAAATGGCTCAGATATAAATATTTGGACTTACCAGCAGATAGACAGTATTTAAAACCATGGGACAGGGTGAGATCACTTAAAGACAGCATGTAAATAGAGGGTAAAAGAAGGCTGGGGAGTGGGGGTGGGGGGCTGAGTCTAAGGGCACATTAACAATTTACAGCTGAGAAGAGAAAGAAGACCCAAAAAGGAGATGGAGAGGAAATGGCCAAAGAGATAGGAGGCATACCAAAAGAGTACAGCCTTGCTAAAGCCAAGTGACTAACTTGTTTTAAATAAGAAGTGATCATGTATGTCAAATGCTGCTGAGAGGTCTAGAAAGATGAGGTCCATGGGATCTGGTGATGGGCAGAAGTAGTGAGGATAAGTCTGATTGAAGGGGATTCAGGAAAAAGTGGAATTTAAAAAAAATGGAGAAAAGGGTAGATAATTATTTAAAGAGTTTTTCTATAAAAGGAATCAGAGAACTAGAGGAGTAAATGAAAAATGTGAAGGTCTTAAATATGTATCTTTGTCATGGGAGATATCTTAGCATGTTTGCCTGGCTATGGAAATATCAAGGAGAAAGAGAGAAAAAAAAATTGGTGGTACCACTGCAGGTAGATGGTTAGATTTCATGGTCAGAAGTTGTAGTTCTTTTCTGATGGCATCTATTTCCTCAGTGAAATAAGAAACAAGATCACTAGATGAGAGTGAGAAGTGGCCAGGGGATCTCCTGGATTTTATGAGAAATATAAAGTGTGAAACAATTATCTTGGAAATTGGGAGATTGACTTGTAACATGGAAAAGGGTCAGTAGTAAGCTACTAACACTACTGTGAATCAGCTTATTTGATAGTTTCTTGGAAGAGAGGATGGAACAAGGCTCAGAGAGGAAACCAAATTCCTAAGGTGGAACACACAGCAGGAGGGAAAGAGTTCAGAAGAGAAAGGAAGAGAGATCTCCTTTGTGATTTATTGTAGAACTTTACATACCAGGGGACCTCAAAAAGTTTATGGAAAATGTGCATTATGAAAAAACTATGCATGGATGAACTTTTTTTTGCACCACAATAAACTTAAATAACTTGTACTAACTTGTTATAATATGTCTGAAGAGAATCTACTTTGAGGGCCTGAGGAGGGTAATGTATCAGTTCGAATACAGCCCTTATCATAGTAACATGAATTCTGCTAAAACTGAAGCAAGAACAGACACCAAATTTATGGTGAAGCTTGTGTGGAAGAATGATGAAATTATCGATGCTTTACAGAAAGTTTATGGGGACAATGCCCCAAAGAAATCAGCAGTTTACAAATGGACAGCTCATTTTAAGAAGGGATAAAATGAGGTTGAAGATGAAGTCCACAGTGGCAGAGCATCCACATTAATTTGTGACAAAAAAATTCATCTTATTTGCACTCTAACTGAACAGAACTGATGATTAACAGCAGAAACAATAGCCAACACCATAGACATCTCGATTGGTTCAGATTATACAATTCTGACTGAAAAATTAAAGTTGAGCAAGCTTTTTACTTGCTAGATTGTTAAAACTGTTGTGCCCAGATCAGCTGCAGACATGAGCAGAACCCTCAATGGGAAATATAAACAAGTGAGATCAAGATCCTGAAGCATTTCCTCAAAGAATTTAACAGGAGATAGAGCATGGCTTTATCAGTATGATTTTGAAGACAAAGCACAAAGCAGTGACTACTAAGAGATGGAAGTGGTCCAGTCAAAGCAAAAGCAGACCTTTCAAGAGTAAAGGTCATGGCAACAGTTTTTAGGATGCTCGAGGCGTTTTGCTTGTTGACTTTCTGGAAGGCCAAAGAACACTAATAACATCTGCTTATTATGAGGGTGTTTTGAAAAAGTTAGTCAAAGCTTTAGCAGAAAAATGTCCAAGAAAGTTTCACATGAGAGTCCTTCTTCACCATGACAATGTTCCTGCTCATTCCTCTCATCAAACAAAAGCAATTTTGTGAGAGTTTCAATGATAAATCATTAGGCATCTGATGTACGGTCTTGATCTGGATTTTTCTGACTTGTTTTCTAATCTTAAAAATATATACAGGGGACCCATTTTCTTCAGTTTATAATGTAAAAGAGAACATAGAAAAGAATTTAAGCATTGATGAGGTTAAATTCCCTGAATCCTCAGTTCTGTAGGGATGGACTAAATGGCTGGTACTATCATGCATAAAAGTGTCTTGACCTTGATAGGTTTTAGGTTGAGAAATAAAGTTTATGTTTTTCATTTTTATCTTTTAATTTCATTTTCTGTGAACTTTTTTGAAGTCTCCTTCTATACTGAAGAAGGGAGTTTAATCAAAAGGTAGCAGGAAATTATCCCTTTAAGAAATCCATTTGCCATGACTAATGATAGTGACATATATACAATCAGATCTTTAAAACAAGCGTAAAAAATCAGGACTTCTGTATTTGAGACACAATGTGAGTATTTATACCAGAAACTCATAATAATTTCTACAATTAAACATTAACTTATGCTCTGGGATTTTTGGCAGACAGGAAAGCAAGCAAGCAAACAAACAAAATAAAACAAAACATAATGGCTTATATAGCTCTTATTGTCTGAAAAACAAAGCATATGATTTTCTAGATGAGTTAAATATTTTTATAGCATGCTATTCCAAAAGAAATTTATTTGGTGGGTTTGTTTACAATGACCAATTTAATTGAAAATCTCTTCAATAGCAATTTTACACAAGATTTAAACACAATTTTCCTATGACCATTTCATATTCCAAATTTGCATAGAAGCAGATGGTATTATGTTAATTATTGTTTTGAGAAGACATTTACATGGGATATAAAAATAATGTAGTCTAGTAGCTTCCTGCTGTTCAACATATACAGGAATAGAACTGAGAGATTCCTGGGAAGGAACACATGGTTAGCATGTCCTTTAGCCTTCAAATATAAATGATTTCAAAGACATTTAGCATTTATTTTGAGATTAAACTATCTGGAAAGTATTGAGAAATTTGGTATATTGTGCTAAACACGAAAACTTGGGGACAAATGACACTTTGTTATTTATTTATGTAAAGTATTTATTGAGCATCTACAATATGTCTGGTACTGTTCTAGACACTTGGGTTACATTCATGAACAAAATAAACAATGTTCCCTGCCCTCATGCATAAATGTTATGAAAATTAAAGACCCTGACTTGCTTCATGCTCACACAGGCAATAGCTATAAGATTTGGTGGGGAGGTGGAGTAATTAGCCAGGAGAGGAAAGGTCTTTAAAATTCTTGTATTTGTTCATTCATTCTTTCATTCATTCATTCAGTAACATTTAGTAAGTGATTGCTAATAAATCGGGCACTGACCCAGGCTGAGATAGGTGAGTCAAGGCTGTGAGACAGTTATCAGAAAGAAAGACTGTTGGGACAATTTGCATCAAGGAAAAGCCTGTGGGCAAAATATTGGTGTAAGATAAAAGAATATCCTGCCATTTAGACTCCTTCAAAAATGTTGTGGGTTTTCAAGAGTGTGATGGTATCCTCCTTACTGGAAATATTCAAACAGAGTCAGAATTAGATGCATCTGATAATAGCTTACTGGAAATTTTCTAAAATCAATTCCAGCTCTGAGTTTATTTATTCTTCTGGTCCTGTGTCTTCGTAAATGACCAATGTATGCATATATCTGAAACTCCCTGGGCTGCAAGCTTGGTACTGAGCCTAACAGTACATCCTAAAGGAAAGGACCTAGAAATCCGGAGGGGATTCTTGAGCAATATGTTGTTTGACATGATGCCATGAAGTCCTCATTCCCAACCAGACTGAATTGGTTATTTCCAGAAGCCAACCTTACAATGGCAGAAGTGGAGGTGAGCTGGTGTTTGAAACAGATTTTCTGTATTTGTGTTTTTCTGGTTTGTGTCAGGATCATTTTCTGCCTTATTCTGTCTGGAGAGTTAAGAATGATTTAAGATGGTTGTTAAAACATGGATTTTTAGAGACCTTTAGTTGTCCACGTTGATTTGATGTGGTGTGATAGGTTGTTCACTGTGATGTACAATGGCATTAACTTCTTGAAGCCTAAAGGCGAGTTAGAAAATAGCAACTCTTGAAAGGTGATCATACGTGAGATGTATTTATTTTGTAGATAGGAGTGAATGCAAAATCTCTCATCTCACTAACATTCTTCCTTGCTGCAGAATAGCAGCTGTCAAAAAGTGGTACAGGTGGAATGAGGGACTCTCAGCTGCAATCTCTTGGAACACTGGAGCCAGGCATCCTGCTCATGACACTCACAAGGGGAGTCCCTTTCTGACCAGAGAAACACGGAGTTACTGGAAAAGATTTTCTTCATTAACTTTTTATCTCATAATGCTTTCCCTTTAAATGTTTCTGATTACTTTACTCAAAAAATCTCAGAACTAATAATCCTCATTTATCACAATGTGATATAGTTTGTCATTTTAAGTTTTATTAATAATATTTTGTGGTATTTAACAAAGAATAGTAAAATTTTCAGGGGTTCCACTGCCTGGATAAGTTTGAGAACAGCTGTGTGAGATCCTCCTTTAATTTATATATTTAACAACCATTCATTAAATGTTTGCTAGGACTATACACAGTTAATAACACAGGGAGTGGATACATAAACTTTAAACATGATTCTAAGATAAAAATTATTAAACAGTTTAGGAATATAATGGGAGGAATATTGAACAAACAAGTATAATACAATATGTGATATAATAAGACAAGATAGTTAAATAGTCCAAAGAGAATTTAAATGTTGCCAGTGTCCAAAGCAATAATTAATCTTAACTGGAGATCTGGGGATAAAGTAGCCTTGAAGATTGAGTCAGTAGAAATGCTGGTTTAAGACTTTGGGCATCAGTTACAAAAACAGAGGTATGAAAAGGCACAAATTGTTTAGGGCAGTGAGTTGCCTTGCAATTATGGTACTTGGTAGGGTGAAGTAGGACACACTAGATGGGTAAGCAGAGATGAGTCATTCAGCAATGGCTATTGAATACTTCCTATCAGCCACACTCCTATCCCAGTTTGTGAGGACCTTGAGTGTCATACTAAGGATTTAGAAGATAGCTCATCGCTTTTATGTTAAAGTCTGAAATCAGTGACTTGACCCTAACTGTGTAACAGAAAAGACTTGGCAGAAGGCTTGTGGATAGAGAGAGGCAAGACCAAAGTCATGGAGACTAATTGGAGAATATTGAAATAATCCAGATAGACGATGGAGAGGATTGGAAATCCTCTTACTTACTGAGGAAGTCAGTCGCAGTAAAAATAGAAAAGTGGGGTTGGTATATATATACCATGGAATATATGCAGCCATAAAAAGGAACAAGATCATGTCCTTTGCAGGGACATGGATGGAGCTGGAAGCTGTTATCCTGAGCAAACTAACACAGGAATAGAAAACCAAATACCGCATTTTCTCACTTACAAGTGGGAACTGTACGATGAGAACACATGGACACATGGTGGGGAGCAACATACACTGGGGTCTGTCGGGGGTCAGGGGAGGGAGAGCATCAGGAAGAATAGCTAATGGATGCTGGGCTTAATACCTAGGTGATGAGTTGATCTGTGCAGCAAACCACCATGGCACATGTTTACCTACGTAATGAACTTGCACATCAAGCATGTATCCCGGAATTTAAAATAAAATAAAAGTTGAAGAAAACATAAGTGGGGTTGGTTTGTTTCCTTTACCATAGATAATTTGCTACTGGGTAATCACAGATGTATTTCCCATTACTGACTATCTCAGGTCTTTGATAGCTCATGGAAAACATTATCAATATATATCTTTAAAAAACTATCCTTAATTCTTAGCTATGGACTCTGAAACATTATAGAAGACATGTGGGTTTTCTATTTTCTTTCATGATTAATTAAATAGATATTTGTTGAGTACCTAAAGGGTGCTGGGGATAGAGCAGTAATCAAGACAAAGGGCTGCCCTGTGCAGTTTACATCCTCATGGGAAAGCATAGATGAATATGTCAACAAAGAAATAATGTTTACATGTACTGTTTTATTTTTTAATTATGTCTTCACATGCTACTTATATTGTCCAAATATGAATCTTTATAGTCATAACATAATCATATGAATACATGCCAATCTCTTGGCCCAAGGAATTGGGCCTTATTGATATTAAGAGATGAGTTTAATATTTAATAGATAGAGGAGGTCTTTGGGAACACATTTTTAAAGCAGCAGTGGATTTGGCATGTATTAATATATTTAAACGAAATCAGAAAAGTTATTCTACTTGTACTGAGATAATATAAAATCCATAGTAAAAGGCTAATCCACATTTAATTTATGACAAATGGAGGCATGGCAGAATCATGGGGAAAAGATGGTCTTTTCAATAAACAGTGTTGAGTGAATTAGATATGCTTATGTAAAAAAGGAAATTTGAACCCTACACCACATAGAAAATCAATTACAGATGCATTTAAATTTAATTATAAAAGTAAAACAATAAAGCTTCTAAAGGATAATATAGGAAAACATATTCCTAATTTTGAGGCATGGAAAGATTTTTTAAATAGGATACAAAACCACTAATATCACGGGAAAATCAAATAAATTACATTAAAAGATGATTTTTTTGTTCTTCAAAGAACGCTGCTGAGAAGGTTAGAGAAAATAAGCAATAAGGTGGAAGATGATAGTTGCTATATATAAACCAACAATGGGCTTTATACAGGATGAATAAAGAATTTCTACAAATTCAAAAAAAGAAAGACAAGCCAACAAAAATGGAGGGGGAACAGATGTCAACAGCCACTTCACAAAGGAGGGTTTAAAAATAATCAATAGGCATTTGAAAAGGTGCTCACCCTCATTAACAATAGGAAATATAAATGACAACCATGATGAGATATTTCAATGAGTCACCTCTAAAGAATAATCAGACTAGGTAAAATAACAAAGAATGACCTGGCCGGGCGTGGTGGCTCATGCCTATAATCCCAGCTCTTTGGGAGTCCGAGGTGGGTGGAACACTTCAGGTCAGGAGTTTGAGACCAGCCTGGCCAACATGGTGAAACTCCATTTCTACTAAAAATACAAAAATTAGCCGGGCATGGCTGTGGGCACCTGTAATCCCAGCTACTCAAGAGGTTGAGGCAGGAGAATTGCTTGAACCCAGAAGGCGGAGTTTGCAGTGAGCTGAGATTCCGCCACTGCACTCCAACCTGGGCAACATAGTGAGACTCCATCTCAAAAAAAAAAAAAAAAAGAAAAAAAAAAGAATTAGCAAGCTGTAATATGTTAATACAATGCAGTAGCATACAGCAGTGAAAATTAATCTATAGGAACACACAACCACTAGATAAATCTGCAAAACATAGTATTAAGCAAAAGAAGTCATACAAATAAGAAAACATCTTATGTGACTTTACTTGAACTTCAAAAATTAGGCATGAGAAATCTAAGGAGCTAAAAGTCAGGTGCATAGTTATGTGTGGGGAGGAGGAAGTCAGTGTTCTATATCTTGATCTAGGTGATGATTGCACAGGTATATTCACCATGTAATAATTCATTGATCTATATACTTATAATTTGTGCTTTCTATTCTGAATATATGATAGTTTACTTTTAAAATTTTTAAATGATTTTCAATTTCCCAGGGGAAGATTTGTTTTGAAGACACCTTGAGAATGGTCAATATGTAATTACCTTAGTTCCCTAACTTTTATCTTATACTCCACCTTGGGGCTGAGAGGGAAACGTGAAAAATTTGAATTCTTAACACTATCTGTAGTTCTTAGATTTCATAATCGTCCCAGATTTTTTACTTTCAGATAATCCCTTGCTTGTATTTTCCAACAATACATGATAAATTATAGACAAATACAATCTCATTTTCTCCATTTAAACTAATGTCTTTATTGCCAATCATTTCTGAACCAGCCAACTGTGGTAGAACTGATGAAATAGTATCCCACTTATAATAAATATGTGTTTTTCATTAAAGAGACCCAGACAATCTTGTTTTATTTCCTGCAAACTGATGTGATTTGTTTCTTCATGAAGTTAGAAACTGCTACAGAGCTAATTTATAATAAAAATTAGGAAAAAGTATTTAGCCAAACTTTCAAAAGGCATTTTCCTACCAGGGCATATGTTGAACAAACTGAATCTGTAGCTACTTTTTTGGATTATCTTAATCCAGCATCAAAGGGGTCAGTGGGGCAGGTCTAACAGGTCCATGATGGCTTAGGTCTTTGATTAGAGACTTAAGTCAGCAAGCTTGGAAGGAAAAGATGCCTGAATTTAATTTTGTCTTTCCATGGCAATGGCTGGCTTTGACTTCTCTTCAGTGGTACTTCTGGTTGTTCTGTTAGAGTTTTTGATTTCCCAAACCAAAGTGATGGTGGGGAGACCATGAAAGTACCTAAGCCCAGACTGCAATATCAATAAACATCCTCAAAGCATTTGTAGGCAGGTGGTAAATGGTTCACCTTTGAGTTATAAACTACTAGAAGAATGCTTGTGTGTATAGGAAGAGGACTTCAGGAGCTTGTCTAGGCATGTCATCTTTCTAGGTTTTGCTGGGACTGCATGAAGCCAGATTTCAAGTTCTTTTAGCAGTCCCACTGACAAGATTGGGTTATCTCAAAAAAGGCAGGCAGATTCCCATGATGCTGGAGCCCTTCACAGAGAGATTTTGTTGGGACGACAGCCACTTTTCTCACCAAATTCCAGCCCGGCTTCCGAGTGTTACCAGCGGCAAATCTGTGGGAGTCTGCAGCAAACTTGAGCCTTGCCTCCTCAGAGGAGAGAATTTGACCGATGGGCAGAAGTAAGTTTAAGGCAGAGGGAAAAATCAAGGCAAGTTTTTAGAGCAGGAGTGAAAGTTTATTAAAAAGTTTTAGAACAGGAACAAAAGGAAGTCAAGTACACCTGGAAGAGGGACAAGCAGGTGACTTGAAAGATCCAAGTGCCCTGTTTGGCCCTGGGCTTGGGGTTTTATGCAGTGGCATGGTTCTGGGGTTTGTTTCTCCTCCCTTGATTTTCCCCTTGGGGTGGACTGTGCACATCCACAGTGGCCTGCCAGCACTTGGGAGGGGCTGCATGTTCAGTGTGTTTATTGCAGTTGTGTGCATGTTCACTTGAGGCATTTTTCCCTTACCAGGTGAGTGTTCCCAGAGGAAGGTCATCTACTGGTTAAACTCTGCCATTTCACCTCTTCATGCACATCCTTGAGCCTGCTTGCCCTGGTCTTGAGATCTTATTGGGAAGCTGCTGCTCACCAGGTTCAGGTGTTTTCTATCTATTGAGAGACTTTTTTTTTTTTTTTCTGGCACTGGCTATGACAAATTATTATTTTACAGAGAGAGTCTAACAACCAACAGCCTGATCATCCAGGATGGTTACCTGACATTCCTAAGGGAGGAGGGCCTCTCTTGCCCTGCTCAAGTCTGCCTAATTATCTACTCTGGCTCAATGTGCCACTGCCCTCTTGCTTAGCATGAGGCTTTCCTTTTCTCCAACTCATATTTGAAGGTCCTTCTTATTCAAAATTTGATCCAAACATCAGCAGTGTCTAACTGGGGATTTGTTGGAAATGCTTTCAGTTAATCTACAGATTTTGAAATTCTGTTAATTGCTTCAAAAGATGGAGGAAATCCCTACATCAGAGAGTTTTGACACTGTTAGTCACTCACTGGTTAAATAAAAATGTTATATTTAAACCCCTATTTTGGGAGTTGAAACATAGAACATTATTTGAAAAGTTATACATGGGCTTCAGATATATTTTGCACCTAGTTTCATTTTTCTGGAATTTGCAGAAGGGATTATTATGTGATTCTAGGGGCAGAAAAATAAATTTCATGAATTTCACTCAAGTCCGTGTGAAGAGATCACCAAACAGGCTTTGTGTGAGCAATAAAGCTGTTTATTTCACCTGGGTGCAGGTGGGCTGAGTCCGAAAAGAGAGTCAGCGAAGGGAGATAGGGGTGGGGCTGTTTTATAGAATTTGGGTAGGTAAAGGAAAAAGTGGGGTTGTTCTCTGAAGGGCAGGAGTGGGGGTCACAAGGTGCTCAGTAGGGGAGCTTTTGAGCCAGGATGAGCCAGGAGAAGGAATTTCACAAGATAATATCATCAGTTAAGGCAGGAACCCACGATCTGGATGTGTACGTGCAGGTCACGCGGGATATGATGGCTTAGCTTGGGCTCAGAGGCCTGACATTCCTGTCTTCTTATATTAATAAGAAAAATAAAATGAAATAGTGGTAAAGTGTTGGACAGAGAAAATTTTGGGGGGATGGTATGGACAGATAATGGGCTATGTTTCTCAGGGCTGCTTCGAGCGGGATTGGGGGGGCGTGGGAACCTAGAGTGGGAGAGATTAAGCTGAAGGAAGATTCTGTGGTAAGGGGTGATATTGTGGGGTTGTTAGAAGAAACATTTGTCATTTAGAATTATTGTTGATGGCCTGGATACAGTTTTGTATGAATTGAAAGACTAAACGGAATAAGAGAAGAAGAAAAACAGGTATTAAAGGACTGAGAATTGGGAGGACCTAGGACATCTGATTAGAGAGTGCCTAAGGAGGTTCAGCATAGCCTTGCCAGCAAAGATTATTTATTTACTTTAAGAGTTAAGAGTGGTGGTTTGGGGATAGCACCAGGAGATATCAGCTGTGATGGCTTGGAGAAACAGTGTAAACCGGCAGTGTAAACAAGAGCAGGGCATGTATGAGTAGTTAAGAACAGTGAATAGGAGTATGACTAGACAGAAGATAGTAGACATGACAAGTTTTTTGGGGCACAGTCCAAGTTGGTCTGGTGTCTGGAATGAGACTGGGGCCTAATAAGAAGGAACGTCCATACAAGAGCGCAAATGGGCTGTACCTTGTAGCATTCTGAGGACAGGCCTGAATTCTGAGAAGGGAAAGTGGTAAAAGTATTGTCCAGTCCTTTTTAAGTTGGTGTCTGAGTTTGGTGAGGTGTGTTTTTTGAAGACCATTAGTCTGTTCTACTTTTCCTGAAGACTGAGGACTGTAAGGGATATAAAGGTTTCACTGAATACTAAGAGCCTGAAAAAATGCTTGGCTGATTTGACTAATAAAGGCCAGTCTGCTATCAGACTGTATAGAGGTGGGAAGGCCAAACCGAGGAATTACGTCTGACAGAAGGGAAGAAATGACCGTGGTGGCCTTCTTAGACCCTGTGGGAAAGGCCTCTACCTATCCAGTGAAAGTGTCTACCTAGACCAAGAGGTATTTTAGTTTCCTGACTTGGGGCATGTTGAGTAAAGCTAATTTGCCAGTCCTGGGCAGGGGAAAATCCCTGAGCTTGATGTGTAGGGAAGGGAGGGGGCCTGAACAATCGCTGAGGAGTAGTAGAATAGCAGATGGAACACTGAGAAGTTATTTCCTTGAGGATAGATTTCCATGATGGAAAGGAAATGAGAGGTTCTAAGAGGCAGGCTAGTGGCTTGTACTATAGCATAGCCTGCCTTTGCTGGTGTGTGGTGATTAGACCTGGTGGAACTGCTATCAATAAACCAAGTGTGATCAGGGTGAGGAACAGGGAATAAGGAAATGTGGGGAAATGGGGTGAACATCAGGTTGGGGTGGATCAGTGTGGGGAAAAGAAAGAGAGATCAGATTGTTAATGTGTCTGTATAGAAAGTAGACATAAGAGACTCCATTTTAATCTGTAACCCTACCCCCAACCCTGTGCTCCCTGAGACGTGTGCTGTGTCAACTCAGGGTTAAATGGATTAAGGGCGGTGCAAAATGTGCTTTGTTAAACAAATGCTTGAAGGCAGCATGCTCTATAAGAGTCATCACCACTCCCTAATCTCAAGTACCCAGGGACACAAAACACTGCAGAAGGCTGCAGGGACCCCTGCCTACGAAAGCCAGGTATTGTCCAAGGTTTCTCCCCATGTGACAGCCTGAGATATGGCCTCGTGGGAAGGGAAAGACCTGACCGTCCCCCAGCCCGACACCCATAAAGGGTCTGTGCTGAGGAGGATTAGTAAAAGAGGAAGGAATGCCTGGTTGCAGTTGAGACAAGAGGAAGGCATCTGTCTCCTGCTCGTCCCTGGGCAATGGAATGTCTCGGTGTAAAACCTGATTGTATATTCCATCTACTGAGATAGGGGAAAACCACCTTAGGGCTGGAGGTGGGACATGCCGGCAGCAATACTGCTCTTTAAGGCATTGAGGTGTTTATGTGTATACATATATAAAGCACAGCACTTAATTCTTTACCTTGTTTATGATGCAGAGACCTTTGTTCACGTGTTTACCTGCTGACCTTCTCTCCACTATTATCCTATGATCCTGCCACATCCCCCTCTCCGAGAAACACCCAATAATGATCAATAAATAATAAGGGAACTCAGAGGCTGGCGGGATCCTCCGTATGCTGAACACCGGTCCCCTGGGCCCCTTTTTCTTTCTCTATACTTTGTCTCTGTGTCTCTTTCTTTTCCAAGTCTCTTGTTCCACCTAATGAGAAACACCCACAGGTGTGGAGGGGCAACCCACCCCTTCAGATCAGAGAGATGCAGTCATGAGGGTCAGGTGTGGTATCAGGAATAATGTGGGATGCCGGATTGAAGTCCCGGCCAGGAATAATGGTAATTGTGGGAGACTCAACAAAGAGTGAGTACAGCTGAAGGAGCCAGGGAGCAGAAAGTACATGCATCAGGTGTGAGGAAGAAAATAGATTTTGGAAATTATGAGAGCTGTAGAGAGTGAGTTGAGCATAGTTTGTGATTTTAAGGGCCTCTAAAAGTATTAGGGCGGCAGAAGCCGCTGCACGGAGACATGATGACCAGCCTAAAACAGTAAGGTCAAGTTGCTTGGACAAAAAGGCTACAGGACGCGATCCTGGTCCTTGTGTAAGAATTCCAACTGCACAGCCCTGCACTTCAGCTGTGTGTAATGAAAAGGGTTGGGATGAGTCAGGGAGAGCTAGGGTTGGGGCAGTCTCTAAAGCTGTCTTCAAGGAATGGAAAGAGGAGTGGGGAAAGGATTTAGGATCTATAGGGTCAGCTAGGTTTCCTTTTGTGAGTTTATATAATGGTTTTGTTAGGATGGCAAAACTAGGTATCTAAAGGCAAAAGTATCTAACCATGCCTAGGAAGGAAAGGAGTTGTTGTTTTGTAGAAGGAGTTGGGGTTTGAGAGATTAGTCAGACACGATCGGCAGGGAGAGCACGTGTGTTTTCATGAGAATTATGCTGAGATAGGTAACAGATAAGGAAGAAATTTGGGCTTGACTGAAGTAATGGGGGCTGTCTGTGAAGCTTTGCAGTAGTACAGCCCAGGTAATTTGCTGAGCCTGATGGGTGTCAGGGTCAGTCCAAGTGAAAGCAAAGAGAGGCTGGGATGAAGGGTGCAAAGGAATAGTAAAGAAAGTATGTTTGAGATCCAGAACAGAATAATGGATTGTGGAGGGAGTTATTGAGGATAGGAGAGTATATGGGTTTGGCACCATGGGGTGGATAGGCAAAACAATTTTGTTGATAAGACATAGATCCTGAACTAACTTGTAAGGCTTGTCTGGTTTTAGGACAGGTAAAATGGGGGAATTGTAAGGAGAGTTTATAGGCTTTAAAAGGCCATGCTGTAGCAGGCGAGTGATAACAGGCTTTAATCCTTTCAAAGCATGGTGTGGGATGGGATATTGGCATTGAGTGGGGTAAGGGTGATTAGGTTTTAATGAGATGGTAAGGGGTGCATGATCGGTCACCAAGGAGGGAGTAGAGGTATCTTATACTTGTGGGTTAAGGTGGGGGGATACAAGAGGAGGAAGCAAAGAAGGCTTTGGATTGGGAAGAAGGGCAGCAATGAGATGTAGCTGTAGTCCAGGAATAGTCAGGGAAGCAGATAATTTATTTAAAGTGTCTCGGCCTAATAAGGGAACTGGGCAGGTGGGGATAACTAAAAAGGAGTGCTTAAAAGAGTGTTGTCTAAGTTGGCATCAGAGTTGGGGAGTTTTAAGAGGTTTAGAAGCCTGGCTGTCAATACCCACAACTGTTATGGAGGCAAGGGAAACAGCCCCTTGAAAAGAAGGTAATGTGGAGTGGGTAGCCTCCGTATTGATTAAGAAGGGGACGGACTTACCCTCCACTGTGAGAGTTACCTAAAGCTCAGCATCTGTGATGGTCTACAGGGCTTCCGAGGCAATCGGGCAGCATCAGTCTTCAGCCACTAAGCTGAGAAGATCTGGGAAGGAGTCGGTCGGAGAGCCTTGGGCCAGAGTTCCAGGGGCTCTGGGAGTGGCTGCCAGGTAAGTTGAACAGTCCAATTTCCAGTGGGGTCCCACACAGATGGGACATGGCTTAGGAGGAATCCTGGGCTGCAGGCATTCCTTGGCCTGGTGGCCAGATTTCTGGCACTTGTAGCAAGCTCCTGGGGGAGGCGGTTCTGGAGGAATGCCTGGCTACTGCGGTTTAGGCATTTGGAAGTTCTTGTGTGCTGGAGATGTGGCTGGGGTTTGTCTCACAGTGGAGGCAAGGAATTGCAACTCAGAAATATGTTGCTACTTGGCTGCCTCTACTTTATTATTGTACACCTTGAAGGTGAGGTTAATTAAGTCCTGTTGTGGGGTTTGAGGGCTGGAATTTAATTTTTGGAATTTTATTTAATGTCGGGAGCAAATTAGGTAATAAAATGTATATTGAGAATAAGATGACCTTTTGACCTTTTAGGGTCTAGGGCTGTAAAGCGTCTCAGGGTTGCTGCCAAACGAGCCATGAACTGGGCTGGATTTTTATATTTGATGAAAAAGAGCCTAGACACCATCTGATTTGGGATAGAGAAAAAGGAGCATTAACCTTGACTATGCCTTTAGCTCCAGCCACCTTTTTAAGAGTAAATTGCTGGGCAGGTGGGGGAGGGCTAGTCACGGAACTTAACTGTAAGGCGGACCTGGTGTGAGGAGGGGAGGTGATAAAAGGATTATAGGGTGGAGGAGCGGAGGCTGAGGAAGAATTGGGACCTAGCTTGGCCTGGTGAGGAGGGGAGAGGTCAGATGGGTCTGTAGAAAAGCAAGATTAGAGAGACTCAGCAATGCTTGGGGTTGGGACTGAGCGGACAGGTGGGAGGGAAAGAAGGAAGGTTTGGGACGAGTTGCATTGGGAACAGAGACTAGGGAGGCACCATGTGTAAAAGAATGCCTGGACATCAGGCACCTCAGACCGTTTGCCTATTTTGCAACAAGAATTATATAGATCTTGTAGGATGGAAAAATTGAAAGTGCCATTTTCCAGCTATTTGGAACTACTGTCGAGTTTGTATTGGGGTCAAGTGGCATTGCAGAAGAAAATAAGATGCTTAGATTTTAGGTCAGGTGAGAGTTGAAGAGGTTTTAAGTTCTTAAGAACACAGGCTAAGGGAGAAGAAGGAGGAATGGAAGGTGTAAGCTTGCCCATAGTGAAGGAGGCAAGCCCAGAGGAAAGAGAGTAGAGACACGGAGAAGGGGTGGGGGTTCTTGCCTTCCAGAAAAGCAGAGAAGGGGTCGGGGCACAGAAATAAGGGGTTGGGGTGCAGAGATAAGAGGTTGGGGTTCAGAAATAAGGGATCAGGGCGCAGAGATAAGAGGTCGGGGTTCCTGTCCCTCCCTCAGAAAAGCAGGACTTGCCGCTAAGGGTGAAGGAGAAGGGGTTGAGGGGTTCTTGCCCCTCCCCTAGAAAAGTGGAGAAGGGGTAGAGACACAGAGAGAAGGGGTTGGGGTTCTTGCCCCTCCCCCAGAAAAGCGGGACTTGCTGCTAAGGGTGAAGGACCAAGGCAGGCATCCCTGCGTGGTCTGACACCTCTGAAACCTGGGTGAATAATCAGAAAGGCGTCCCTGCAATGATTAAACACCAAGGGAAGGCTGCCTTCCCTAGTCCGTGACCGGCACCGGAGTTTTGGGTCTCCTTTGTCTGTACCAGAAAATGAAAGGAATTGAAATTAAGAGAAGGGAGAGATTGAAGTGTGGCGCCAAGATTGAAAGGAGAAAGAGGTTGAGGGATAGTGAGGGAGGTTGGGGAAGAGAGTAAAAAGAGGCCACTTACCAGATTTGAAATTGGTGAGATGTTTCTTGGGCTGGTTGGTCTGAGGACCTGTGGTCGTAGGTGGATCTTTCTCACGGAGCAAAGAGCAGGAGGACAGGGGATTGATCTCCCAAGGGAGGTCCCCCGATCCGAGTCATGGCACCAAATTTCACTCGCATCCGTGTGAAGAGACCACCAAACAGGCTTTGTGTGAGCAATAAAGCTGTTTATTTCACCTGGGTGTAGGCGGGCTGAGTCCAAAAAGAGAGTCAGCGAAAGGAGATAGGGGTGGGGCCGTTTTATAGGATTTGGGTAGGTAAAGGAAAAAGGGGGGTTGTTCTCTGGTGGGCAGGAGTGGAGGTCACAAGGTGCTCAGTAAGGGAGCTTTTGAGCCAGGACGAGCCAGGAGAAGGAATTTCACAAGATAATTAGTTATCAGTTAAGGCAGGAACAGGCCATTTTCACTTCTTTTGTGGTGGAATGTCATCAGTTAAGGCAGGAACCAGCCATCTGGATGTGTTCATGCAGGTCACAGGGGATATGATGGCTTAGCTTAGGCTCAGAGGCCTGACAATTTGTTTAGGTTCTACCATAGAGAGTTTGTTTTAAGTTAGCAGGGCTATAAAATTAGCTTTATGTTGCCAGTGGAGAAAGGATTTGCAAGGGAAAATAGTCACAATAGCAATAACATGCAGTGCTTATTATTGTCATAAGTATATTGTCATAATTATTATATTATACTAAATATGATAATTATATGCCAGGCACATAGTAACTACCCTATGAGATAAGTACTATAATTATCACTGATTTACAGGTGAGGACACCAAGGGTCAGTGTGGTTTAATAACTTGCCCAGTCACCCAACCAGGAGGTGGCACAGCCAGGATTCAAACTCAGAGAATCTCGGTCCAGTGTCTGTCCCTTTAGAATCATTGTATTAAGATGTATCTCAGCTGTATTTTTAGCATGGAAATGTAAACTTTTAAAGTTTCTATCAGAGGGGTCCAAAGAGTTGTGGCCATTTTAAAGAAAAGCTAAAAATCTTGATATTCGCCTGGAATTTATGGATCTTTAAATGTTGGCAATTAATTTGAATTGTTTTTAAAAACTCACTTTGGGGGCTAAATTATCTAAGGCTGCCAGTTTGAGATGAATGTCCTATATAATTTCCATTTCATTAAAATCTTGATATGCTAGTCTCAAATAATTATTTTTCCATTTCTTAAAATCTTAATCTGGTGCTTCACCAGGCAACATTTTGTTAACTTATTCTGGTAAAACAATAAATGGTTTATACCTAAACATAATAACATTGCATTTCTTCAAGTTATATTTTATATTTGACCATCTTAGTAGTCCAGGTTGGCCTCAGCTTTCCCCAGGGTCAGAATTCAGGGTGTCTGACTACTTTCAGAGGCCCTGAGGGCATGAAGGTTGCTGGGAACCTTCATGAAAGGTCATGAACAGTACATGAACGGGTTGGCCAGTGAAAGCTCCCTTTGGGTCCCCAGCGTCTTCTTCTGACATCGTTTTTCCTGGGGCAGGACATTTCACACAGTCCCCCGCTGCTCCCTGGAATCTGGGACTCCTGCTTTCTTGAAGGAATGCCTTGTTGTGTAAGTGAACCCACAGGGAGGCAGCGGCAGGAAGCATTCTTCACAGGAGGCTCCTTTGAGGACCCAAAGCTGGCCTCTAGGAGGGGTCAGGACTGAACTTGAGTTTGTCTGTGTTGAGACCTTAGGAGACTCCATGATTTCTGTGTCTTCTAGATCCTGAACTGTCAACCACCATGAGTCTGTTGATCCTTTATCTGACACTTCCCCAGTTCCCTGTTCTGTTACTGGAAAGCTGTTCTCTTACTAGAAAGGGATCCAGAACCAGACCCCAGGAGAGGGTTCTTGGATCTTGTGCAAGAAAGGATTCAGGTCAATCTGTAAAGTGAAAGCAAGTTTATTAAGAAAGTAGAGGAATAAAGAATGGCTTCTCCATAGACAGAGCAGCCCTGAAGGCTGTTGGTTGCCCATTTTTATGGTTATTTCTTGATTATATGCTAAACAAGGGATATGTTTTTTATGCCTCCCCTTTTTAGACCATACTGGGTGAGTTCCTGATGTTGCTATGGCATTTGTAAACTGTCATGAAGCTGGTGGGAGTGTAGCAGTGAGGACAACCAGAGGTCCTTCTTATTGCCACATTGGTTTTGGTGGGTTTTGGCTGGCTTCTTTACTGCAAGCTATTTTAACAGCAGGTCTTTATGACCTGTATCTTGTGCCGACCTCCTATCTCATCCTGTGACTTAGAATGCCTAACTGTCTGGGAATGCAGCCCAGTAGATTTCAGTCTTATTTTACCCAGCCCCTATTCAAGATGCAGTTGCTCTGGTTCAAGTGCCTTTGACAGTTCTTTACCCAGGCCTCTTCCAGTTTCCTCTCTCACTCAATGGAATTGTTCTTTACCAATTCCACAAACAAGCCTGAAACCTAGAATCTGCCCCTGACATTTCTTGCGCTTGCCTCCTACAGTCAACTTTCTTCAAGTCCTAGGGATTTTACCCTCTAGCTCTGGAATCTTTATTTCTCTCATGCTCATTGCCACAGTCATATGCCAGGTGACCATTATATCTTGTCAAAGGGTTTTTCACACATTCTGGCCCTGCTCTCGTCTGTTCTCCCCAAAATGTAAAGGGATCATTAAACATGCAAATGTGGTTATATGACCAACTTCACCTCACTATCCTACAGGGGTCACAGCCAGGCACTCCACAATCTCATTGCCCACCACTCACCCCATCGTGGACTGCCCTGATTAGCTAAGCATGGCTATTCCTACGTTTATGGTAACGGGAGTGTTTTCTGTCACCAGGTAGGAGGTGGGCTGATAGCACAAGCATTGGAGACCAGAATCAAGAGCTACCATACAGTTGGGAAAACTGGCTAGCCATATGCAGAAAACTGAAACTGGACCTCTTCCTTACATCTTATACAAAAATTAACTCAAGATGGATTAAAGACTTAAACATAAGACCTAAAACCATAAAAACCCTAGAAGAAAACCTAGGCAACACCATTAAGGAAGTAGGCATGGGCAAAGACTTCATGACTAAAACACCAAAAGCAATGGCAACAAAAACCAAAATTGACAAATGAGATCTAATTAAACTAAAGAGCTTCTGCACAGCAAAAGAAACATCATCAGAGTGAGCAGGCAACCTACAGAATGGGAGAAAATGTTTGCAATCTATCCATGTGACAAAGGGCTAATATCCAGAATCTACAAAGAACTTAAACAAATTTGCAAGAAAAAAAAAAAACCCATAAAAAGCGGGCAAAGCATATGAACAGACACTTCTCAAAAGAAGACATTTATGTGACCAACAAACATATGAAAAAAAGCTCATCATCACTGGTCATTAGAGAAATGCAAATAAAAACCACAATGAGATACCATCTCATGCCAGTTAGAATGGTGATCATTAAAAAGTCAGGAAACAACGGATGCTGGAGAGGATGTGGAGAAATAGGAATGCTTTTACACTGTTGGTGGGAGTGTAAATTAGCTCAACCATTGTGGAAGGCAGTGTGGTGATTCCTCAAGGATCTAGAACCAGAAATACTATTTGACCCAGCAATCCCATTACTGGGTATATACCCAAAGGATTATAAAACATTCTACTATAAAGACACATGCACCCGTATGTTTATTGCAGCACTGTTCACAATAGCAAAGGCTTGGAACCAACCCAAATGCCCATCAATGGTAGACTGGATTAAGAAAATGTGGCACATATACACCATGGAATACTATGCAGCCATAAAAAAGGATGAGTTCATGTCCTTTGCAGGGAGATGGATGAAGCTGGAAACTATCATTCTCAGCAAACTAACACAAGGACAGAAAACCAAACACTGCATGTTCTCACTCATAAGTGGGAGTTGAACAATGAGAACAGTTGGACACAGGGAGGGGAACATCAGACACCTGGGCCTGTCAGGGAGTGGGAGGGGGCTAGGGGAGGGATAGCATTAGGAGAAATACCTAATGTAGATGATGAGTTGATGGGTGCAGCAAACCACCATGGCACATGTATACCTATGTAACAAACCTGCACATCTGTACATGTATCCCAGAACTTAAAGTATAATAAAAAATTAAAAAATAAAGATGTCATGGGTGGTGAACAAAAAAACAAACCAAAAAAAGAGCTACTATACAATCTCACAGGTAAGACTGGCCTTGTAGTAAGAAAGTTGGTCTCATGTTGACTTAGTGGAGAATGCTACCTAGAATTTTTCTCATCATAGTCTGATTTCTCATATAGTTCTGTCTGCTGCAAGATAATATATTATTTGAGCTGATTTGTCTAACAGTTGTATTTCAGTGTAAATTAATTAATTAATTGCCATTCTGGTTTACACATTACCCCTGTGATCTTGGTAAGAAGTGTCTGTCCTTATGGACAGTTTCCCTTCTCAAGA
Organism: Homo sapiens; assembly: GCF_000001405.40. NCBI lineage: Eukaryota > Metazoa > Chordata > Mammalia > Primates > Hominidae > Homo > Homo sapiens. The sequence continues at coordinate 223,199,411 of NC_000002.12, forward strand.
TGCTAACAATTCAGAGTTCTTAGCCTGCAAATCCTATCTGAATATCCATGAATTCACCTGTGGGGGCACCTTACCAGAAGGCCAAAGAGCAGTACCTCAGTGACATCCTCACCTCACCTTATAACTTCTATTTGACCTTTGATATGTAGTAGATGTGAGTAAGGATTAAACAGAAATTAGAAATGTGTCCCAAACAGTCAGAGTCCATATATCATCCAGAGTGGGCCTCAGAATTCCAAAAATTTTCCTCTGAATGTCTTCCTCTTGCTTTTTCCACTCTTTGTCCTTTTGTAGGTATAACTCCCCAGGGGGCTGTAAACTGTGTCTGTCTCATATATTGCTGTATCCTGAGTGCTGAGCCTGGTGATTACACATCAATAGTAGCTCAGTAGATATTGGTAGAATAAATGAAGGAAGGAAGGAAGGAAGGAAGGAAGGAAGGAAGGAAGGAAGGAAGGAAACCCTGACATTTTCCATTCTGCCTTTTCTTCTACTCCCCCTCTACCTAGGCAGAAGTAATTTAAAAATCCCAGTTTTCCTAGATTATAGATGCAAATTTCTCCCACATATTTGTGATATGTCTTACTGTTGATGGGTGTTGAAATGCTAAACAATCCAGTTATTTCCATTGTGCTACTGGGACTTGTTTTGCAGGAGCATAGCAATGGCTGCTTTGATTATTCCACACCCTTAAGAGAACCCTCTGTTTTCCTCCAAAAATTTAGTCAGGTGGTTGAATTACTTGGCTTCCTTGAAGACTTCTCTGTTGTCAGGTTTTCCTTCTGAAAGGAAAAGCTTCATTAAAATTAGATGAAGAGCACACAGCTTCCAGTTGTTAAACTGTCAACCCTGGCAAAAACAGTGGTGAAGGCAAACCAAAGCTTTCAAGAGAGCGTGTTCTTGAAGAGAGCATGTTCTTGCCGGCTGAACTAATGAAGTGCAGACCCCCTGCTGAAGTCTCAAGTAGATTGCCAGTTCACACAAATGAGCTGAAAAATACCATTCAGTTTTAATTGTGACATTTCTTTCGCGAGGCAGTTCCTTTCACTGGGTTTTTGCTTTTTTCTTGTTTTTGTTTTTGATTTTTTACAAAAATTCTTGACGAATAAAAAATGAAACCAGCAGGAATGTTCTTTAAAGAGCCCAAGAAATGGTTTTGAGAATGCACTGACACTTGAAACATGGGAGAAATCATTATTTTAAAATGCCCAATCCGCTTCCCTCAGTTTTGAACAAAATCAACGACAAAGCAAAACCAGTTTTCAAGTGTTATAGTAATTCGCAAAATAAATTGCAAAGAATGGCAGAGTACCATCAGGGTTCTTCAAGGGCTCTACAAACAATCAATTTGAATTTAAGTTTCTACATAGATTTTAAACTTTTTAAAGATGGTAATCTTTAAATAGTTAAATGTCACATATTTAAAATATAAACTCATCAGAGGACTTCAATCAATGTATTTGCTTGGACTGATGGGTTCATATTTTTCCAAGTAGGAGTAAGTTATAATGCTTCTCCTGACCATTCAATATCCTGAGACTCCAAGGCAAGTGGTGAAATGACCCTAACACTTATAAGTACTTGTCTGTCTTGAATGAGGATTTTCTTTATGCCATATTGCTAAAGGAAAACATATAAATTAATTGTAAGCTAAAACTGCAAGAAGTCTTTCACTGCCATTTATGAGCCTGGATTTATATTTTTGTATGAAAGAAAAAGGAATTGTGTTTTCATTAATTGGCTTTCTAAGCAAAATGCCATAAATTTGAACCAATAAAATGAATTTATTCTAATAAGATGTCTCCTTGTTTTAAATCTCTGATAAGATGTTGTTTTAAAAAAGAATTCTATAGTTAAAAGTTATTTTAAAGACCACTTAATTATATTATCTCTATGTTATGTCTAAAACCATGAAATGACTTAGTGATTTTGTAGTGAAGCTAGTATTTGGCAATTGTTATAGGCTACCCTTTGGCTAGAATATTTTTAGTCCATATTTCAGTTATATATTGCTATGTACCCCAAAACTCAGTGGCTTAAAACAAGTGCCATTTATGTATGATTCTGTGGGTTGACTGGGTGTCCCTTCTGCTGGTCTTACCTGGGCTCACTCATGTAGCTGTATCTGGCTGGTAGAACTGCAACCTGGGCCCAGCTGCACTCTTCTTTCTGCAGTGGCTTTTCATCCCAGGATTTTTATGGCATTGCAGTTTCAAGGTGTTCAAGAGAACAAGCCCCAGTGTACAAGCCCTTCTGAAGCTTCTATTTGTGTTACATTTGCTGATGTTCCGTTGGCCAAAGCAATTCACATGGCCAAGTCCAATGTCGACTTGGAAGGGGAATACATAAAGGCACGAATATGAAAAGGCATGTGATTCACTGGGTGCCATTACTGTAATAATTTACCATAGTTTCCAATCAATAGAATTATGAAAGACTCTCCTAAACTTTACAGCACTGGAAAACAGGGCCCACAGACTATAATACAAGAGGGAGTGTATTATAATAATGGCCTTAATGAATAACATTCTCTATATTCACACTTATTTGCAATATAATACTGCCATTCTTCCTGTTTTGGTTGGGCTGCTATAACAAAATATCATAATATCATTATAAACAATGGAAATGTTTTTCTCACAGTTCTGGAGACTGGAAAGTTCAAGACCAAGGTGCCAGCAGATTCAGTGTTTGACAAAATCCTACTTCCTGGTTCATAGATGGTACCTTTGGGCTATGTCCTCACATTTTGGAAGGCGTGAATTCACTCTCTGGAGTCTCTTTTATAAGGCACTAATCTCAAAGAGGGCATGATCTTCAAGAATTAATAACCCTCTCAAGTCTCTACAATCTAATGCAATTACCTTGGGAATTAATATTTCAACATATCTATTTGATGGGACACAAACACTGAGAACAGAGCACTTTCCATTGAGTGGTAGATACTATTTCTCCACCTTGAATCCTAGTTAACATTCTAACTTGCTTTAACCAGTAGAATGTGGCTGACATGATGTTTTGGAAGCTCTGGAGCCTAAGCCTCAAGATGCCTTGAAGCCTCTGCCTTCACTTTCTTGGAACTTAGATGCCATATAAAGGTGGGCTAATCTACTGAATGATGAGGAACCATGTGAAGAGAGAGGTCCCAGACTTCCAACCATTCCCATCAGGGCCTTAGACACATGCACGATGTCAACACAGACTCTCCAGCTCCAGCTGACCCACCAGATGAATACAACCACAAGAGCAAGCCCGTGTGAGACCACCCAGCCATCCCAGAGATTTGTGAGAAATGATGTTGAGGTGTTTGTTACTTAGCGATAGATAACTGGTATGGGGGTAAATATTAACTCTTATTCATTCCTTGTATGAACCATATGAAGCAAGCATTAATTTTCCTCTTTTACAAAAAAAAAAAAGAAAAGAAAAGAAAAGAAAAAGAAACTGAGACCCAGAAAGTTTGAATCTCTTGCTGAAGGTCAGACAGCTAAATAACTGAGAGGATACACATTTGCTGACTTGCAAACTCATAGTCTTTCTATAACACATTGAATTTGGAAGATTTAAAACCTGTCTTTTTCAATCTGAATAAAGATGAGCGATTTCAGTCTAAGTTTCACTTTTTATCCCTTTGAGCAACATTACCCTGAAAGCGGATCCTTGGTGTTTTCTCCTTTGGTGGAATGCTTTCTCTTTCTTTGACTGATTGTTTGCCCTAAATTTTAGAAAATCCCACATGCTTCAGAAATGGAAGAGTGAGGTGAAATCATCCCTAGGAAATAAGACAGCAGTCAGAATTGTATGGTTAAGTTAATCTTAACAATGAAAGAATTACTAAAACTTTTCTTCAGAAAATCAGCAAGAAACATTTCAGTAACCATGATATTCTGTTCTAGAATATTTCTACCTCATTTTTCTTCTGTGTTTTGATTTTGATGGGATAGCCTAAGTTTCTAAGTTATTTTTTGAGATTTTGGATTTAATACAGAAGCAGAAATTTGTCACAGTAAGGGAGGAGGCCACCCCTCATATCGTCTTATGCCCAATTTCTGCCTCCAAAGAAAGAAGTAAAAACTAAAAGGCAGAAATGAAATCCACAGGCAGACAGCCTGGCGCCGCACCCTGGGCCTGGTAGTTAAAGATCGACCCCTGACCTAATCGGTTATGTTATCTATAGATTACAGACATTGTATAGAAATGCACTGTGAAAACCCCTGTCCTGTTTTGTTCTGATCTAATTACCTGTGCATGCAGCCCCCAGTCACGTACCCCCGCTTGCTGAATCAATCACGACCCTCTCACACGCACCCCCTTAGAGTTGTGAACCCTTAAAAGGGACAGGAATTGCTCACTCAGGGAGCTCGGCTCTTGAGACAGGAGTCTTGCTGATGCCCCCGGCCGAATAAACCCCTTCCTTCTTTAACTCGGTGTCTGAGGAGTTTTGTCTGCGGCTCGTCCTGACACAACAGAAGTAGGTATAGTCCAATGACAGAAATGGGACTGCTTCTATTTGTAAAATATTCATTGTTTTCCAATGGTGACAGCCATTACAGCAATGCAAAGCATATTTTGGAGACTCCAAAAAAATGTGGAAGGCATAAATAAGGATGAGCATATTTGGTGACAGGGCCATCAAGACACTGGTGAGTCAAACTTGAGTGATCCAGGCTCTTACACTCAGTGACTCAAATTCACCAAACCCATTTTGCTCCTGAAGGCCATGCTCAGAGAATCAAATTCACATGCAGAGAAAGAGAAAATACTTCCTTTGTTATTGAATTTTTTTCTACAGGCACATCGGGAGCACATTTTTTTCTAACCACATAAGACACAGCTGAGATAAACACTTCTGAGTATTGCTGAGAGAGAAAGTGAATTTAAGAAAGTTATGTAATTTTGAACAAGAGGAATTAATTTCTGTTTTTGGAGAAACTTGAATCAGAAAGTGGCTCTAGATACTAACAAGAGTAAAAGAAGAGAGAGCTCTGTTCACTACCCCCAACTCCCCTCCCTAAGAAACATATTTACATAAACAAAGCAGGGTGGGGATGGGGTAATCTATGAGTCAATAGGATCATGTCCATCAGCTTCCAGCAAATGAAAGTCCACGAAAATGCTTTTTCCTTTCTCTTTTTAAATGTACTTAGTTAATTGACCATTTTAGAATGCGATACAACTCAAAAGGTGTTTAATGTGCTAGGAATAAAGGGTCTTTAAACATAAAGAGTCAGGATGACTACTAGAGGCACCTAGCACTAGCCTCCTCCACAAAGAAGGACTGAAACAGCCAGTAGGTAAACACGCATTGAATAGGGGCTTAGGGTGTCTAAGAGAGAACACTGAAACTTAGCAGGAAAGTGACAGGGAACCTCCCAGGCACAGAAGGAAAGGGAAACAATGCAGCTGACCTGGCTGGGGTTGGCTTGGAGCTGGGAGAAATGCTCCATTGTGGGGTAAAGGTAAGTGAGAGATCCCTAGTGGTCCACATTCCCACCACAGACTCCTGCAGTCCTAGCTATGAGAGAGTCCCTTAGACCTCATGGGCCCTAAGACTAGTATAGGGCACTGCCTGGGGTCCATGAGACAACATTGTTACAGACAGGACATTCTCTCCACATCCCACATCACCTCCCAAGACCTAAGCAGCTGCAGTGCATTGGCATTTGGGAGCCCAACACTTCTCAGACTACATGCTGCCCTGGGCCCCAGCAACCCCTGCATCTCCACATCCATGAAGCCCCTCTGACATCCCCCCATGTCCATCCAAAGAACTATAGCATTCCAATGCTGGCTGGACCTAGCAGCGCAGCCAGGTCTCAGCATTCCAGCCCTCTCAGAGTGCTAACCCTTGGTAAACAGGCGATGCAGTGCAACAGGGAGGCTGCCCCTGGGACAAAGGGAACCAAAGCATGGGCTCAACAGAGCTTGAGAGCTCTGCCTCTTCTGGGCTGCTGCCACTAACTGCAACCCTGCCTCCTGTGTGCTTGCATGTGCCTTCATGGAACCTAGGGACTGAACTTCCCAGACACTGTCCTGGGGCTTGAGGACAAATCTCACATCCTCTCCTGACAGCGCCACCCAGAGACCTTGAGAACAGGCTTGTACCACCTTTCTCCACCAGCACCCAAGTATGCGATCTGGGGGTCTGGGGATCAAGCCACCCTGCCCAATACTGCTGGTGCCCATATGTGCCATTCGGGGGACTAAGGACAGGCCGATCCCATGCACCATTACCACTGCCAGTGCCCAAGTGTGCCATTTGGGGGTCTGGGGATTGTCCTACTCTCTCTGCCACCACAGGTGCCCATGCACAGAATCTGTAAACCTGAGGGCAGTCTTGCCTAGCCCACTGCCACTGCTGCTGGCACTCCAGTGCATCATCTGGGGAACTGAAGATTAATCCTCTCCACCCACTGCTGCTGGCACCCACGCACATCTTCAGGGGGCCTGACAAGAGGGCCTCCTTGCCAACCACTGCTGGTGCCTGCACAGGCCATCCAGCAGCTTGAGGACAGACCCGCTTCACCCACTGCCATTTCTGCTGGTAATTCCATGCACTGTCTGTGTGCCTGGAAACTGCTCTGCCCTGCTCATCACTGCTAGTGGCTGTGCACACTATTGAGGGGCCTAAGGACAGGTCTGCACTGCCTGCTGCTGGTGCTGGCACCTACATACCTCATCCCAGGGTCTGGGGATTAATATGCCCAACTGGTGTCTATGCAAGCCTCCTGGGGCCTGAGGATGGACCCACTCTGCCTGCCCCCACCCCATGTGCATGTTATCTGGGGGCCTGGGGATAGGGCTACCCTGTCCACTGCTGGGGCCCCATGAGTTCTTGGAGGACTACAAACTGGCCTGCCCTGCTTGCAGCTACTACTGCCACTGGCAATCACCCATGTGCACCACCTGGAACTGGCCATCACTGGCAACTGAGCAAGCTGCCTGGAAACCTAAGGACTGACCCGCCCAGCCTTATTACCACAGGTGCCCACATCTATTGCTTAGGTGCCTGAGAACTAGCATGGCCAACCCACTGCCACCACCACTGGTACCTGAGGACTGGAACACCTGGCATCCCTGTCCCCAGCAAAGCCTTGCCACAGCCTCCACTAAAAAACACAGCCTAAGCCACTAGGGAACTCAGAGACACTACTGATACTGATTACAGCCAAAGAAATCATATAGAGAAGACACTACTAAACCCATCCAGAATAAAAGTCAAATGTTAATTACAGGTACATCTATGGGAAAAACTTCTTCCCTACAAAAGCCAATCCACAAAATGGGAAAAAGTAGCTGTTACACCAGGTGTGCAGATGTCAATGTAAAGACACAAGAAACACAAAAAAAGCAAAGAAATATGACATCTTCAAAGAAACACTGTAATTCTCCGGTAATAGAACCTGATGAAAAGGAAATCTATGAAATGCCTGAAAAAAATTCAAAATAGTTATATTTAAAGGAACTCAGTGAGATGCAAGAAGACACAGATCAATAATACAAAGAATCAGAAAAACAATGTATGATACGAATGAGGAATTCAACAAAGAGATAGACATAAAAAAGAACCAAACAAATTCTAGAAGTGAAGAATTCAATGAATAAAATAAAAATACAAGAGGTTCAACAACAGACCATATTAAGCAGAAGAAAGAATTTCTGAATTTGAAGACAGGTCTTTCAAAATAACCCAGTCAGACAAAAGAGAAATTAAAAGAAAAAATAATAATTTTATAACTTTAATATGGGCCATCATAAAACAACCTAATATGAATTTGGGGAGTTCCAGAAGAAAAAATGATGGGCAAAGTCATAGAAAACCTATTTAATAAAATAATGGCTGAAAATTTCCCAAGCCTTACAAGAGTTAGAGACAACCAGATACAGGAAGCTCAAATATACCCAAATATATCAACCAAAAATGTCTTCTCTGAGGCACATTATAGTCAAACTGTAAAAAGTCAAAGACAAAGAGAGAATTTAAAAAAAAAGCAGGACAAGTGCATCAAGTCACATATAAGAGAATCTCTATCAGACTAACAGCAGATGTTCTCAGCAGCAACCTTACAGGCCATGAGAGAATGAGATGATATATTCAAAGTACTGAAAAAAAATCCTTTTGCAAGCAAGAATACCAAACCCAACAAATGCATCCTCCAAAACTGAAGGAGAAATAAAGTCATTCCCAGACAAGCAAAAACAGGGAATTCATCACTAGTAGTCTGGCCCTACACAAAATGTTTAAGGGATTCCTACACCTGGAAGCAAAAGGAAGATATCTACTATCATGAAAACACATAAAAGTGTAAAACTCATGTACATAAATATACAAATGAGAAAAGGAAAGGAGTCAAATATTACTGCTGCAGAAAACCAGCAAATCACAATGACAAACAATAAGAGAGGAAGAAAAGAGCAAATGATATATGAAAGAATTAGAGAATAATTAACAAAATAGCAGGAATAAGTCCTCACCTATCAATAATAACTTTGCATGTAAATAGATTAAATTTTATGCTTAAAAAATATAGACAGGCTAAATAGACTTTTAAAAAACCTGATTCAACTATATGTTGCCTACAAGGCACTCACTACACATGTAAAGACACGTGTAGATTGAAAGCAAAGAAAGGAAAAAAAATTAAGTTGGTGCAAAAGCAATTGCGATTTTGGCCATTACTTTTAATGCTATTAATGGCAAAAACCACAATTACTTTTGCAGCATAATGACATTAAAAGTAATGTCAAAAACCACAATTACTTTTGCAGCAACCAACTACATTCATGCCAATGAAAACAAAAGGTGAGCAGGAATAGCTATACTTACATCAGATGAAACAGGATGCAAGTCAAAATCTGTAAAGAGAAAGGAGATCACTATATAAAGTAATTAATTCAGCAAGAGGTTATAACAATTCTAAATATATACTTATCCAATACCAGAGCACCCAGATACATAAAGCAAATATTATTAGATCTAAAGGGAAAGATAGACTACAATGCAATAGTAGTTGAGGACTTCAACACTCACTCTTAGCATTGGACAGGTAATCTAGGCAGAAAATAAACACAGAAATGTTGAATTTAAACTGTGCCATAAATCACGTAGACCTCACAGACATTTACAGAACAATTTATCCAACAGCTGCAAAATACACATTCTTCCTATCAGCACATGGAGTGTTGTCCAGGACAGACAATCTGTTAGGCCACAAAACAAGTCTCAACAAATTTGAAAAAATCAAAATTATGTCTGAGGGCTCTGTTCTGTTCCATTGGTCTATATCTCTGTTTTTGTACCAGTACCACGCTGTTTTGGTTAGCCTTGTAGTGTAGTTTGAAGTCAGGTAGCATGATGCCTCCAGCTTTGTTCTTTTGGCTTAGGATTGTCTTGGCAATGCCGGCTCTTTTGGTTCCATATGAACTTTAAAGTAGTTTTTTCCAATTCTGTGAAGAAAGTCATTGGTAGCTTGATGGGGATTGCATTGAATCTATAAATTACCTTGGGCAGTATGGCCATTTTCACGATATTGATTCTTCCTATCCATGAGCAGGGAATGTTCTTCCGTTTGTTTGTATCCTCTTTTATTTCGTTGAGCAGTGGTTTGTAGTTCTCCTTGAAGAGGTCCTTCACATCCCTTGTAAGTTGGATTCCTAGGTATTTTATTCTCTTTGAAGCAATTGTGAATGGGAGTTCACTCATGATTTGGCCCTCTGTTTGTCTGTTATTGTTGTATAAGAATGCTTGTGAGACACAGGAAGGGGAACATCACACACAGGGGCCTGTCGTGGGGTTGGGGGAGGGGGGAGGAAAAGCATCAGGAGATATACCTAATGTAAATGACGAGTTAATGGGCACAGCACACCAACATGGCACATGTATGCATATGTAACAAGCCTACACTTTGTGCACATGTACCCTAGAACTTAAGGTAAAAAAAAAAAAAATCAAAATTATGTCAAGCATTTTCTCAGGTGACAATGGAATAAACCTAGAAATCGGTAGTAAGAGAAATGTTGGAAACAATACAAATACATGGAAACTAAACAACATGCTCTTGAATAACATTGGGTCAATGAAGAAATTAAGAAGTAAATACCAGCCTGGCCAATATGATGAAAGCCTGTCTTTACTAAAAATACAAAAATTAGTTGGGCATGGTGGTGGGCACCTGTAGTCCCAGCTACTTGTGAGACTGAGGCAGGAGAATCGCTTGAACCCAGGAGGAAGAGGTTGCAGTGAGCTGAGATCACATCACTGCACTCCAGCCTGGGTGACAGAGTGAGACTCCATCTCAAAAAAAAAAAAAAGAAAGAAAAAGAAAAAAAAAAGAAGTAAATAAAAAAATTTCTTGAAAAAAATAAAAAATGAAAACATCACATACCAAAACCTACGGGATACAGCAAAAGCAATGCTAAGAGGGAAGTTTATAGCAATAAGCACCCACATCAAAAAGCAGAAAGACTTCAAATAAGCAACCTAACAATATACCTCAAAGAATTAGGAAGGGTATTACAAACCAAACCCAAAATTACTAGAAGGAAAAACATAATAAAGATCAAAACAAGACTACCCAAATTAGAGAATAAAGAAACAAAACAAAAGATCAATGAGACAAAGAGTTGCTTTTAGAACACATAAACAAAATTGAGAAAGCACTGGTTATACTAAGAAAAAAGGACAGAAGACCCATATAAATAAAATGAAAAAGGAAAAAGGAAACCTTACAATTAATACTACAGATACAGATACTAATACTGCGGATACTGATACTAATACAAAGGAACATAGAGATTACTATGAACAAGTATCTGTTAATAAATTGGAAAATCTAGAGGGAATGTATAAATTCCTGGACACATTCAACTTACCAAGATTGAACCAGGAAGAAAGAAAATCTGAACATACCAATAACAAGTAGTGAGACTGAATCAGTAATAAAAAGTCTCTCAATAAGGAAAGTACAGGACCAATGGTTTTATTGCTGAATTCTACCAAACATATAAAGAAGAACTAGCCCTAATTCTTCTCAAACTATTCCAAATAATTGAAGTGGAGAGATTTTTTTTTTCTAACTTATACTATGAGATTAGCATTACTTTGATCCCAAAACCAGACAAGGATAGAACAAAAAAGAAAGCTGGCCAATATCCGTGATGAACGCAGACATCAAAATTCTTAACAAAATACTAGCAAGCCTAATCCAACAATATATTAAAACAGGAATGTAGGATAATTCAGTGGGATTTATCCCAGGAATGCAAGGATGGTTCAACATATGCAAATCAATAAGTGTGATACATCACATCAACATAATGGAGGACAAAAACCATATGATCATCTCCATAGATGCAAAAAAAGCATTTGATAAAATTCAACATCCCTTTATAAAAACTCTCAACAAATTAGGCACAGGAAGAATGTACCTCAACATAGTAAAGGTCATGTGAATGGGGAAAAGCTGGAAGACTTACTCTAAAAATTAGAACAAGACAAGGATATCCACTTTTACCACTCCTTTTCAACATAGTACTGGAAGTCCTAGACAGAATAATCAATCAAGAGAAAGAAATAATTAGAAAAGAGGAAGTCAAATTGTCATTCTTTGCAGATAACATGATCTTATATATAGAAAAGCCTAAAGGCTCCACCAAAAAGCTCTTAGAATTGATAAATTCAGTAAAGTTGTGGGACCCGAAATCAACCCACAAAAATCAGTTGCATTTCTACACATCAATAACAAACTAGCTGAAAAACAAATCAAGAAAGCAATCTCATTTATAATAGCTAAAGAAAAATTAAATACTTTGTTAAATAAATAAATTTAAGCAAGGAGGTAAAAGACTTCTACAAGAAAAACTACAAAAAAACTATTTAAAGAAACTGAAGAGGACACAAACAATTGGAGATACATCCCATGCTCATAGATCAGAAGAATTAGTGTTATTAAATTTTAACATCTACAGATTCAATACAATTTCCATTAAAATACTAAGGACATTTTTCAGAGAAATAGAAATAACAATCCTGAAATTTGTATAGAACCACAAAAGACCCTGAATAGCCAAAGCAATAGTGAGCAAGAAAACAAAGCCAGAAGCATAAAAATACCTGACTTCAAAATATACTACAAAACTAATAATATCACCCCAGTAAGAATGGTTATTATCAAAAAGACAAAGAAAAACAAATGCTGGAGATAATGTGGAGGAAAGGGAATTTTTATGCACTCTTGGTGGAAATGTAAATTAGTATGTTCATTTTGAAAAATAGTATGAAATTTTCTCAAAAAACTAAAAATAGAACTACTACATGATCCAGCAATCCCAGTACTGGGTATTTATCCAAAGAAAAGGAATCAGTATATCAAAGAGATACCTGCACCCCCATGTTCATTGCAGCATTATTCACAATAGTCAAGACATGGATTCAACCTAAATCCCCATCAACAAATGAATGCATAAAGAAAATGTGGTGGTATACACAATGGAATACTATTCAGCCATAGAAAATAATGAAATCCTGTCATTTGTAGCAACATAGATGGAACTAAAGGACATTATGTTAAGTAAAATAAGCCATGCACAGAAAGAAAAACACTGCACATTCTAACACTGTGGGAGCTAAAAAAGTTGATCTTATGGTTCTTATGGATGTTTTGGAGATTAGAATGATAGTTACCTGAGACCAGGAAAGGTGGAGAATGAGGTGAAAAGAAGTCGATTAACGGACACAAACATACAGTTAGATAGAAACGGCAAGTTCTACTGTTTGATAGCACAGTAGGGTGACTATAGTTAACAATAATTTATTATATATTTCAAAATAGCTAGAAGATTTGAAATGTTCCCAACACAAAGAAATAATAGATATTTGAGTTTATGGATATCTTAAATATCCTGATTTGATCATTACGTGTTGTATACATGTACCAAAATATCATATGTACCACATAAATATGTTCAATTATTATGTACCAACAAAAAAAAAGAGAAGAGTTCTACTATTTTTCAATAAACTCTCTTATTCTGTCAAAAAAGCATATTATAATGTTATATTCCCTTCCCCCATGCAAGGAACAGAAAACGTGCCATGAAGTGCTAACAGTTCCTAATGAATGTTGTAGTGTCCATAAAATTAACAAATTAACAAATTGTTTTAGTTTACATTAGGATTCATTTTTGGTGTTGTACATCTATGGGTTTAGACAAATGTGTAAAGCCATGCATCTTCCATTATAGTATAATGGATGATAATGATGTGTCAGTGTAGGTTCACCAATTATAACAAAATTTAACCAAATTTTCAATTTTTAATATTATAAATTGCACTACAATAAACAACTTGCACATACGTCTTTGTGCATTTGTCAGATTAATTCATTAGGATACATCCTAAGAAGTAGGATGTCTAGGTCAAATAAAATATGCATGTTTGGAGGCATTTATGCATATACCCAATTGCCCATCATGATAGTGATATCAATTTACACTCCCTTTAGTCATTTGTCCTTAGATTCTTTTAAATCTTGGCCAATCTGATAGAATAAGTAATTGTGTCTCATTTTTGTTTAAATTTGTACTGCTTAGATTATTGATGAGGCAGAATATAGTTTTGTGTATTTATCAGCCATTTGCATTTGTGTGTGTGTGTATGTGATTTCCTCATTTAGTTATTTAACAATTCTAGAGATAATTCAAACTACCTTTGGCTATGTAAATCAATCTGAAAATTTCCCCAAAATTTTATGTTTTTACCTTATTTAAATCTGTTTTTTCTTGTCTGATACTTACGAAAAGACTAGGAATCTACTATGCACCAAAACAAATTATTTGGTATGAAAAACGGGCTTTTCCAACAGGTTTTGACCTCTCCTCTTTTTTTTTTTTTTTTTTTTTTTTTAATACAGTGCAAAGCAGCACTTTCAAAATTTGACAGGACAATAATAATGCTAGTTGAGGTTTTGGATGGGGCAAAGGCTGTGGCAAAAGAGAGGAAAATCTGGTTGAAGAAATGGGGGGGATATTAATAGGCAAGCTGTCTCAAACTTGTTTTTTAATCACAGAATCATTTTTTTAACCTCTTTGCATTTGTGATGGTCACATGTAAATGGCAACAAACAGTAAGACTAGACCTATGCCAACCTTTCATGTACTGTTTGAAAAATCAGCTCAAAATGCGTGCCCTGCAAATGGTGTGTCAGAAACGTCGTCATTTCATGTGAAACATGAAATAATGATAATAATTATTATTACTTGTATATTAGGGTTCTCCAGAGAAACAGAACCAATAGCATATATATGGAATACTATTATGAAATACTAATATATATTTTTATGAATATATATTATATAATATGATAAATTAATATAATATGTAATAATATATATTAAGGACATAATGTATGTTATAGAAATAGGCTCATGCAATTATGAGACTGAGAAATCACACAATCTGCCCTCTGCAAGCCGAAGAACTAGGAAGGCTGGTGGTATAATTAAGTTCAAGTCTGAAGACTTGAGAACCAGAATGTCGACATCTGAGGGCAAGAGCAAATGGGTGTTACAGCTCAAGAAGAGAGAGTAAATTCATCCATCTTCTGCCTTTCTGTTCTATTTGGATCCTTCTGGGTCCAATGGATTGGATGATGTTCACTCACGTTGAAGAGGGCCATCTGCTTTACTCAGTTCACCAATTCAAACACTGATCTCTTCCAGAAACACCCTCACAGACACACCGAGAAATAATAAGCTATCTGGGTGTCCCTTAGCCCTGTCAAGTTGACACATAAAACTAACCATCACATTACTCAGAAATGTATCTCTGAACGACTTATATTTACTGAGTTAAAGGAGCTTCCTTTGAGATGCCCACTTTCTCAATACACAAGCAGGACTACAAGCTGAAATGTTAAAGCTGGAAGAACCTTTGAAGCACCTCCCTCACCTCAGTTTCCTTACCTGTGTAATGATGGTTGTGTATAAATGAAATATTTTACCTTGGTTCATATAATTTAGAGTAGGAGAAGCCCAGCAATTCCTAAATAGAAACTCCACAGGTACTGCCTTTGTAGCAATACCCATGGTAGCTCTGGGTCATGGCATGTTCATTGCATATGAGTCAACACTTTGCTCTGATGAGACCCTGAGCCAGTATTAGACTGAGCTTCTCCTAAACACTGATGCGCTTATGAGATGGTTTCCTATCAGATTACAGGGTTTATGAGCTGCAATTATTTGTTATATTTTCAAGTTTATGCTTCACAAAGATGACAAAGCTGATTATAACTCTTAAGGCCCACAAGAATAATTGTTGCCGTGAGGCGAGCTTAAGATTTCTGCTTGCATCATAAAGCACACTCCTAATGAGAGATGCAGAATTTTGTAGCTTCTCTGCTTTTTAAAATACATTTTTGATGAAAAGATATTTCATGCTCCATAGCTTCTTATACCTCTGACCAGCTTTAAACTTAATTAGTCCCATCTAAACCAATGTCAGCTGTGTTATGGAGAACTCTTCATGGCAAACTTTCCCATTTGGATGAAATATGAGATGTGCATGGGCACATTCTGCTGAACAAAAAAAAAAAAAAAAAAAAAGCAAAGACTAAATTTCTTGTCTGGAAGCAAAGTTTCTGGAACATGTAACTCAGGCGGCTCAGACAGCAGCAGTTTGTGCTTTATTTTGAAAACATTCCTGCTCGTGAAGAACAGAATGCAAAGGGTAATCAACTTCTGGGACTTTGCAGAAAACCCTTCTGAAAAAGAAGAGAGTGATGAGCAAACTAGGCCCCCACACACCATGGAAATTTTAGAAGTTTTCTTAAGCTGCTTTTCACTGATAAGCTACCTTATGTTTTTCAAGTTCCCATAGTGAGGAAAACATTCAAGTGTGTAGTCTACAAAATTAACTGTCTGGCTAAATCCCACGGAGGTGGATTCTGCAACTCAACCTCCTGCCTCCCCAGACCCGCCCCTCCCTTCTCACTTCTATCCCTTGCTGCTACCCTATAAGGATCTTCTGGAGTCCATTTGCTCTGCTTAATATTCTGTGAACATTACTTGCTGTCTCTGCCTTGTTCCCCTGATTGGGGTACTCTCTGTGTCTTCCTGGCTATCTTGCACTGTTCCTGAGGTACGGAGAGCTATATAGCTTGTTCATATGAAACAAGTTTTAATGAAGACTGTCTTTGGGACTGGGTACTTTCTTCAGAGTGATGTGCATATCAATGTGAATAGGATGTCGTTCCCTCCCTCAAAGTATTCACACTTTAGTGAACTCCAAAGGCTTTGCATTTATTCCAACCCCTTGGAACCCACTTGTTTGCTAAATTCCCACAGCATTTACTTTCAAAATCTTTCGGTTTCTAACTAACCAATTATTGTTGTCTTAGAAAAATTTCCCAAGCTGTCTTAGAACAGTTCCCTGGTCTTTTGGCTGCTGCATTCATGAAATTGAACAAATATATTCCTTAATGTACAATTATTTATTTACAATGTTCTAGAAATTTTGTTTTTTTAAATCAATTAAGTTTAAAATGAACTATTTTATTGCTATTTGAAATAGATAACCAGTCTACAGCCATGCTACCCTGAATGCACCCGAAACAGATAACCAGAATTACTTGCCTTAAATAAGAAGCAATCATAATGAATGCAATGAAAGAAAAACGTTGTTCTTAAATTCTAGTGAAAAGAAAACAATGTTTATGGCAGCCTTATTTATAATAGCCCCAAACTGGAAACAACTCCAATGTCCACACTAGTACAATAGATAAGTTGTGGTGTACCTGCACAATGAAATACTACCCAGCAACAAAAAAAGAACAAACTATTATAACATCCAACTGCACTGAATATCAAAGACATGATAGATAAAAGAGGCAAGGATATGAACTATATGATTCAATTTCTGTAAAAGTCAAGAATGGGAAAATCTAATCTATGGAAATGGAAGTCAGGATACTAGTTACAACTAGAGAGGGGTATTGATTGGAAAAGGGCACAAAAGAACTCTCTGGATGATAGATACATTCTGTATCTTAATCTGTCAATGGTTACATAAATCCATCCATATGTATATAAAAATGTATCAAGCTGTGAGTTTAGGATTAGTTCAAGTTATGCATATTACACTTCATATAAATGTAAAAATGCAAGTGAAATGTGATGAGATCTTAAAAATAATTCCAGCTGAAGACTCTTAGCTTGGAAATCTCTGAGTCTGAGATCTGCTTCCTGTAAAAAAGGAGATTAGTAAGGGAGAGGGGTCTTAAGGACATATTAGCCCCAAACTGAGACTCTTGTCGTATACAGAGGTTGAGGAGAATTGAAAAAGGATGTCTTTCTCATTATTGAGTTTAAATGTTCCATGGCATTATATCCATGTGCCACTCATATTTTAAGAAATTGCTATATGGCATTTCTTACATTTCCTTTTTATGATTAGGTCCAGTCTTTTGACCTATACTAGAAATCCTATGAGAGTGGAGATCATTGCTGATGTGTCTTGCTAGTTTCCCGTATCACTCATTACAAAAGCCATAATTTCCTGGAAAAATAGGCGCTCACGTCATGCTGATAGTTTAACCTACCCTAAGTTAGTTACTCCACAACCGTAGACTGTGCGCCTCCTATTGAATGTGACAGATGAAAAAAGTGTGATGAGTAGCTTCACTAGAAGCTGCTACACCTTGCAAGATAGGGGGATTCCTAGGGCACAGTTTCTTAACTATCTTCCCTCATTCCCCTTTGGACTCACAGATACATTTAAGGTTGTAATGGAATCTATGGGTTCCCTCCTTAGGAAAATGCAAATATGTACACACACATACTGTTTTGCATAAAGTTTATTTCATTGAATTGAAACTTGATTGTCTTCACATAGAATATTTAAAACATCTTTACCATAATATATTTCTTTTTTTGTACAAATTAATGTCTAGTTCATGAAAAATAGGGAAGCTAATCCAAATTATCTATTCAGAAATATAAATGTTAATCTTGTTCAGAAATAAATAGATGGCATTATCATTTTATTGATAATAAGATAAAATCATAAAGTAATCTTTGATGTGTTATCTTTGACATGACATCAGTCTCAACTTTGTTTCTTTTGGCAACATGTCCTGAAAATTGTGACTCATGAAAACCTTTAGTAGCAAAGGTAATTGGAGCCCCATAGCTTGCTTTGTCAGGAGAGATTAAGGAAGGGAACAACAAAATTTCAAAGATTCTTCATCACATAGTAGAATACAAGTTCATAAAGCAGGAATCCTATTTTGTTCAGTGCTATATCCCCAGTACCTAGAATGGTACCCAGCACATGGCAAATACTAAGTAAACATTTGAATAAATAAGTAAAGGGATTCCTTTTTCCAGAAGTCTATGAGATTATTTCTGGAAAGCCTTTCTTCTTGAATTTATGTTAGCTGGGAAAGGATTACGAATCTTTATTTCACATTTATGGAAGTCTGAACTGAAGGACCTTCAGAATCCTTTGGGGTTTCTGGCACTTTATCCCTTTGACTTTAGCCTGTACAGGCTCTCCTCCTTCATTAGAAAGTTTGTCCTCTCCAAACTCCCAGAATAGCTGCCCAGACAGAAGAGTTGGGCCCTTCTTCCATCCTGAAAATACAAAGCATTTATATTGGGACATATCCAAATTTTGCTGAAATTGTAGACTTTTGCAATTTAACCTGCCCCTGAGAAGAAGCCACACTATTGGATGTATTTCCAGGTTGGGTAACATAACATTCCTTTGGCTTTGCTGGTTTTATACTTTGCAGAAAGGTAAGAGACCTTTTCCAGAAAGAGGATACACTCATGACATTTCAGAATGAAAGTAAAACCTTAATATGCATAGCTTTGTAGTATTCCCTTTTCTTTGACATTTTCCAGCCTAAAAAGATCAAGGCAAACAAAGACTCATGCCATAATTAAAATGATGAGTTTTTTAAAATTCCTACCCTGATGAACAGTATTACATGAAAATAATGGCAGCTATACATTTCTTCATTGTATAACATCATGTCTCACATTGTACTTCTTCGATAGAAAATAGTAATATAATTGCAAAAAGTAGCATTCAACTCTCTTACTTACGAAAATAGTTTCCAGAGCAATAGAAAGAAAATCAAAGAAACATTACTAATGAGTGTTCTCTAGTTCACAAACCTTCTGGAAACTCCTCCATGGACCCCAGGTTAGAAATGCAATCTGAGCTCAAGTCTTGGCAACAGAGGTAAAGGGAACTCTATAGGGGCTCCAGACTCCAAAAGGTGGAGAAAACTGCATTAGCAATCCACCTAAGAATAACAGAATTATTGGAAGTTGGGACATAAGGTTCAAGAAAGAGACTCCCACATCGGGAAGCAGCTGGTTTTACTACCAGTTTTACAGATACTCTGGGTAGTGTCAGTCAAGTCTCTGCCCTTTTTCTTTTTCGTTGCTTTCTCTTCTCTCCCTTCCCTTCCCTTCCCTTCCCTTCCCTTCCCTTCCCTTCCCTGATTGGCATTCATATCTCATACATTGGAAAACAAATCTCATAGCATTTAGCTGTTATACATCATGTCAATAAAATGGGCCAAAAGTCCAAACTTCATCTGTATGCCAATGAGAGACATAGACTTTAAGAAACATTCAGAGTAAGTTTTAACTGTGGCATCAGGTAAATTGTGATGTGGCTCTGCTATCTTCCCCACAATGATCCAAACATTCCTCCCTTCCCCAGCTTCTGCCCCTGTGACCCTGCCTTGAAGGTATGGTTCGACCCTATGCTCTCTGTTAAACTAATTTCCAAGCAGCTTTAAATTTCTCATCCCCTTGATATTAACATGCCATTAATTGTAAGATATGTCACTGATTTTACAGCTTTTTGTTGGCAGTAGAGGGTGGCGGAATACTACTACATTAAATGTAGACATCAACATTGATTGCAAAATACATTTAGATTTTAGAAATGAGAAATTATGAAAAGTATTGTAGAATGGATAAAATATGTTATTGCCTTTGTTAGGACAACACATTTTAATGGGGGGAATTCTAGCCTCTGATAGATGTGTGAGAAGGAAGAATATTTTCATTTGGGATGAGAAGCCTTCCTTCTGCACCTCCTCATTTCATACCATTTGGTAGGCAACTATCTGTCTTCTTCTACCCTAATTTCTTGTAAGCCTGGTCTGGTGAGTTGCTCCTTTATTATCTTATGGAATTAATAGGTTGTTAATAAAAGAAATATTATTTAAAAATGAATCTGCATATGATGTGTGTGAAAATTTAGAGATAAAGTTAATCTTATCTTAGGCGATGGCCTAATACTTTCAGGAGGAAGCACAAGTCTCCTTCTGAGATAACGAGCTAGAAGCACATTTGCAGAGTGTCTCTACTTCTTCAACATTTCACACATGAAAATCATAAGGAAGTATTGGTAAAATCAGATCTTTTGATTTTCAGTTATTGCCCTTTCCACCCTGGAACAAATGATATATGACCATCTCTTTCCTGTTGGTTAAATAAGTTGTGCTTTTAAAAGGAATGTACTGCTGGAGAATAAGGGCTGCAACTCACTGAGCTCTGATCAGATCCTTTTGAGGTAGGAAGTTGAGGTAATAGAGTTATCACAAGGAGGCACTGTGGCGAGGCACGGAGGGAAAGGGGACTGTGGTTCAGGGTGGGCAGGGACACTGGGATCCGGAGACAGAGCAGAGGCATCGTAGTGGGGAGAGGAGTACTGCAAGAGGGGAAGTGGGAGAAGGCTGATGGCCAACATTTTGCTCAAATCAGTTCTACGCACATCTTTTTGTACTTAAAAAAAAATGCACAGAAAGAGACAAATACGTCTGAGATTACCGTTCTATAATTTTTCTTCAGTACTACCAATTTGTAACCTGGAGGTGGCATATTTAGGGCTTGCAGATTTTATGATCTGCCCTCAACATGATCCTGTGCTGGTGTGACTCTGAGCCTGGCCTTAGGAAGGTGTTTGCTTTGATATCTGCTTGAAAACAGAGTGAAAACACTCTGTTAATGACAGCTTGTTCCCAGCTGTTTGCCATGGGATAATTCTTTTTAGCCATGCTTCATTTCAGCTTTATGGGAGCACTAACTGACCTTCGGAAGTACACATTAAAACTATACCTGTAGTCAGAACATGGAAACACAATCCTCATTAGGTTTATAGTGGCCTTCGAGCCCAGAAATTGATTTCCCTGCACAGTAGCTCATCCCCAGAACTGTTGGATGTAGCATTGCTATTCTCATTTTAAACATGAGGAAATGCCCAATGTGGCCAACTGGCATACAGTAAAACAGCAGTTGCCAATGTGGGGTGGAGGGCAAATTTGCAAACATTTGGCAATGTCTGGAGACACGTTTGATTTTCACAACATGTAAGGCATGGGCTACTGGCATCTAGTGGGTAGAGGCCAGGGATACTGCTAAAAATCCTGCCATGGCAAGACAGCCCCTGACAATATAGAATTATCTGGCCTCAAACATCAATATTGCTGAGGACAAGAAATCCTGCACTACTAGGATTTGGATTCAGTTTCTCTGAATTTGAAGCCCAGCCTTCCTACTACATGGTGCAGAAGAGATGATTCCTTTTAGTATATCTTCTATTTCCAAAAGGGGAGGTGGAAAAGGTGAGGGCAGAACTTGATCTGCTCCAGAAAACAACGGGGGATGGAAAAATCATTATTGACAGTTTCCTCTGCCAGGCACTGCTCTAAGTACTTTGCATGGTTTATTTCATTTAATGTGTTAACTTAAGAATCACAAGATCTATAAATTTAAAAAAGGAGACTTTATTTCTTAAAAAGGGTTACAGCTTGCAAGGTGACCATCCCACAGGCCGGGAAGCGCAGCCTCCCGCAAAGACTAGAGAAAGGCATTTCAAAGGAGGAGAGGTTGGAATAGGAGCTTTATGCTGACCAGGTTGACTAAATGTACATATTCAAGAGGTCACAGGAAGGGCCACGAATATTCATGAAGGGGGTCCTGATGCATGCCTATTTAACAAACTTGCATGTTACATATGACCCATGCTCAAGTTGGGGTGGACAATTAATATTTACATGTATTACAATTAGGCACCATAAGTCAAAAAGTCTTTTTGAGACATGAAAGCACTCAGTGCACACCCTCTGTAAACTGGCTAGGACCAGTCCATGGTCAGCCATCTTGTTATCAGTAAAAAATTACTGAAATCAGTCTTTAGTCCAATCAAAGCTGCAGTTATGGTTTGTGAAACAGAGGGCTAGTTAATATGTCTAGTGGTGGATGATAATTGTTTTAATATTGCTTATCTTGAGGTCAGTGTTTGTTTAGCTGCTAGAGAAAAAGAAAATCCTTGTGGCACTTAGAACATAGTTTATTCTTTAACCATAGGGGTGTGTGGCTTATCTTTTACCTGGCATGGCTTTAGGTCCTGTTTATAATTTGGTATCTTTTTGCCACAAAGAGTCTGTTCTGACAGTCTTATGATCTCTATTTTAACATTAACACTGGTCAGATGTGTTTAAAACTTGTTGAACCTGCAGCCTTCAGGCTACATGCAGCCCAGGGCGGCATTGAATGTGGCCCAACACAAATTCATAAACTTTCTTAGAACATTATGAGTTTGTTTTTTTGTTTGTTTGTTTGTTTTGTTTGTTTGTTGTGTGTGTGTGTGTGTGTTTTTTTTTTTAGCTCATCAGCTGTTGTTAGTGTTAGCATATTTTATGTGTGGTCCAAGACAGTTCTTATTCCCATGTGGCCCAGGGAAGCCAAAAGGTTATACACCCCTGGTCTAAACATAAAGGGAGGGGGGATAATGTGGTATGTCTGACCTCCCACCCTGTCATGTCTGCAAACAGATTTTTAAGGTTTCTCTGGAGTGCCCTTAGCCAAGAAGGGGTCTGTTCAGTTCGTTGGGGGTAGGGGTAGGGGTAGGGGTAGCGGTGGGGGGAGCTAGGGTTTTATTTTTAGTTTACAAATGTTAAATAAGTATAACTCTATGAAGTAGTTGCCACATAAGTCACAATAAAGTTAAAAAACATGCAAAGATCATGGATCGAGGGATGGACTCACATGGATGTGTTGTTTCTCAGAAGAAAGTTGGAGGAGCCAGGAAACTTTATGTTTACATTCAGGTGCAGAGAGCAACACTAATCATACCAAGAGAGGATTCATCTGCCCACTTTCCTGCCCCTTATCCCAAGGGTAACACTTACTCACTCTGTCAACATTTGGGATGCCAGGACTTTTAAAATGCTGAGTAACTCTACATTATTACAGCATTTCATTAAATCTAAGACACCGTTGGTTGTAAGATGCACTGTTTATTTTATATACCAATAAGAAAAAAAAGCCACATAATCTGTATTTGTAAGACATTACCAATTCTCAGAGATATATTTCTATATTTTAAAAACATGTATCTAACAATTCAGTGCAATATAGTAAATACCAATCCTCTATGACATGAGGCTGTGTTGTACAGAATACAATGGGGCATGAGAACTATCCTTGTCCTCAGGAAATAAAACAAAAGCCTTTATAATCATGTAAACCATGTTCATAATCATGTAAACAATATCAGAGCCATTGACTTTGCTTACTTCACTGCCAAGTTTTAGACCAGTGCCTGACACAAACTAGGTTCTCAAAATGTTAGTTGAATGAATGAAAGAATGATTGTTTTAGAAGTCTCCCTTTCTTTCAACATTTTTTTTTCCAGGTGAGAATACATCTAGGTTCTTACACTTACTTTCATGTTCTGAGCCTACAAAGGAGCAAAACTTTGGGTTTAATTCAGAAAATAAATGGCCATGGAAAAGGATGTTAACCAGCAAGCTGGAAGGATTCTTCCCTAGACATTTTACAGCAAGTGCTTGGGGGTCTCATCAATCTTTTAGACAAGGGTCAGGTTTAAGGATGAAAAGTGAAAGCACATGTGCCTCTGGTGACAGCGTGCTGTGGTGGTGCTTTGTGTGCCATTGATATACATCATCAATCTTCCTTCCTTGCATTGCCTAACACTCCAGTTGGAAGTTCAGGCAAAATTCTGGGATGCTGAAAGGACTGTAGTCTCTGAAATAAAAATTTCTGAATGGGCATTATTTGCATCCTTTGACCTTGTCATTCTACTTCTTGAAATAGTTTCTTGAGAAAGCGAGTCCTTTGTTCACCAGATATCTATTGAACGCTTCCATGGCAGATACCATTCTGGGCACTGGGGACATGGTGGTAAG
Source organism: Homo sapiens (assembly GCF_000001405.40). NCBI lineage: Eukaryota > Metazoa > Chordata > Mammalia > Primates > Hominidae > Homo > Homo sapiens. The sequence goes on from NC_000002.12 coordinate 223,223,644, forward strand.
TGAGATGGACAAGAGCCTCTTCCACTGAGGCTCATATTCTACAGGAAGGGAGACAGATAGACAACAAACCAACACTATCATAGAGTGATGTGTACTGTGCGGAAATGTAAATAGTATAGTTGGAAGAGACTTATAAGAGCTTACTTTAGACTTCAGACCCTGAATATGTCAGGGAATCTTTTCGAATGACATAGCATCCAAAATACATCAGCTTAAAGCTAAAGTGCACCAACCCTGTACAGATTTGGAAGTAGCATTTCAGGAAGAGGAAGCAACTGGTAAAAAGGCCCAAAAGCAGGAACAGGGGTGATCAACGTGTGGTGGACAAAGAGAAGAGTTTTTTGAGAGGATGGTGAGGAGGGTAGAAGCTGGCTGTGTAGGACTTTATAAGCCAGGGTCAGCAGTTGTTCAATCTCATCAAGTTGTATACCTTAATATCTGTAGATGTTTATGCATGTGCGTAATATATATATTATATAATTTTTAAGCATGGTAGTGACATTATCTGACTTTTACTTTTAAAAGATTGTTTTGGTTTGGCATAAAGAATAGATTGTAGAGGGAGCAAAAGAGGAAGTAGAGACACCAATTAGAAATCTGGTACAGTTGTCCAATACAGAGGTGATGATGGCCTGCCCTAGCACAGTGGCAATAAAAATAGAGAGATGATGGATACAGGATATGTTTTGCAGCTGAATAGATAAGACACATTGATAGACTTGACATGAAACTAAATAAATTTAGGATAACACCTAAATACTTACTTTGAGCTGTTTTATGTTGGCAACTTTAGAGGAAGAATGGGTTGCAGTGGCAGGAGAAGGGCATTACGAATTTTGTTTTGGTCTTATTACATTTGTGATGCCTATTAGACATATATTTTAGATATTGAAGAGACAATTATATATGAAAGTCAAGAATTCCAGGAAGAAATCAGGCCTGGAGATAGAAATTAGAAGTCATTTTTATATAAATGTTATCTAAAGTCTGTGACAAATGTTGCTGAGTACATAGATAAGAAAGAGGGGAGTGGCCAGCAGAGTGGCCAGTCATCTGTGGATGACTCCAAAATTTAGTAGTTAAAGAGAGGTAGAATTGCTAGCAAAGGAGAACAAGGAGGAACAAATAGTGTGACAGGAAGAATATGTTAATTCAAAACCAAGAGAAGAAAGTGTTTCAAGAAGAATGGAGCATTCAGCTGTGCCAAGACATTGGAAATTAAGGTAAGAAGTAGTAACTGATATTGGATTAAGCAAAATGAAGATCAATGGGGACTTCGACAAGAGCATTCCCTCAGGTAGGTACAGAGGGCAAACTTTATTCAAATGAGGGAATGAGGGAAGAAAGGAAGGGAGGGAGGAAGGGAGGCAGAGTGGCAGGGAGGGAGGGAAGGAAGGAAGAAAGGAAGGAAGGAAGAACTGGAATAATAGAGACAAATATTTCAAGAAGTTTTATTTTAGCTAGATGGATATATGGGATAAAGGGAGGTTTTATTTTTCAAAGTTAGTTGGCCATTTTTTATGTTGATGGGAATGACTCAGTAGAGAGGCAGCTGTCAATAACACAAGAAAGAGAAGGGGTAATTGCAGAAGGGAAGTCTTTGAGAAGATGTAGAAAGATGATGAGCTCCAGAGTATTGCTGGAAGTGTAGGTCATGGTTAGGAGTAGGAAGATTTTATCCAATGTAACAGGAGGCGAGATTATGAGAAAAGATGTGAGGCGAGGGGCTTTGCTGAGGAGAAGATGGAGGCATTGATTTTTTCTTTCGGTAAAGTACAAGGCAAGGCTATTGGCTGTGAGTGAGATGGTCAGATGGGGAGCAGATTGTTGGAGAATGTGTGAAACAGTTTGAGGCAGTGGGAAAGCAAATAAATTAAGGAAGTACAGTAGGATTGCTATGCTGTGTTGATTGCTTTTTTGAAATTTATTATCATAAATTGTAAGAGAGACCAGACAGCACTGTTGTATATTTTTCTCACCAATAGTCAGCTGCTTGGATGCACCACAAGCATATAGTTGGGTTTAAACAAGATTGGAGCTTTGTTTGGCATGGCAGTGGTGGGAGGAGGGGCAGGGAGGTAGAGTGTTTTCAAGACAATGATTAGAATGATGGACAGGTGCAATTTCAGCTGTGTGGGCCGCAAAACTGTGGGCTGATGATGGTATGTAGTAAGCAGCTTTTAAAATGGCTCCTAATTAGCCTCGCTTGTGGGTATTCACATTCAAGCAATTCTCTCACCTTGTGCGTGGGCTGGACCTAGTGACTTGCTTCTAGTGAATAAAATATGCTAACGATAATTGGCTGCCATTTTTGAGAATGTTACAAAAGACTGTGACTTTGGTCTTGGTAACACCCTCTCATCTCATTTGCTCACTCTGATAAGGAAGCACTCATGTTGTGAGCTGTGCATTGGGAGGCCCACATGACCAGGAACTGAGAGTAGCCTCTGAACAACAGCCAGTGAAAAACTGAAGTCCTCAGTCCAGCAAACTGCAAGGAACTGAATCTTGTCAACAACAGAAAGCAGATTCTTCTTCCATCAAGCCTTTAGATAAGACCACTGCTATGGCCAGCATCATCATTGAAGCCTTGAAAAAGACCCAAAGCTGGAGGACCCAGTTTAGTCGTGCCCAGATTTTTTACCTACAGAAACCACACACACAAAAAAATGTTCATTGTTTTAAGCTATTATGTTTTGGTGTAATATGTTATGCAGTAACAGGTAGCCAATACATGACATGGTGACAGAATGAGTGAGTCAAAGTGCTATAGTGGCTGAAGAACTGCTCAAGTGGTTGTGCTAGAGCAGCTGAGGTCAGGAAACAGTGGTCACAGAGGGGAATGCTTGAAGTTAAGACTTCAGAGGTGATGCAGATAGTGATAACAAGATCAAAAGGATGACTACAAAGATGGTGGCTGAGATGAGATCAAATAATAGATCTTTGGAAGTTAGAAGACCAAGAAACCTAGAGATCAAGATGTTACATTTATGTGGATGTTGGTAATACCAAAAGTAGTAATGGGAGAAGAACTGAAAAGAAAGATGAATGTAAAATATTAACTTAGTCAATTGATGAGAAGCCATGGTTGGGGTCCTGAGGACAGTAACCAGGAAAAGTGATGGCTTCCGAGGAAGTAAGCCCCTGTTATCTTGGGTGTTCTTCCACCTTGGGAGGTGAAGTCCATCTCCAAGATACTTGCTGCTCCCCGTTCCTAGAAGCTGGACCACGCACCTATAGCCTGTGCTCTGATAATGATTCTAAGTTGGCAAAATGAAGAAGCATAGAGATATTGCATGCATTCCAGAAATGGTGATGACAGCAGCTCCTTCTAGTTTCTAGTGGCAATGGTGGCGACAGTACCAGTATTTAGAATCCAGTCCCAGGGGCCAGGCGCGGTGGCTCATGCCTGTAATCCCAGCACTCTGGGAGGCTGAGGTGGGCGGATTACGAGGTCAAGAGATTGAGACCATCCTGGCCAACATGGTGAAACCCTGTCTCTACTAAAAATACAAAAATTAGTTGGGTGCGGTGGTACACGCCTGTAGTCCCAGCTACTTGGGAATCTGAGGCAGGAGGATCGCTTGAACCCGGGAGGCGGAGGTTGCAGTGAGCAGAGATCGTGCCACTGCACTCCAGCCTGGTGACAGAACATGACTTTATCTCAAAAAAAAAAAAAAAAAATCCAGTCTCAGGGAGGCTGGGGATAGAAGCTGCAGGTTCTGTGTGCAATTGTGTGTGGAAACAGCAGGGAGTTCACTGGGACAGAGCCGTTCCTCCAGTGAGCTCTCCAGGCTTCCTGGAGATTCTGTAAGCTGCCAATAAATTCACTTTTGGCATAAGTTACTATAATGTACTTCATCTGCTTACAACAAAGAATCCTGACTAACATCCAGTAAAATATGATGCCATGAACATCAAAGAAACTGAGGAATGTAAGATGAGAGGACCATATAAAGGAGCTGAAGAGGAAATGGTTTTGCCAAATCACAGACAAAGCATTATCATAAGTTTGCTATGAAATGTATCTATGAGGATGTTCATTTTAGCATTATTTATAATAGCAAAATAGGGAGTTCCTTACGCAAATGGTAGCATAGTCAAAAATTGTTCTCTATGGGACCTAGAAATGGTGTGCTGTTGGAAAACTAATGATATGGAAGAGTGTTTAAGATTTGTTGGTAAATGAGAAGAACAAGGCTACGGGATAGTATTTGCAGTGTGATCACAAATTGGTTTATAGAACTATAGATACCTGCATAAAAATACTAGAGGTGTATATCACCAATATCTCTGGAAAATAAGATTATAAGTCATATACATTTTCTTCTTTGTGCTTTTAAGTATCCTTCGAATCTTCTGCAATGAACAGATTTAAATGTTCTGATTTTTTTTAAGTTAAAACAAAAGCAGGACTTTTTTTCATAATTTCAACTTTTATTTTAGATTTCAGGGTACATGTACAGGTTTGTTACCTGGGTATACTGTGTAATACTGAGGTTTGAGGTATGAATGATTCTGCCACCCAAGTAGTGAGTGAAGTGCTCAATAGGTAGTTTTTCAGCCCTTCCCCCACTCCCTCTTCCCCCACTCTAGTAGTCCCCAGTGTCTATTGTTCTCATCTTTATACCCACGCGTACGCAATGCTTAGCTCCCTCTTATAAGTGAGAACATATGCCACATTTGGTTTTCTATTCCTGTGTTAATTTGCAAAGTGAGAATTTTGATGGTGAGTATTCATTCTAAAAGCACACTGGGGAGTTGGTCTGGACTTTCTTGGTTGTGACCTGACCCCAGGAGGCTAGGGATTCCCACCCAGAATTCCGTGGCTTTAGTGCTCATTGTGTCATGGCATGCCTCCCTAGAGATGCAGAAGCCTACCATGGCCATCAACCTATCTACACTGACCAAGAATGGAACTTTGGAATCTTCTATTTGTCTAGGGTATATCTCCCTTAGGTGACAAGAGAAAGGACAGAGTGAATCTGGAATGGTTGTCCTTTCAAAATCAGGTGTGGAAACACCAGCTGTGCTGAAGAATGCACTTGGCCAGTATCACTAGTCCTAATTCTCAGTATAGATTCACAGGGTAGTTTTTAGATTTTTTTTAAAAACCTACATTTTCTCCTTGTTCAAGGAATTAGTAAAGATTTCTTTTCTTGAAACCTGTGGTTTAATCTCTGTGACATTATTTTCCAAAGGTGTTTTGAAAGCCTTTTTTTCTCATTGAAGGAAAGCTTATGAAACCCTGTTTATCTTGAAAAAAGTCTCTCTTTATGATAATACAGTACAGAAAGAAGAAAACCCTCCCTCAAAAATTAGAGCAGTGTTCACTCAAGCAAAATGATTCACTCATTTAATCCTTTTTTGTGCTTCAATACAATAAGATTAAAAAATCATTTAGCTAGGTCAAGGTTAATATGCTTTAAATTACATTATAGAAAAAGATAAAATCTATTTTGTCTATATATTTCAACAGCAGGACACAAATTTTTTTTTTAATTCCATATAAGATAAGATTCATGTGCTGTAAACAATACAAATGGGCTAAAATGCATTGTTTTTATAAATTTAACTTAATATAGTCAGTTGCAGCTGTATGGCATCTGACCTTGGAGGACTGAACACAAAGAACCAAACTTTGAACTTTCACATTACACATTTTCTTTCAAATTTGGTGAATACAATACTGCACTATCCTCACTAGAAGTTGGCTCTTCCTGGCTTTGCTTTTTATGCACCACAGAGAATTTTTGAGGTCACTATCAGGAGGGGACCCAGACTTCCTTCTGATATCCAGAACTAGTGCCCTGGTACATTTTCTCCAACCCAGTGATGAAATCTATAGTATCAATGCCTCAACTTCAGGAATTTTGTAGTGGAAGAACATTGGCCATAGCCTCCTTAGAGGTCAACCCAGAACTAAAATTAGAGGTGCTACGATTGTCAAATTTTATTTTAATTGTATTTTTTTCAGGGAAGCAGACATGGTCAACATTCAGGCCATGTAAGTCAATACCCAGGTAAGGAATTCCAGATAAAGTTGCTCAGAAGAGAGTTATCTGAGCAACCCTATCTGGAATTTGCAGTTGCCTGCAAGTTTTAGGGACTGTACCCATGGTCTGTGTGGAGTGCATGATGGCCTCTGTGGAAGTAGGCTACACCAGGCCTCACATAAATAGTTATGTGTGTCCAGAACTAGCCCTGGAATGCTGGTTTCTGTCGCAGAGCTCCTGTTTTAAAACTTGAAAGCTGTGCCTAAATCCAGGGTTATTTCATGTGTGCAGAAAGTAAAGAAATTTCGTCATTATTGTTTTCATTATTATGGATGCAGGATATAGATCCTTACAATTTACTTCTTAGTTAAATACATCACAAGACCATCTTACTCATAAATAAGATAGTTTACCATTTTACTTATAGAGAAAGTTTATAGCAAAACTTGTTGGACTTTTCTATGACATTATGGGTTGTTCTGTTAAGCCAATGGATGAAATATCATTTTTTAATAGGAATGCTTATAAACATTTAGATGACTTTCTATGTTTTGAGCTATTAATGTAGTGCTTTTATGCAGCATTAAATAGTATAAAGCGGTGCTTGCCTAGAAATCCCTGACACAGCTCTCACATTCTCAATATAATACAACAAAATGAGGAAAATCCACAGTAGTTTCAAAAAAATGAGATTACTAGCGAATCTATCGGCAGCATCTCGGGTGGATTATTCAATAATTTCAAGGCCAATGGAACTACACAAAGAAATTATGGCCACCAGAGACAAAGTGATTCCCCTGCAGAAAGGTATGAAGACATTCAGTCCTTCTGTCCCTGACTCAAAAGCACAGAGTGTTTTAACAATCAGAAACCAAGGCAGCTTTGCCTGGAGGCTAATTTTTGTGGGAGTCAGAGGGTGTTTGCTCAAGCCCAGAGCTGCCAATACTTTGTACTCATGTATGTAGAATTCTCCTTACCAGTAAGAGAGGATAATAGCATGTGGCTTCCTGGTAGATGCTGCTTCTATAGTGGAAGCACTATCAGCAGTCAATAAAAGATGATATCCTCAGAGTTTCATCGGGTACCTGAGCTCAGATATATAATGACATTTTCATTTATTTGGTTTTATTGGAAATGTAACATTTCCTCTAGCCTTTCAAGTTTGTTACCACATAATTACTGGTAGTGTTAACATTTATATTACAATTTCCAAGACAGTTTATCTATCTTCCTTTCTTCCTTCTTTCCTTCCTTCCTTCCTTCCTTCTTTCCTTCCTTCCTTCCTCCATCCCTTCCTTCCTCCTTCCCATCCTTCCTCTATTTCTCTCCATTTCCCTCTGTTTCTCATCTATTACCTTCTCTGTCTCTCATCTATTACCTTCTTGTTTATAGAGATTCTTGATTAGTACAATTTCTCTTCCTCTTATCTTTTCTGTCATGATCTCTCTATTTTGGTTAATTTACTGCTGGTTAGAATGCTTTTTCAAGAATTGAACTCAAATTGAGTATTTGGATTCTGTGTATTCCTTCAATCTTTGGTATCTTTTTCTCATGTTAGACAAATAATCTATTAATTTTGTAGTCATTTTCTGTCAATGATCTGTAGATGCTATTTTACTATCAATTAGGTTTTAAGTGTTGTAGATGAGAATTCTGATGCTAGTCTCATTATAGGCAAATACTTTTGTTGTTTCTGTCTAGAAGCTGCCAAGATTTTTTTTTTGAATTTCATAAATTTTGATTTTAGTAGACATAAAATATGCATACTAAAGATATATCTACCTTTTCATAAAAAATATTTGGAATTGTCAGTCTTCCTTCAGATGAGAGAATATACTTCTAGTGTTAGTTTAATCACCATGTAACCTGCTTCCTGTTGTCCTTCTGAGATGAATGTCATTGATATAACAGGTCTTTTGGATCTCTCCGTCAGGTCTCTTGCATTTTCTTTAACAATTTCTATCTCTGTATTACTCTTCCACTTCATTTTTAAAATGGAAAGTACAAGTCTTAATAGTAGCCATGTCTTTCAATTTATTTACTGATTTAAAAAATCTAATATCAAGTTTTTTATTTGGCTAATCCAAGAAATCTCTTTGTTCTTATTTTAATTTGCCTCAAGTACTCTTATTATGTTGTTATTCAAACTATTTTCTGTCTCTTCCAGCAAGTCTATTTCATCAGGGCAAGTTCAGATATTCTATTTGTTCTTCTTGATGGCTGCCAAACCCATGTGTGACTGTTATTTGGTAATATAAGCTCAGTTCCAACCAAAGAGACTCAATGTAACTGGTATTAGAAGAGAGGTGTCTCTAGCGTGGCAGTCAGGCTGTTCCTGTAGAGACAGCAAAAAGAATCCTGTTTTCTCTGTTCCCTAGTCTCCTCTCCTTTCCTCTCCCAGTACTGGAAGTAGGGGTTAAGATCAATTGTCAAAGAGATAGGAAGACCTGGCACTCTTATACTGTGAATGTCCACCCTCTCTGCAGAGTCCCGGGATCTTGTAGGGGCAAGTTCTTTTAGTATCGTGGCAGTCAGATCCTTGGGACCTCTTTTAATTCTGCCATCAGGATCACTCCTAACCCACAGAGAAAGGAACCCTGCAATAGCTATACAGCTGCTCCCCGTTGACCCATATACATTTTTTGGCCCCAGCAGAAGTGGATGGGTTGGAGCCAGAATGAAGCTAAAGAAACATGGGAAGCAGTCAGCTATCTTCTTTCCAAATCCCTTTCTCCAGGAAAAAAACCCTTTCACCGAGAGGATTCATTCTGAGATCATGATATATATCTCACACAATATGCAGAAAGCTTTACTGGGTTGGCCTCTGAATTATAAATGACTATCTGCTTCCATATTTTATTAACAACAGTGACTGATGATCACAGTGGTGCCCTTGAGCAACTATAAGATTTATAAAGGATTTATAGTATTGTAAAGAAAGTCAAATTATGCTAAGCACAAGATTTAGTGTTGTCTGACTTTGTACTATCCAGATACTTTGGAAATGTAATCCCATGGATGATTTCCACAGTAACAATATGGAAACCAGACTGATTAATCAAAACACTCAAAAAAACTGGTTGAAAAGTGTTTACTAGTTATTTCTGTGTTAGGTCAAATGGAGCTATTCTAAGCTTTATATAACAGCATAGAATATGTTTTTTAAAGTTTTGTTGCATAATATTATAAAACTTTCACCTTTTGCAAAATTCAGGAGGTTGAACTTCAAGCTGATAATAATTTTGCTTCTGCTTATATAAATAAGATTTTCCTCTGTTACTCTCTGACTGTTTTCCTATTGAAGTAAAAAAATGTTGCTTTTCAACTTCCTACATATTCCTTGTAGGACAATTTTTGTGCCTGTAGGGCTAAGATTTGAGATTCTCTTTCAGCTTTAATTTGCTTCCCTTAAGATACCAGTGACAGGAGATGAAATGCTAGCAATATGAATCTAGAACACAACTTTATGACCGTGGAATCTTAGAGAATTTATTACGATATGTAATATGCAATTCTTGGCACAAGAGTATGGACATTCCTGATTTTACAATGTTCTTTTCCTAATCTAATGTCTCCAAGCAAAGATACAAAGATTCTACTTTCATAAAATGCTATCCTCAAGTACAGAGGCTTTCAAATATCATGATCATATTTATTATAAATTTGCTTTTTTCTATTTTTCAGGTCCTTTTGAGAAAAATATTTTAAAATTGGGGTATTAAGAAAATGGGTTTGTGACTTGTGTTTCAGTCTAAGTCATGTTTCAGATATTTTGGTAAAAATTTTATTGTATTAGAAATGTAACAATACACTGGTAACATCGAAGTTATTATTTCCATTGCAGATTTTTCTCTTGAACTTGAAACATAAATTCAATGGCATATTTGAATTGTTTACTAGGATATACAAGAATTAAATATCATGTGTCAAAGTAGAATTCTGTTTCCCACCTGTAGGAGTTTAATGGTGTCCTTCTAAATGTTATGTTCACCTGGAACCTCACAATATGGCCTTATTTGGAATAAGGACTTTTAAATATATAATTATAGTGAAGATTTTAAGATGAGATCATCCTGGATTAGGGTGGGCCGTAAACCAATGACAAGCATTTATATAAGAAACTCTCTGAAAACAGAGAGACGCAAAGGAAAAGACCATGTACAAATGATAGCAGGTATTAGAGTTATGCTGCCATAAGCCAAGGAACACCAGGAGCCACCAGAGGCTGGAAGAAGCTCCCCTAGGATCTTTGAAGGGAGTATGGCCCCACCAATACCTTCATTTAAGACTTTTGATCTCCAAATCTGTGAGAGAATAAATTTCTGATGTTTTAAGGTCATGTGGTTTGTGGCAATTTGTTACAGCAGTCACAGGAAACTAACACACCACCCCTTCTGAAACCTGTTACACTATAATCTTCCAAATTCAAATAAGTGACAACCCCATTTTCAAAAAGTTGAAGACATGCACAACTGTTTTTTTAGTTTTACATGTAAAATCCAGTTTATTACAACAAAAACATGGAATCAACCTAGGTGCCCATCAATGGCAAATTGGATAAATAAAATGTACTACGTATACATAATGGAAAACCATGCAGCTATAAAAAGGAATGAAATCATGTCCTTTCCAGCAACACATATGCAGCTGGAGGCTATTATTTTAAGCAAATTAACACAGAAACAGAAAACCAAATATCATATGTTCTCGCTTTTAAGTGAAAGCTAAATCTTAAGTATGCCCGCACATAAAGATGGGAGCGATAGATACTAGGGACTCCAAAAGGAGGAAGGGAGGGAGGGGAGCAAGGACTGAAACATTTTCTGTTGGGTACTTTCTGGGTGACGGGATCAACAGAAGCCCAAACCTCAGCATCATGCGATACACCCTTGTAACAAACATGCACACATACCCACTGAATTTAAAATAAAAATTAAAAGTTAAAAAAAGTCCAGTTTATTAGCTAATATTATTGGTTTTATCTGCCAAAGGTAGCTGAAATCCAACTACTTCTTAGTACCACCAACACTCTAACCCTGCCCAGGGCACCACCAGCCTTTGCCCAGATCTCAGCAGTGGCCTCCTAGCAGATGTTCTTTGTTCCACCCTTGTCCCTCCTTTACGTATAGTAAATTCTTCATACAGCAGCTGAGGTGATCCTTTTAAAGCTAAGGCAGGCACTCCTTGTCTCAAACTCCTTTAGGGGATGTATGCCTATCTCAGTGAGGGTTGGAGCCAAAGGCCTTGCCATCTTCCCTGTGATCTTTCATCTCCCAATGAACACTCAGCTCATTCTCTGCCTCTCCTTCTCCCCACCTTTCCCCCCTCCCCCACACAATGTACTTCCACTACACTGGCCTCTTTTCTTGTCACCTCCGGGCCTTTGCATCTGCCATGGCTTCTGCCTGGAGTGTTTTGCATGGTTTGCCCACATCCTCACTTTCATCTCTGTACTCAAATGTCACAGGAGGCTTTCTCTGTCTTCCCTATATATAAAAATAGCCCCCTTCAGGCTGGGCATGGTGGCTAATGCCTGTAATCCCAGCACTTTGGGAGGCCAAGGCAAGTGGATCACATGAGGTCAGGAGTGTGAGACCAGCCTGACCAACATGGCGAAATCCCATCTCTATTAAAAATACAAAAATTGGCCGGGTGTGGTGGCACGTGGCTGTAGTCCCAGCTACTCGGGGTGGGTTGGAGGTTGCAATGAGCCGGGATCATGCCACTGCACTCTAGCCTGGGCGATAGAGCGAGACTCCATCTCAAACAAAAAACAAAAAAACAAAACAAAAATAGCCCCTTTCATTCTCTGTTCCCCCTCACTTAACTTCCATCTTCCTAATAGCAGTGATAATGACCTGACATGCTGCATGTTTATTGTCTGTTCACCACTGTCCCCATCTCCAGCCTTGAGTGTAAACCTCCTTAGAACAAGAGCTTTGGTTAGTTCAGTTGTTATATCCCTAGTGCTGATCTACAGCAAACACTCCGTAATTATTTATTGAATGAAAGGGCAGCTCAGACCGCACTGTGAGACTCATTTGCTAATACTGTTTATACATTAGAAAAAACTCAAGCATTTTTTCTATATGCTTCTTTAGAAGTTGTTTGGAATTTTTATGAGTAATTATTTTATTTTAAATGGATTGAAAAATTATTTGGGTACAGTGGGTTCACAGAACACCACTTGAATCAACTCATATATTCTGTGAGTAAAAATAACCAAACAATCCAAAAGAAAAGGTAAAAGACCTTTCCATCTCTCTCTAGGATTCTTGATTTGTGACTCAACTTTATCACTCTTCTTCTATGCAGCTTTTAATTTGCTTTTAAAATTTCTGTTAGCAATTAGGATGATCCAATTAAAATGTAATGGGTCTGACGTTTGCTATAATTCTTTTACTTCAATGACATGAAAAACTTTTATAACTTTGGGACTCAGAGGAGATGTCAGCTGCTTTCTTCCCTCCTCCCTGCCCCATCTTCCATTCCTTCTTGCTCTAGAGGTGATAGCCACACCCCCTATTAAAGCTGTCTTTGCCAAGAATACCAGTGATATATTAATGACTCAACTCAGGAACTCCAGTACTGTTTTCTCAGAATATTTCACACTTGCAGTTTCTCCACTTGGTTGGGTTATGGTTTTTTCCCCATCATCAGCTGTTCCCTGCCACATTTCTTCACAGCATCGGTCTCTCCTCCTCTCTAAATATGGACAGAACATGAAGCCATCTCCAGTGCTCTCTGAACCTATCTTTTTGGCAGCTTCAGTAATTGCCTTCCCAAACAACATCCCTAATTCCAACCTCTGTTGACGTCTGTTTCCACGGCCCCAAGTGACTGATGGGCACTTCCATCTAAAATCCAGTTTATTATAGCAAAGACATGGAATCAACCTAGGTGCCCATCAATGGCAAATTGGATAAAGAAAATGTGTTACATATACACCATGGAATACCATGCAGCTATAAAAAAAGAATGAAATCATCTCCTTTGCAGCAACAAAGATGCAGCTGGAGGCCATTATCCTAAGCAAATTAACACAGAAACAGACAACCAAATATCACATATTCTCACTTAGAAGTGGGAGCTATATCTTTAAATCTGTTTCCACAGCCCCAAGTGACTGACGGGAATTTCCATTGTAAACCATGGCCTCATTAAATTTGTTTCTTCTTGAACTTGTTTTTCACACCCCAACAGAGTATTCTGGACACACATATTCCGCTTCACACGGCCACACATTCACTTCTTTGTTTCCATGTCTATGTCCTTCATTAAAACATGCTTATTATCATCTATGCATGTAAATGTTTTAGAGAAACTTCAATGTCCTTCTTGATTTTCCTTATTGGGTGGAATACATCCAAGTTAACTTTTACAAAATATCTCTCTGATAGTCTCATTTTCTCTCCCACCAAACAAGGTTAAAAACCTTTAGTGGCTCCCTAATCCTGTAGGTTATCTGATTCCCTATAGACAACATTTAAACATTTAGCTTTGAATAAACAGGTCTAGCCCAAGCCTTCCTGTCAAATACTATCCTATTTCCTTTTCTTTGCCTAAACTCACTGCTCAGCCAAACTGATTTCCCGTTGTCCCCTGAACCTGCCGCATACATTTCCACTTTTACGGTTTTATTCTCCTCTCCTTTCTTATTCTCTGACCACATCCTATCTGTTCTTTAAAAACTAATCAATCCACCTTTGCTGATTCCACCAGTCTTAGATTATTTCTCCTTCCTCAAGGTTCTTTACCAGCGTTTATTGTCCATGAGCTGAAGCCGAGTGCAGTGGCTCACGCCTGTAATAGTAACACTTTGGGAGGCCGAGGCGGGCAGATCACCTGAGGTTGGGAGTTTGAGACCAGCCTGACCAATATGGAGAAACCTCGTCTCTACTAAAAATACAAAATTAGTTGGGTGTGGTGGCGCATGACTATAATCCCAGCTACTTGGGAGGCTGAGGCAGGAGAATCACTTGAACCCAGGAGGCGGATGTTGCAGTGAGCTGAGATTGCACCATTGCACTCCAGCCTGGGCAACAAGAGTGAAACTCCATCTCAAAAAAAAAGAAGAAAAAAAAAAGATGAATTCAGTTGTATTGTAGATCTCTTTTTATATTCTTCCCAACTAACTTTTAAGACCCTGTGTATGTGAATTGTCTTCTATTGTTTAAATATCCTTCATTTTTCTCAGTAAAGAATCTTACTTACTTACTTACTTACATTTGAATTACCATCTGTCTGTCTCTGTCTCGGTCTCTGTCTCTGTCACTGTCTGTCTCTCTCTCTCTCTCTCTCTCTCACACACACACACACAATTATTTACTTTTGTTTTATAGCCAACCCTGTTAAATTAGAATTCAGGCAGTCACATTTAAGTATTTTTAAAGTTTTATTTCTCAGGTTATATGGAAGCAATACATTGTCACTCTAGAGAACTTAGAAAATTATGAAAAAATAGAAGGCATTAAAATCCTTCTGTAAGGTTTGTTTGTTTGTTTGTTTGTTTGTTTGTTTGTTTGTTTTAACTTTAAGTCCAGGGATACATGTGCAGAACATGCAGCTTTGTTACATAGGTATACATGTGCCATGGTGGTTTGCTGCCCCTATCAACCCATCATCTGGGTTTTAAGGCTTGTTTTAAATCTTTTTCTCTGCATGAAACCCACAGATATATGATCATTATCATTCATTATCCATAATTTTGTATTCCTTTTTAATGTCATGTCATAAGTGTTTTTTGTTTCAATTGATACACTTTTAATTATTTCTAAATCCCTATTGGTAGCTGTATAAGATGGGCTTGCTATGACTTATGTCAATGCAATCCTCGAATACAGGAAGGCCTGAGTAATTTCCCTAAGATCAACCACTAGAATGTTGTAGACTTTTTTTCCTCCATTACTATTTTCATCCTAGCCCTGCTCAGTCCCTCTTACTGCAATGAAAGGATCGCTCTCTAGGGATCAAGAAATAGATAAATTTCTAGGACCCAGCTTCTCTCCAGTCAGTTGAGTTAGGTGCTACCCTTCACCTTAATACTTTTAATAGCTATGTCCAGAGGACAGCAATAAGGGTAGTGAGGGGAATTTCAACAAAGCCAAGTGAGGAGCTATTGAAGCAACTGAAGATGTTGAGCTTGGAGGGAAGATGCAGAAGTGATCATCGCAGCAACCTTCAGACATTGGAAGAGCAGTTACGTGGAAGACGGTTATGGCTTGTTCTACTCACCTTTGCAGAGGGTAGAAATAGGACCAAATGAAAGCAGATTTCAACTCAACCAAGGCAAGATATATCTATCAAGATTTCTGAAAATTAAACTATAAAAAAATCCTGGGCCTCTGTGAGTCATGGTGAGGGCCCTGGCCCTGGATATACTCTGAGAAGATGCTGCAGAGGGGATTCCAGGATTTCATAGGTGTTTTGACACCAAATTGGATCCTCATGTCACTTCTGGATGTGGAGCTATGTGTCTGCATTCACATCTTTTTAAAAATTTATTTAATGAGAAGGAGTCTTGCTCTTGTCACCCAGGCTGGAGTGGAGTGGCGCTACCTTGACTCACTGTGACCTCTGCCTCCTGGGTTCAGGGGATTCTCAGCCTCCCGAGTAGCTGGGACCACAAGTGTGTACCAGCATGCCCAGCTAATTTTTGTGTTTTCAGCAGAGACAGGGTTTCACCATATTGACCAGGCTGCTCTTGAACTCCTAACCTCAGGAGATCTGCCCACCTCGGCCGCCCAAAGTGCTGGGATTACAGGAGTGAGCCACCGCATCCGGCCGTGTAGTCACATCCTTTTTAACTTCACCTTCACCCAAATAAAGCCTCATTTGGCCACTAAAAGAGCAAAAGCCTTGCTCACATTATTCCAGTCGTATCCTTCAGGCTACGTCATACTTCATTCTAAATAATTCCTGATATCACTAACGATGATTACTATCCCAGATGTTTCTATCTTTCATCAAGAGAGCCAACAATCATCCTTTGTCGATGATGATGAACACCTGAATGATTGCACAGAGTGGAATAGGCAGTACCCTGCAGCAACAGACTGTGGTTTCTGCTGAATACTGGCTCTGCCACTTTGCTGTCTATGGGTATTTGGGCCACTTGCTAAAGCCCTCTGTGTCTTTGGGGGTGATAACTTCAGAGGGCTGTTGGAAGATTAAATCTCCTGCTGTTTATAAAGTGCATAAGGCAGCGCCTGGTACATAATAGATGCTCAGTAAATATTAAGCATTATATATATATTATTTTATATAAGATGCCATGCTGAGCTCTCTGATTACTCAATGAATACATTGCATGATCTGCTTTCAAGAAGCCCTTAGCCTGGTGGAAGATAACCTGGGTGAAGAAAACATCACTGTGAGGCATGTTTATGCTCTGGCAGGGAATGTACAAATGCAGGGGACGCTCATAGCCAACGCACCTTGCTCTGCCTTTGGTGATTAAGGAAGGCTTGTGAGAGAGGATAGCTAAGCTGAAGCTGAAGCATGAACTACACTTGGTGAGTGAAGTTGAGAGTAGCAGTGCTTTGGGAGTAATGAACAGTATGT
The DNA here is from genome assembly GCF_000001405.40 of Homo sapiens. NCBI lineage: Eukaryota > Metazoa > Chordata > Mammalia > Primates > Hominidae > Homo > Homo sapiens. The sequence goes on from NC_000002.12 coordinate 223,240,203, forward strand.
GCAAAACTTTGGAGGTGAGAGAGAAGATGCCACATTAGAAGAGACCAAAAGTAAGAGAGCAGATGGTATTTGAGGAGACTCTAAATACCTGCAGATAATATAAAATGGCAGAAGTGGGTAGATGTGAGAGGGGCCTATATTTTTATTAACAGTACTCTTTGCAATTTTCTATTATACTCATCTTGCAATCTGATTCAATTTCTATGCTTTATTTTCAGATAGTCTCATAATTGATCTTGTAGTACAGCGGTCCCCAAGCTTTTTGGCATCAGGGATCAGTTTCATGGAAGACAATTTTTCCTTGGACAGGGGTTCTGGGGGATGATTGAAGTGCATTACATTTATTGTGTACTTTATTTTTATTATTATTACATTGTAATATATAATGAAATAATTATATAACTCACCATAATGCAGAATCAGTGCGAGCCCTGAGCTTATTCTCCTACAACTAGATGATCCTACTGGGGGTGATGGGAGACAGTGACAGATCATAAGGCATTAGATTCTCATAAGGAGCATGCAACCTAGATTCCTCACATGGGCAGTTCACAATAGGGTTCACACTTCTGTGTGAATATAATGCCACTGCTGATCTGACAGGACGTGGAGCTCAGGGAGTAAGGTGAGCTATGGGGAGCAGCTGCAAATACAGATGAAGCTTCTTTTGCTCGCCTGATGCTCACTGGTCCATGGCATGGGGTTGAGGACCCCTGTTCTAGTGTAGCTACAAAGCTTTCATAGTTCTTTCCATCATTGAAAGACACCTCTAAACCCAATTTGACTTTTGTCCTGTTTGGTAGGCCATTGACCCCAAAACTCATGTGTGTAACCCCAAAGCACCTTATTATTCTGGCCCCAGTAACAAGGCACCCCTGAGTTTGGAGGAAGTTTTATGTGTCAGAATTCTATAATGTATCTGCTTATGTTTTGACAATGAACTGAGATAACCCTAAGCTAATAGTACTTGGCTGTACCTAGTTTATCCAGAGGTTGTTCATTCAACTATTTACAGATGATTAATTATAAGAGAGCTGAGACATCTCCTTCCCAAATACTCATATAAAATAGAATATTTTTCAAATTTGGCGTTTTCTTTTTACCAGATGGTTTCTCTGTTTTCTCTTTCCTTCTCTTTTTTTCTCTGTAAGTGCAATATTAGCATCAAAATGGTCAGCTCAATTTCAAACTTAAACTTGATTCTTCATAAGGAATCTGTGCTCAGTGATTAGAATTAGGCATAATGCTATAAATAATCTTTGCGGTTATTCAACTTGGCCCATTCATTTAATTTTAATTTTAATTAATTTATTTTTCATTTCCAACTTTTATTTTAACTTCAGGGGTACATGTACAGGGTGTGCAGGTTTGTTACATAGGTAGCCATGTGCCAAGATGGTTTGTTGCACAGATCATCTCATCACCTAGGTATTAAGTCCAGCATCATTAGCTATTCTTCCTGATACTCTCCCTCTTCCCACCCCCAACCATCCAACAGGCCTGAATATGTGTTTTTACCCACCATGTGTCCATGTGTTCTCATCATTCAGCTTCCATTTATAAGTAAGAACATGCAGTATTTGGTTTTCTGTTCCTGCATTAGTTTGCTAAGGATAATGGCTTCAAGCTCCATCTATGCCCCTGCAAAGAACACAATTTCATTCATTTTTAGGGCTGCATAGTATTCTATGGTGGATATAAACCACATTTTCTTTATCCAGTCTATCATTGATGGGCATTTAGGTTGATTCTATGTCTTTGCTATTGTAAATAGTGCTGCAATGCATGTACATGTGCATGTATCTTTATAATAGAATGATTTATATTCTTTTGGGTATATATCTAGTAATGGGATCAATGGGTCAAATGGTATTTCTGCCTGTAGGTCTTTGAGGAATTGCCACACTGTCTTCCACAATGGTTGAATAAATTTATGCTCTCACCAACAGTTCAAAAGCATTCCTTTTTCTCCACAACCTCACCAGCATCTGTTGTTTTTTGATTTTTTAATAATTGCCATTCTGACTGGTGTGAGATGGTATCTCATTGCAGTTATGATTTCAATTTCTCTAATGATCAGTGATATTGGGCATTTTTTCATATGCTTTTTGGCCACATGTATGTCTTTTTTTTGAAAAGTATCTGTTCATATCACTTGCCCACTTTTTAATGGGGTTATTTTTTCTTGTAAATTTGTTTAAGTTCCTTGTAGATACTGGATATTAGACCTTTGTCAGATGAATAGATTGCAAAAATATTCTCCCATTTGTCTGTTCATGCTGATGATCATTTCTTTTGCTGTGCAGAATCTCTTTAGTTTAATTAGATCCTGTTTGTCAATTTTTGCTTATTGCAATTGCTTTTGGCATCTTCATCATGAAATCTATGTCCTGAATAGTATTGCTTAGATTTTCTTCTAGGGTTTTCATAGTTTTGGGTTTTATATTTAACTCTCTAATCCATCTTGAGTTGATTTTTATATACAGTATTATGAAGGGGTCCAGTTTCAATTTTCTGCATATGGCTAGCCAGTTCTCCCAGAGCGACTTATTAAAGAGGTAATCCTTTCCCCATTGCTTGTTTTTGTCAGGTTTGTCAAAGATCAGTTGGTTGTAGGTGTGTGGTTTTATTTCTGGGTTTTCTATTCTGTTCCATTGGTCTATGTGTTTGTTCTTATGCCAGTACCATGCTGTGTTGGTTACTGTAGCTTTGTAGTATCATTTAAAATCAGGTAGCGTGATTTCTCCAGCTTTGTTCTTTTTGCTTAGGATTGTCTTGGCTATTTGGGCTCTTTTTTTGGTTCCATATGAATTTTAAAATATTCTTTTCTAATTCTATGAAGAATATCAATGGTAGTTCAATAGGAATAGAATTGAATCTGTAAATTGCTTTGGGCAGTATGGCCATTTTTATGATATGGATCCTTCCTATCCATGAGCATGGAATGTTTTTCCATTTGTTTGTGTCATCTCTGATTTATTTGAGCCGTGGTTTGTAGTTATCTTTGAAGAGGTTCTTCACTTCCCTTGTGAGCTGTATTCCTAGGTATTTTACTCTTTTGGTGGCAATTGTGAATGGGAGTTCTTTCATGATTGTGGCCCTCAGCTTACCTGTTTTGGTGTATGGGAATGCTAGCAATTTTTGCATGTCGATTTTGTATCCTGAGACTTTGCTGAAGTTGCTTATCAGCTTAAGAAGCTTTTGGGGTGAGATGATGGGGTTTTCTAGATATAGAATTACGTCATCTGCAAACAGAGACAATTTGACTTTCTCTTTTTCTGTTTGAATACTCTTTATTTCTTTTTCTTACCTGATTGCCCTGGCCAGAACTTCCAATACTATGCTGAATAGGAGTGGTGAGAGACGACATCCTTATCTTGTCCCAGTTTTCATGGGGAATACTTCTAGCTTTTGCCCTTTCAGTATGATATTGGCCATGGGTTTGTCCTATATGCCTTTTAATATTTTGAGGTATGTTCCTTCAATACATAGTTTATTGAGAGTTTTTAAAATGGAAGGATGTTGAAATTCTTCAAAGAATTTTCTGCATCTATTGAGATAATCATGTGTTTTTTGTCTTTGGTTCTCTTTATGTGATAAGTTACATTTATTAATTTGAAGATGTTGAATCAGTCTTGCATCCTGGGGATAAAGGTTACTTGATCATGGTGAATAAGCTTTTTGATGTGCTGCTGGATTTGGTTTACCAGTATTTTGTTGAGGATTTTTGCATCAATATTCATCAAGGAATTGGCCTAAAGCTTTCCTTTTTTGTTGTATCTCTGCCAGGTTTTGGTATCAGGATGATGTTGGCCTCATAGAGTAAGTTAGAGAGGAGTCCTTCCTTTTCTAGTTTTTTGGAATAGTTTCAGTAGAAATGGTACTAGCTCTTTTTTGTACCTCTGGTTGAATTTAGCTGTGAATCCATCTCATCCTGGGTTTTTTTTTTTGGTAGGCTATTTTCACTGCCTCAGTTTCAGAACCCATTATTGGTCTATTCAGGGATTCAGTTTCTTCTGGTTCAGTCTTGGGAAGGTGCATGTGTCCAGAAATTTGTCCTTTATTCTAGATTTTCTAGTTTATTTGCATAGAGGTGTTTATAGTATTTGCTGATGGTTGTTTGTATTTCTGAGGGGTCAGTGGTGACATCCCTATTATCATTTCTGATTGTGTTTATTTGAATCTTATCTCTTTTCTTCTTTATTAGTCTAGCTAGATGTCTATCTATTTTATTAATTTTTTCAAAATCCAGCTTCTGGATTCACTGATTTTTTGAAGTGTTTTTTTGGTGTCTCCATTTCCTTCAGTTTGGCTCTGATCTTGGTTATTTCTCATCTTCTTCTAGCTTTGTGGTTTGTTTGCTCTTGGTTCTCTAGTTCTTTTTGTTGTGATGTTAGGTTGTTAACATGAGATTTTTGTAGGTTTTTGATGTGAACATTTAGTGCTATAAATTTCGCTGTTAACACTGCTTTAGTTGGGTCCCAGAGATTCTGGTATATCGTATCTTTGTTCTCATTAGTTTCAAAGAACTTCTTGATTTCTGCCTTAATTTCATTATTTACCCAAGAGTCATTCAGGAGCACATTATTCAATTTCCACATAGTTGTGTGGTTTTGGGTGAATTTCTCAGTCTGGATTTTGAATTTGATTGTGCTGTAGTCTGAGAGACTGTTTGTTATGATTTCAGTTCTTTTGCATTTGCTGGGGAATGTTTTACTTTCGATTATGTGATCAATTTTAGAGTAAGTGCCATATGGCAATGAGAATAATGTATATTCTGTTGAATTTGGGTAGAGAATTCTGTAGATATCTATCAGGTCCACTTGATCCAGAGTTCAGTTCAGGTACTTAATATCTTTGATAATTTTCTCTCTCTATGATCTGTCTAATATTGTCAGTGAGGTGTTAAAGCCTCCCACTATTATTGTGTGCAAGTCTAAGTCTATTTGAAGGTCTCTAAGAGCTTGCTTTATGAATCTGGGTGCTCCTGTATTGGGTGCATATATATTTAGGATAGTTCGCTTTTTTGTTGTTGAATTGAACTCTACCTTTATGTCCTTTATGTAACTCACTTTTTTGTCTTTTTTGATGTTTGTTGGCTTAAAGTCTGTTTTGTTAGAAACTAGGATTGCAACCCTTGCTTTTTTCTGTTTTCCATTTGCTTTGTAAATTTTCTTCCATCCCTTTATTTTGAGCCTATGTGTGTCTTTGCATGTGAGACGGATCTCTTGAAGACGGCATACTGATGGGTCTTGGTTCTTTATCCAGCTTGCCATTCTGTGTCTTTTAATTGGGGGCAGTTAGCCCATTTATATTTAAGGTTAGTATTGTTATGTGTGGATTTGATTCTGTCATCATGATGGTAGCTGGTTATTTTGCAGACTTGTTTACATGGTTGCTTCATAGTGTCACTGGTTTGTGTGCTTCAGTGTGTTTTTCTAGTGGTTGGTAACAGTTTTTGCTTTCCATATTTAGTGCTTCCTTCAGGACCTCTTGTAAGGCAGGTCAGGTGGTAAAAAATTTCCTCAGCATTTGCTTACCTGCAAAGGATCTTATTTCAAATTAAACTTCATAAGTGAAAGAGAAATAAGATCCTTTCAGACAAGGAAATAATGAGGAAATGAAATATGAAATTTGGTGTTAGAAATTTTTTTCTTTAAAAATGTTGAATATTGGCCCCCGATCTCTTCTAGCTTATAGGGTTTCCACTGAGAAGCCTGCTGAGAGTGGCTGGAGGCCCTGGCTGGGAGGCTCCAGCTGGGAGGACCTGTCCCATGAAGAGGAGTGGATTGGGGTCACACTTAAAGAAGCAGTCTGGCCATGCCTTGACAAAAGAGCTATGTCTTGGTGGGGAACTGCTTCTGCCCCTCTTGACTTGGACTCTCCAAGGCCCACAAGTTGAAACGGCTGAGTCGTCCAACTAACCCAGGTGGCAGCCCTCCCCTCTCCAAGGCACTCCATCCCAGGGAGAGATCAGAGCTCAGTCCACAGTCTGTGTGGGTAGGTGGGGCTGGAGGGCCTGGCTGGGAGGTCCCACTCAGTGAAGGAGAATGGATCAGGGCCCCACTTAAAGAAGCAGTCTGGCCATGATCTTACAAAGCTACTGTGCTGTGCTGCTGGGGGGACCCTTCCTTGTCAGAACCACCTGGACTCTCCAAAGCCCACAGGCTGGAATGGCTGAGTAAACCAAACAGCAGAGATGGCACCCAACCCTCCCCTTAGGGTCTCTATCCAGTCTCAGGCAGCCTCTATTCTGTTGCCTGTGTCTGGCTGGAATTCCAAGCCAGTGGGTCTTATCTTGTGAGGTGCCGTAGAAGTGGGGCCTGGAGAATGACACTGCTCAACTCCCTGGATTCCACCCCCTTGCAAAAGGTATATGTGGACCTCCCACCTTGCCTGAGTTCCAGACCTGGATCCCCAGGGATCCTGGGGCTGGAGTATACAAAGCTCCTGGATCTCTGTGTTTGCCTGAGCAGCTACTCTGCCAAGACTCCACACAGTTCTGTATGTTGGAACCAAGCCCCTGGTGGCATGGGTTCACAAGGGGATCTCCTGATCTATGGGTTACAAAGACCTGTAGGAAAAGTGTGGTTTCCTGGGGTTGCACAATAACTCACCAATTCCCTTGGCTGGGGGTAGGGGTTCCCTTGGTGCTGTGTTATTCCTAGGTGGTCTGTCATCCCACCCTGCTTTTCTTCATTCTCTGTGGGTGGAGTTGTTTCCCTAATCAGTCCTGGCATAAGAACCTGGATATTTCAGTTGAAGGTGTCATAGTCACTGTCCCATTTCGTTCCTCCCCATGAGTGTCGTGGACCACAGCTGCTTCTAACTGGCCATCTTAGTCCCTCTCCCTATTTTTAAAAATAATGTTTTATTTGCATGTAGCAAAATTTAAATTGATAAACTTGGTTTCACTAACATGAAATAGACTACATTTACTTATTTTAATGGACTTTGTTTCTTAAAATCTTTTTGTCAAATAATGGTACTTTACACTGTGGGAAGTCTTTGGTGTTCTAGTTAATGATGAAGAAGACAGATATTTCATAAATTTATCACTAAATGTGGTTTAAAATGTTTCTTCTTTTCTGGAGTGTATGTATGCCACCACCAGATGGGGGCAGAGTGATGCAGTGAGACTGGGGAAGAGCACTGTTCGGAAACAACATGGTGGAAATCTAGTTGACTGAAGAGCTTCATGTGTATAAACTCAAGATGTTTTGTTTTATAAATTTCCTTTTATGTAAGCGTAACAAAATATAATAAAATGTAACTACTTAGAGCGAATAAAAAAGTATTCTCCTTAGAAGCCAGATCTGCTGTGACCCATCTGTTTTGTTGCATTTTAGTAGTAATTAAGATCTGAGTTCTTCAGAAGGGCTACAAGAATTGGAATCTAAGCTCTCCTATTACAGTAGTGTTATCTCCTGGCTACTCAACTATTTAGGCCTCAGTTTTTTCATCTTCAGTGAAATGGGATTAATAATGGTTCCTATCTCTCTATATTGTGGTGAGGGCAAAATGAAATAATGTTTGTGGTGAGTAGAGCATAGAGTAACGTTTGATGTATGTTAGTCCTTATTGTTCTTATGGATTCTCTGGTCAGCTACCTCCTTTTGTCCCTTCAAACTCCTAAATCTTGCTTAGAATGCTAGCTTTTATAATTCAATCAAATTAGGTGCATTGTAGCTTTGTGGCAAGTAATGGTCTTCATTTCTGTATAAAAATTATATTTTAATCTGTTGGTCTCTTATATATAAGAGTGTTCTAAATATGAGCCCCCAATCAAAAACCAGAAGCTCTTAACTAAAGATACTGATTTACTGTTAAAATGCTTCTCACGTAGGAAACTCTATGCAGTGATGTGTAACAGGAATTTATTCATTAATGATGGTTAGGGATTCTCTATAGCAGCTCAGAATAAAGGTGGGTCGTGAATGAATAAAAAATTCTATGTACATAGTCTGTAAGGGGAAAATAAGGGTATAGAGAAAGCTTAGGAATAAGATAGGCTTACATTATCATCTCCCCTGGTGGTTAGATATTCTTGGGGTAAACCAATTAGCGATTTAGCTTCAATTTCTTCGGTCACAAAATTACAGCAAAAATACAATACTTAATGCAGATGCTCTCAAAATGTCACTTTATTTACCTTTCACCCACAACCAATTTGCTTTTCCTTTTATTATTTTTGGTCATGACTGGAGTGACCACATAATTTGTAGTTCAAATTGGGACACTTTTGAGAAGGAAAGAGTGTGCTAAAAATAATTGAAATTATTATTACTATTTTTTATAAGACATGGGGGTCTTGCTATATTGCCCAGGCTAGAGTTTAGTGGCTAATCACAGGAGTGATCCCACTACTGATCAACACAGGAGTTTTGACCTGCTCCATTTCCGACCTTGGCTGATTCATCCCTTCTTGGGCAATTTGGTCCGCTCCTGGGAGGACACCATATTAATGCCAAACTTAGGGCAAACACCTGATTGGCATACTGTACTACAGCCCAGATCTCTTGGACTCAGGAGATCCTCCTGCCTCAGCTTCCCAAGAAACTGGGACCACAGGTGTGCACCACCACACTCAGCTGTAATTATATAATTTTTGACATTTATGAACGCAATTATTTTTATTATATTGCCCAATGAATAACATGGTCTATTTGAAAATTATTTTCCAACATAAAAATTCTTTTGGAAAGTAAGATAACAGATCTCTGTGTAGATTGAAAAAACAATTTTTTCACTCTACGCACTAATTAGCTGAACATTAAAAATAGCATAAGCAGAATAATTTTTCCTGATACATATTAATGTACTTAAATCAGCTTTTAGCTTTGTCTACTTATAAATTGATACCTTTAGCTATTCCTATTTATTCTATCACTTGTATTTTCTAAAGAATATATTTTTTCAATATAGTTTGTTTCTATTGATAAAAATTGAAACTTTCAAGTTTCATCTTATAGATAATAATTGTGATTAGTTAATACATTCAGTTGACTCTTTTAATAAATGCTATATACTGATACCTTTAACTGACTCAATTTTCAATTGAAAAAAGTACTTCATCCACAGTTGCTGAAGTACCTGGTGAGTACAGAGCAAATTCTGCTAAATGAAGGTTATCCTGAATTGTAATATTTCATAATAAAATGTGTAAATATTTCTACCCAAACATTTTCATATGTATGCTCATTTTGATTCTAGACAGGTGACCTTTCTTCAGCAAATATTTTTACAAGACAAAACTCATTAAATAATTTCTCTAGTTGTGATTTTAAAACAAATTTTGTCAAAATTAGATGTCATAGGACAGAGGCCTTCTGAATTTCATTCAATTGTGTGGTTCAGGAAATAAATCTGTTAAGTTAAAAGTATCTCCATCACATGATTCTGCCTACTGCTTGAGATATTCCAGAGCATAGTTATTTAATCTTCTTCAATATTTCATTTTGAACACTCTTTGAGTTCTTGTTTAATTTATTTGGTTTCAAATTTTATTGGGATAAATCCCAATGACTACCTGTTTATAAGCTTGGTTTTAATAAATCGCGATTCTCTCTAAAAGCTCTGCAAGCTGACATTTTTCCTTGTACCACTCATTGAATAGTTTGATTAAAGGTTCATGACTAATTTTGAACAAAATGTAGCCAAAATGTAGATACTTATTAGAAAATGCTCAATATCATTGTAAGATACTTAGGTTGACTTATATAGAAATCCTTCCAGGGTTCAAACATTTTAAAAATCCAAATTATTATTGATTTAAAAAGTAAGTATTAGAAAATTCAGCATATTATATCCATAAAATATTTGGCCAATTGCTTTTTTGTATATATAGGAAAATATCTGTATATTTTGACAACTGTAACTCCTATTCCTATTAGTAGAATACTGTAGATCATTTGAATACAGTTAAGATTTGTTTGCATAATGCAATTAATTACAAATACATTTCTGCTCCAAAGATTTCATCATTTAATTGGAATATCATTTTTACCATGGCATTATGCTCCATCAAAATCATATTCATATTATCACTGTAAAAAAGTAAATCACACACAAAACTTTGTTTCCAAAGTTGAATTTTTAAACCAAATTTTCAGTAACATTGACAATAGCACTGGATGTTTTGTCTTTGACTGACTGAATCAGTTTCTAACACTTTCTCTTTGATTCCACAACTTTGATGAAAATAATTTAATATTATTGGAATTAACTTTATCGATTTTCCATTAGAAGTGATATACAACAGGCTTCATTTTGCTGTTGCAAAGTTCTGTTAATGGAGCCAACACATTAGCATCTATAAATTCACTATTTTTTACATGCAAAGAAAACCTGGTATTGAAAATCAATTCATGAAATTAACTTAAAAGGTGCTATCATTTGATTTGAATGAAAAGGCATGCTTCACAGAAATATATTCCAGCTTTTTCAAATGCATGTATTAAGTCATCATTTTAAGGCAGGTTCTTCTTAAATAAATACAAACTCTGAAAGTAGATGTTGACATATTTTTAGAGATTTGAGTCTCGTAGTTGTTATGAGGTCCATGTTATTCCTATAGATCCAAAAGAGGATGTTCAGTATTGAAAAACATTTTGAGCAAGTTAAATGTTCATCATGAACTTTCTTAAGAAATGGTGATTCAGGTTGATTCATTAAATATGCACCTTTTTGAGCTCATTACTGTTTAAAGGATTCAATATCAAATAAAAAAGAAAACCAAACAATAAAATCGTTGTTAGATTATACCATAATGCAAACTACCCTAGAAGAGCAATCAGACTATTCTAGACATTCTATGGCAGGACTGCTCAGCCTCTATTTCCCACACTTTGGTGTTCAGTTAAGCTATAATTTCCCATGTTGTCCCCTGATCCCACCAACTGACAGCCTAGGAGTTACCAGCATTCCACAGGCTGGCTCACCCAATAGCTGGCAGAGACAGCAACATGCAATACTTCTCCCACCACCACCCTTCTCCAGTTTATATTGTCTGAGCCAGCCTTATTGCACCAGCGATCACCACTGAGTGAGAAGTGTTAGTTTCTGGGTGGGGTAGGGAAAGGACAGATGGGTTTATCTTTGGTTGTCTTTTAGGTTTCACCACGTGTTCAAGTGAGCATCTTTTTTTACTGCACACATCTCTCATGTATGCTGCTAGACAAGACCCTGGTAGAAGTTACAAGTTCTTTTTCTTTCTTTCTTTCTTTTTTTTTTTTTTTTTTGAGAAAGAGTCTCGCTCTGTCACCCAGGCTGGAGTGCAATGGCGCAATCTTGGCTCACTGCAACCTCCGCCTCCTGGGTTCAAGCGATTCTCCCACCTCAGCCCCTCGAGTAGTTGGAATTACAGGCGTGTGCCACCATGCCCGGCTAATTTTTGTATTTTTAGTTAAGGGGTTTCACCATGTTGGCCAGGCTGGTCTCAAACTCCTGACCTCAAGCGATCAGCCCGCCTCAGTCTCTCAAAGTGCTAGGATGCCAGGGTGAGCCACCGCACCCAGCTGGAAGTTGCAAGTTCAAAGTGGAGTTCTACCAAACTCATTTAGCTTATTGCAATACAGCCAAAAACATCAGGGACAAATGCTTAAAGTGAGAAGACTTTGGGAATTCAGGAGGTAACCAGGGCTGTGGCGCGCAGCCAGGGTATGTGGGTGCACTACGCATAAGGAGCTTTATCCACGCAACACTCTTGGTCCTGTCTCACTCTTATTATCCCACGTTTCCACTTCTCCTAAATGCTCGTTCATTTTAAGAGAAGTGACTCGGTTACTTGGCTCCTTCTCTCCTTTCCTTAGCTTTTTATGGGCAATAAAACCCAGCTTCTTCCTAGCTTAATGATTTAGCTTTGCTTTAAGGGTTTAATGATAGTTATAACTCAGTCTTTATAGATTTTTTTTTTTTACTCTGAAAGAGAAGGCATTTTCAATCATGTGATTGAGAAATCATTCTTAAAAATAAAAATGCACTGGGATTTTAACATGTTGATTACAGGTACCTTTCTGTTTCTCAGAAAAGGTAAAATTACTAGTAGAAATGAAATTGGGAGAAGTATGGGACATGTAAGCTCTCCTATGACTGAACATCCCAGTTAGAGTTGGGTGAACCTCAGAGAAAGCTAGTTTCATGGCACTGTATTCAGTTAGTTACTCTTACGTTGTTTTGTAAATGTTTTATATATTTCAGTGTGTTGTGTTTCTCCAACTAGATTGTAAACTCATTGAGGGCTTTTTATCATTTTAGTATTACTCTATAAATTTTAGTATAGTTTCCATGTTTATTTAGTCACTGTATTTATTGACTGGTAGTTAACAAAATTTCTCTGACTTTTTACCTGTAAAAAGAACCAATTTCTCTTTTTCCCTCGTCATCTTTGAGTCCTAGTCAGTGAAAAAGAAAGAAAGAAAGAAAGAAAGAAAGAAAGAAAGAAAGAAAGAAAGAAAGAAAGAAAGAAAGAAAGAAAGAAAGAAAGAAAAAGAAAAAAGAAACCAGAAGCTTATCTCTTGAGCCTGAGGAATGTGCCAGGCAGGAAGCCATGCCTTTAGTAAGATACATGGATTGGCTAGGTTTATTCCCCACCGTAACTCAACTTCTTGTATTGAATTGCAAGTTGAAACAGTAAAGTGCACAATCTTGACTTTACAATGCAATGACTTTTTACAAATGTATACACTCATGTAACTACCAAGGTCAACTTAAATTATTTCCAGCACCCGAAGCCCCTTTCTTCCATCTTCCAGTTAATGATCCCCATAAAATCAACACCATTCTGACTTCTTTCACTATAGATTCATTTTGTTTGTTTGTGGACTTTGAAGAAAGAGAATCACAGTGTACCTAGCCCTTGGCATCTAGCTCTCTACTTTTTAGAGTCAAAATTTGAATTGAGTTGTAATATATAGCAAAGTGCACAAATAAGTATATATTATAGCTCTTTGAACTTTTACTAAATAAATCTATTCAGCCAACCAGCACCCATATCAATTAAGTAAAATATTTCCAATACTCCTGTATTCCTTATTCGTGTCCCTTCCAATCAGTTCTTCAATGTTAAAGATAACCATTTTTCTGACTTCTAAGACTATAGAATAATTCGTCTTTATATAAGTGAGATCATAGAATGTGTCCACTTCTGCGTTTGACTTCTTTCACTCAAAATTATAGCTGGTAGAGTTATCCATGTTAATGTGTACAGTTGTAGTTTGTTTTTCTTTCATTTCTGTTTAGTATTTCATTGAATAATTATACCACCATTTAAGAAGTCAATTATATATTGTTTGAACACGTAGACTTTTAGCAGTGTGGGGCCATTGTGAATAGTGTTGCTAAGAATATTATTGTTTGTGTCTTTTTGTGTGAACATGTATATGTATTTCTGTTGGATATGTACCTAGTAGTAGAACTGTGCATGTTCATGGTTGGCAGATAATACCAAACAGTTTTCTAACATGGCTATTAATTGAATGGATATTATCAAACAGTAATATCCATTAATTGAATGGATATTATCAAACAGTAATATCCATTAATTGAATGGATATTACCAAAGTTTTCTAACATGGTTATTAATTGAAGTTTACACCAGCATTTTACGAAAATTTGAGTTGTTCTACATCCTTATCAACACAGTGGTGTGTGATGCTATTCTGAATAATACTTGACTTTAGGTTTTCGTTTCTTTCTAAGATACAGAAATGTAGTTGTTCTTGTGTATTGACCCCATGTCTGATGATATTGCTAAATGCCTTATGACATTTAGCATACTAGTTTGTGGTAGATCCTTTTGGATGTTTTTATAATCACAACCAGATATTCTGTTAATAGTGATAATCTTATTTCTTACTTTTACATTATCCTATATATAATACTAAATATGTGACAATACTAAATATCTTTTATTTTAAAATATTTTCATTACTTTTTTCCAGTTTTACTGAGTTGTAATTAACAAATAAAATTTATATGTATTGACATATGTATATGCTGTGAAGCGATTAAAACAATAAAGATTAATATATACATTGCCTTAACTTGTTATCATTTTTCTTTTGTGGTGTGAACATTTAAGATCTTCTCTCTTAGCAATTTTTAAGTACACAACATATTACTGTTTACTATATTTGCCTTATTTCTGAATTCAAAGAAAAAATCTCTCAATATTTAGCATTAAGTATGATGCTTAGAGTAGCTGATTTGTAAATAATTCTTATCAGGTTAAGGAAGTTAATTTGTTACATATAACTGTAATTTGAAATTACTTTTCTTCTTTGGTTAGAAGTTTGGTCTGTATAGCATATCTTTTTCCATTTTTTTCCCCATTGCTCTTCGGTCCTTGTAGTTCTGTGTTTTGGTCTGGGGTCCATTTCTTCCTTCTTAAAAAAACTCTGTTTAATCTATCATTTAGTGCAACTCTGCTGATGGAAAATCCTTTCTGTTTCCGTTTATCTGAAAATTTACTTTTTAATCCTTTTTTAGTTTGGTAAAATATACATAACATAAAAGTCACCATTCTAACCATTTTTAAGTACACAGTTCAGTTGTTGTGTAACTATCACCACTATCCATCTCCAGAAATTTTTTATCATCTCAAACTGAAACTCTGTGCCAATTAAACAGTAACTCTCCATTCTCCCTCCCACAGTCCCTGATAACTGTTATTCTACTTTCTGCCTCTATAAATTTGACTATTCTTGGTGCCTCATATAAACAGAATCATACAATGTTTGTCTTTTGTCTGGCTTATTTTTCTTAGCATAATGTCCTCAAGGTTCATCTATGCTGTAGCATATATAAAAATTTCACTTCTTTTTTTAGGCTGATTAACATTCCATTGTAGGTATGTATGATATTTTATTTATTCATCCATTGATAGATATTTGGGTTGTTTCTACCTTTTGGCTATTATAAATAATGCTGATATGAACCCTGATGTACAAATATATGTTCAAGTTCTTGCTTTCAATACTTTTGAGGTAATTTTATGTCCAATTTTTTGAGGAGCTGCTATGATGTTTTCCACAGCTGCTGAACCATTTTACATCTCCACCAGCAATGTACAGGGTTTAATATTTTCCCATCCTCACAGACACTTTTATTTTTGTCTCTCTTTCTTTTTTTTTTTTTTTTGTTTTTAAACTGCCATTCTAGTGGTTGCAAAGTGGTGTCTCATTGTGGTTTTGATTTGAGTTTCCCTAATGATAAAAGACATTGAGTATCTTTTCATGGTGCTTATTGGCCATTTGTATCTCCTCTTTGGAGAAATGTCTATTCAGATTTTTTGCCCACTTTTTAATATGACTTGTTTTGTTATTGTTGTTCTTTCATAGAAACTCTTTATATAATCTGTATATTAATCTCTTTTCAGATGTATGCTTTGCAAATATTTTATCCCATTTTGTGGATTGCCTTTTCATTATTTTGATAGTGTTCTTTGATGCACAAAATTTTAAAATTTTGAAGTCCAATTTATTTATTTTTCTTTTCCTGTCTGTGGTTTTGATATATTCATTTTTATATGGATAGCTTCATTGGGTATAAAACTCCATATTGGTAGTTATTTCCTTTAATCAATTTATAGACAACATTTTATTGTTTTCTGCCTTCATATTTTCTGGAGGAAAATTCAAAGGGATCTGTTGAATTAATTGTTGCTCCTTTGAATGTGATTTTCTTTTCTTGGGTAATCCAAAAATTGTTTTTTTCTCTTGCATATTCAGTTTGTCATAATTTGACTAGGTGTTATTCATTTTATTTACCCTGCCTGGGCTTTTCAGAACTTCCTGAATTGTTGCTTGATGTTTTTGATCAGATTTGGTAATTCTTAGTCATTACATCTTTAAATATGTCCCATCTTTCTCTCCTTTCTTTCTGCTTACATGTACATTATGCCTTTTTGCTATGCCTACATGTATCCTAACACTCACTATTTTCTGTATCTTCATGACTACTTCTCTTTATTCTTCAGTCATATATTTTCTATTGACATATTTCCTAGCTATTGACAATATATTCTGCTATTTGCAATCTGTGTTAAACTTATACATTGAGGTTTAAATTTCAGATAATAAATACTTTTATTTCTAGAATGTTTATATAAATAGATTCTAATTGCTGGTGAAATTTTTCATTTTTATATCTATGTTCTTGTTCTCCATCTCTTCATCGATTTTCATGAACAAATTATTCATATTTATTTGAAGGTGTTTGTCTGCAAGTACAATATAATGGTTATTATGGAGAGGGGGTAGTTGTTTCTATTTTCTATTTTTGTTTTTTCCTGTGGAATTTTACTTGTAAGATTTTGTCTTTTAGTACACCTTGTAATTTTTTATTGAAATCCAATTTGTTTTTATAATATATTGTGGAGGCTATTAATTATGGTATATTTCTCCAGAAAAGGTTTACCTTTTCTTTGCTAGGATATAGTATGAGGCTGATCACTTTAAACCATTATAAATCTGAGTTGAGGCAAGACTAGCTCCCATTTTGATAAGGCTAATCTACCTCTGGTTTGTTCTTGTTCTTCTAGGGCTTTTTATTGTTGTGATTTCTGTTCTTTTACATTTGTTGAGGAGTGCTTTACTTCCAATTATGTAGTCAATTTTACAATAAGTGTGAATGTGGTGCTGAGAAGAATGTATATTCTGTTGATTTGGGGTGGAAAGTTTTGCAGATGTCTATTAGGTCTGCTTGCTGCAGAGCTGAGTTCAGGTCCTGGATATCCTTGTTAACTTTCTGTCTCATTGGTCTGTCTAATATTGACAGTGGGATGTTAAAGTCTCCCATTATTATTGTGTGGGAGTCTAAGTCTCTTTGTAGGTCTCTAAGGATTTGCATTATGAATCTGGGTGCTCCTATATTGGGTGCATATATATTTAGGATAGCTAGCTCTTCTTGCTGAATGGATCCCTTAACCATTATGTAATGGCCTTGTTTGTCTCTTTTGATCTTTGTTGGTTTAAAGTCTGTTTCATCAGAGACTAGGATTGCAACCTCTGTTTTTTTTTTGTTTTTTTTTTTTTTGCTTTCCATTTGCCTGGTAAATATTCCTCCATCCCTTTATTTTGAGCTATGTGCATCTTTGCACATGAGATAGGTCTCTTGAATACAGCACACTAATGGGTATTGACTCTTTATACAATTTGCCAGTGTGTGTCTTTTAATTGGGGGCATTTAGCCCATTTACATTTAAGGTTAATATTGTTATGTGTGAATTTGATCCTGTCATTGTGATGTTTGCTGGTTATTTTGCCCATTAATTGATGCAGTTTCTTCAAAGCATCAATGGTCTTTACAATTTGGCAGGTTTTGCAGTGGCTGGTACCGGTTGTTTCTTTCTGTGTTTAGTGCTTCCTTGAGGAGCTCTTGTAAGGCAGGCCTGGTGGTGACAAAATCTCTCAGCATTTGCTTGTCTGTAAAGGATTTCATTTCTCCTTCACTTATGAAGCTTGGTTTGGCTGGATATGAAATTCTGCATTGAAAATTATTTTTTTTAAGAATGTTGAATATTGGTCCCCAGCGTCTTCTGTCTTGTAGGGTTTCTGCCGAGACATTTGCTGTTAGTCTGATGGGCTTCTTTGTGGGTAACTTGACCTTTCTCTCTTGCTGCCCTTAACACTTTTTCCTTCATTTCAACCTTGGTGAATCCAATAATTATGTGTCTTGGGGTTGCTCTTCTCGAGGAGTATCTTTGTGGCATTCTCTGTATTTCCTGAATTTGAATGTTGGCCTGCCTTGCTAGGTTGGGGAAAATCTGGATAATATCCTGAACAGTGTTTTCCAACTTGGTTCCATTCTCCCCATCACTTTCAGGTACACCAATCAAACGTAGATTTGGTCTTTTCACATAGTCTCATTTATCCTGGAGGCTTTGTTTGTTTCTCTTTGCTCTTTTTCCTCTAATCTTTTCTTCTCATTGTATTTTATTAATTTGATCTTCAATCACTGATACCCTTTCTTCCACTTGATCAAATCAGCTATTGAAGCTCGTGCATGTGTCACAAGGTTCTTGTGCCATGGTTTTCAACTCCATCAGGTCATTTAAGGTCTTCTCTACACTGTTTATTCTAGTTAGCTATTCGTCTAATCTTTTTTCAAGGTTTTTAGCTTCTTTGTGATGGGTTTGAACATCCTCCTTTAGCTCAGAGAAGTTTGTTATTACCGACCTTCTGAAGCCTACTTCTGTCAACTCGTCAAAGTCATTCTCTGTCCAGCTTTGTTCTGTTGCTGGTGAGGAGCTGAGATCCTTTGGAGGAGAAGAGGCACTCGATTTTTAGAATTTTCAGCTTTTCTGCTCTGGTTTCTTCCCATCTTTGTGGTTTTATCTACCTTTGGTCTTTGATGTTGGTGACCTACAAATTGGGTTTTGGTGTAGATGACCTTTTTGTTGATGTTGATGTTATTCCTTTCTGTTTGCTAGTTTTCCTTCTAACAGTCAGGTTCCTCAGCTGCATGTCTGTTGGAGTTTGCTGGAGTTTCACTCCAGACCCTGTTTGCCTGGGTATCACCAGCAGAGGCTGAAGAACAGCAAATATTGCAGAACAGCAAATATTGCTGCCTGATCCTTCCTCTGGAAGCTTCATCCCAGATAGGCAGCCACCTATATGAGGTGTCTGTCGGCCCCTACTGGGAGATGTCTCCCAGTTAGGCTACACAGAGGTCAGGGATCCACTTGAGGAGGCAGTCTGTCTGTTCTCAGAGCTCAAACTCTGTGCTGGGAGAACCACTGCTCTCTTCAGAGCTGTCAGATAGGGATGTTTAAGTCTGCAGAAGTTGTCTGCTGCCTTTTGTTCAGCTATGCCCTGCCCACCGATGTGGAGTCTAGAGGCAGTAGGACTTGTTGAGCTGTGGTGGGCTCCGCCCAGTTGGAGCTTCTCCGCGGCTTTGTTTACCTACTCAAGCCTCAGCAATGACAGACTCCCCTCCCCCAGCCAGGCTGCCACCTCACAGATCAATCTCAGACTGTTGTGCTAGCAGGGAGCAAGGCTCTGTGGGCATGGGACCCACCGAGCCAGGCATGGGAGAGAATCACCTTGTCTGCCAGTTGCTAAGACTTTGGGAAAAGTGCAGAATTTGGGTAGGAGTGACCCATTTTTCCAGGTAGTCTGTCACAGCTTCCCTTGGCTAGGAAAAGGGAAATCCCTGGACCTCTTGCACTTCCCAGGTGAGGCGACTCCCTGCACTGCTTCAGCTTGCACTCCATGGCTGCACCCACTGTCCAACCAGTCCCAATGAGATGAACCAGATACCTCAGTTGGAAATGCAGAAATCTCCCGTCTTCTGCATTGATCATGCTGGGAGCTGCAGACTGGAGCTGTTCCTATTCGGCCATCTTGGAACACCAATAATGACAAATTATTACATTCACTTTTTTAGCTACATCAAAATTATGAATAATTAGAATGAAATTGTCTTATAAATTTTGATATCTTCTGTAATGGGGATTGGTATCTCAAGTTACCATATTGCTCCAGGTACAGTTGACAGACTTTCTGCCTCCTGAATCAAACATATATCTCAAGGCATGAAAGCCTCTGAGAAAGGGAAAAAATTACCTTTGGAAAGCCCATGCAGTTTGCTTTAGAGAAAAGAATTATGCTATCACCTCAATTTTATACACAATGTCATGACCCATTCTTGTAATGCTTAATCCTTGCTAGTTTCAGCTATCTGGAATATAGTTTTACGTATAGAAACAAATAAAGGTTGTTCTGAACAGAGAGCTATAATATAGTACATATTTTATTTTTTTCTAGAGAGCAATAGAATCTTCTTCAGATCCATAGTATTGATCTAGGATCATGTGTGATGTTAGCTTCCAACTCCATAAACTGAACTGTCTAGTTTTTCCTTAGGGAATGTCTGATCTTGTTAAGTTGCAACTAATTAAAAATTAGGGAGAAGTCAGTGAAAAGTATGAGGGTTTGTAGAATCAACATATAGAGAGTGGACAGATAATCTCACAGAAAGACACAGAATAAGACCTGAAAACTGGGGACACAAGAAACAGAGCCAAAAAGCCATTCACATGACAGCTGTTCATCCTCTTCATCTTCCCCACTGTCTTATATAAGAGAAAAATACATATTTTTTTCTAAGAATGTCCTCATAGCCTGAAGAAAAGTTGAATTATGTTTCTGTGTTCTATTTATTAGGTAATATTTTATTTTTTGTATCTTTTATATGGTTTTATGTCAGTTCATATATGCTGAATTCCTCATTTCAGTGGGATATGAATTAAATGAGATGTTTTTTATTGACTTCTTTGGGGTGAGTGTATAAGGAGAAAAAAGGAAGAAAAAGGCAAAAGTACTTGGGTTAAATGACTAGGACTGTTCAATTTGGGTAGGGCCCTCATGCCAGTATTTAGTTAATTTATTTTTCTGCCACTGTAGACAATGTCATAAAGGATTTTTTTTCTTGCTTTCAAGGATTTTTGAATCAATATGTTACATTTAAAGTTCTTTTTGTGCTTTGTTAGCATCAAGGTGATGTTTTCATAAATTAGAATGTTGGAGATGATAGCTGTTTAGTTCCCTTTTTTTTGAAGGTATTGTTTATTACTGTTAAGGAGATAATACATGCCCTGCACATTCCTCAGATGAGCTCATCTGATGTAAAATACAATGTTCCCCGTATCTTTTGTTCCCTGAATAACTCTATGATTTAAATGAGTGACTCAGAGGCAGAGAGGAAAGGAAGGAAGGGAAAGTACAATTTAAAAAATAACTACTTAACTCCTACTTCAACTTCAGTTCCTTGTTCGATTGTTTCTTTCTCAGAAAGAAACTTCTCTCCTAATTTATTCAGTTCACATCCCCCTATGAGAAAATATCATAGCACCATGGACTTTTCTTCTTGGGTTTTGTTACATTGCAGTTTCACTTTTTTTCAATGCCTTGTCAGTAGTGTCAGTCTCTACATCAGTCTAGGCTGTATGGCAGATAGACTTTAAGATGGACCCAAAGACCCCTGCTTCCTGGTATTCATGCTCTTGTGTAGTTCTGTTTCCTTGAGGGGCTGCTTCTATGAGATGCTTCTAAGCAATACAATATGGCAAAGATGATGATCTGTCATTGTTATGATTATGTTATGTATGATTGTAACTTCTGTCTTGTTAGCAAACTCTCTGCCATGCTGGCTTTGATGTACAAGTTGTTATATTGTCAGCTACCCTATGGATAGGCTTATCCAAAAAGGAACTGAAGAGAGCCTCCTGCTGACTGCCTGCAAAGAACGAAGGCCCACAGTCCAAAAACCTACAAGGAACTGAATCTTTCCAACAACTGCTTCGATGAACTTGGAAGCAGGTCCTTCCCCAGGCAAGTTTTCAGATGAGACCTCATGCTGACTGACACCTTCATTGCAGCCTTGTGAGAGAAGGGGAACTATGTATGAGACAAAAAGTGAAATATTTAAAAAGCACCAAGCATTTGATATAAATATATCTTCAAGTCAGACTGGAATGTTAGTCAGGAATAAAAGGTGGAATAATAAGGGTATTCTCCTCTTTCCAGACCTCATGATGCCTACACAGAGCTCAGTTATGCCTATTCTTTCATTTGCTATTCTAACCTCATGACGAGGGGTCTTAAAGAGAGGTGAGGAGGTAAAAATGAAAAGAATGGAATAATCCTAATACTATGGTTTGGGGGCCCTCTTCTGGGTGGACTGTGGGGATTTCAGGAGCCTAGATTGCTGCTGAAAGAAGTGCCCAGGAAAAACCATTCATCTACCTGCTGAGATCTCCCTTCCTGCCTGTCCAGCATTCTTAGTAGCAGATGGGACAGCCTCAGCACTATTATTAATAGTGAGAACTATTATTTTCACTATGAGACCTGCCTGCTCTGGATACAGCTTAGCAATTTTCAAATTCTCTCTCCCACAATCTAGTGTTACAACCTCCTACCTCTTTTCACCAGGAACCACGTCCTGCAGGGGTCAGTGAGGACAAATTAACTTTGCATTCGAGTGGCCTAGAGCCTTCTCCATGGTTCCATTCTCTTAAACACTGGGGTATGCTGTGCCCTTTCTTGAACTCTCCCTTTAGTGATTCAATTCAATTCAATTCAATTCAATTCAATTCAATTCAATTCAATTCAATTCAATTCAATTCAATTCAATTTGATTCGATTCAATTCAATTCAAAATGTTTACTGAGCACCTACTCTATGTTGGCTTAGTTTTAGGTATCTTGAATATATTTGAGAATAAAGCAAAAAACAAAGACAAAACCCAAAAAATCTTGCCTAAGCAAAAGCAGCGTATTTTCATGTATTTATTTACTTTTTTTTTTTGAGACAGTGTCTTGCTCTGTTGTCCAGGCTGGAGTGCAGTGGCATGATCTTACTTCACTGTAACCTCCGTCTCCCGGGTTCCAGCAATTCTCCTGCCTAAGCCTCCCAGGTAGCTGGGATTATAGGCATGTGACACCACGCCTGGCTAATTTTTGTATTTTTAGTAGAGACAGGGCTTCACGATGTTGGCCAGGCTGGTCTCGAACTCCTCACCCTCCTCGGCCTCACAAAATGCTGGGATTACAGACATGAGCCACCGCGCTCAGCCAAGCAGCTTACTTTCTAGTGAAATGTCTAGATAATAGATATACTCAACAACTTCAGCAAATAGAAAGGGTAAGAGTGATAGAGAATTAGTAACATTAGACAGTTTGAAATATTAAATAGGGCGCTTCAGATAAGTCTCTCTGAGAAGAAAGAATAGAGCAAATAGTTTATAGCAGTTGGACAGACAGGCATGTGGTTTCCTGGGGCAAGAGTGGTTCTGATGCTGTGGAGGCCCTAAGATGTCCTGTGTCTGGTATTTTTGAGAACAAAAAGGAGACGTGCCTGCCGGGAACAGAGGAAGTGAAAGAGAAGGTGGTGAGTGATGAAGTCAAAGAAAGGAGCAAAGCGGCAGACACGACATGTTCTCACAGGTGATTTATTCCTGGTATTTACTCTAATGAAACGCAGAGCCAGTGCAGGGTTCAGAAAGGGGAGCGTGACATGCACTAATTCACATTCTAAAAGGATGACTCAGGAAGGCATCCCTCTGTGCTGTCTGCCCTGGTCTCTGAAGAAGCCTGTTTTACTACCTTGTCCACCAGGGCTGCAGGTAGATGTCCATGGGCCCCGCCCGCAGTCTTGACCACCTGGGTCTCTTGTCCTCAAATGATGGACATGTCCACCTCCACCAGGCCCTCACAGCCACCACCTTTGCATTCTTCAAGGTGTCTGTTTCTCACTAAGTCTCAACCCAACCATGTCCATCGCCAGGCTCCTTATTTGTCTTGGGCATGGCGTCTTTATTGCTGCTCACCCCACAGCTCCCAAAGGTCCCCATCTCCCTTTCATCTACCTGCATTTTTCCCCACACCTTCCAGGTGAGGCTCATGCTTCATCTCCAAACACCTAAGGCCACAAACCACATTGAATTTTTTCCAGATTGCTTACACATTTTAATGAGACCTCCTTAGCTCAATTGTAAGTTTCCCTGATCCCAGCATATAATATGCCCCACACTGCCATCTTTGTCCATCAGTATTTATGTGTCTCAGGTGCTGTGCTACACACTACAGATAAAAGGTGAGAAAAAAACCACACAGACACTCTGCTCAAAGGGTTACTGCCTATATTAATTATTTATTGCTGTGTAACAGGTCACCACAGACAGTGGGTTTTTTAAAAATTTATTATTTCATGGTTTCTGTGCGTCAGGAATTTCAGCATGGCTTAGCTATGTCCTCAGCTTATTAACCTTCTGTCCATTTCCATTTTTCCATATAAGACCTTATGAAACAATTACATATAACTTTTTAACAAAATGTCTGTGAAACATATTATCTCTAATTTTCTTGAATGACAAATTGATTTTCTTGACAAGAAAGTGGGATTAATTCTTGTCTCATGCCATTGGTAAGGAGAAAAAAGTTTAACATCACATTGTCTTTGATAGAAATATTAACTGATACTCTCACGAATGATCCTTGGACATACAGATATGAATTAGATACATGCCCTAATAAACATATGTGTAGAAAATAAAAATGTTAAGATAAAGGCCCATGCTAGTAAAAGATCTTATATATGAAACACTAACTTGATTACATTTCAGATAGTGTAAAAGGCCAATCCACAGTCCATATAAACTTACAGGTTGAGTTTTATTTGATTATTGAAGTTGTAGGACCAACAGAAAGAGAGTTCTAAATTTTGTGTTTATTGACTTTAGCAAGTCCCTGGGTCTGTTACACCTACTGTTTAGTTCCCAGTCAAGTATAAGGTCCAATATTTTAAAATTCAATATTTGAAATATTGAAAATATTTGTTTGTGTACACACACAGACACACATGCATACCCATACACACAAAAGATAGCATACATTGGACCCATTTGATCACATTCTTTTATGGGGATTGAGTTTATCAATCTTAGCACAACCCAACACAACTGGCTGGGTTCAGGCCTCCTGAGTAGTTTCCCTGAGCTGAATGGTATATGAGTTGCTTAGGGTTGCCATGGCAGCATTCTACCAACTGGGTGGCTTAAACACCGGAAATGTATTGCCTCTCAGTTCTGGATGCCACAAGTCTGAAATCAAGGTATCAGTAGGGTTGGTTCCTTCTGAGGGCTGTGAAGGAGAATATGTTTCATGCCTCCTCCTGACTTCTGGTGGTTTGCTGGCAGTTTTTGGCATTTCTCTGCTTGTACAAGTGTCACCCTGATCTCTGCCTTCATGTCCACATGTCATATCCAGTCAGACTGGATCATCTTCCTACTCCAGTATGATAACCTCATTTCAGTTTAACTGATTACATCAGCAATGACTGTATTTCATGTAAGGTCACATTCAGAGGTTCTGGGGATTAGGGCTTCAACGTAATAATTTTGGTGAGGGTGACACAATTCAATCCATAACAGATGGGTTCATGGGGAAATGAGATGCTTGAGTAAAATAGTTGCTTGGATGTATTGAAATGGATTTGAATAAAACAAACTCATTCCATTTTTTTAATCCTAAATATTAAATCACAAACTATGAATGCTGGAGTTAAACAAATGGGGGTAAGAAAAACTTTATGCATATTTTCTTTTATCCACATTGAAATATTAATAATTTCTTTTGTTTTTTATTATTATACTTTAAGTTCTAGGGTACATGTGCACAATGTGCAGGTTTGTTACATATGTATACATGTGCCATGTTGGTGTGCTGCACCCATTATATATATAATTTTTAAAACTTAAGGATTCAACACTATTTGATATAAAAGATAGCCTCTGGCCTCACTCTTTCAGGTATGTCTGTGGAAGGCAGAATAATGGCCCACTAATAGTTTCTATATCCTAATTATGGGAACCTGTAAATATGTTACCTTTTATGGCAAAAAGGAGTTTGTAGATATGATTAAGGTTAAGGATCTTGAAAGAGGAAGATTATCTTGGTTTATTCAGGTGCATTCAACCTAATCATAAGAGTTCTTAAAAGCAGAAAACTGGCTGGGCACAGTGGCTCACACCTGTAATCCCAGCACTTTGGGAGGCCAAGGCATGTGGATCACCTGAAGTCAGGAGTTTGAGACCAGCCTGGCCAACGTGGTAAAACCCCATCTCTACTAAAAATACAAAAATTAGCCAGGCATGGTGGCAGGTGCCTGTAATCCTAGCTACTCAGGAGGCTGAGGCAGGGGAATCGCTTGAACTCAGGAGGCAGAGGTTGCAGTGAGCCGAGATCATGCCTTTGCATTCCACCCTGGGGGACAACAGCGAGACTTTGTCTCAAAAAAAAAAAAAAAAAAAAAAAAAAAAAGCAGAAAACCTTTTCTGACTGAAGTCAGAGGGAGTTGAGACTAAGGAAGACAATTCAGAGGGAGACACAATATTGCTGCCTTTGAAGATGGATAAAGAGAGTCAAGAGCCAAGGAGTAAGGGCAGCCTCTAGAAGTTGAAAAAGTCAGGGAAACAGATTATCTTCTTGAGCTCCCAGAAAGGAACGCAATCCTGCTGGCATCCTGGTTTTAGCTTAGTGAGACTTGTGACAGTCTTCTGATTTCCATAACTATAAGATAATAATTTTGGGTTGTTTTAAGCCACTAATTTTGTGGTAATTTGTTATAGTAGCCACAGAAAACCAATACACTCTCAACCCAGACTGCATGCATCTATCTACATAATGCTTAGCACAGCCCTCTGTACACAGTAGGTTCTGTATAAATAATTTTATAAATATTCTCAAATATGAATCACAAAGTTGTTTCAGTAAAACAGAAATTGTACCAATCTGGGTTTTGTGCATTGGTAGTTTTCAGGATAAACTAAGCATGTTTAGAAATCTGAATTTAAGTTCTTCCTGGATTTTTTTTTTTTTTTTTTTTTTTTTTAGACATAGTCTTCCTCTGTCGCCCAGGCTGGAGTGCAGTGGCGTGATCTCAACTCACTGCAACCTTGGCCTCCTGGGTTCAAGCTGTTCTCTCGCCTCAGCCTCCTGAGTAGCTGAGATTACAGACACGTGCCACCACGCCTGGCTAATTGTTTGTATTTTTAGTAGAGATGGGGTTTCACCATGTTGGCTAGGCTGGTTTCAAACTCCTGACCTCAAGTGATCTGCCTGCCTCGGCCTCCCAAAGTGCTAGGATTACAGACATGAACCACCTTGCCCGGCCTCCCTGGCTTCTTAAGTGGAGGAGCTGTGTCTCCATTTTGCTTGGATCAGTGCTACCAATACAACTATACATGTTTGGCCTCACAGAAAATATGTTTCTGTTAAGTTTGTCAAATTTAATAGTTATCCCTATGTCCTGGGTGAGTCTTTCACTGAGGGATGAGACAGGAGAGTGGACTTTGTTTTGAAGATGGGAGCAAGGCCTTTGGGGTCAGCAAGGGATGTTGGGCAGTTTGACTGAGTCGTTTCAATATTTTATCAGGTTCCCTAGTGAGTCAGCCTCAGTCCGAATATCAGAGGCAGGTGGGAAAAATTATAATAGGAGAACTTTCTACAATGAGAGTACAGGGCTCACAAGGAGACCCGAAAAGTAGCCAGCATCTCCGCAGGAGAAGAGGCCACTGCAGAGAAAAGCAAGCAATGATGTTCCCACTGAGAAAATTATAATGTTGAGACCCTAGCCAAGGTTCACCAGGGTATTTCCCAGCAGCCAAGGAATATTGACAGAAAGGGATAATTTGTTATTACCTCAATGAGAGCCTAGTCGATTTTCCTCCCTCACTGATTTTTCCTCGAGGATGGCAGGTAATAAATATGTGGCAGCCTTATGAAATAAGAACAAGGTGATCAGGTGCTTTTAGTAGCTTTTTGAAGGGTCCTTTCTCCTGCTATTTTTTTGTCTCGTATTTTAATATTATCTTGCCACCTATAGTTCTTGGTGAAGAAATGCAAATCCCACAAAACAAAAAAAATGAGGGGGCTGAAATAGTTGACTCTAAAGCAGCAATGTTAATTTTCAGAAGAGCATTTTTTTCTAGTGACTGCTAAAGTCCTCTTTGTTTTATCCTTGTCATATTTAAAGATTTATTTTATTCATTGATGAATTAGTCAGTGATGAGCTAAGTATCATAAAAAATAACAGAAAGCATAACTCAACAGAACAACACATACATTTTTTTCTCTGTTCTCCATTTCAAAGAAAAAAATGACCACAAAACAGGTTGACATCAGTATACCATTTTATTTAAAAAAATTTTTAAAACCACTTTTGATGTCTGCTCTATTGCCAGCACAGAAAGTAGAGTTCATAACAAGGCATCACATTCTATATACATTGGAGATATATATTTAAAATAATGACCCAAAGCCACATATAAGATCTTCAAATAAACAGCTAAGATAGACATTTTTTCTTTACTCATGCATAATAGAGAAGTAATGGAGAGTAGTGCATTTCAGAGGGACATTTTTCATTAAAGGTGAAGTTAAAGAGGGCATCGATCTCAGTCAATTGTCCCACCACCTACTCTGTTCTCAGGCTAAAAACTTTGGAGGCATCCCTGCCTCCTCCCTTTTTCATGGAATTCTCATCCAATCCATTAGCCAACATCATTGGTTCTACCTTTAAATGTATCTTATCACCTGTAATAGAAAATCCTTAGATGCAGCCACATCCTTGTCTCACCTGCATGACTGCAATACCCTCCCAACATGTCCCCCACTTCCACCCTTGCCTCACTATAGTTCACACAGCAGCCAGTGTGATCCTTTAAAATGTAATCCATATCACGTCATGCTTCTGCTCAAGACCTGCAGTGGCTCCCTATTTCGCTCAGAGTAAAATTCCAAGTCTTGCCCTATCCTGCAAAGCCTGTGTGATGTGGCTCCCTGCTACCCCTCTGACCCCATGCTTCTCCTCATCATGCACTCCAGCAACTCTGGTTTCCTTGCAGGCTCCCACCTTTGAAACTTTGCACCTGCTATCTCATCTACCCAAAATATCCCAATCCCCTAACATATACACAGAGATCATTCTCTCACTTCCTTTATGACTTCTGCAAAACCTCCACCTTGTCAAGAGAGACCTTCCTTGATCATCCTTTCTAAAAATGCACTGCTAGTCTGTCTCTATCCCCTCATTTTTTTTTTATCTTTCTTCATAGTACTTATTGCAACTTGATGTATCGTAAGTCATACATCTAATTTAATTAAATTGCCTCCTCCCTTTTTCATGCCCTTCTCATCCAATCCATTAGCCAACATCATTGGTTCTACCTTTAAATGCATCTTATCACCTATAATAGAAACTCCTTAGACCCAGCCACATCCATGTCCCACCTGCATCGCTGCAATACTCTCCCAACAATACCAGCTCAGTTTATGAATGGAAATAAACTCAGTTAACTTTCACTTAACAATTTAATTTAATAACAATTTAATTAAATTAGATGTATGACCTAAGATACATCAAGTTGCAATAAGTTATGACATTATTAAGTTAAATGTATGACCTAGTAATTAAATGTATATATTGGTGTGTTGTATATATATCATATAATAATATATGGTATTAATTGTATATTAACAGACTATAATATATTTGTTATATGTTATAATTATATGATATATAATGTATATATTATGCACACATATATATTTAGTTACTGATTTACTATTTGACTTCTCAACTAGAAGGTAAACTTCTTGAGGATGGGGAATTTATCGGTTTTGTTTGCTGCTGCATTTCCAGCACTCATAACAGTGCCTAGCACGCAGAATATGCTCAATAAACTTTTGTTGAATAAATATATGAATGACTGAATGAAAGAGGCTTGGTAAGCTAATGATGCATAGTCCAAACAACAATGAACTGAAATAAACTCAGTTAACTTTCACTTAGCAAGAAATGTTAACCTAATAGAAAACAGCATTCCCCAAATTCCTTGAGGTTTTATGTTACCAGAAAATTTCTTGATTTATTTTGTATTTTCCTTAGAATATCAACCCTGATATGACAGATACACTTTAGCTCCTTGGCAGAAAAATGTCATGCTAGTAAGGTCTTGGGGTAGGTTGTTTCCAAAGATGACCACCAACAATGCCTTCTGTCCCTCAAATTTTGCTGGTCTTTTGATTTCTTTCCCCGATAGAATAAGATGGAAGTGATGTTTTACCAGCTCCAGACCTAAGCCTTAGGAAACTTTTCAAGCTTGTATTTTTGTCCTTTTAGAAGCAACTCACTATATATAGAAGTTTAGACTAGATTACTGAATGATGAAAGTCCATAAACAGGAGAAAGAGGATATATTGGCGAGTACTGAGTTACCCTACAACACAGTCAACACCAAGACACCAAGCTATTAGTGAGGCCATTTTGGATCCTCTAGCACCAATTGAGCCACCCCAGCCAATACCCCAAGAAACTAACTCTTAGCCCCTCGAGCCATCCCACTGGAGGCCCCAGATATTGTGGAGCATAAGCAAGCTATTCTTGCAGAATCATTCCTAAATACCAGACCAATACAATTATTTTCAAATAAAATGGCTATAATTTTGAACTGCTAAATTTTGGGACTCCCTGCTATGTAGCAATAGATAAGTGAAACCAGTCTGACATATTAAAGAAGGATAATATTGAGAAATTTGGACATCTGAAGTTTACTCTTTGAAAATTTGATCGAGCTTAGTAAAATCATATTTATGTGTGGATTTATACACACACACAGTGTGTGTGTATATATATACATGCACACACATTTGTATATGTACATTGTAAATATATCTACACGTGTTTTCTGTCTTCATTTTACTAAAAAGATTAATATAAAATTAAGTACTCCACTAATAATACCTTGGAAATTATAGTTTATTCTTTTCATATAATATCATGAAAGCCTTACAGTTTTTAAATGCCATGCATTTAACTGTTTTATTTGCTTGTTAGTTTATTTTATTGATTTAATCATCATTGTCAAATCAGTGATAAACGTCCATGGGTTGGAAAGTTTCTGAGAGAGGCCCCGCTGTGATATAATAACATGTACTTTGCCTCTCTTCTCATATGATACTAAATTCTGACTTGGCTTAGATTTATTTCAGAGCGGCTCTTCCAGTCAGCTCTTCTCAGCTGTGTAGAAAAGAGCCACGCCCTTCTGCACGTGATTGCAGTGTGCTTCCCTGAGTTGATTTTGAGATACATTCAGAGGGTACTAGCTAATCCTGGCTTTATTACAAGAGGAACCTGAAAATCAAATATATTCAAGAAATTGAATTCCTATATCATTTTGTAGAAATGAGTGAGAGCAGGAATGCGGGTCAGAGAATGGTGCCAAGAAATCAAATGGCTCAGTGATGAAGCCCTACAAAGATTAGGAACCACTGGTGTAGATAATTTCCACTTCTTTTTAACCATACATTTCTTTTGGAGAATCTGCAAAATACGCCTTGGATGGTCTTTGGGATTACATTGGATCAAGACATGTAAAAAGCTGCTCAGAGTCTTAGAGAGATTACTGTGCTGTAAGGAGATTTGCTTTATTGATCCTATTTTATTACTTTGAAAATGGAAAAACCATGCTTTTGTCAATCATGTGAAATAGGAAAGTAAAATCAAATAGTTGGTTTGGTTTTCTCAGAGTAAGGAAAAATAATTCACAGCAAAAATGAAAAATGAAAGTTCTTTTCAAGTAACTCTTATTACCAGTTAGAAATATGTTTTTGTTATTTTCCCTTGAAAGGAGAAAGACTATCATATAAAAGAATACTAATTTCATTCTCAATAAATATGCATTTGTTGAATATGATGCCTTGTATATAGTTAATTATAATGTATTATCCAATGTCAAGCACTGTTATATAAGCTTAAGCTCAAAAACTTGTTTTTAATTCATGAAACAATATTTATGTTACTCTTCAAGTATTATTGAACCTTTATTCTTTAGTCTGTATGTATTTTTTGAATTTTAGTAGTATTGTAAAACCTAAAAATATTTTTTCTACTCCACATCCCCAACTTTTTAAGTATTATCATAATACAATTTTTAGCCTGAGAATGCTTTTGGATATATTTTTGCTTTTTCTATTTGATGAGAAAA
Organism: Homo sapiens; assembly: GCF_000001405.40. NCBI lineage: Eukaryota > Metazoa > Chordata > Mammalia > Primates > Hominidae > Homo > Homo sapiens. The sequence goes on from NC_000002.12 coordinate 223,271,748, forward strand.
TGCTCCTCTATCAAAAAATAAATTTTGCTAAAAGATTTATTAGAGAATGCTGTTAATTTATTAGAGGAAGCTGTTAACGTGTTATTGTGATCACTGGTGGTAAGTTTCTTCAAGAAGTTTTGGCAATAACATTTAGCTTAGCATTTTTTTCTATATAAACTAGAACAGATTTATGGAAGAAAAATTGGAAAATTCAGAAAAACATAAAAAAGGAAGCCAGAGACACACATACTTTCTCTTTTTCTCAGAGGATGTCAATCCTGTCAGTTGTTAGATATACTATCCATAGATTTGGGTGCCTGTGTATGTTAAAATTGAACCACCTAAGACATAGTGTATTAGTCCATCCTCACACTGCTATAAAGATACTGCCTGAGACTGGGTAATTTATAAACAAAAGAGGTGTAATTGACTCACAGTTCCTCATGGCTGGGAAGGCCTCAGGAAACTTACAATCATGGTGGAAGGAGAAGGGGAAACAAGGCATGTAAGAAAAATCTTATATGGCAGCAGGAGACAAAAGAATGTGTGAAGGAGGAACTGTCAAACACTTATAAAACCATCAGATCTCATGAGAACTCACTTGCTATGATGAGAACAGCATGGGAAAAACTGCCACCATGATCCAATCACCTCCCACCAGGTCCCTTTCTCGACACCTGGGAATTACAATTTGGATTACAATTCAAAGTGAGATTTGGGTGGATACACAGCCAAACCATATGACATAGAGTGTTTGAAATTGCTATGTTCACTCAAAACAATGTAAGCAGTTTTCCAAGACATTATTATTTCAATTTCACATTTAGTGACTCTACATGTATGTCCATTTTGTGAGTGGGCTGTCATTTATTGAACCAGTCCTCTTTTGTTGAACTTTTAGGTTGTTTTGCATCATGGTTGTTGTAATTAACACTGTGATAAGTGGTCCTCATATATAAATTTTCTTGCTCATCTTGAATTGTTTCCATGGGATAGACTCTTCAAAAGATCCTTGGGTCCATTAGTATGAATCAGAAAAATCTCTCAGCCGTATCATACAAACTTTAGAAAACAATCTCAAAGTAAACAGAGTATAGCAAAAGACACCTACTATCCCCCATTTAAAACCATGCGAATTTCTATGGCATTTGGAGCGAGGTGGGCTTTTAGGCAGAGGGAAACCTGTAGTCTATGTTCAAAGGCACAAAGTGACAGAAAAGGTACAGGAATTCAGTCTGATTGGCATTTTGGTGAAAAGAGACTGGTGGCAAGGGAGGCAGGGCTAGGTGAAGGAAGAACTCAGATGTCAAGCAAAGACATGAGTCTTATTCTGCAGAAGATTAGGAGCCATCAAAGGAGTGTAAGTATTAGTGCAAAAAGAACCACTTTTCACTGGAAAAAAGGTAACTAGGCAAGCTGGAGGAGCACCACTAGAAGCAGGAGGATAGGCAGGAGCTGCTTATAATAGTTCTAGGCCTGAACTAGAGCAGCTGGAAATAGAGAGGAGAACACAGTTCATGAGTTTGAACTGAAAGGCCTAGGGCTCAATGTTGGAGGAGAGGGAGGGCAGAGGAGAGAGAGAGAGAGCTTGGAAGAGGGGGAGCAGGGTGTTGTTTTGGTTCGGGTCCTCTGAGGAGTAGCCTCCATGATGGGATTTGACACAAAAAGATTTCATGGAAAAATGTCTGTATGGAATAATGGGTGAAGGAGCGGGAATAGGCAGACCATGGTAAAGTCCTAGGAAAGGGGAGAAGGAAGAAAGGATTGGGTAGAAAGAGGTCCAGACTTTAGCACAGGTCAAAGGAAGTTTTGGCCATGCTGGTGTACAGTATTTGAGCAAATATTGCCCCTTAGAAGAACCCCACATCAGTCAGGAACAAGCTGGCTAATGCTAATATCCCCTTATGCTCAGTCACTGGCTGAGAGCAACTTGCCGGGAGCCTGGCCTCGATGCTAAGCTGGCAGTGGACCCCACAGGGCAGCAGCTGGGGCTCAGTCAGCAATGCCCCCTCCCACAGCAGGGTCTCTTAAAGAACATCTGAGCTTCACACATCCATGGTACCACCACTGTTAACTGCTTTCTGGCCTGGGTGGTGCATGAAACATGCTAAGTGTAAAATCAATCCTGGTGTAAGCCTAGGTTTCCAAGAGTATAATTAAGCAAGGTGGGGAAAAATCATTTCTTGTTACAGAGAGAGGGAAATGTTACAGAGAAAGGACAGTTAAATCAGGCAGCCCTACTTTGCTTTCTGACACTATCAATTTATAACTTTGGGACTTTGACAGAGTGATCAAATTCTGTTATTCTCAATTCATAGTTTTTTATTCATAAAGTGGGAATTAAGAATACATACCTCACATAGATTTTCTGAAGATTATGTGATATCTTGGATATATGCCATTGCTTTTGGCACAAGGTAGACATTCAGTGGTTATTAGTTTCATAATATCTGGCAGATTATCTTATTGTTCCAGACTTGTGACATAGCCAGAGTGCATAGGTATAAATTGTTCTTTCAGTTTGCTTAGTGCAAAAACTCCTTCACTCCTAGAGCTTATGGAGAAGCTATTCATTTGTCTTCCTAGCATGCCCATTTATATTCTGAGTTTCACACCATTAATAGATAAAACCTCAGGAGCTAAGAAGATGGTTGTCAGAAAAGCCAGTGGGAAGTGCTTCCACTGACAAAATGGCCAGAAGTGCTGGAACACTCTGCAGACTTTACAATTGCAGATTTTAAAATTCTGGGTGTGGCCAATGCTACCTTATTTAAGTAAAAGCTAAGGGTCTTATAAACTGATTTTTAACTGGCAAGATCGGTAGTAAAGTTATTGTAAGCTCAGGTTTTAATTTTTCTTATACTATTCAGATAGGTGGGGATAGGTCCCAGGCACTAACAGCTTTATAAAGCTCCCGGCTGATTCTATTGAGTATTTTTGTTTTATTTTTTATGCCTTTTATTATGGGTTTGAGAACCATTGATCTTGACCAGTAATATTGCCTTCTCAAACAGCCTCAGTGTCACTATTAAACATTTAGTTATATTTGTTTAGATTTATTTATTTATTTATTTATTTATTTATTTATTTATTTTTTTTGAGACAGAGTCTTGCTCTGTCGCCCAGGCTGGAGTGCAGTGGTGCGATCTCGGCTCACTGCAGCCTCTGCCTCCCAGGTAGCTGGGATTACAGGCACATGCCACTACACCCAGCTAATTTTGGTATTTTTAGTAGAGACGGAGTTTTGCCATGTTGGCCAGGCTGGTCTCGAACTCCTGACCTCAGGTGATCCGCCTGCCTCAGCCTCCCATGATTAATTTTTTAAGTATAACTGAGATTTTTAAAAAACAAAAACAAACAAAAAACATGTTCCTCTCAATACCGTGGAGCCCCTCTACTGGAAGCCCAAGAGGATTTGGCAAAAGAGACCCTTGGGAAGGTAGGCAGAGCTGCTTAATGGCACTTAGCTTACCTAAGGCAACAGAGAATCAATAGCCTCTCCAGAGTTGGCCTTGCAAGTCTAATCCCAGCAGCTCACCTCATGCACTGTGTATGAGGTATGAGAGGAAATAATGACTTCACCCTCCTCTCCTGTTAACTGTTAGAAACTCAGGGTTTCTACTATGGAAACGTCTAAACCCACTGAATTTGGAAAATACCTTTGGAAAAAAATAATTTCTACTCACAAGAATATACAAACTTTAGAGAACAACTTTGAAACAAGATAATTTCTAAGACTGAATTTAGAATTGTTGTGTAGAAAATATAATTTGGCTTGGTTATCTTTTTACTCTTTCGGGTATCTATGTGTCTCTCTGCCTGTAGAGAGGGTTCTGGTCTGGAATAACTTGCTGAGGGGAGCACTGAACTCAAACACCTTCTTGTACAATTCTACCCCTCCAGCTTGCAACCTACAAGACCCACTATTCCTAGGAAAAGCAGTCCACCCTCAAAGCAGCAAGATGCAAGAAGAGATAGTCTTGCTTAGAGGGCTATGAAGTTAAACAATACTGGCTTTGAAAGCTGGTGCTGGTATGTACTAATAACAAATCCTTGGACAACTCACATAACCTGTCTAATTTATCAATTTTCTCATTGATAAAATTGGTGCAGTATAATAATAATGCACATTTATATTCATTCCCTAGGACACAAATGGCAAACCTGATAAACAGGCACTGGGGAGGATCCAGTGTCCCTGACACACTTGGGCGTAATCTAAAGGTAGTGGGACATGAATGAAGATGGAGAAAGGGATTTGACACAAAAAGCTGTTTGCTACTTTGGCCAGGTCTGGGTCTCCCGTAGTGTCTGTGTGTGCTTTTCATTTTCAGGCAGAAGTCAACCATATTTGTAAGAGCCTGAGATCACATTTTCTCTTGGGAGTTATAAGCAACCTGGCTTCACTCAGGCACCAGTTTGGGTGGCTAACTTGAACCTTGGCCTTGAAATAAAGAAGTAAAACGAATTGAGAGTAATGAGCTAACCGGTGATTCCAAATGTAAGTTAAATCTTGTTTGGAATGGAATTATCCACCCTCTTTGAACTGTCACTCCACCAGGTTTTTTAGGAATCATTTGCTGATTCCGATTCCCTACTACGTGTTGAGTTCTGCTGCAAACATGGAAACAAAATGCAGAAAGAGGCTTTGAAGGAGTTTACAGTATAATTGGGGAAACAAGATATGAAGGCTTACTTTGTTTTTCTCTTTCGTGTGTGTTCCTAATGTCAACAGGAGTAGTTCAGATACTAGAATCAAGTAGATTTTAGAAGAAGGGAATAAAATGTTTCTAAGGCTTGTGGAAGCCTGGGTATGTTTATGAATGAGGTTTGAGAAAGGTTAGATGGGAAAAAGAAACTGCATTACTTTTTAGAATGAAAGTAGAATAGACTTGGCTAACACAATTTTTGCTAAGAAAAGTGGCAAAAATCATTAAAGCAGTGGATGGAGGAATGATAAGGTTGGACTGGACCTTGAAGGCAATGAGCAACTACTGATTGTTTCTTCAGAGGTGAGGAAATGGAATGTGATAAGTGTGATACTTATTCTTAGCAAAACTACAATACTTTAATATATGTACATGATAATAAATACAACAAATAACATTTGCTATGTGCATATTATATCCTGGATATTGCTCTAAGTGCTTCCCATAAATGGAAATTATTTAATTAAGTAATAACCTTAGTGATAGGTACTCATAATGTCCCATTTCAGATGGGAAGTAGGAACTTGTAGGGAGATTGTTCTGGTGGTGATACATTGCAAAGATCAGGTGGGGCAAAGACACTGAGGCAGGGAACCTGGGGTGGAAGTCGGCAAGACAGCCAGACAAAGGCATCAAGCCCTGAGTCTAGATTAAGGCTGTGCTATCTGACACGTTATTCTTGAATGTGAAGAGAAATGTCCAGGTTAAATATTAAATGTAGATGAAATAATTAATGTAGATAAAGCCCTATTTGGTCCATTGATTAACAGGGGCAAAGACTCTCCTTTGTAAAGTCAAAGGGCACCGAATTTTCTGACATCGACAGAGAAGCCCAAATACCACATTTCTTAGGGCTCCTCTGAAGGTGTTCTTCAGTGTTCATTCGAGAAACTTAACTCTTGTCTGCCATTACCCACCAGGCAGAAATTCAACATTTGGTAAACGAGTGGTTCTTTTAGATTAAAAAAATGAAGAAACTTGTATCATTTTATATTTACTTCTGCTTCAAACAAAATAGTATTATTTCTATTTATTTATAAAGTATGTTTTTATTTTACTGATACATAATATTTTGAGTATGGGGTATATGAGTATTTATGGGTATATGAGTGAGTTTTGTTACATGCATAGAATGTATAATGATCAAGTCAGTGTATTTGGGGCATCCATCACCTGGAGTATTCATCATTTATGTGTTGGCATCATTTCAAGTCCCCTCTTCTAGTTACTTTGAAATATACAAAATATTATTGCTAAGTATAGTCACCCTATTCTGCTATCAAACATTAGAACTTATTTCTTCTATTAAACTGTATGTTTGTATCCATTAACCAACTTGCCTTCATCATCCTCCTCACCCACCCACCCTTCCCTGTCTCTGGTATGTATCATTCTATTCTCTGTTTTCATGAGATCAAGTTATTTAGCTCCCACATATTAATGAGAACATGCAGTATTTGTCTTTCTGGGCCTGGATGGTTTCATGTAACATAATGACCTCCAGTTCCATCCGTGTTGCTGCAAGTCACATGATTTCATTCTTTTTTATGGCCAAATAGTATTCCTTTGTGTATATATAACTCATTTTCTTTATCCATTTATCCCTTGATGGACACTTAAGTTGATTTCACATCTTCGCTATTGTGAATAGTGCTGCGATAAACATGAGAGTTCAGGTGTCCCTTTGATACATTGATTTGTTTTTCTTTTTTGAATAAATGCCTGGTAGTGAGATTGCTGGGTCATATGGTGGTTTTATTTTTAGTTCTTTGAGAAATCTCCATACTGTTTTCCATAGTTGTTGCAATAATATGCATTCCAGCCAAGAATGTTTGAGTTCCATTTTCTCCACATCCTCTTACCTGTTTTTTCACTTTTGTCATTTAATAATAGTCATTCTAACTAAGTTGAGATGATATCTAATTGTGGTTTTGATTTGCACTTCCCAGATGATTTGTGGTATTGAACATTTTAAAAATATATCTGTCAACCATTTTTATGTCTTCTCTTAAAAATGTCTATTCATATCTTTTCCCCATTTTTAATGAGGTTATACATTTTTTGCCATTGAGTTGTTTGGGTTCCTTGTATTTTCTGGTCATTGGTCTCCTGTTAGATTAATAGGGTACAAATATTTTCTCCCATTCAAGAGGCTGTCTCTTCACTCTTATTGTTTCCTTTGCTGTGCAGAAGCTTTTTACTTTAATAGAGTCCCATTTGTCTATTTTATGTTTTTGTTGCCTTGCTTTTGAGATCTTAGCCATAAAATCTTTGCCTAGACTAATGTCTTATGTTTAAGTGTTTAATTCATCTTAAGTTGACTTTCGTACATGGTGAGAGATAGGAGTCCAGTTTCATTCTTCTGCATAGGGGTATCCAGTTTTACCAGCACCATTTATTGAATAGAATGTCCTTTCCCCAATGTATGCTCTTGGTAGCTTTATCAAAGATTAATTGGCTATGAATATTTAGATTTCAGTTCTCTGTTTTGTTCCATTGGTCTATGCATCTATTTAATATCAATACTATGCTGTTTTGGTTACTATAGCCTTGTAATATATTTTGAAGTCATGTAGTGTGATGCCTCCAGATTTGTTCTATTTGCTTAGGATTGCTTTGATTATTCAAGGTCTTTTGTGGTTCTATGCAAATTTTAGGATTTATTTCCTACTTTTGTGAAAAATTACATTGGTATTTTGATAATTACATTGGTATTTTGATTGCACTGAATTCATATTTAAGACATGCCAAGAAGTATTGAGAAAGACATTATAGGCAACCATGTACCACAATTTAGATCTATTATATTTTGCCATGTTTTCTTTATATAACTTTTTACTTCTGCTTTTAAATAGCTTTATGAAGTTATGGTTGACTTCTGTTGCACATAACTGACTATAATTTGTTAAGTTTTGACATACATGTACTTTTATAAACCCATTACCACAATCAAGGTAGTGAACATTTCCATCATCTACATATATCACTTTTCAAAGGAGTAAAATATTTCTGATATAGTGTAGTGCCAACACTCTGTTCTTACCTATCTGTTTCTAGAGTTAATCACTCTCTAGAAGCTATTTCTCCTGTGCATTTGCCTTAAAAAAACTTATGCATCTACAGGTAACATGCTGTAATATTTACTAATATACTGCTTTGAAATTTTACATAGATATCATCATATTAAACATTTTTAACTTGCTTTCTCCTACTTCCACCAAAAGGTTTTTGATATATCCATGCTTATCCATGTAGATTAGATTAATTAATTTAACATATTCTATCAAAATATTATATTGTAGTGAAAAATTAAATAAAACTGAAGTTTTTGTCTTGAAAATCGAAGTTTAAATTTAAAACCAAAATTAAATTCCAAAATTGCAGTCCAAAGCCAGCTTTTTACAATGTATCATAGCTGCCATCTAAGGGGGTAAAAGAATATAAGTTTTAAACCCACTAATTGTTAATAGTAATTTATTTATATGTAAGAGTATGGGTAATTTTATATTTTATGTTTTATTCTTTCTATTTTTACTTTCCAAATTAATCATAATTAATATGTATTATTTTTATAATAAAAATAAAATATCAAGTTGAATTATTGGGGTGCTTTACTATGAAACTATCTCACTAGGAAGTTTACAGGCAAATGTGAGCATGGAAAAATGATCTTAAAAGTGTGTATAAGCAGCTGAGACAAAATCTTCACTGAGTTGAGGAGAGTATTAGGTATGGAGAGATTTTCTTACTGTTTTATAACTTGTGGTGCATATGTCATGGATAGAACTTATCAGTTTTTATTCAGTGAGACTCTTCCAAATACAGCTGAAAGAATCCCATCAGATTTATAGTGATCTTCTAATAGGCACAGTTATATGATGTCATTTTTCTCAAAGATCACTGCATCTATTCATTCCATGAATGAAAGCGCTTATCCCATTCACAAGGAAGCTGCTAAGAGTTTTTTACACCAACCTTCTGTACATTTTTCCCACTTGGAAATACATATATATATATATATTTTTTCCACTTTTTTGATGTGACTCATTTCCCATTGATTTTTCATTTTTAATAAAATTTTTCTAAGCACTTCAAGGGAAAGGCCATTAAATGCTTCCCTGAGTGCCCATAACTGAAGTAAAAATAGAGGAGCAGAATATTTCCCCACATTTTTCTTATACTTGAAAAATGTTGTTGCATATTTTTGAAATATTTATCTTAGAGAAAGCTCGGAAGCCATGACATGGTGGGCCAATTTCTCTGCTCTATTGTTAAGGTTTTTACCATTCCATAATGCTGACAAATTATCATCTTAATTTATAAATTTATTTATGTTGGAGTTGCAGTGCCTTTGTAACTTACCACAATATGCTATTATGAGGACTGAATGCTTAAGCTGAAGGGGTCTGAGTGTGTTACTGTAAGTTGACATGAAAAATCTGTGTCAGAATGGATAATTTTGACCCAGAAAGCTGGAACTAAGTTTATATAGAACCCCCAATTCGACACTGTGTCTTTCTTCGTTTGAGATGTTTTCTCCTTTCCATCGATTGGCTTTCTGCATTATTCTATCTCAAATCATACACACGTATGCAAACCCACATTCTCTTGCTTATGGCAAATGTGTACCTGCTTTTTCTCTTATCCAGAATTGCATATGCTACTTATATACTAATAGCCCAAATATTTGTATGGTGTGTGAAATGTGGGAGTATTTCAAGCTGTAACCAAATAATGTTAAATAGTGAAAACTGGTTTATTGAATAGAAGCACATTTTCAAAAAGCTTTGTTCCATGGAAACACTTTTAATATGTGCTTGCCAGCCAGCATATGGCACATGTCTCAAGAAGTGTCAAAATACTAATTTTTAAAAATGAACAAACATGTTATTGATAAATGTATTACTTGGTAGAAATGGTTGTTGAATATTACTGATCCTTATTACTCTACAGAGAAAGGGAAAAACTCAATTAACTAATAGCATTGTAGTCTAATTGTACACACCCATTTCTGTTTCTCAAAGGATAATACTAATAATTATCTTAGCAGAATTGAATAGCAATATGTCTAAAATATCTTCTACAGTAGTCTATTTTTAATTGCTAACAAAGGAGAAAAAATATTGAGAATTAGTATCTTTTTAAACAATGAGTAAATTGACGTTTTAAACTGCATTTTAAAATTATTTTCTTTTTAATGATACTTCTCTTTTTAAGGACACAATTAATGAAAATTATGTATAAAGCATTAAATGTTTTTTCCAGATTTGTTCTTTCATTGTATTACATTTATAAATTTATAAAACAAAATTTTATTCAATTTTGTTTAATTTTACCCATGAGATACTGCATACAAAGAGAGTGTTTGCAGATATTATAACCACACGGTCTCTGTAATAGAAATAATCATTTTTGGTATGCATTATATTGTTCAATTTTGTTGAACAATGTAACGAACACTCCACTTGACAAGAGAACACTCAGAATCATTATGGCACAAAGATAACTGTCATTTATTGTTCACCTTCTAGTTTCCAAAGATGCTGTCTTCACTTGTGCTATTTTGCTTCAGTAGTCATATCACCATTGTAAAGGTAAGAAAAGAGACTCACAAAGGGCAAATAGCTTGTCCAAGGTCACTTATCAAGTAAGCAGTGGAGACAAAACTCAGTCACTCTTGTTCTGGCTCCGCCGTGTCCTTTCACTTCCACATGCTCCCTTTAAAAAAAGGATGATAGGAGATGGAACAGGAAAAGACGAGAGGTAGAGTATAAAGCCAGTATTGAGACTAAAAAGCAACCACTCATTCCAAATAACTTGCATTCATTCAGATACACTCAGGAAATTGTTGGAGACCAACAAATAGATCAGGCAATCTTTAGTGAGGAGAGCAATAGCTCTTGTGCTCTCACAGATGGGGATGTGGGCCATGGAGACCTTGGCCTCAGAGTTTTTATTTCCTGTCCTATTTTGTGCTTGTTTGGCAGAAGGTTCAAAAGAGAGTACTATATGCCAAGAGGAGCTATCAGACAAATGAAAAAGTAGACACTCAGAACAGATGATGATTTTGGCAGAGGGATTATTACTGGTTTGATAGGATACAGCAAAAGACCTCTACTGCTTTTGCTTTATTGTAGGGAAGAAATACTGACTAGTTTATAGACCACTAATATTCCCTATGGAGAAAAATGCATACGTCATTTTAAATATAAAATTTTAAATGGCAAGATTTGCTGGCAAGATTGAAAAGGAAAAGGAGAGGAAAAGACAAGAATGTAAAATAAGTTGTCTGTTCCTTACCCATAACTCTATATTATTCATATTATTATAGGTATCAGGAGGTAATATTCATGTGAGGCTAGCATATAATGTCTGTTAACCTCTTATTATAGAAATTGTACAAAACTGAAATCCAGAAAAGTCAGAGAAATACTGTTAGCAGTAAAACTAGGACATGGTTTTGTTTTGTTTTTTCATTTTTTTTAAACAAAGACAGGGTTGGAGCCTCATTAGCTGAAAAAATCTGAATCTCCACATGATTAGAGTGAGGGAGATTATGATATACATTATTCTGGTGTTAAAAGAACAACTTTAGACAAATTAAATCGATGGAGTTTAATTGAACAGTGATTCATAAGTTGAGCAGCCCCTGAATCAAAATAGGTCCAGAGATTCTCTGGAGCTGCCACATAGACAAGATTTATGGACATAAAAAGGAAAATGATGTACAGAAAATGGAAGTGAGGTACAGAAACAGCTGGGTTGGTTACAGCTTGGCATTTACCTTATTTGAACAGGGATTAAACAGTTGGCTGCCTGTGATTGGCTGAAACTCAGAGATTGGCACAAGAGTAGGTCAGGTCTGTTTACATGCCGGTAAGTTAGAGTTCATTATGTATGGAGAAATCTTTAGGTGGAACTTAAGCTATGTAATAAGGCAGCTTTAGGCTAAACTTAATTGAACGCTGGTGATTAAAGAAGTATTGAATTTCAAAATGGAGCCTGAAAAAAGATACTATGCCTCCCATTGGCCTTGCCCCTTATGCCAACTACTTGTCTGTTCATGCAGGCTGGCAGCCATCTTGGGAAAGAAACCTGGGGCTGCCATTTTGTAAGGGCTTGGTTTGTCTTTGGCTTTATTTGGTCATACATTCAGCAAATCTTTATTAAGTGCTGAGAAAAGAATAGAACGTTTATCTGAGGAATGAGAGTTCAAGTTATCAGGCCTAGAGAGACATTAAAAAATGAGACAGCTATGACACCCTACTTCCTTGCTTTTATACTGTGTACTCATCTCTTGAAACTGCTTGCTAGTGCCAAAAGTAACTGTAAATGACCCTAAGAATGCAGTATCAGACACTGTAACTCACACTCTATATCTTAAAAATGTAAAGCCAATTACTAATCAATGCTATTTCTGTAAACTGATGAGAATTTCTAACAAACAATTTTATATCATCACATTCTCCCTTTTTTGCCTTAAAAAACCTGCTTATAACAAAGGCCAAATAGAGCTTATATTCAAGAATGGTTGGATCTGAGCCTTCTGGGCAGCTGTCTTCACTTCAGCTCAAGTAAACTCTTTAAAAAAGAAAGAGAGAGAGAGAAAGAGAGAGAGAGGGAAAGAAAGAGAGAGAGGGAAAGAAAGAGAGAGAGAGGGAGGGAGGGAAAAGAAGAGAAGAAAAGAAAAAACCATAAGATTAATAAAAGAAAGAAAGAAAGAAAACATAAGGAAAAAAAGAGAAAAGAAATCCTGGAGAGATTCCATGAGTCAACTGGTCTGCAGCTTCTAAAACCTTTTGTAGGGTTCCTGTGGCCCCCTGTTGAAGAGTTCTGTAAAGACAGAACTATTGAAGATTGTGCCTCCACTTTGGCTTGTTTAAACCCTTTACTGCTTTTTGGAAGAGGAAGAATCAAAGTAAATTTTATGGTTGGCTCCTTTACTGGGAAAAAGGAGGAGAAGCTCTTTGTGGTATCACATAAATAAGCATTTCTTTACCAGCATGTGAGTTCTTCACCCTGGGTGACAGGAGTCCAGGAGCCCAGTAAGCCAGAGTTATAAACAGATGGGGTGAAATCAGGGTGGATGGGCAAGAATGGAGAGAAACAAATGAAGTTTCAAGGCACTAGGACTGTGTGAACTTCTATCCCCTTGAATTATATCATCTAGATGTTATGGGATCTCTGGGGTGTCAGTTTTTCTGGCTGGAAACCTCTGTGGCTGCAGTGCCTTTGCCCAAGTTCTTCTCCTGTGTCCAGGAAGAACGAGGTATGCAGACAAGTGAAGGGTGAAGAAGAGTTCTATTTCATGTTAGAACAGCTAAAAGGATTGGGTAGCTCCTCTTGTAGGCAGGTTGTCTGGTCGAGTGTTCAGCCCTTAGCAGAGAGGAGGCCCTGGAATGGGTGGCTCCTCTCCATAGGCAAGACATTCTGATGTCTCTGCAGATCTCTGAAGCTCTCAGCAGAGAGGATATTTCTCTCTGCTGGCAAGTTGTCTCTGCAGCTCTTCAGGGAAGGCTATTCCTTTCTGCAGCTAGTTCTCCGGTCCCATGGTCTCTCTGCCGTCTTCCTCCTCTGGCCATCCTCTGCCTGCTCTGGCTGAGTCCAAGGCTTTTATGGACCTCAGCGGGGAGGAAATGGGGCCAATTAGTTGATGGGCAGCCATGGGCGAACCCAGAAGAGGCACCATGAGTCCCCACTGTGGTCCACAGGACTGACAGCCCAGCAACCAGTCTTCAGACCCTTCTTGGCCTGAAGGTGGGGCCTTACTGGCGAACCACCCCCTTCCACCCAGGAATCAATTTGCCTCCCGCTGCCATTCATGGCCTAGGGGCTTGGCTCCAATGCCCACTCTAAGATCAGAGCAAGTGCTGGAAGTGGAGAGAGGCCAGGCAGTGGGAGCAGACACCCTGAGCCTTCAGGGATGGGAGTCCTTCCTGTGGCCCCCAAGGGTGCAGGCTGCAGAGATGCCGGGGTCCTGTGCCTGGGAGGGTGGCTGCAGCTGCACCCAGGAGCTCTCACCCTGCTAACTCAGAAGGGGCAGGGCTCCCACTTGTCCCCAGCTCTTCCTTGTCTCCTCTACAGCCCAGGTCTACAGCCATGGGTGTGGTGGCTGCAGCTACACCCAGGAGGGCAGATCCTTCCTGCTCTTGGCCCTCCCACAAGAGCACAGGGAGGCGCGGATCTACAGCTGGTTTGGGCAGCTGTAGCCCCACTCCGGAGAGTAGGGCTTCTGCCTGCTCTGTAGAGCAGGAGGCCTGGGGTCTGCAGCTGTGGTTAGGGTGGCTGCAGTAACCGAGGAGCTCCAGTCCCAATCAGAAGGGGCAGGGTTCCCACTGGCTCCATGGAGTGTGCAGCCACAGCCACGCTTCCCCACTGCAACTGGCATGATGAGCAGCCACTGCCATCACAGATATTTGTCTCATTTTGTTATTTACTAGAGAAAACATAACAATTTCTTACTAAAAATTTTGAAGTATAAAAATGGAAGGAGAATGTCTAAGTCCTCTGGAAATAAATGGCATTGACAGTCTTCTTGATTTAATTTCTGCTACTTATTTCAAGAGGCATCCAGATGCTTTCCTTAATTGGATCCAGTTAAGATAGTCCTGATGGAAAATTCAGTATATTGGCCATAATTATTGAATTAGTGAATCACAGACATGATTAGAAAGAAATTAACATAGCCACCTGACTCTTGTGAAGGTTATAATTGATTCTGGTTATTAAAGTTGTCCCAATTAAATTAGTGATGACCATCTAAACTCAACATTCCCTAACAATAATAAAGTGACTTTTATTTGTGCAAAACTATTATTTTTAATGTTGGATAGAGAAAACAATCTCTATCTTTTAAAAGTATCTATGGAAAATATGTTTTTTTTGTAGTAATAATTTAGGCTCTCTTATATGAGGAAAAACTATCAGATCCTATCCTGATTCCAGGAAAGTAAAATTGAAGGTGACCCTAAAGATAAATCCTAGTCAATAGCATTCTATTATGTTTACCCCCTTTAAACACAAATTGAACACCTCCCCTGAAAGGAATTCCTGTGGCTGTTTATTTTAATCTTTATGAAGATTTAATGCTGGGAAATTGTTTCTCATACTAAGTTCTCTTATTCATTTTATAATTTTTTTTTTTTTGAGATAGAGTCTCACTCTGTCCCCCATTCTGGGGTGAAGTGGTATGATCATAGCTTATTGCAGTCTTGAACTCCTGTCTGGGCTCAAGTGATCCTCCCACCTCAGCCTCCCAAGTAACTCGGGTGCGAATCAACATGCCTGGCCATTTTACAAATATTTATTGTGTACCTACGACTTGCCAAGCACTGGGGTATAGTATAAACAGTGGTGAAAAAAATAACCTCTACACTGAAAGAAATTAAAATGGGTGTGAAAATATTTGTATTTTTAACCAATTAGTCCTTGACTTGTGCTGTGGGCTGCAAACACAGTTCCTCAAAAACCTAAAGATCAGTTTTGCGCTTATAGCTCCTTTTTTACCCCTAGATAGGTTTTTGCGTGGGTGGAGGGGGTGTTGAGAGTTTTTATATGAGATGATTCCAAGTCTTTTCATAATTTTATGATTCTTCCTTGAATACATTTTACTTTCTCTCTATCCCATTTTAAGTGTTATACCTGGAATTAAATGTGATTCACCAGAACAGTGGTATGTTTTGCTTACGCACTCCCTAAACAAACTTTGAAAAACTGGGTACTCCTTTGAGCATTTTTAAGTAGACATCTAAAACTTTTTCATTGTAAGTATAAGTAGTTGCAGTGGATGTAATTTCAACTGTATTGGGAATATTGACTTTATAAATAAAACTTGTATTACTCTTTTTAATATATCCAAAGAAATATGAGCACCAAGGTGGCTTAATGTCCACCATTATACATTTTGACTCATGTTTGTATTTTGTTGATGATTTAGACTCACTTCTACTTCTCCTTGAAGTCACCATTTTATTTCATATCCCCCACAGAATTTTATCCTAATATAACATACTTTTATTCTTAAACATAACATACCTTTATTCTTTAACATAACATACTTTTATTCTTAAAACTATATATAAATAGTTATATATATATAGTTTTGTATATATATAGTTTTGTATTTATATATATGTATTTAAATATATAGTTATATATATATTATATATAGTTTTGGGATACATGTGCAGAACATGTAGGTTTGTTACATAGGTATACACATGCCATGGTGGTTTGCTGTACACATCAAACCGTCATCTACATTAGGTATTTCTCCTAATGCTATCCCTCCCCTAGCTCCCCACTCACTGACAGGCCCCGTTGTGTGATGTTCCCCTCCTTGTGTCCATGTATTCTCATTGTTCAACTCTCACTTATGAGTGAGAACATGCGATGTTTGGTTTTCTGTTCCTGTGTTAGTTTGCTGAGAATGATGGTTTCCAGCTTCATCCATCTCCCTGCAAAGGACATGAACTCATCCTTTTTTATGGCTATATAGTATTCCATGGGGTATATGTGCCACATTTTCTTTATCTAATCTATCATTCATGGGCATTTGGGTTGGTTCCAAGTCTTTGCTATTGTGAATAGTGCTGCAATAAACATACGTGTGCATGTGTCTTTATAGTGGCATGATTTATAATCCTTTGGGTGTATACCCAGTAATGGAATTGCCGGGTCAAATGGTATTTCTGATTCTAGATCCCTGAGGAATCGCCACACTGGCTTCCACAATAGTTGAACTAATTTACACTCCCACCAACAGTGTAAAAGCATTCCTATTACTCCACATCCTCTCCAGCATCTGTTGTTTCCTGACTTTTTAATGATCACCATTCTAACTGGCATGAGATGGTATCTCATTGTGGTTTTTATTTGCATTCCTCTAATGACCAGTGATGATGAGCTTTTTTTCATATGTTTGTTGGTCACATAAATGTCTTCTTTTGAGAAGTGTCTGTTCATATCCCTCTCCTAATTTTTGGTGAGGTTGCTTGTTTTTTTCTTGTAAATTGGTTTAAGTTCCTTGTAGATTCTGGATCTTTGTCAGATGGATAGATTGCAAACATTTTCCCCCATTCTGTAGGTTGCCTGTTCACTCTGATGATAGTTTCTTTTTCTGTGCAGAAGCTCTTTAGTTTAATTAGATCCCATTTTTCAATTTTGGCTTTTGTTGCCATTGCTTTCGGTGTTTTAGTCATGAAGTCTTTGCCCATGCCTATGTCCTGAATGGTATTGCCTAGGTTTTCTTCCAGGGTTTTTATGGTTTTAGGTCTTATGTTTAAGTCTTTAATCCATCTTAATTTTTGTATAAGGTGTAAGGAAGTGGTCCAGTTTCCGTTTTATGCATATGGCTAGCCAGTTTTCCCAACACCATTTATTAAATAGGGAATCCTTTCCCCATTGCTTGTTTTTGTCAGGTTTGTCAAAGATCAGATGGTTGTAAATGTGTGGCATTATTTCTGAGGCCTCTGTTCTGTTTCATTGGTCCATATATCTGTTTTGGTACTAGTATCACGCTGTTTTGTTTACTGTGGCCTTGTAGTATAGTTTGAAGTCAGGTAGCATGATGCATCCAGCTTTTTTACTTTTCTTTTCTTTCTTTCTTTTTTTCTTTTTTTTTTTTTTTGCTTAGGACCATCTTGGTTATATGGGCTCTTTTTTGGTTTCATATGAGATTTAAAGTAGTTTTTTCTAATTCTGTGAAGAAAATCAATGGTAGCTCAATGAGGTTAGCATCAAATCTATAAATTACTTTGGGCAGTATGGCCATTTTTAATATATTGATTCTTCCTATCTGTGAGCGTGGAATGTTTTTCTATTTGTTTGTGCCCTCTCTTATTTCCTTGAGCAGTGGTTTGTAGTTCTCCTTGAAGAGGTCCTTCACATCCCTTGTAAGTTGTATTCCTAGGTATTTTATTCTGTTTGTAGCAATTGTGAATGAGAGTTTACTCACAATTTTGCTCTCCGCTTGTCTATTATTGGTGTATAGAAATGGTTGTGATTTTTGCACATTGATTATGTGTCCTGAGACTTTGCTGAAGTTGCTTATCAGCTTAAGGAGATTTTGGGCTGAGATGATGGAGTTTTCTAGATATACAATCATGTCATCTGCAAACAGAGACAATTTGACTTTCTCTTTTCCTAATTGAATACTCTTTATTTCTTTCACTTGCCTGATTGCCCTGGCCAGAACTTCCAATACTATGTTGAATAGGACTGGTGAGAGAGGGCATCCTTGTCTTGTGCCAGTTTTCAAAGGGAATGCTTCCAGCTTTTGCCCATTCAGTATGACATTGGTTGTGGGTTTGTCATAAATAGCTCTTATTATTTTGAGATACGTTCCATCGATACCTAATTTATTGAGAGTTTTTAGCATGAAGGGGTGTCAAATTTCATCAAAGGCCTTTTCTGCATCTATTGAGATAATCTTGTGGTTTTTGTCATTGGTTCTGTCTGTGTGATGGATTACATTTATTGATTTGTGTATATCGAACCAGGCTTGCACCCCAGGATGAAGCTGACTTGATCATAGTGTATAAGCTTTTTGATGTGCTGCTAGATTCAGTTTGCCAGTATTCTATTGAGGATTTTTGCATCGATGTTCATCAGGGATGTTGGTCTGAAATGTACTTTTTTTGTTGTGTCTCTACCAGATTTTGGTATCAGGATGATGCTGGCCTCATAAAATGAGTTAGGGAGGAGTCCCTCTTTTTCTGTTGTTTGGAATAGTTTCAGAAGGAATGGTACCAGCCGCTCTTTGTAACTCTGGTAGAATTCGGCTGTGAATCCATCTGGTCCTGGACTTTTTTTGGTTGGTAGGCTATTAATTATTGCCTCAATTTCAGAACTTGTTATTGTTCTATTCAGGGGTTCCACTCCTTCCTGGTTTAGTCTTGGGAGAGTGTATGTGTCCAGGAATTTATCAATTTCTTCTAGATTTTCCAGTTTATTTGCTTAGAGGTGTTTATAGTATTCTCTGATGGTAGTTTGTATTTCTGTGGGATCAGTGGTGATATCCCCAGTATCAATTTTTATTCTGTCTGTTTGATTCTTCTCAATTTTCTTCTTTATTAGTCTGGCCAGTGGTCTATTTTGCTAATCTTTTCAAAAAACCAGCTCCTGGATTTATTGATTTTTTGATGGGTTTTTTATGTCTTTATCTCCTTTGGTTCTGCTCTGATCTTAGTTATTTCTTGTCTTCTACTAGCTTTTGAATTTGTTTGCTCTTATTTCTCTAGTTCTTTTAATTTTGATGTTAGGGTATCGATTTTAGATCTTTCCTGCTTTCTCCTGTGGGCATTTAGTGCTATAAATTTCCCTCTAAATACTGCTTTATCTGTGTCCCAGAGATTCTGGTACATTGTGTCTTTGTTCTCATTGGTTTCAGAGAACTTATTTATTTCTGCCTTAATTTCTTTACTTACCCAGTAGTCTTTCAGGAGCAGGTTTTTCAGTTTCCATGTAGTTGTGTGGTTTTGAGCGAGTTTCTGAATCCTGAATTCTAATTTGATTGCACTGTGGTCTGAGAGACCATTTGTTATGATTTCCGTTATTTTGCATTTGCTGCGGAGTGTTTTACTTCCAATTATCTGGTAAATTTTAGAATAAGTGCGATGTGGTGCTGAGAATAATATATATTCTGTTGATTTGGGATGGATAGTTCTGTAGATGTCTATTAAGTGTGCTTGGTCCAGAGCTGAGTTGAAGTCCTTAATGTCCTTGTTAAGTTTCTGTTTGTTGATCTGTCTAATATTGACAGTGGGTTGTTAAAGTCTCCCACTATTATTATTATTTATTATTATGAAGAGTTTATGTCTCTTTGTAGGTCTCTAAGAATTTGCTTTATGAATCTGGGTGCTCCTGTATTGGGTGGATATATATTTAGGATAGATAGTTCTTCTTGTTGAATTGATCCCTTTACCATTATGTAATGCCCTTCTTTGTCTTTTTTGATGTTTGCTGGTTTAAAGTCTGTTTCACCACAGAGTAGGATTGCAATCTCTGGTGTTTTTTTTTTTCTTTCCATTTGCTTGGTAAATATTCCTCCATCCCTTTATTTTGAGCCTATGTGTGTCTTTGCACATGAGATGTGTCTCCTGAATACAGCATACCAATGTGACTTGACTCTTTATCCAATTTGCCAGACTGGGGGCATTTAGCCTGTTTACATTTAAGGTTAATATTGTTATGTGTGAATTTGATCCTGTCATTATGACACTAGCTGGTTATTTTACCTGTTAGTTGATGCAGTTTCTTAATAGTGTTGATGGTCTTTACAATTTGGCATGTTTTTGCAGTGGCAGGTATCAGTTTTTCATGTCCATGTTTAGTGCTTCCTTCAGGAGATTTTGTAAGGCAGGCCTGGTGGTAACAAAATCTCTCAGCATTTGCTTACCTGTAAAGGATTTTATTTCTCCTTCACTTATGATGCTTAGTTTGGCTGATTATGAAATTCTGGGTTGAAAATTCTTTTCTTAAAGAATGTTGAATATTGCCCCCACTCTTTTCTGGCTTGTAGGGTTTCTGCAGAGAGATCCGCTGTCAGTCTGATGGGCTTCCCTTTGTGGGTAACCTGACCTTTCTCTCTGGCTGCCCTTAACATTTTTTTCTTTGTTTCAACCTTGGTGAATCTGATGATTATGTGTCTTGGGGTTACTGTTCTCAAGGAGTATCTTTGTGGTGTTCTCTGTCTTTACTGAATTTGAATGTTGGCCTGTCTTGCTACGTTGGGGAAATTCTCCTGGATAATATCCTGAAGAGTGTTTTCCAACTTGGTTCCATTCTCCTCATCACTTTCGAAGTATACCAATCAAACATAGATTTGGTCTTTTCACATAGTGCCATATTTCTTGGAGGCTTTGTTCATTCCTTTTCATTCTTTTTTCTCTAATCTTGTCTTCATGCTTTATTTCATTAAGTTGATCTTCAATCTCTGATATCCTTTCTTCTGCTTGATTGATTCAGCTATTGATACTCATGTATGCTTCAGGAAGTTCTTGTGCTGTTTTTCAGCTCCAGCAGGTCATTTATGTTCTTCTCTAAACTGGTTATTCCAGTTAGCAATTCCTCTAACCTTTTTTCCAGGTTAGAACATTCAAAAAGGTTCTTAGCTTCCTTGCATTGGGTTAGAACAATGCTCCTTTAGCTCGCAGGAGTTTGTTATTACCCACCTTCTGAAGGCTACTTCTGCCAATTTGTCAAATTCATTCTCCGTTCAGTTTTGTTCCCTTGCTGGCGAGGAGTTGTGATCCTTTGGAGGAGAAGAGGCATTCTGGTTTTTGGAATTTTCAGCCTTTTTGCGCTGGTTTTTCCTCATCTTAGTGGATTTATCTACCTTTGGTCTTTGATGTTGGTGACCTTCAGATGGGGTTTTTGTGTAGACGTCCTTTTTGTTGATGTTGATGCTATTCTTTCTGCTTGTTAGTTTTCCTTCTAATAGTCAGGCCCCTCTGCTGCAGGCCTGAGGGAGTTTGCTGGAGGTCCACTCCAGACCCTGTTTACCTGGGTATCACCAATGGTGGCTGCAGAACAACAAAGATTGCTGGCCTGTTCCTTCCTCTGGACGCTTCATCCCAGAGGAGCGCCCACCAGATGCCAACCAGAGCTCTCCTGTATGAGGTATCTGTTGACCCCTGCTGGGAGATGTCTCCAAGTTAGGAGGCATGGGGGTCAGGGGCCCACTTGAGGAGGCAGTCTGTCCCTTAGAAGAGCTTGAGCACTGTGCTGGGAGATCTGCTGCTCTCTTCAGAGCTGGCAGGCAGAAAAGTTTAAGTCTGCTGAAGCTACACCCACAGCTGCCCCTTCCGCCAGGTGCTCTGCCCCAGGGAGATGGAAGTTTTATCTATAAGCCCATGACTGGGGCTGCTGCCTTTCTTTCAGAGATGCTTTGCCCAGAGAGGAGGAATCTAGAGAGGCATTCTGGCTATAGCAGCTTTGGTGAGCTGTGGTGGGCTCTGCCCAGTTTGAACTTCATTTAAACTGTGAGGGTAAAACCACCTACTCAAGCCTAAGTAATGGCAGATGCTTCTCCTACCACCAAGCTTAAGCATCCCAGGTCAAATTCAGACTGCTGTGCTGGCAGCAAGAATTTCAAGCCAGGGAATCTTAGCTTACGGGGCTCTGTGGGGGTGGGATCTGCTGAGCTAGACCACTTGGGTCCCTGGCTTCAGCCCCCTTTCCAGAAGAATGAATGGTTCTGTCTTGCTGGTGTTCCAAGTGCCACTGGGGTATGAACAAAAACTTCTGCAGCTAGCTCTGTGTCTGCCCAAATGGCAGGCCATTTTTGTGCTTGAAACCCAGGACCCTGGTGGTATAGGCACTTGAGGGAATCTCCTGGTGTGCGGGTTGTGAAGACCATGGGAAAAGTGTAGTATCTGGGCTGGAATGCACTGTTCCTCAGGGCACAGTCCCTCATGGCTTCCCTTGGCTAGGGGAGGGAATTCCTCGACCTCGTGTGCTTCCCAGGTAAGGTGACATCCCACCCTGCTTCTGCTTGCAGTCAGTGGGCTGCACCCACTGTCTAACCAATCTCAATGAGATGAGCTGGGTACCTCAGCTGGAAATGCAGAAATCACCTGCCTTCTGCATTGATCTTGCTGGGAGCTGCAGACTGGAGTTGTTCCTATTCAGCCATCTTTCCAGCCACCTCTGGTAATATATCAAAACTATATATTAATGACACTAATTATTCTCTGCAATAATGAAACAAGTTCAATTTTTTTATTTCTAAGATAATAAGGATTTATGTGTTAAAATGTTAATGAGCATACATTGCAATAATCATAATAATAGTATGTACAATTCACCAAACATATTAAAAATTCTGATAAATGATTATTAAACAAAAAAGGTGAAAATATATTTTGAGTACTTTTTTAATGAGTTAAATGAGGAGGAAATTTGAATAAATTACCCTTGGCTGAATGAATTGTCTCCATTAATTTTTTCCCTTTTTTATTTTCATGAAATATTTGAAACCTTTCAGCAACATGCTATTTTAAGACTGTGGCTGAGTGGGAGCCATGTCTTCCTTTTATAACATGGACAATCACGATGCAGGCAGTGCAGTAGAGAAGAAACTCGGCCAGAGCTACCTTCTCAGGTGGATCAATTCAGAAAAAAATGTGGATTATGATGATCTAAAAATGAATTTCCTAAACAATTTCCATGTGCATGTTCTTTTTCAAAGTCTTTGTCTCTTCCAAAGAGTGGAAGTAATTGCCTTCCAGTCTGAAGACCAGCAGTCTATGTGTAGTTTAACCAGAACATATTAGAATGGGATTTTTATCTCCCTCATGTTAATAACAATCCTTTTATTAATACAACCAAAGATCACATTAAATATTTCAGGGGCCAAATTATACTCTAAATTTATATAAGCCCCACAGTTACCTTTAAATTAACTTTCAAGTCCTTTCTAGCTATGCTGTTCCTAAGTTATGTCCTTCCCCCATTGTGTACTTACATAAGCTTAAATTTATCTCAGTCAGATTTCATCCTTTTAGATTCAATTCTTACTCCAGAATGTTGAGATATTTTTGGATTGTGATTCTATCTTCAACCCACATAGAGAATATTTGAAGAGTATAGGCATATATTCCTAGGATCTAAAAAATGCAACATTTTCCAAGGATTTTCTTTTCAATAATCAAAATATAATTTTGCTACACTTCAAGGTAGTTAGTTTTTAGATAGTTCATCAGAAAAGACTTATAAAGGTATTCGATTTTTGAGAGGTGCTGGACTCTGATTTTAGTTCTTTCACATCATTCATTCATTCAACAACCATGAGTGCTTCCTGTGTTCTGGGCTTTGTGTTAATCACCATGAAATCAGAGATGAGGAAGATGATTCTACCTGAGTAAAGTGAGCATAAGAATTAAGAAAGCCATTAATAACAGTGCACAGTGATAAACACTATAAAATACATATGTCCAAGCTGGTCTAGGAGTACCCAGGAGGGGTATCTGATTCATGTAAAAGGAAGATAGCCAACAAAGAATTTGTAAAGTAGGTGACATAGGAATATAAAAGAATAAATAAAAGCAAAGTGTGCAAAGAACAGGGCATATGCAGTGGGTGGAAGAAAGGGTATTTCAAGAAGAATGCATAACCCATAATGTGAATTCATGGAAGTACAGAGTATTTCAAATTTTCAAACCTATGGAACAGAAAAGGCAGAAAAGGAAAATTCAGGCTAAAATGAAATGAGACACTTTAAGAAATGCAAGGAGAAAAAATAGTTTATTCACTTTGTTGTCAAAGAACAATAATCAAATATGATTAATTTTTTTTTGAATTTTGTGAAAATGAGAAATCTCATCAGTAAAATATGTACCTGGCACAGAGGCAAGTGAAACCCTACCTTATGACATCCAGACTTTTAATATTGGATTTCTAAGGAATTTGACGACTGAGTACAGATGCTACTACCTCTTCCTTGATTCTCTTCCCCCATCTCTGTCTTAGTCAGTTGCGTATCCCTGTGATGGTTAGTATTAAGTATCACCTTGATTGAACTGAAGGATGCAAAGTATTGTTCCTGTGTGTGTCTGCAAGGGTGTTGCCAAAGGAGTTTAACATTTGAGTCAGTGGACTGGGAGAGGCAGACCCACCTTCAGTGTGGGTGGGCACCATCCAATCAGCTGCCAGAGCAGCTACAATAAAGCAGGCAGAAGAAGGTGGGAGAAGTCAACTTGCTGAGTCTTCCAGGCCTTCATTTTTTTCCCATGCTGGATGCTTCCTGTTCTTAAACGTCAGACTCCAAGTTCTTCAGGTTTTGGACTCTTGGACTTAGACCAGTGGTTTGCCTGGGGCTCTCGGGCCTTCGGCCACAGACTGAAGGCTGCATTGTTGACTTCCCTACTTTTGAGTTTTGGGACTCGGACTGACTGCCTTGCTCTTCAGCTTGCAAAGGGCCTATCGTGGGATGTCACCTTGTAATAGCGTGCATCAGGACTCCTTAAGAAACTCCACTTCACATATACATCTATCCTATTAGTTCTGTTTCTCTAGAGAACCCTGACTAATACAGATTTTGGTACCGGGAGTGGTTCTAATGGAACAGAATTTTAAGGATGATTTTTTTTTTTTTTTAGTTGGTTTTGAGGTTTCTGGAGTTGGCTGCTTAATCTGATTAGACCTCAAAATCCTGAGGATTCTACTTCTAATAGTATGGAGAACACTGATAGTCCCTGTTTTGAACTGTTTAGAGAGTTATGCAAAGTAAATGCATTTGATACTACTGATTCACCACGCTTGAGGGGCGAGGAGTTTAGTGACTCTATACGTAATACTTTCGACCATTTGTGCAGAACCAGGGAATATAATGAAGTTGGTTGGTTGCTCCTAAGTTTGCTGGACAAAGTGATGAAAGAAAAGAATGAGCTCAGGGATTCTAAGTCCTGGTTCCAGAAACACACACTGAGCCTCAAGTCTTCTAAGATTGCCCTGAGTGAAAGTCTTATCTCCTGTAGATAAAGGGCTGAAATTGTGGAAAATCAGACACGAGCTCTTTAATGTGCATGTCTGATCTGCAATGAAAGGTGCACACTCAGTCTCACCAGGTGTCTACTGTTAAAGTGAGGTCATTAATTGGAAAAGAATGGGATCCTGCAACTTGGAATGGGGATGTGTGGGACAACCCTGATGAAGCTGGGGGCACTGAGCTTGTAAACTCTGATGAGGCTTTTTTGCCAGGGGAAACAGCCTCCCACCCCCAGTGGTGGCAACATCCCCTCCCCCACCCAGGCTGCCATCAGCTTTTCCACTGTTGTCTGAGGAGATTAACCATGCACTGCCTGAGGCAACAGTGATGGCCTCCTCTGAGACAGTTGCCAAGCAAGACAATGCTGATTCTTCTCAGGACCCACCCCCAACACCCCCATTTGCTTCTAGACCTGTAACTAGAATCAAGTCCCGGCAGGCCCCTATAGGTGAGGTTCTGTGTGACCCATGACAAGGTGCATTACATTCCAAAAGAACTGCTTAAGTTTTCTAATTTATATCAGCAGAAATCTGGAGAACAGATATGGGAATGGATATTAAGGGTGTGGGATAATGGTTGGAAGGAACATAAAGTTGGATCAGGCTGAATTTATAGATATGGGCCCACTAAGCAGGGATTCTGCATTCAATGTTGCAGCTCAGGGAGTTTAAAAAGGCTCTAATAGTCTATATGCTTGTTTAGCTGAAATACGGATCAAAAGATGGCCCACTGTGAATGAGCTGGAAATGCCTGATCTCCCTTAGTTTTAATGTAGAGGAAGGGATCCAAAGGCATAGGGAGATTGGAATGCTAGAGTGGATTAGTCACTTTAGACCTACTCATCCTAGCTGCGAGGGTCCAGAAGACACACTCTTCACCAATACCTTGCTAAATAGATTTGTGAGGGGAGCACCTGCATCCTTGAAGAGCTCTGTGATTGCTCTTCTCTGTACACCAGCTCTTACAGTGGGAACCACAGTCACTCAAGTGGAAAATTTAAATGCAATGGAAATAATTAGATCCTGGGGTGGCAGGAGCCAAGTGGCAGCATTCAACTGTCAAAAGCAAGGTGGGTGTAGTTACTGTAATGGAGAGCAGAGGGAAAGCAGCACTCAGAATAGTCTGACTCATGTAAAGCTCTGGCATTGCCTAATTAATCACAGTGTTCCTAGAAGTGAAATTGATAGGATACCTAATGGATTCTTACTTCATTTGTATAAGCAGAAAACTTCCAGGCTGAGTGACCAAAAGACAAATTTGAGTTATTAAAAACAGAGAATTGTGGCCCCTCAATCAACTTTCAGACTTGAGCCAGTTTACAGAGTTTACAGACACAGAATCCCTTGAATGAAAGGGATGCTGGATCCCCTTAAGGAAGGACTCCACTACAGTACCAACAATTTAGGCTGTTAATCTTTCTCTCATCCTTCCCCAAGACCTCTGTCCTTTTACCAGGGTAACTGTGCATTGGGAAAGGGAAATGGTTAGACTTTTCAGGGACTACTGGACGCTGGCCCTGAGCTGACGTTGATTCTAGGGGACCCAAAACATCATTGTGGTCCTCCAGTTAAAGGAGGGGCTTATGGAGGTCACGTGATGGAGGTTTAGTTCAGGTCTGACTTGCAGTGAGTCCAGTGAATCCCACAGGATTCATCCTGTAGTCATTTCCCCAGTGCCAGAATGCATAATTGGCATAGACATACTTAGCAGCTGGCAGAACCCCCACATTGGCTCCCTGACTGGTAGGCTTTCATACTAGGAAAGGATAAATGAAGGCCATTAGGGCTGCCTCTACGTAGAAAAATAGTAAATCAAAAACAATATTGCATCCCTGGAGGGGTTGCAGATATTAGTGCCACCATCAAGGACTTGTAAAACACAGGGGTGGTGATTCCCACCACATCCCCATTCAGCTCTCCTATTTGGCCTGTGCAGATGACAGATGTATCTTACAGAATGACAGTGGATTATTGCAAGCTTATCCACGTGGTGACTCCAATTGCAGCTGCTGTACCAGGTGTGGATTTATTGCTTGAGCAAATTAACACAACTCCTGGTACCTGGTATGCAGCCATTGATTTGGCAAATGCTTTTTTCTTCATTCCTGTCCATAAGGCCCACCAGAAGCAATTTGCCTTCAGCTATCAAGGCCAGCAATATACCTTCACTGTCTACCTCAGAGGTATATCAACTCTCTGGCTTTGTGTCAGAATCTTGTTTGCAGAAATCTTGATTGCTTTTCTCTTCCACAAGATATCACACTAGTCCATTACATTGATGACATTATGCTGATTGGATCCAGTGAGCAAGAAGTAGCAAACACACTGGACTTATTGGTGAGACATTTGCATGCCAGGGGATGGCAAACAAACCCAACTAAAATTCAGGGAACTTCAACCTCAGTAAACTTTCTAGGGGTCCAGTGGTGTGGGGCCTGTTGAGATATTCCTTCTAAGGTGAAGGATAAGTTGCTGCATGTGGCCCCTTCTACAACCAAGAAAGAGGCACAACACCTAGTGAGCCTACTTGGATTTTGGAGGCAAAAGTTCTCATTTGGGTGTGTTACTCTGGCCCATTTGTTGAGTGACTAGAAAGGTTGCCAGTTTTGAGTGGGGTTCAGAATAGGAGAAGGCTCTGCAACAGGTCCAGGCTGCTGTGCAAGCTGCTCTGCCACTTGGGCCATATGACCCAGCAGATTCAATGGTGCTTGAAGTGTCAGTGGCAGACAGAAATTCTGTTTGGAGCCATTGGAAGGCCTCCGTAGGTGAATCATAGCAGAGGCCTCTAGGGATTTGGATCAAGGCCCTGCCATCATTTGCAGATAACTACTCTCCTTTTGAGAGACAGCTCTTGGCCTGTTACTGGGCTTTGGTAGAAACTGAACTTTTGACTATGGGTCATCAAGTCACCATGCAACCTGAACTGCCCATCATGAACTGGGTGGTTTTGGACCCATCTACCCATAAAGTTGGGCATGTATAGCAGCATTCCATCATCAAATGGAAGTGGTATATATGTGATCAGGCTTGAGCAGGTCCTGAAGGCACAAGTAAGTTACATGAGTAAGTGGCTCAAATGCCTATGGTCCCCACTGCTGCCACCATGCCTTCTGTCCTCCAGTCTGTCCCAATGGGCTCATGGGGAGTTCCCTATGATCAGTCAACAGAGGAAGAGAAGACAGAGGCCTGGTTGTCAGATGGTTCTGCACAACATGCAGGCACCACCCGAAAGTGGACAGCTGAAGCACTACAGCACCTTTCTAGGACATATCTGAAGGACGTTGGTGAAGGGAAATCTTCCCAGTAGGCAGAACCTTGAGCATTGCACCTGGTTGTGCACTTTGCATGGAAGGAGAAATGCCCAGATGTGTGATTATATACTGATTCATGGGCTGTAGCCAATGGTTTGGCTGGATGGTCAGGGACTTGGAAGAAGCGCGATTGGAAAACTGGTGACAAAGAAATTTGAAGAAGACGTGTGTGGATGGACCTCTTTGAGTGGTCAAAAACTGTGAAGATATTTGTATCTCATGTGAATGCTCACCAAAGGGTTACCTCAGCAGAGGAGAATTTCATGTAGATAAGATGACTCGTTCTGTGGACACCACTCAGCTCTTTCCCAGCCAACCCTGTCATCACCCAATGAGCCCATGAACAAAGTGGCCATGATGGCAGGGATGAAGGTTACAATAGGCTTAATAACATGAACTTCCACTAGCCAAGGTTGACCTGCCTACAGCCACTGCTGAGCATCTAATTTGCAAACAACAGAGACCAACACTGAACCTTAGATATGGCACCATTCCTGGGGGTGATCAGACAGCTATTTGGTAGCAGGTTGATTATATTGGACCTCTTCCATCATGGAAAGTGAAGTGGTTTGTCCTCATCGGAATAGACACTTACTCTGGCTATGGGTTTACCTATCCTATATGCAATGCTTCTGCCAAGATTACCATCTATGGACTCATGGAATGCCTTATCCACTGTCACGGTTTTCCACACAGCATTGCCTCTAACCAAGAAACTCATTTTATGGCTAAAGAAGTGTGACAGTGGGCTCATGCTCATGGAATTCACTGGTCTTACCATATTACCCATTATCCAGCAGGTGGATGGAATGGCCTTTGAAATCAAAATTACGATGCCAACTAGGTGACAATACTTTGCAGGGCTGGGGCAAAGTTCTCCAGAAGGCTGTGTATGCTCTGAACCAGTGTCCAATATATGGTACCATTTTTCCCATAGCCAGTATTCATGGGTCCAGGAATCAAGGGGTGAAAGTGGAAGTGGCACCTCTCACCATCATCTCTAGTGACCCACTAGCAACATTTTGCTTCCTGTTTTCACGACATTACATTATGCTTGCTTAGAGGTCTTAGTTCCAGAGGGAATAATACTGCCACCAGGAGAGACAACAATGATTCCATTAAACTGGAAGTTAAGATTGACATCTGGACACTTTGGGCTTCTCCTACCTCTAAGTCAACAGGCTAAGAAGGAAGTTACAGTGCTCGCTGGGGTGACTGACACAGACTATCAAGATAAAATCAGTCTACCACTCCACAGTAGAGGTAAGGAAAAGTATGTATGGAATACAGGAGATCCCATAGAGCATCTCTTAGTATTACCATGCCCTGTGATTAAGGTCAATTGAAAACTACAATGACCCAATCCAGGCAGGACTACAAATGGCACAGAACCTTCAGTAATGAAGGTTTGGGTCACTCCAACAGGTAAAGAACCATGGCGGCTGAGGTGTTTGCAGAAGGCAAAGGAAATACAGAATGTGTAGAAGAAGGTAGTCATCAATACCTGCTATGACCATATGACAGAAATGAGGATTGTAATTGTCCTGAATATTTTCTACTTGTTTTGTTAAGGATATATTTGTGCATGTATACACTTGTACTAAGAAAATATCTTCATTTTGGCCGGGCGTGATGGCTCATGCCTGTAATCCCAGCACTTTGGGAGGCTGAGGCGGGCGGATCACAAGGTCAGGAGATTGAGACCATCCTGGCTAACACGGTGAAACCCCGTCTCTACTAAAAAATACAAAAAATTAGCCAGGCGTGGTGGCAGGCGCCTGTAGTCCCAGCTACTCAGGAGGCTGAGGCAGGAGAATGGTGTGAACTCGGGAGATTGTGCCATTGCACTCCAGCCTGGGTGACAGAGTGACAGGGTGAGACTCCTTCTCAAAAAAAAAAAAAAAGAAAAGAAAAGATCATCATTTTGTTAACTTTATTTTCCTTTATCATGTTGCATAAGATTTACTGACTTCATATCAGCATTCAAGTGTTGTTAACTTTATGTAATATCATTTAGGTTAAGGATTAGTGTGCTTTCAGTTGTACAAGAATAGCTATATTGTTAGGTGTAATGATGATCTTAAAATTGTCTTTATTTGAAGATTATATATAATTTCAGGAGATGTGTATGGGTTCAAGTTGACAAGGGGTGGGCTTGTGATGGTTAATATTAAGTGTCAACTTGATTGAAGGATACAAAGTATCGTTCCTGGGTGTGTCTGTGAGGGTGTTGCCAAAGGGGCTTAACATTTGAGTCAGTGGGTTGACAGAGGCCGACTCACCTTTAATGTGGGTGGGCACTATCCAATCAGCTGCCACCACAGCTACAATAAAGCAGGCAGAAGAAGATGGGAGAAGCCAACTTGATGCGTCTTCAGGCCTTCATCTTTCTCCTGTGCTGGATGCCTCCTGTCTTTGAACATCAGACTCCAAGTTCTTCAGCTTTTGGACTTTTGAACTTACACCAGTGGTTTGTCTGGGGCTCTTGGGCCTTTGGCTACAGACTGAAGGCCGCACTGTTGGCTTCCCTACTTTTGAGGTTTTGGGACTCGCACTGGCTGCCTTGCTCCTCAGCTTGCAGACAGCCTATCATGCAACTTCACCTTGTGATGGTGTGAGTCAATACTCCTTAATAAACTGCACTTCATATATACATCTATCCTATTAGTTCTGTTTCTCTAAAGAACCCTGACTAATATAATCCCTATCACCTACAAAAGTGTCTGCCACTTCTGGTGTTTAGGTCATGTTGTTTCATTGAATATAATAGGGTCACTTTAAAAATTGTAAA
This sequence comes from Homo sapiens, assembly GCF_000001405.40. NCBI lineage: Eukaryota > Metazoa > Chordata > Mammalia > Primates > Hominidae > Homo > Homo sapiens. The sequence continues at coordinate 223,303,028 of NC_000002.12, forward strand.
TGCATGTATATTATGAAATAATGTTTGTATTAAGTACTATTAATACCACTAGAAAAAACAAAAACAACACTGAAAATACTGAACCTATTCCTTCTGAGGAAGTGACAATGTAGTTATAAAATGTGCCACAGTAGTATTACCTACCTACATGTTGATTTGGTAGGGTTCTCTGGATAATCTTCCTTTTTGAAATGTAGATTTCCAAGAAAAAGCTACTGTGGACTGAGAGTTTATTCCTTTAGTCACCAGGTTGTCTCCTAACTTCCATAGAGCTTGTAAACTTATGTTATCAGGAATGTGGTAGAACTTTACTACAGTGCAGTAATTGAAATATCAATGAAAATATCATAACTGAATTGTAATGGTGTAATTGGTTATGGTGAGGTAAAATGGAAGGGTCATTGGGTTTCTTGGCTTATATGTGTGTAGCCACCCTTGATAAGTGCTAAGCTTACACTCAGTTATCCCATAAAGGGAAGAAAAGCGGGTTCATTCCTGAGGCAGCAGCCTGGGGTTATAGGGCCTAAGTTTAGTCTATGACATTGCTCCTACCTTTGCTGAACACACAAGCAGCTGGAGTAATACCAAGAAGCCTCCATTTCTCTCCATGATCCTGAATATTTCGTGCCTGGAGTGGTGAGAATTATAATTCCGCTGCTCCCCAAATTCTGGGGTGGCAGAAGTAGCCTTAGGAGACTGTCCTCTTTTGTTCTCTTATGTTGTATCTATTTATTCTCTGTAATGAAGGGCTCACTTAAAGGGAAAAGATTACCCTTAAATGTACCTTTAGAACTGGGAAACTAGTTTTGAACTTGATTAAAACATGTGTATTCTGTTTTACAGTTTTCACACCAGTTGTCCAATTGGATCCTCATAGGAACTCAATAATATAAGCAGAAAGGTGTGAAAATAAATTTAGAGTGAATTTATAAGTAACTCACAATTCTCTTTCTCTAATAATGGCACTTCTACTCTAAAGGGAAAGCTATGTCTGAAGCATGCTTTAGAAGTTTCATCTGGAGACCCAAAGCAGAGAACAATAGTACCAAGCTAATTTCCACATTCTAAAATACAGTGCCAGGTCACCAGTGAAGCATTATCAAGGGGGTAGCCTGAAACTGGTTCTGCAACTCCCATATTTTAGCCCCAGGTATTATTTTCTTAAAATGAAGAACTTATTTAGGGGGGAGATTAATGGTGGAAACCCCTTTGAAGAGAGTTCTTATTGAAACACTCTCTGCTCCCCAGATGAAGGGCACACTTATGGAACCACTTGGAGAAACAGGTGTGTCTCCAGGGCTAGATACAAGGACAGCTGCTTGACTTCATCTTCAGATGTCTGAGCATGAGAGGCTAGCTGGAACTGCTTTGATAGCAGAGCATGTAGGAAGGGATTCTCTGGGTGTAAATTAAGTTGCACATATGCATTAGTTCATTTTCTGTTGCTTATAACAGAATATCTAAAACTGAGTAATTTATTTTTAAAAAGGAATTTATTTCTTACACGTGTGAAGGCTGAGAAGTCCAAGGTTGTGTGGGGCACATCTGTTGAGGACCTGCTTACTGGTGGAGACTCTCTGCAGAGTCCCAAGGTGGTACAGGGCATCATATGGCAAGGGAGCAGAGCGTGCTTCTCAAGTGTCTTTTCATTTTTCTGTAAAGCCACGAGTCCCACTTCCATGACAATCCAATTATCCATTAATCTATGAATGGATTAATCCATTCATGAGGGCAGAGCCTTCATGACCCAATCACCTCATAAAGTTCTCCCTTTTTAATACTGTCACATTGGGGATTTAAATGTCAACATCGTTTTAAAGGGACAAATATTTAAACCACAGCAACATGTATCAGTGGCAAGCTAAGAATGTAGGATTTTCCTTCAAACCAATGGATCAATGATAATAGCAGGACTGTAATTATCTTAAAGGAGCCTCCACCTAAGAGGCTATGATGATTGATTTTATGTGTCAACTTGACTGGGCCACAGGGTGCCCAGACATTTGGTCAAACATTATTCTTGATGTATCTGTGAAAGTGTTACCATTTGATTTTGTAGACTGAGTAAAGAAGATGTCCCTCCCCAGTGTGAGTGGGCTTCATCCAACCAGTTGAAGACCCAAATAGAACAAAAACGCTAAATAAGAGGGAACTCCTTCAGCCTAACTGCTGGAATTGGACATTGGTGTTTGCTTGCCTTTAGACTCAAACTGAAAAATTGGCTCTTCTTGGGTCTTGAGCCTGCCAGTCTTCTAACTGAATCTTACACCATTTGCTCTGCTGACTGCAGGTCTTGGAACTTAGCCTCCATAATCATGTGAGACAATTCCTTACAATAAAGCCATCTATCTGTCTATTATCTATCTATCTATCTATCTATCTATCTATCTATCTATCTATCTATCTATTCACCCACCCACATATATATCTCCTACTCTGGAGAACCCTGACTAATACAGAGGCCTATCTAGATGGCTGCACTGCTGGGAACCAGGGTTTGAGGGAGAGACTATAGATAGTTCCTGTGCTGGGGTAGTTTTCCTGTGAGGTTGGATCATCAAAGAACCCAAAAAGCACTCTTTGAGAGTAGACACCTACCACTTCCAAAGTCAGATTGTAATGTCAAGAAGATTCTTCTCTTTCCCACTAATTCTTCTTCACCTCTGCAGCTGACTAAGGAGGAACAAGAAACAGCAGCTAAAGGACAAGAAAGTAAGGGAAGATAGGAAGAGAGAATGGAGAAATTTTAAATTAGAAGTGAGTTTTAGAGTTTGATATTAAATTACACTGAACATTTTAATATCTGTAAGTCATCAGAAAAGACATGAAATTTTCTCCAGTTTTCTCCCAGGTGGGAAGCAATGATTCATGGAGTGGGATTAAGGCAGCAGTGGTGAGATAGAATAAAATTGCTTTCTGCTTGTAGCTTTGAAGTACAATTTAACACCATGGTTACATTTTTATTGCATGAAGCTGTTCCTTTGACTCAAATGACTGAACGAATGAAAAATGGATCACAACTTGAATGGATGGCAATTAAATTTTGCATCCTACTAATTTATATTTGGTATAAAGATGGCATTCTTGACTAGTTCCTTGAGTAAAAGAGAAGCAGAGAAGTGGTTCTGCAGAGGGAAAAGATTGCAGCAGATCAGTGTAGAGAAGCACAGTTGAGACACAAAGATGAAGACTTGTCTTCTGATGGCTTCAAGTTCCTGTTTTCAGCCTTAAACTGATATTGGTTCATGAGATACTGTATCCTTCCAGTAAATGCATCTTTTTTTTTTCCTTAAACTTGTTGATTTGTTACCTATTACTTGTAACCAAGAGATATGCTACCAATACAGACAGGTACTACTCTCATTTTACAGATAATCTGAATAAGCTCTGTATTAGTCCATTCTCATGCTGCTATAAAGAACTGCCTGAGAATGGGTAATTTATAAAAGAAAGAGGTTTAATTGGCTCGCAATGCCGCATGGCTGGGGGGAGGCCTCAGGAAACTTACAATCATGGTGAAAGGGGAGGCAAACACATCCTTCTCCACATGGTGGCAGCAAGGAGAAGTGCTGCGTAAAGGGGGAAAACCCACTGTAAAACCATCAGATCTCAGAGAGCTCACTCACTATCACCAAAACAGCATGAGGATAACTGACCCCATGATTCAATTATCTCCCTCCAGGTCCCTCCCCCCACACTTGGAGATTATGCTAACTACAAATCAGGATGAGATTTGGGTGGGGACACAGCCAACCCATATCAGAATCAAAGAGAGCAGAATTACCTGTGGATACATAGTAGAAATGATATATTCAGAAACTAGAGAGCAGTCATTATGATGCTACTAAAACTTGTCAGGCTATATTGTAGATACTGATGATATAACAATGAACAAAATAAAATTTGTGTAGAGTGTGAGAGAGAGAATGATGTCTTTAAGATCTGGGGCTTGAACCAGTGAGTGAATGAATATGCCAACTACTGAGATGGGGAATGCTGAGACGGAATGGGATTTTTGGGGGTGGACAATCAGGAACTCTGCTTTTGTCAAGTTGATTTTAAGATGTTTATTAGATGTTCAAGTGGAGATGGATATGAGTTAGTTACAGAGAGTGTTTGGAGTTGAAATTAGCTGATTGGGAGAATCTTGATAATATTTAAAGCCATGCAACTGGATAAAATTATGTAGAGAATGACTAAAGACAGAGAAGAAGTTTCTAAGGCACCCCAACAGGTGGAAATTAAGAAAATGAGTAAGATCTAGCAAAGGAGACTCAGGGAGTACACACAGTGAGGTGGAAAGAAACCCAGAAACTAAGTAAAGATAGGAGATACAGATGAACTGTATCAGTGACTAAATGGCTGCTTCTAGGTGAAATAAAGTAAAAACCAGAAAACTGACCATTGGATTTGGTGGTGTGGGTGTCATTAGTAAACTTGACAGGAGTAATTTCAGTGACAACACATGCAAAGTTGGGTGAGAAATTACAAACTGTAATTTGTCTTTTCATACACTTCTATCTTGGAACTATTGAGATCGAGGAACTAAATTGGATGTCTTGATTACTGAAATTATGTTCCAAGACCTGTCTGACCAAATGTTTTTATATCAAGCCATATAAAGTTCTAGATCTCTGATATAAACATTGTTATTGTGTTTAAATAAACAAAGAGATTGATCATAAATATTTATGAGATTGTAATAGGCATAGAAAAAATTATTTACCAGAAACAAAAGGTTTCTTACTAGCACTGAGAAGGAAGAGCGTCTTTTTTTGGACTCCCGCATTTCCCTTATATAAACTCGGGTTTTCAACTGTCCTCTGACACATATAATTGTCTGGCCAAGCCTGAGAGCAGTGGGGATAAATCTTTGATTAGAGATGGTTCAAAGAGAAGTGAAGGAGAATGGTGCCATCATATAGACTTTTTTTGAGAAATTTTTGTTATGAAAGGGAGCAGAGATTCGGTCCAGTAATTAAAGGAAATTTTCAGGTCATGGAAGTTGTTTTTAAGATGGAAGATATTACAATAATCTTTGTGTGAGGATGGACATGATGCACTAGAAAGAGAAATATTGATGGATGGGTACAGTGCTTGCCTTGGCCCCACAAAGCCTATCATAGGAGCTCTTCCAATGGATATCAGCTATGTATCTGGCCTAAATCCAACTGACCTGCAGCAAACCACATCAATAGATTCCAAGGATGTTGGAACGTGATGCTGCTATTGAGCGAGTTCAGTGCAGCCATCTGCCCAGACTTCAGGAATTAACCTGAAAATACCTTGTATTTTCATTTTTATTGATTAATATTTTAATTAAGAATAAATTAATTATCCAATAGTAGCTCGTATTAAAGAGCCATGCTCCATCACTTTGTGTCTCTTTAATACAAGCTACTACTAGAAAATTAGTGTATTATTTTTAGTTTGGTGATTAACTACAGTAGATCATCAAAGGTCTCCTTTTCTTAGGAATCTGAAATAATCATTATGCTTATGAGATAAGTGTGTATGAGAGTGATTTGAAACAGTTTTGGTAGTCACATTACAAAAGACTGATATGTCAGTCCTTCGACACATATTTTCTTTCTAGTGTTCCTTCTCCAGCCTAAAATTAGTTCATGTTTTATATACCAAGAATTATAGCATGGAAAATGCCAATATTAACTAAGCTAGAATTTGGTTTTATTGGTGAACTAATCCTAAACCACTCCATGTTCTAGATAATCTTGGTCTTCAGAAACTCTATATTGATATGAGACCAAATCCCTTACGTGGCTTTTCATGTCCCGATTCAGTGATCTCTAGTTGGCTACCTTCAGTTTTTTTTTCTTTTTTTGAGATGGAGTCTCACTCTGTCGCCCAGACTATAGTGCAGTGGTGCAATCTCAGCTCACTGCAACCTCTGCCTCCCGGGTTCAAGCAATTCTCTGTCTCAGCCTCCTGAGTAGCTAGGATTACAGGTGCCCACCACCACGCCTGGCTAATTTTTGTATTTTTAGTAGAAACGGGGTTTCACCATCTTGGCCAGACTGGTCTTGAACTCCTGACCTTGTGATCCACCTGCCTGGGCCTCCCAAAGTGCTGGGATTACAGGTGTGAGCCATTGCGCCCAGACTACCTTCAGGTTTATATTCTTGTAGAAAAAAAGTTGAATAGGAATGGATTTAGAAGGCATGTATCTGGCTGGGCATGGTGGCTCATGCCTGTAATCCCAGCACTTCTGGAGGCTGAGGCGGGTGGATCACCTGAGGTCAGGAGTTCAAGACCAGCCTGGCCAACATGGTGAAACCCCGTCTCTACTAAAAATACAAAAATTAGCCAGGTGCGGTGGTGGGCGCCTGTAATCCCAGCTACTCAGGAGGCTGAGGCAGGAGAATTGCTTGAACCCAGGAGGCGGAGGTTGCAGTGAGCCAAGATCGCGCCATTGCTTTCCAGTCTGGGCCACAGAGTGAGACTCCGTTTAAAAAAAAGAAAAGAAGGTATATACCTTCCCATTTTCATAAATCCCACCATTTTCTATTATGTCATCTTTGGCTGTGTCATGTAGTTGTGGTTCCTGTTTAGTCCACATAGGCATTTGATTTCATGACCTTTGCATAAAATGAAATAATCTACCGAGGTTTGCATTTTTCCTAGCAGGAAAAAACATTCTATTCAGATAATTCAACTGAAGAGAATACATTCAGGTATTACTTAAGACATGAGGGTAAGAATAAACGACTGAAAAAAAGAATGATTAAGTGCTCAGAGGCTGGAAACAGAGGGAGGCCGTTACCATCCATAGGCCTGAGGGCCAAGAGGAGCAAATAGTATCCCCAGAGCCCAGAAGGTGTGAGAGCTGTGGAGGAGGGAACCACAGTGCTGAAATGGGGTCGGGGTACTCAATTCCCCTTTTCTCTGCTTTAAGATCTCCCTCCTATTGGGAGTCACACCTAGCCAGAAGCCAGTCCAACAAGGGAACACCAATGCAGCTCATAACGGTGAGCTGCTTGGGACCCAGAGGTTACAAATGGGGAAAAACAAGTCTGAATGAAACACAAGCTTAAGACACATGCTCACAGATATTCACAGGTGTGTGTGTGTGGAAGACCACTGGACAACTTTGCCATTGAGAATAATCTGTATTTCCTGAATTCGATAGCTCTGTATATGTTTAAATCCTAGAGATTTCAAAGTAATAAGAACCAGAAGGTATCTGCCATACACAGTGCCCACAGTATGAGCTGACACTGAGAATTCAAAAGAGCTGAAACTCTACCTTACTTACATGGAGGTTTAACTGCTGATGCAACTCCTGAGGTTCTAGCCCAGATCAAACCAGAGGAGCCTTGTCTTGTTCTGGCTGATGGTGCTGAACTGGGCAGCTAAATTTGCCCACCTCAGTGTGCCATTTGGTTTATTCCAGAATCTACCTGGTATTTCCAGGTTTGAAGGATCACCCAGGACAGGGCTAATATCATCTGGAACAGTTCCTCCTTACACTGAATTTTTACTCTTTAGACCTAGAAACATACAAAGTTGGGTGAGAAATTACAAATTGTAATTTGACTTTTCTACAGTTCTATCTTAGAACTATTGGCATTGAAGAACTAAATTGGATGTCTTGATTACTGAAAGCATGTTCCAAGACCTGCCTGATCAAATGTTTTTATATCAACCCATATAAGGTTCTAGAGCTCTGAAATAAACATTGTTATTTTGTTTTAAAAAGCCAAAGGAATTGATCATAAATATTTGTGAGATTCTAATAGGCATAGGAAAAAATATTTACTATACAAAAGGTTTTTCATTAGCACTGAGAGGGAAGACAGTCTTGTTTTGGACACTAGCATTTACCTTGTATAAACTTGGGTTTTCAACCATCTCTGACACATATAATTGTCTGGCCAAGACTGAGAGTTTTTGCCAAACATTGCTTACTTGAATGGATATTTCTTACAGATTTCACAAAATTCAATACATTCTTTGTTACCATCTTGTTTGCAAAGCAGGAATTGTCCCAGAGCTATTACGCCTCCTGGTTAAATTGGAGAGTTCAATAGTTTCTCTGATCCAACATCCTAAAGGCATCCCCTTGGCAGCGGATGTGCTGCAAATGTTCCCTAATGAGTTAACATCTAAGTTATGCTTTATCAATTAGTCTTGCTATACGTGACCCTCTTGTGAGTATAAAAAATGTTTTCCAAATTCACTGGTACATCTAAAGGAAGATTGTTTTTGTTTTGTGGATGCAAGATGTCAGCGGTGTGAAAGGGGGAAATCACATATCAGTTTAACTCTGTAATGGTTTTATTTTCTTAATCTGCTATTTGAAGAAATCATTTTAAAAAAAAACCTACACTAACTTGAAAGTCTATATTAGATGTTATTATTCAATGTGACCCTTGGGTGCATTTGCCAAAAATAAGTTTGATTTTCTACATTTGCAAATACGCTAAAAGTAGGAAAATTAAACCATCCATCTTTTATTATAAACTTTCATTCACTAGACATGTGTAATAGGCAAGGTATGAGCACACGCCTGGTCTCCAACTGCCTGGTTTCTGATATGCATTCATATAAATGAATCCCAATGGCTATATCTAAGGAGAATATTAAAAGCTGCTTCTGAACACTTTTATTCTATTGTATTTCATTTTATTTATTCATTTATTGAGACAGGGTCTCATTCTGTCTCCCAGGCTAGAGAGCAGTGGTGTGATCTCGGCTCACTGCAACCTCCACCTCCCAGGTTCAAGTGATTCTCCTGCCTCAGCCTCCCAATAAGTAGCTGGTATTACAGGCATGCACCACCATGCCCGGCTAATTTTTTTTTGTATTTTTAGTAGAGATGCGATTTTGCTATATTGGGCAGGCTGGTCTCGAACTTCTGGCCTCAAATGATCCGCCCGCTTTGGCCTCCCAAAGTGCTGAGATTACAGGCATGAGCCACCGTGTCCGGCTGGCTCCTGAACACTTTTAACCACATCTGAGAGAGTTTAAAGAAAATATTTACCTACTTTGGAAAAGAATAAAGGCTATTATTCATACTCATAGACAATCAGCTGAGCTTGCTATAATTTCTGCTGAGAGCAATTATGTTCCAGATAAGAATATTTTTATATGCAGAGGCCTAGGTTTAAGTCAAAGTCAGTAAGTCGATATAGGAATGAATATACAAATTCTGCGACTAACTTAAAGGCAAAACTCTCTTGCCCAATTTCCAAGCAAGTTCCATGAGACACTGGAGTAAGCAGCTGTCCACTTTATTCTGGTGAGGGATTTTTCCTGTTAAAGAACTTTGTCATTAGCTACTGTAGTTTCACCCTCCCCATCATGCCTATCTGGAGCTTCTCTAATTAGGCTTTTTTCTTTTTTTTTTTCTTTAAGGTTAAGACTGTGAGCTTCCAAAAGACTAATGCACCATGTAGATATGTCCCAAGAGAATGACATGCTGAGCCATTAGTTGCTCATCATACAATTAACCCAGAGCAGTGGATCAGCTTGAATGGTTATCACCCAGTAGGGCCCAGAGAAAATAGGACACCTCATTTGCACGGTTTGATGTGAGAAATAGAAGAGAGAATTAGGGAATAAAAAAAATTGAAATACGGGAATAAAGGGGAACGCAGGTCTTCGTGGAGAACTCCTAAGAAGCTTATAAACCAAATTGAGTAACAAAACCACACATACAGAATTACATTAAAAAGTGGCCCAATTAAGATTTTCACCTCCTCTCTGCCTTGTAACCCTTCCTGTCATTTCCTTGTTCCAGGGAAATCTGCTTTTATAATTTTAGCAAAGGAGGAGCTTTTCTTATCAGTCAGCCTGAGAGAGTTTCCCCACATATTTTGGGGAAATTCACAATTGATTACCTACTTGGTACATGGCATTAAATTTTTTATTATATTAATGTTTCTTTGTGAATAGTTAGACTTTCCTTCTTTAAGATAGGCTGCTTTCATGACTGACATCATATAATCTACCTGTCACTCTCCTCATGGCTCTCAATCCTGCTCAGGACCAGAACAACTGGCCATTGCCTAAGAAAAAATTTCAGGGCCATGGAAAATGCCCCCCATCCCTCAAATTTTGAAATCTAAATTTCTGGTCCAAGGGTTTAGTGCAGATCTTGTGTCATTAGGCCTTCTTCTCTGGGCTCTCCTCCTGGTGGCAGAATGTTTGCCAATGATGCTAGGCAGACATCCTGGTCACTCAGTAATCCCAACAGAATGAAGACTCCCCTTCCACTGTTCTAACAAAAGACTCAGGGTGGCATTGACTCACTGATCTCACTTTATCATCTCTATGGCAATCACTATGTCCGAATGAATGCAATAGTTTAATGAATATGGCCTGAGTCACATGCCCATCTTTGAAGTAAAGGATGGAGGAACTTCCCAAATCTTAAGGATTGAGAGTGAGAGAGGAATAGTTCCCAAGGAAAACCGGTTGTCATTACCAAAAGAATACAAGAGTAATGGATGTCCACTATAACCTTGTGGCTTAAAAGGGCCTTCCTCCTTTTCTTGTAACCTAGTGGTTTAATTATAATGTTTTTTTTTTCCTTAGTTGACTGATTAGAAGGTGAGAAGAAAATTTCCTGCCTCACCATTTTTCCAGTGTGTCAAAAAGACAGCATGCTCTTAATCACCCATTGGATGAAATATGACATTTTAATGACAATTCCAGGTATGACTCCATCATAGTTAGTAAATTTTAACCCCTGTGCTATTTATCACTTTTCTACACCAGCCTCAAATGACAGCCTAAAAGGGCAACTGCTTGTTAATTTTATAACTTGCAGCAAATAGAGGCACGAGAACTTAAGAAATAGGAATTTGTCTGAGAAGGCCAGGTTGTCATCTGTTTCTCATCCTCATGTGGAGTCAGATGGGTATTTTTGACTAACGAATCTCCATGAGCTAAGTGTGAAGCAGTGTGGGCCAAACAGAACCCCTGAGAGAGTGAGTTACCACTGGCACAGACTCCCCGACAGGTGTGCTGAGTGCTGAGACTGGACGCAGCAGGCTCATGGACTGTTGTCAGTTTCCTGCAGTCATATCACATTGCTTTTCTTTTATTAATTGCTAAAATACACTATAAAATATGGGGTTAAATAAAAACATCCTAAACATTATTTTTATGGCAGTGCACACTAGCTATAAAGGGCTGAATTTTAAAAAATCTCCCCCTGGCAGGGCATAGTGGCTTGTGCCTGTAATACCAGCACTTTGGGAGGCGGAGGCGGGTGGATCACCCGAGGTCAGGAGTTTGAGGCAAGCCCCGCCAACATGGTGAAACTCCGTCTCTACCAAAAATATAAATATTAGCCAGGCATGGTGGCACACGCCTATAATCCCAGCTACTCGGGAGGCTGAGGCTGGAGAATTGCTTGAACCCGAAAGACAGAGGTTGCAGTGAGCCAAGATCGTGCCACTGCACTCCAGCCTGGGTGACAGAGTGAGACTCCATCTCAAACAAAAAAAGTTAAAAGTCTCCCTCATAAACACAATCTTGATATAGCACATTATACACAGTAGGAACTTAATAAATGTTCTCGATGCTGAATGAGTGGATATTAAATGAACTCTTGGAGTCTGTCCATGGAATGCCCTCCTAAATGATGGTCCCTCTTTTCAAGACTGTAGTTCAGCAAGAATGTAGCACTGTGCCTCTACTAGTTGTTTAGAGCCTATGTCCATTCTGATTGGGTTGGAGATCTTTATAATTCAGTGCCCATAAAATACTATTATAAAATATTTTTATATGACTTCTGCCTCTTCTTTACAGGACACTCAACAAGAAATGACTTAAATCTGTTTTTCTTATGCACTGATTCTCTCTTAAGCCTCTTTTATATCAAGACTGTATCTTATTTCCCATTATAACACTAAGGGGTTTCTGATTCGTGCTAAGATGTTAATGGCCCCTTGTGATGCTTTACCAAGGATATGAACCGTGAAGAGGTAATGTCTGAATCCAAAGACTTTAGTCACTAATGACAGCTGATAATGTCAGGCACAATGGCATGTGATATGAAATACTTTGGTTTCAGAGACTTCCTCTTGCCCTTCCAATCAACTCAGTCATCAAGGCCCTACTTTTCCAGAACACCATCCTTGCTCACCTCTTGTTTCTCCCTCCTGGTGCTTCTGTGATCCCTCTTCAGCATTAGAAAATGTTGCACCCATGCCTGTGATGATCAGAGAGACTGCAGCTGGCTTCCCGGTGGACGGAAGACGTCCCATCTTACATGTTATGGACAAAAAGATCAGACTAAAAAGATGAGAATTAACACTTGCATTCTGAAGCATATTTACTAAAAATTAATTTTAAAAGCCAGGGTCAAACTTGTGTATTTATGAAGTTGCATAAACTCACCCTTTAAATCTAAGAAAATGTCCGTCTATGAAATGTAAAGTATTTTAAAACTGCCAGCTGCCTCTCTGTCTCTACCAATGAACTTTAGCCATTTCATTACTGTCAAATGCACACAGAGGAGCATAAAAGGTTGGTTTTAGAATAGCTGCTTGAGGATTCTTAGATATAAAGGAGGGCTTTTTAAAATTTTTCACCATTTTTAAACAAACCATGGGTACTCAGGTTGAATTCAGTGGACATCTTCTAGAGCCACAGGACAACTACTAAGCTCTCGAAAATGAGGGACAGAGCTGCCTGTTAGCTTCGCATTGCAAATGGTCAAAATGGTATATAAATTAAATGAGTGTTGGTGTTAACACATCAGAGAGCTACATAGCCTTTGTTGATAGGCAGTGTGGCAGAAGCTTTGAGGAGTGGGTGGGAGCTCACAGCAATGGCAACAACAACAGTGACACCGTAACACAGAACCCTAAAGCACGGGAAGAGCAGCCTTGTATTATATTGCTGTGGGCACCTGGGACCTGGCTCTGGGTCAGTTTTGGAAGAAGAGCGGGTGACTCTTGACTTTTGGACTTCACCCAAGGGAGGAGAGAATCAGCTTGGAATGAAAGGTTGTCCACAACCTCATTACAAGTGTATTCATCACTGGTTTCCTACACACAATTTTACTTAAGCAAAAGTGCTCTGTTCAGTGTCTTCTGAGGCCACTTTCTGCTTCACCTCAAGCCTCCCAGTCTCCTGTCCACAGGCTTCAGTCTTAACTGTGGGAAATCCAGTGCAAAATTCTTCTTCTATGGTGGCCTCCCAGAACATAATCCGCTCACATGGCTATAGTGTTTTCTTCCTCTCAAACATGATACTTAAGTCTCTACCGTATATTCCATTGCATCCCACTATTTCCCAAACTCTAGTTGTTCCTGTAACACTTTTGTAATTGGTGCCATTTCAAGAACGATCTGGGGCAGTATTTACTTAAAAAAATTGAAATTGGACTCACTTTTTAAAAATTTAAATGAAGTAATTTTAAAAGAAAACATTATACCACTGCTGAAAATGGAAAAGCATTTCACTTGCCATAAACAGAAGGTATCCATGGAAATAAATACAACTGGAGCCAAACAACGTAATTAAACCCTAGCTGCACCCTGGGCCAGCCTGGGTCTCTCCGCCTGAGGCTTGTTCTCTTGAGATTGCAAAGGGAGATGAACCAAGTATGAGAATGATATTAGACACCCTCAGATGAAACTGAGGTTTTCTTCTGAAAGCAGTCAGGATGGAAAACAGTGGCTTTCTAATGTAATATTATTTAGTGTTTTGCTCTCGTCCAGCCTGAAAACATCCTGCATGCCACATAGTACACATCCCACACTTGAGACTCTCATCTTAAAATGCATTCCCCTAACATCATACACTGGGGTCTGTCAGGAGGTGGGGGACAAGAGGAGGGGGAGCATTAAGACAAATACCTGATGCATGTGTGGCTTAAAACCTAGATGATGGATTGATAGGTACAGCAAACCACCATGGCACATATATACCTATGTAATAAACCTGACGTTCTGCACATGTACCCCAGAACTTAAAGTAAAATGCATTCCCCTATATTCCCAGTTACATTTATGCATGTGTTTAATATCTCCCACTAGTTAGTAAACTCTCTGATGATAAGATTGGTACTAAAGGTCTTAGCTTAACTTAATTACTATGTGCAAGTATCTTGATCCTAAGGGTTAGTTAATAAGTAGGGAAATTGATTAGAAAGATAAATAGAATAAAAATACCCTGATATTTCTTATTGTGATTTCATCTCAATCAGCAAAGCCTTACTGAGCAACTATTTAGTGTTAGATGCTGATTAGGTGTTGATGATGTGAGCACTGGGCATACAGTGGTGAATCAACAGAAAAGAAGAAGAGGAAAATTCCATGAGATCCTGGAAATAATAAGATAAATGGGTATCATGAACCATAGATCCATTTTGGGGTTTGACATATGACCCAAATCTTATTACAGTGCTAAATGTATTAAACTAAATCCAGAAGGAAATTACTTTACCAGAATGAAAAAGTAGGATGTCAGATCTTAAAAGGTCAGTGGATGCTTTATTCAGTTTACCAAATAGTGCTAAAAAGTTGCTCATTGGTCACTTTCCTTTAGGGTTCTTGCATTAGGGACCTTCAGCTTATTCTATGACAACACATGATCATTAAGAGGGATTTATTTGGAAATAAAAAACAGAGACATTCCCTAGCCATTTTTCAGGTGAGCTATGTTTTTCCATCTGCAAACTAAGAACTCCTGGGTTGCTGGATCACAGTGATGGCAAACACGTGCACAATGCTTACTAACTACCAAGTGCATTTTCAGTATTTTAAATATATATGAATGAATCAAATCCTCATAATGATTCTAAGAGTAGGTATATTCATTTTCCATTGCTTCCATACAAATTAGCATATGCTTGGCAGCTTAAAACAACACAGATTTATTGTTTTACAGTTCTGTAGGTCAGTAGCTTGAGTGGGGCCTCACTAGGTTAAGATCAAAATGTCTGCAGGGCTGAGTTTCTTTCTGGAGGCTCTAGGGAAGAATCCATTTCCTTGCTCATTCATGTTTCACAGAATTGAGTTTCTCGCAGTTGTGGGACTGAGGTCTCCATATGCTTGCTGGTTATCTGCTGAAGGCTGTTCTCAACTTCTAGAGGCTACAGTCCTCGGCCAAGGCCCTCTTCTTCCATGTTCATGCTTTGAACCTCTCCTGCCTCTTCTTTTCATTGCATCTTTCTGCCTTACTCTTCTGCTTTCCTCTTGCATTTTGAAGGAATTGTGTAATTAGATTGGGCCCACAGAGGTAATACAGGATCATCTTCCCATCTCAAGGTCCCTTAACCATAGTCTCATCTGAAAAGTCTCTTTTGCCATGTAAGGTAACATATTCACAAATTCTTAGAACTAGAGTACACATGTTTTGGGGTGGGGGGGGGGCATTTTTCTGCTGATCACCGTCAAACGCTATTGTTACCATCCTTATTTTTCTAGCAAGGGCTACTCTTTGAAATAATGAGAAAATGGCTGTTTCTCTTTGTTCTTTCTTTAGTTTACAATGGCAGGGCCCTCTCCTACCAAATCCACTTTCAAGAAGAATCTGACATCAGATGTTTGCACTTAGTTTGGCTACACAACAAGGTATGACCTGTTTCAGAAACATTTGCATTAGAATACGTTTGTAATTAAGAAATTAAAGACATTCTCCTCTGGCAGATAGACTTGAAACAGTGGTTTTATTAGAGGAGTTATTTTTGCTTTCTAATTACTTCCTATTAGCAGCCACATATTCCATCTATACTGTGAGTTGCCCCAGTGAGTTCTAAGGCAACAGAGACTCACTTCATTCATCCACCTGACCCAGGACCTATGAGGGAGCATGAATGAATCTCTCCACCCTCCTGCTTTTATCCCCTGTCTCCATCCTATAGATGTCCCTTGGAGTTTCATAATTCAGTGTCTCAAACCCAGATGGTGAAGCTCAGGAGGGAGGCAGCCTTATTTGTTTGGTTCCTCACCATGTCTTCAGCACTAAGTACAGAGCTTATCCTGGAAAAGGGTTGTAGGCAGCTCGTGACATAGCTCCCAGTGGTGCCCAGATTTCTCATCCACAGAAACTGTGGGTTCCAATACAATAAAGGGATATGGATATGGATTTTAAGCCACCATGGTATAAGTTACTTGTTGTGCAGCAACAGGTAACTAATACAAGTAGGCACTTAATATATATTTACAAAATGACTAAATCAAGAAGACATAACAGAAGTATTTACTTCTTTGTGTGCGCTTGATGGTGGCTTGATAATGGCAGTGAGAACTCTAGAGATGAAGAGGTTTGTCTAACACTATAGTTGGCAATTGCTAAGTTACTTGTGCAATTCAAATTTATACACCTGGGAAAATTCTAGAGAAGAATCCAAGAAGATGTTCTATAGCTGAATTCCTTTCTCCCATGCTTAAAGCAGAGCATTGTCCATTAAGGGGCTTGAAATTAGGTGTAGCCAGTTTTCAGCACAAGTTGCTGCCTCACCCTCTGTTTGTCTTTAGAGATGCATTTTTCGGGAAAGACTATGTGGCCAGGAGGCCTCTGCAAATTCCATCTAGTTGGCCCTTGGCAGAGCTGCCCACTGGTTCTTCTGGCATCTTTATTTCCCTTGCCTTGAATTTATTCATTCCTCCCCCTTTTGTGTTGTGGTTGGCTGTATGTTATTAGTGAAGACAAATCCTGAAGCACTTCCTGAAGACAGAGGGGCACCACTCATTTTTCTTAACAATATGTATACTGGTTGTCCTAAGGGGAAGATCACTGCATTAGAAACAAAATACATCATTCCCAACAGGAATATGGACTCAAAGCCAGGTCTGTGGAATGTGGCTGAAATGGAGAAATAACAGCTGTGGTGTTTGGGTTTCTTGAAACCAAGAAATACAGCATATGAAAAGTTCCATTGGAATTTTAACATAGGATTTCTTTCCCACTTGGCTTAGTCTCAGATGGTCAAATAATATGATACAATGTGGCAGCTGAAGGACTAGTTTTAGGATTGGATAGGTGTATATGCCCCATGTGAAAATCTGAGGATACATGCTCAATAATGTATAAAACCTAACCTAGGAGTCCTGCTGGCTGCAAACGTAGCAGCAGAAGATGTATCCAGGTGGAGATCAGCTCATTAGACCATTTCTCCAGCCACACATTAAGTCACCAGCTTTGCTCTGAGACCTTAGACATGTGCTTAGACTTTCCCTGCCAATCTGAAATTCATTGACTCTTCCTCCTTCCTCCATTTCAGTGTCATAGCTATGCAGAGAGGAACCAGGTTACTGAAACTTGGGGTAGGACTTGTCAAAAACTAAAAATGCAGGACATATACATCAAAATGAGATGAGCTGTTTGTTATCTGATTTAAAAAAAAATTTTTTTTAAAGAGAACAAGTCTCACTCTGTCACCCAGGCTGGAGTACAGTGGTGCAATCATAGCTCACTGTAACCTTGAACTCCTGGGCTCAAGCAATCCTCCTGCCTCAGCCTCCTGAGTAGCTGGGACTGCAGGCATGTACGACCATACCTCGTTAATTTTTTTCTAGTTTTTGTAGAGATGGGGTCTCACTATGTTGCCCAGGCTGGTCTTGAATTCTTGGCCTCAAGTGAGCCTCCCACCTTGGCTTCCCAAAGTGTTGGGATTACGGGTATGAGCTACCATGCCCAGCATGACTTTTTTTTTTTTTTTTTTTTGAGACAGAATCTCACTCTCACCCAGGCTGGAGTGCAGTGGTGCAATCTTGGCTCACAGCAAACTCTGCTGCCCAGGTTCAAGTGATTCTTCTGCCTTAGCCTCCCGAGTAGCTGGGATTACAGGCACCTGCCACCATGTCCTGCAAATTTTTGTGTTTTTAGTGGAGATGGGGTTTCAACATCTTGGTCAGGCTGGTCTTGGACTCCTGACCTCGTAATCCACCTGCCTCAACCTGCTAAAGTGCTGGAATTACAGGCATGAACCACCACGAGCATGATTTTTTTAACTGGGCTTTCTTCACGAGTCATCTCAGAGTAATGAGGAGACAACATGATGAAGGCAGACATTGTATTTATCCTTAAAAACATTTTTTCCTTGTTTAATTATTTTTGCCCTCATTTCAAACTTCCTTTCTTATAGTTTACCAAGGAAAGCAGTTGTAAGAGAATAAATTAAGTGGTAAGGAAAATTGAGGTCCATAGCCTTGAGTTCTTGAGATATGGGGTTAAAATGGGTAGAAAGAAACATCGGATGAGTCACCCTTCCACTGTAAGTCCAGCAATGCAAGGATGTTGGATTATGACTTACGTCTTTTTTAATATTTTTATTTGGTGCAGTCTACTTCCTTTACTGGCTGGGGATCAGGGGACTTGGTCACACACCTGGAGAATACACCAGAACTGTAAAGGAATGAGAGAAAGATACATAACCATTGAAGCAGGAGCCCCTGGCCCAATATGTCCACTTTCAACAGAAAGGGGCAGCAGGTTCTTCTTCCAGGCCTTCCTCATCTCCCATCACGGGATTTCCTTCTTTGTTTCTGGTGCCTGTGGTCCTATTGGGGTACCATTGTAAATGCTGAATGGTAACTCAAATTTCCTTCTTTTAGAGAAGAATACTTTGCAATGGGAGATTTTAATGCCTGGACATGGACTTAAACCCTGGACCCTCAGATGAAAAGTCTGCTACTCTACCAACTGAGTTACCCCAACCCTTATGCTCCGCAAAATTCAGTGATGGAAATAACTGCAATATTTTTAAAAATCAAAATTATCAAAAGTGGCCCGGACATGGTGGCTCATGCTTATAATCCTAGCACTTTGGGAGGCAGAGGGAGGAGAAACACTTGAGGCCAGGAGTTCAAGACCATCCTGGGCAACATAGTGAGACCTTATCTCTACAAAACAAAACAAGACAAAGGAAAAACAAATAGTTGGATGTTGTGACTTGTGCCCATCATCCCTGCTACTTGGGAGGTTAAGGTGGGAGGACCTCTTGGGCCTGGGAAGTCGAGACTACAGTAGGCTGTGATTGTGCCACTGCACTCCAGCCTGGGCACCAGAGTGAAAATACCTAGGAATCCAACTTAAAACGGATGCGAAGGACCTCTTCAAGGAGAACTACAAACCACTGCTCAATGAAATAAAAGAGGATACAAACAAATGGAAGAACATTCCATGCTCATGGGTAGGAAGAATCAATATCGTGAAAATGGCCATTCTGCCCAAGGTAATTTATAGATTCAATGCCATCCCCATCAAGCTACCAATGACTTTCTTCACAGAATTGGAAAAAACTACTTTAAATTTCATATGGAACCAAAAAAGAGCCCACATTGCCAAGTCAATCCTAACCCAAAAGAACAAAGCTGGAGGCATCACGCTACCTGACTTCAAACTATACTACAAGGCTACAGTAACCAAAACAGCATGGTACTGGTACCAAAACAGAGATATAGACCAATGGAACAGAACAGAGCCCTCAGAAATAATGCTGCATATCTACAACTATCTGATCTTTGACAAAACTGACAAAAAGAAGAAATGGGGAAAGGATTCCCTATTTAATAAATGGTGCCGGGAAAACTGGCTAGCCATATGTAGAAAAGGTGAAACTGAATCCCTTCCTTACACCTTATACAAAAATTAATTCAAGATGGATTAAAGACTTACATGTTAGACCTAAAGCCATAAAAACTCTAGAAGAAAACCTAGGCAATACCATTCAGGACATAGGCATGGGCAAGGACTTCATGTCTAAAACACCAAAAGCAATGGCAACAAAAGTCAAAATTGACAAATGGGATCTAATTAAACTAAAGAGCTTCTGCATGGCAAAAGAAACCACCATCAGAGTGAACAGACAACCTACAGAATGGGAGAAAATTTTTGCAACCTACTCATCTGACAAAGGGCTAATATCCAGAATCTACAATGAACTCAAACAAATTTACAAGAAAAAAAAAACCCATCAACAAGTGGGCAAAGGATGTGAACAGACACTTCTCAAAAGAAGACATTTATGCAGCCAAAAAACACATGAAAAAATGCTCAACATCACTGGCCATCAGAGAAATGCAAATCAAAACCACAATGAGATACCATCTCACACCAGTTAGAATGGCGATCATTAAAAAGTCAGGAAACAACAGGTGCTGGAGAGGATGTGGAGAAATAGGAACACTTTTACACTGTTGGTGGGACTGTAAACTAGTTCAACCACTGTGGAAGTCAGTGTGGCGATTCCTTAGGGATCTAGAACTAGAAATACCATTTGACCCAGCCATCCCATTACTGGGTATATACCCAAAGGATTATAAATCATGCTTCTATAAAGACACATGCACATGTATGTTTATTGCAGCACTATTCACAATAGCAAAGACTTGGAACCAACCCAAATGTCCAACAATGATAGACTGGATTAAGAAAATGTGGCACATATACACTATGGAATACTATGCAGCCATAAAAAGGATGAGTTCATGTCCTTTGTAGGGACATGGATGAAGCTGGAAACCATCATTCTCAGCAAACTATCTCAAGGACAAAAAACCAAACACCGCACATTCTCACTCATAGGTGGGAATTGAACAATGAGAACACATGGACACAGGAAGGGGAAGATCACACACCGGAGACTGTTGTGGGGTGGGGGGAGGGGGGAGGGATAGCATTAGGAGATATACCTAATGCTAAATGACGAGTTAATGGGTGCAGCACACCAACATGGCACATGTATACATATGTAACAAATCTGCACGTTGTGCACATGTACCCTAAAACTTAAAGTATAATAATAAAAAATAAAAATAAAAAAAGAAAAAGAAAAAATATACATATATATAAATATTTGGTGTAGTCTACCTCCTTTGAAATTGCTAGTGCATAGGAAATTGCTAGTGCATAGTCTTCTACAGTCTTTTGTGCCTTTGAAATTGCTAGTGTGTGTATATATATATGTGTATATATATATGTGTATATATATGTGTGTATATATATGTGTATATATATATGTGTATATATATGTGTGTGTGTGTGTATATATATATGTGTATATATATATATGTGTGTGTGTGTGTGTGTGTATATATATATATATCACAAAAGTATAAATGAAGAGAGATTTGGTATTTCTGACTTTTCCTTTTGCAGCTCCCTCCTGGCTCCACTATGGCTGGGCAGGGCATAGCTTTTCACCTTCTGCTGCTTCCCTGCCTCAATGCTCACGGTGGACTGCCCGCATTTTCCTGCAGCACAGGCAGGGTTGGGGGGCAGGGGCAGCCTCAGGAAACAGCAACCCCTTCCTGTGACTGCCTTCCCACCAGCTCTCCTCTCCTGGCTAACCAGACCTCTTTCAGCTGCAGGATAGTGTAAAATAATCTTTTTCCTTCAGAATGGGGTTCAGGAAAAAATGCAATTTCTGGCTTTACTTATGACAGTGAGAGAAGTGCTATTTCCTCTTCTTTAAGATTCTGTCCTCGCTACTTTGAGGGTCTGTATCTGCAAAGCTGTTGTCACAATTCTACAGATAGGGAAGAAGGGAGCTATTAGTGCCTAGTCCCTCCTGTCTGCAAGAGGGCTATGCGGTACAGCATTATTTTCAAGAGCACCAAATCTGGAGCCAGTCTGTCTAGTTCAAGTTCCGGTCCAGCCCCTAGCTAGCTGTGTGGCCTTGGGCGAGCTATTTCACTCTTGATATTTCTATTTTCTCCTCTAAAGATAGGGATGTGGATACTGCCTGCCTAGTAAGGCTAATAGGAGGAATAACACATGAAGTACTTAGGATTGTGCCTGGCACGTAATAAGCATTCAAAAGTGTCAGCAGTTATTACTATTTTACACTTTCCATAACTCAGTGAGCTGTTCCTATTTTCATTTTACAAACAAAGAAACAGGAATAGCAAATTTAAGTAACTCATTAAAGGGAATTCAGCTAAAATGGAACGAGACAACATGTGAACTATCATCTTCATAGAAATAGAAAAGATTTGACTCCTTTAAGAGAAGGGAAATATACTTTTTGTTCAGAATAGTTTCAGTTTTCTGTATTATTGGAAAAGTAAAGAACAAGAATTTATAATAAGGCCAAGAAGTTTTTGACTTTATTTTATTTTTATTTGAAGACTGTTCAGATTCATTATTTCCTTCATGAGGTTTTCTATTTTATTTTTTTTGTCATCCTTAATTCATAATTCAGAATAAAAGGTGACATTGCCTTCAACAATCTGAATTGCTTCTGTTTATAACCTGCCTGTTGATGAGTATTGTTTTTAGTCTTCTACAGTCTTTTGTGCCTTTGAGATTGCTAGTATGTAGGGCAGCACCTTTTCTGTCTTTGTCTTTCATTGAGACCCTGGACTGATGTTGGTCTAATGCATACACACCTAACACTTGCTCCACACGTAATCCCAGGGTACTGTTGAGATAACAAGATATAGTAAAGCTCCGTGACAGCAAAGAAGTATTTGTCTTGTTCTACATTTCTCTTGACTGATTCTGCTCTGCTTTAAAGTCAAGCAAATTAAAAATATATACTAAAGAACTCAAGGAAAAATTACAAAATTTTTAATGTAATTTTTAAGCAAATTACATAAAGAATAATTTACATAAATGAAACCCAAGAAAGAATCTCATCAGGAAGCTATTTAATATATAATGGAGCTAAAGGGAGAAGAGAGGCTACGTAGAAGGGACAGGCAGATCCTGCTTTTAACAGGAAAGTTTCTATGTAACACATCTTTCTCTTGAGAGGGAAAGAGGTTGAGCTTCTCTATCCCCTGGTAATAGGCATTTATAGATCTACTCATCTTTTTGTGATATTCTGTTACTCCCTATAGGGTTTAATTGGGGTGATTCAGGGTTTTTTTTTGTTTTTCCTTTTTATAAAAAAGGAAGTAATGCTGCCCTTAACACAAATGCCATTTTCAAAGCACCACAAAGTGAAGAGTTTGAAAATTTGTTCCTGAGTAACAGGAGAAAGTGTTGAGATGGCTAGCAAGTTTGTGCACCTGTGTGTATATAATTTTTTTAATTGTGGTAAAATACACATACCATAAAATTTAGCATTTTAACCATTTTAAAGTGCACAATTTAGTGACATTTAATATTTCACAATGTTGAGGAACTATGACTACTGTCTTGTTCCAAAACATTTTCATCCCTCCTAAAGGAAATCCCATGACCATTAAGCAGGCACTTATCTCCTCTTCCCATAGCTGCTGGGAACCACCAGTGTGCTTTCTGTCTCATGGATTTGCCTATTCTGGATATTTCATATACATGAAATCATCCGATATGTGGTCTTTGTGTCTGGCATCTTTCACTTAGCATCATGTTTTCATGGTCCATACATAATGTAGCATGTATCAGTTCCTCGTTTTTTCTGTGGTTGAATAACTTGCCGTTACAGGAATATACCACACTTTGTTTAACCATTTATCAGTTGATGGACATGTGAATTGTTTTCACCTTTGACTATTGTAAATAGTGTAGCTATGGACATTTGTGTTCAAGTGTTTGTTTGAACACCTTGTTTCAATTCTTCTGGGTATATATTCAAGAGTAGAATTGTTGGGTCATATAATTGTGTATTTTATGAGGAGCTGCCAAGTTAATTTCCATAGTGGCTGCACCATTTTACATTGCCATTTAACACATTTTTAAAATTAATAGCATAATTTATGAAAATTAAGGATACACCAGCTGGGCGCGGTGGCTCACGCCTATAGTTCCAGCACTTTGGGAAGCAGAGGTGGGCGGATCATGAGGTCAGGAGTTCGAGACCAGCCTGGCCAACATGGCGAAACATCTCTACTAAAAATACAAAAATTAGCCGGGCATGGTGGCAGGTGCCTGTAATCCCAGCTACTCAGGAGTCTGAGGCAGGAGAATTGCTTGAACCTGGGAGGCAGAGGTTGCAGTGAGCCGAGATCGTGCCATTGCACTCCAGTCTGAGTGACAAGAGCACGACTCTGTCAGAAAAAAAAAAAAAGACACTAAGGATACACCTACCCAAAAATGTACATGTATTTTTCAAGGACATACGCCCGTCTAAGACATACCTAAAACCATGGATCTTTCAGATACAGGTATGCTAGTTGTTAGAATGAGGTCCCAGGAGTGAAGCAAAACTCATGCATCAGACTTCTTTCTATCCAAAAGTAAAGATCCCCCAAGATCAGCCAAATCCCTTTGCTCTGATTTTTAATCATTTAGCAATCTTCTGAAGCCTGATAGAATTTCCTAGGCATCTACGAAATTCATGAGGAGGTCATTCCTGGTATATGGACACAAATATGCCATTCTTGGGAAAGTGTTCATTTTGCCCATCTGACTTATCTCTCAAGTCCTTGTGAGATGGCTTATTATAAATCATGCACACAGTTTGGTCAACCCCACCCCACAAGTGAACTGTCAAATCATACCCAGTTTCCTTTTAATTCTTCACATTTTAACATGTCTAAAATCAATAACTTTTTGGATCCCATGAAATAAAGTAATTTTGAGAAAACAAAATTTAGATTTTTAATCCAGGATATTAGTGACCTCATTAAGGTTCATCACATTTGTGAGGCCAGGAATAGAATGGCCTTATTGAGGCCTTATCTGGAATATTATATAAATTATTTGCAAGGACTACTTATCTTCTCACCCAATCCCTGCTACACACACACACACACACACACACACACACACACACCATCAGGGTTTAATAGAGGTCTCCGTTCCTGATATTATGGCACCCTATTCATGTTTCTGTGTCTGATCCAAAATATCAGGATGTTCATGCTGTCACTACATTTGCCATAGAACTTGGTTCTATTGCACTCCCAGAGGCTACCCTTCTCTCCATCAGCACCTGACAAATGTGTGCTCTGTAGGGGTCAGAAGGAGAAGAGGAAGAATGAGGATGACCCAGGGAAAAGCTATCTTCACCACTGAAAACAATTCACAGCATCAGCCCAAGTAGCTATGGATCAATAGTGTAAGTCTGGGTGCAGAGTAGCCTACTTTGGTCAGCATAGCACCCGATGGAATCTTCTGCTCCAATTTTTTTTTTTTTTTTTTTGAGACAGAGTCTTGCTCTGTTGCCCAGGCTGGAGTGCAGTAGTGCAATCTTGGCTCACCACAACCTCTGCCTCCCAGGTTCAAGCGATTCTTCTGCCTCAGCCTCCCAAGTAGTTGGGACTACAGGTGCACACCACCATGCCCAGCTAATTTTTGTATTTTTTAGTAGAGATGGGGTTTCACTATGTTGGCTAGGCTGGTCTCAAACTCCTGACCTTGTGATCTGCCCACCTTGGCCTCTCAAAGTGCTGGGATTACAGGCGTGAGTCACCACGCCTGGCCCCAATTTTTAAATTATAGTTACATTCAATAAAATGACCAAGATCTTATCTAGAGCATGACCGAAAAGAGGACAAGTCTTAAAGACCATTTTGTCTGGTAGCCTTCAAATTGAGGCCCACATACCCCTACAGGTATACAAAACCTCACAAAAGATACCTGAGTGTACACATTTTTAAAGAAATTAATTTCCAGATCCTTAACTTGCATCCTACAATAAACCTGCGTTGCTTCTGCTTTCTCATTTTCCCATCTCAGTCTCCTTCCTGTCACTTTGCAAGAAAATGGTGTACCTCCCACACAAACAGCATTTTTCTATGATGTATTGTTATTTTGTGTGTACAAACCTGTAGAGCAAAAACAAATGGCCAACTCAAAACACTGATGGCCAGCTTTGTGGTTTTTCTTGGATGCCTAACTCCATGCTTTGCCCTTAAAAGAACCATTATGCCTTTTTAAGGGCAAAGCATGAAGTTAGAGACATGTGGTATCTTGATTTGTGCTAAGATGTTCGGAATTCATGTACACTGAAGGAAAAGGCAGGACTACCAACAATTTCCTTTTAATGACCTCTCTCTTTTATCCCTGGATATTGCTACAGAATGTATCCCTTTAGGGGAAGAGGTTCCCTTGAGAGCAAAGCAAAGATGAGGTTGTTGAAGTCCACTGTGCCTTATTTCCTTGTGCCTGAGTACCATGTTTTATCCATTAGTGTTAAGATTAGTGTTAAGAAGTGAGATGGTTGTCATGGGAATGCATCTCAACACAGCAATTTAAATTGAAAAGACTTTTCCTAACAGAAAACTCATCTGATTTTACTGATAATGAAGACTGGCTTTTTCAATTAGATTAGATGATGGATGCTGTCTATAACTTGAATGAGCCAAATCAGCAGCTCCAAGGTTATGATGAAAATATATTTAAGGCACATAATGAGACAAATAGATTTTATAAAAAATTTTGTACTGGCACGGGTGAGTTGAAATACTTGTATTTTCCCCATTCTTTCTGAGTGCATTGTAATACGGTTTGTCACTGAGGAAAAGCATAACAGGAAGTTTTTTTTTGTTAAAGTATTGACATACTTTCTCAATGGTTGGTAAATGTTTATCGCCCTGAATCCTA
Source organism: Homo sapiens (assembly GCF_000001405.40). Lineage (NCBI taxonomy): Eukaryota > Metazoa > Chordata > Mammalia > Primates > Hominidae > Homo > Homo sapiens. The sequence continues at coordinate 223,329,431 of NC_000002.12, forward strand.
GGAGCCCTAGCCCCTTCCCAGGGACCTGGAACCTGTCAGACTTCATAATCTAGCAGCTGTAAGGTTGGTACCTTGCATTACAGGGGTCTGCAGGACCTGCTCTAGCACAAAGACCAGGGTCCAGTACTCTGTGTTGGTTGATTCCTTGTCTTACAAGTTAACACTGAATATCTCTCCAAGTCATCAGTATAATTGTCATTTTATAAATCTTAGTAAAGCTTCTGCAGTAACTGAGAAATGACTCTAAAGATGGTTAACAAGTCATTTAGTTTTTCCCTAATTTTAAAAATACTTTAAAAAATAATGAAGGAGGACCTGAGTTGCCAATTAATTGAACATAAACATAATTTTTTTTTTTTTGAGACAGAGTCTCACTCTGCCGCCCAGGCTTCAGTGCAGTGGCGTGATCTCGGCTCACTGCAACCTCTGCCTCCTGGGTTCAAGCGATTCTCCTGTCTCAGCCTCCCAAGTATCTGGGATTACAGGTGTGCGCCACCACACCTGGCTAATTTTTGTATTTTTTGTAGAGATGGGGTTTCACTATGGTTGTCAGGCTGGTCTTGACCTCCTGACTTCATGATCTGCCCGCCTTGGCCTCTCAAAGTGCTGGGATTACAGGCATGAGCCACTGCACCTGGCTGAACATAAACATAATTTATAATTTTTTATGGAAAATCACTGTGTGATTTTAGCATGGAGTCATGGTGGATTTTAAAGAGATGGACCAAATGGCTCTAATAAAATGTGCATTTCTAGGTACACATTTTTGAGAACAATGTTTCTCAGGGCTCCTATTTTTAAAAATGAAAAATACAAATAATATTGATGCTCAACCACAACTCATTCTACAGTTGAACAATTCTCATCTGCAAATACATAAAGTAATTACGGGAAAAAGGCTTCACCTATATTGTCAGCAAATACATTTAGAGTATAATTTGGCTGGGCATGGTGGCTCATGCCTGTAATCCCAGCACTTTGGGAGGCTGAGGTGGGCAGTTCACCTGAAGTCAGGAGTTCAAGACCAGCCTGGCAAACATGGTGAAACCCCATCTCTACTAAAAGAAAAGCAAAAACAGTTCTGTTCCAAGATGGCCAAATAGGAACAGCTCCCATCTGTAGCTCCCAGCGTGATCAACACAGAAGATGGGTGATTTCTGCATTTCCAACTGAAGTACCTGGTTCATCTCATTGGGACTGGTTGGACAGTGGGTGCAGCCCACGGAGGGCGAGCTGAAGCAGGGCGGGGAGTTGCCTCTCTCAGGAAGCACAAGGAGTTGGGGAATTTCCCTTTCCTAGCCAAGGGAAGCTGTGACAGACTGTACCTGGAAAATCGGTACACTCACACCCAAATGCTGCGCTTTTCCCATGGTCTTAGAAACCAGCAGACCGGGAGTTTCATTCCTGTGCCTGGCTTGGCAGGTCCCACACCCATGGAGCCTTGCTCACTGCTAGCGTAGCAGTCTGAGATTGCTCTGTGAGGCTGCAGCCTGGCGGGGGGAGGGGCATCCACCATTGCTGAGGCTTGAGTAGGTAAACAAAGCAGCTGAGAAGCTTGAACTGGGCGGAGCCCACCACAGCTCAGAAAGGCCTACCACCTCTATAGACTCCACCTCTGTGGGCAGGGCATAGCTGAACAAAAGGCAGCAGAAACTTCTGCAGACTTAAACGTCCCTGTCTGACAGCTCTGAAGAGAGCAATGGTTCTCCCAGCATGGCATTTGAGCTCTGAGAATGGACAGACTGCCTCCTCAAGTGGGTCCCTGATCCCTGTGTAGCCTAACTGGGAGACACCTCTCAGTAGGGTCCAACAGACACCTCATACAGGTGGGTGCCCCTCTGGGACGAAGCTTCCAGGGGAAGGATCAGGCAGCGATATTTGCTGTTCTGCAGCCTCTGTTGGTGATACCCAGGCAAACAGGGTCTGGAGTGGACCTCCAGCAAACTCCAACAGACCTGCAGCTCAGGGACCTGACGGTTAGAAGGAAAACTAAGAAACAGAAAGGAATAACATCAACATCAATGAAAAGGACATCCACACCAAAACCTCATCTGTAGGTCACCAACATCAAAGACCAAAGGTAGATAAAACCACAAAGATGGGGAGAAACCAGAGCAGAAAAGCTGAAAATTCTAAAAACCAGAGCACCTCTTTTCCTCCAATGGATCACAGTTCCTCACCAGCAATGGAACAAAGCTGGACGGAGAATGATTTTGACAAGTTGACAGAAGTAAGTTTCAGAAGGTCGGTAACAACAAACTTCTCCAAGCTAAAGGAGCATGTTCTAACCCACAGCAAGGAAGCTAAAAAGCTTGAAAAAAGGTTAGACGAATGGCTAACTAGAATAAACAGTGTAGAGAAGACCTTAAATGACCTGATGGAGCTGAAAACCATGGCATGAGAACTTCGTGATGCATGCACAAGCTTCAATAGCAATTCAATCAAGTGGAAGAAAGGATATCAGTGATTGAAGATCAAATTAATGAAATAAATCTAGGAGACAAGACTAGAGAAAAAGGAGTAAAAATAAACAAACAAATCCTCCAAGAAATATGGGACAATGTGAAAAGACCAAATCTACGTTTGACTGGTGTACCTGAAAGTGAGGGGGAGAATGGAACCAAGTTGGAAAACACTGTTCAGGATATTATCCAGGAGAACTTTCCCGACCTAGCAAGGCAAGCCAACATTCAAATTCAGGAAATACAGAGAACACCACAGAGGTACTCCTTGAGAAGAGCAACCTGAAGACACTTAATTGTCAGATTCACCAAAGTTGAAATGAAGGAAAAAATGTTAAAGGCAGCCAGAGAGAAAGGTTGGGTTACCCACAAAGAGAAGCCCATCAGACTAACAGCAGATCTCTTGGCAGAAACCCTACAAGCCAGTTGAGAGTGGGGGTCAATATTCAACATTCTTAAAGAAAAGAATTTTCAACCCAGAATTTCATATCCAGCCAAATTAAGCTTCATAAGTGAAGGAGAAATAAAATACTTTACACACAAGCAAATGCTGAGAAATTTTGTCACCACCCGGCCTGCCTTAGAAGAGCTCCTCAATGAAGCACTAAACATGGAAAGGAACAACCAGTACCAGCCACTGCAAAAACATGCCAAATTGTAAAGACCATTGATGCTATGAAGAAACTGCATCAATTAATGGGCAAAATAATCAGCGAATATCATAATGACACGATCAAATTCACACATAACAATATTAACCTTAAATGTAAATGGACTAAATGCCCCAATTAAAAGACAGAGACTGGCAAATTGGATAAAGAGTCAAGATCCATCAGTGTACTGTATTCAGGAGACCCATCTCACATGCAGAGACGCACATAGGCTCAAAATAAAGGAAAGGAGGAAGATCTACCAAGCAAATGGAAAGAAAAAAAAAAAGCAGTGGTTGCAATCCTAGTCTCTGATAAAACACATTTTAAACCAACAAAGATCAAAAGAGACAAAGAAGGCCATTACATAATGGTAAAGGGATCAGTTCAACAAGAAGAGCTAACTATCCTAAATATATATGCACCCAACACAGGAACACCCAGATTCATAAAGCAAGTCTTTAGAGACCTACAAAGAGACTTAGACTCCCACACAATAAAAATGGGAGACTTTAACACCCCACTGTCAATATTAGACAGATCAATGAGACACGAAGTTAACAAGGATATCCAGGACTTGAACTCAGCCCTGCACCAAGTGGATGTAATAGACAACTACAGAACTCTCCACCCCAATTAAGCAGAATATACATTCTTCTCAGCACCACATCACACTTATTCTAAAATTGACCACATAATTGGAAGTAAAGCACTCCTCAGCAAATATAAAAGAACAGAAATCACAACAAACTGTCTCTCAGACCACAGTGCAATCAAATTAGAACTCAGGATTAAGAAACTCACTCAAAACCACACAACTACATGGAAACTGAGCAACCTGCTCCTGAATGACCACTGGGTAAATAACGAAATGAAGTCTGAAATAAAGATGTTCTTTGAAACCAATGAGAACAAAGACCCAATGTACAAGAATCTTTGGGACACATTTGAAGCAGTGTGTGTAGAGGGAAATTTATAGCACTAAATGCCCACAAGAGAAATCAGGAAAGATCTAAAGTAGACAACCTAACATCACAATTAAAAGAACTAGAGAAGCAAGAGCAAACAAACTCGAAAGCTACCAGAAAGCAAGAAATAACTAAGATCAGAACAGAACTGAAGGAGACAGAAACACAAAAAACCCTTCAAAAACATCAGTGAATCCAGGAGCTGGCTTTTTGAAAAGATCAACAAAATTGATAGAACACTAGCAAGACTGATAAAGAAGAAAAGAGAGAAGAATCAAATAGACAGAATAAAAAATGATTAAGGGGATATCACTACTGATCCCACAGAAATACAAACTACCATCAGAGAATACTATAAACACCTCTATGCCAATAAACTAGTAAATTCTAGAAGAAATGGATAAATTCCTGGACACATACACCCTCCCAAGACTAAAGCAGGAAGAAGTCGAATCTCTGAATAGACCAATAACAGGCTCTGAAATTGAGGCAATAATTAATAGGCTACCAACCAAAAAAAGTCCAGGACCAGATGGATTCACAGCTGAATTCTACTAGAGGTACAAAGAGGAGCTGGTACGATTCCTTCTGAAACTATTCCAATCAATAGAAAAAGAAGGACTCCTCCCTAACTCATTTTATGAGGCCAGCCAGCATCATCCTGATACCAAAATCTGGCAGAGACACAACAAAAAAAGAGAATTTTAGAGCAATATCCCTGATGAACATCGATGTGAAAATCCTCAATAAAATGTTGGCAAACTGAATCCAGCAGCACGTCAAAAAGCTTATCCACCACGATCAAGTTAGCTTCATCCCTGGGATGCAAGGCTTGTTCAACATATGCAAATCAATAAACGTAATCCATCACATAAACAGAACCAACAACAAAAACCACATGATTATTTCAATAGATGCAGAAAAGACCCTTGACAAAATTCAACAGCGCTTCATGCTAAAAACTCTCAATAAACTAGATATTGATGGAATGTATCTCAAAATAACAAGAGCTGTCTATGAGAAACCCACAGCCAGTATCATACTGAATGGGCAAAAACTGGAAGCATTCTCTTTGAAAACCAGCACAAGACAAGGATGCCCTCTCTTGCCACTCCTATTCAACATAGTGCTGGAAGTTTTGACCAGGGAATCAGGCAAAAGAAAGAAATAAAGGGTATTCATTAGGAAAAGAGGAAGTCAAATTGTCCCTGTTTGCAGACGACATGATTGTATATTTAGAAAACCCCATAGCCTCAGCCCCAGATTTCCTTAAGCTGATAAGCAACTTCAGCAAAGTCTCAGGATATAAAATCAATGTGAAAACATCACAAGCATTCCTATACACCAATAACAGACAAACAGAGAGCCAAATCATGTGTGAACTCCCATTCACAATTGCTACAAAGAGAATAAAATACCTAAAAATCCAAATTACAAGGGATGTAAAGGACCTTTTCGAGGATAACTACAAATCATTGCTCAACGAAATAAATGAGGACACAAACAAATGGAAGAACATTCCATGCTCATGGATAGAAAGAATCAATATCGTGAAAATGGCCATACTGCCCAAGGTAGTTTATAGATTCAATGCCATCCCCATCAAGCTACCAATGACTTTCTTCACAGAATTGGAAAAAACTACTTTAAAGTTCATATGGAACCAAAAAAGAGCCCGCATTTTCAAGTCAATCCTAAGAAAAAGAAGAAAGCTGGAGGCATCACACTACCTGACTTCAAACTAGACAACAAGGCTACAGTAACCAAAACAGCATGATACTGGTACCAAAACAGATATATAGACCAATGGAACAGAACAGAGGCCTCAGAAATAACACCACACATCTACAACCATCTGATCTTTGACAAACCTGACAAAAACAAGAAATGGGGAAAGGATTCCCTCTTTAATAAATGGTGCTGGGAAAACTGGCTAGCCATATGTAGAAAAGCTGAAACTGGATCCCTTCCTTACATCTTATACAAAAACTAATTCAAGATGGATTAAAGACTTAAATGTAAGACCTAAAACCCTAAAAACCTTAGAAGAAAACCTGGGCAATATCATTCAGGACATAGGCATGGGCAAAGACTTCATGACTAAAACACCAAAAGCAATAGCAACAAAAGTCAAAATAGACAAATGGGATCTAATTAAACTAAAGAGCTTCTGCATGGCAAAAGAAACTACCATCAGAGTGAACAGGCAACCTACAGAATGGGAGAAAATTTTTGCAATCTACGCATCTGACAAAGGGCTAATATCCAGAATCTAAAAGGGCTTAAACAAATTTACAGGAAAAAAGCAAACAACCGCATGAAAAAGTGGGCAAAGGATATGAACAGACACTTCTCAAAAGAAGACATTTATGCAGGCAACAGACACGTGAAAAAATGCTCACCATCACTGGCCATCAGAGAAATGCAAATCAAAACCACAACGAGATACCATCTCGCACCAGTTAGAATGGTGATCATTAAAAAGTCAGGAAACAGCAGATGCGGGAGAGGATGTGGAGAAATAGGAATGCTTTTACACTGTTGGTGGGAGTGCAAATTAGTTCAACCATTGTGAAAGACAGTGTGGCGATTCCTCAAGGATCTAGAAGTAGAAATACCATTTGACCCAGTGATCCCATTACTGGGTATATACCCAAAGGATTATAAATCATGCTGCTATAAAGACACATGCACACGTATGTTTATTGCAGAACTATTCACAATAGTAAAAACTTGGAACCAACCCAAATGTCCATCAATGATAGACTGGATTAAGAAAATGTGGCACATATACACCATGGAATACTATGCAGCCATAAAAAAGGATGAGTTCATGTCCTTTCAGGGACATGGGTGAAGCTAGAAACCACTATTCTCAGCAAACTATCACAAGGACAGAAAACCAAACACCACATGTTCTCACTCATAGGTGGGAATTGAACAATGAGAACACATGGACACAGGGTGGGGAACATCACACACTGGGGCCTGTCAGGGGTTGGGGTCTGGGGTAGGGATAGCATTAGGAGAAATACCTAATGTAAATGATGAGTTGATGGGTGCAGCAAACCAACATGGCATATGTATACCTATGTATCAATCTGTACGTTGTGTACATGTACCCTAGAACTTAAAGTATAATATTAAAAAAACACAAAAAAATTAGCAGGGGCATGGTGGCGGACACCTGTAATCCCAGCTACATGGGGGGCTGAGGCAGGAGAGTCGCTTGAACCCTGAGGTGGAGGTTGCAGTGAGCCTAGATTGTGCCATTGCACTCCAGGCTGGGCAACAAGAATGAAACTCCTTCTCAAAAAAAAAAAAAATTGAGTATAATTTACACGTTAACAATTATGGGAATTTTAAACATATAAAGTAAATATAAACATATAACAATATATGTTATATGTTTTGGTTAATTTTGTATTTCTAATAATTGCAATGACAATTCAATCTAGAGGGAAAAAATTATCACATAGAGCATTACAGCCATTGGAGAAAATAAGTTTCAACTTTTATATGCATATTGTTATTGTAGAAGAAAGTTATACAATCATCAGTAAAAGACTTATAAGTATAAAAATACATTTATTTGAGATGAAGTTCTTTTTGGAAAGTAGAATGGAAGTAAGAGTCCAAAGAGAAAAATAACCACATAATATTATAGTAACAGAACAAACTTCCTTGTGTATTTACAAATAGACAATGATATATATCAAATTATTAGGAATTTATATTCTATATTCTACTTTTAGATATGTTGGTGTAATATATTCCTTTTTGTTTATTTATACACCATTGCTTTGGCAATCATCATCTTATACTAAATAAAAGAGCATTGGATTTATTGAAAGTCATGTCTTGGATTTGTGAGGCACTGCCATGAGTCAGGATCACCCAGCTTCAGGAAATTCTTCTGGTGTACTTCAAATCCTCATTTTTCATACACAAAACGAAGATTGAGGGAAGCCAGTTACTTATGATGTCACACAACCTGCACGATGTGTAGAATCCAGCTCTCTGGCTCTCAGCTTGGTTCTCTTTCTTTAAACTACCATAAACACATTAAATCCTAAATTAAACTAAGTATTAGTTTTCAAAAGAACAATCTATGAGCCAACTTGATTAAGTATTTTAAAAGTCTAATTCAAATTAAAATCATTTTTTTAAATTTTCAGTTAACTAATTATTAAACTAGATAAGAATATTTTCCGAAATGAGACTGGTACTTGGTTTGTTGGAGTCTCTGGAAGGAACAGCAAAGCCTTTGGGAAGCTCCAGGGTGTCATGGAAAGAAGAAGCCTTGGCCTCAATTTCTAGTCACGCTAGTTACTAGCTAAGGGCTTTGGTGCTGTTTACCCAATTCCTCTGAGTTTGTTTCCTTATTTGGAAAATGGAGATTAAAATCCCTGCCTGATGAAGTTAAGGTTAAGATGAAATGAGATAATGCATGTAAAGTGTGTCGTATAATACTTGGCATATGTTGGAAACCTAAAAACACTCATTTTCTTCTTGATATTTATCTTTATTTTCTATTTCTACTCCCTAATGCATTTGTCTGTTGTACTTCCTAATGCTCATGTCCTTAATGTCTCCTTGGATGATATGTGAAGCTAATAGTTTAATGGCTTAGAGAAGTGATTTTCAAGCTGTGAGCCATGGGAGCTCTGTGGAGGTTGGGGGTGGAGGTGGGGGCTTGGAGGGAAGGAAAGCCATGGGGCTCCAGTCCTTTCATTAACAAGTTTGCTTGTCTCCACATATGCCAATGATTTTGTTGAGAAAAATGTTTTCCTGGGCTTCATGGGCCATTTAAATTGTGAACCCCCAGGGACACAGTGCTTAGCCCAAGCCATCAGTGCTTGAAAATAGGCATTTCTGTCATCGAGTTTCTGTATGTTGAGATATATTTTGAGATAGGCTTAAGGGTGAGGACATTTGGCTGGAGTCAGCAATAAGTTGCAACCTCAGGGTCAATCCTGATTAGTGTACAATGCATAATACAGACAATCGATGAAAAGAGGTGCAACATGGGATGCATACGAGCAGGAGAAACTCAAGTATTTTGAGAATGTTCATTATGAGTTTCATAAATTTTTAAATTCGGAGTATGTATGCTTGCTTTCATTCCCAATCACCGTGCCATTTTACCCAAGGCCTGTTTGTTTCTTTTTTGGAGCTGTTCCCTCTTTTGGTAAATGGAACATCATTTCAGCCACCATGCCCATTTCCCGTATCCCAAATGAAAGAAGAGAAATTGAAAGTGATCAGTCCTATTCTTGTGATAACTGGAAAAACGATGTCCCGAGTTTTAATAGGACAACAAAAAATCCTTGTTAACTTATTTTCCCTCAATGGCTTTAAAAATATTTTCATGATGTCTTTTTCATTAATCAAGTTGTAGACATTCTGTGTACCCTTGGCCTTTCAAAAAAAGATGAACTTTTGTACTTGTGGAACATGTAATGGAAACATTAGATGCCTCAGACACATCATTACATTAGCCTTGAGAATAAGTCTGACCAAGATACCTAAGCCTCAAAATAATTCATCAGTGGGCTTTGGAGAAAACATGTGCCCTTCTCCTCTCAACATAAAGCACTCTGGGGAGGATTCTGCTTAATTTCTGTACCTATCACAGAACAGTTTCCCTTCTCTCCTTTCTGAAGGCTTTTTGTGTTGAAGGAATAATGTCTATTCTATTTTTCTCTTTTGTTCTTTCTTTTTCCTCTGCCATTTCAAAGTTATATAACTCATGTTCTCCAAGTTAAAAGTTGATATTTTTATAGCCTTAATCTTCTATTTTTTGCAGAAAATCTAGATTCCTAAAAACAAAAGCTCTCTGCCTAGTTATTTCTGGGAATTTCTTGTTTGTGGTGTATAACCACAAACAAGTGGAATCCACAACTTTCTTCCTATCCTGTATCTTCCTCTGTATTCTCTGGACTTTGTATTTACACACTAGGTTGGCAGGACCTCATCCCATCATTTCTGGAGCATTGGGAAGGATTGGTGAGGCAGCAGCCATATCTATTGTCAACCAAGGTTTCAACTTAGTGAGGCCACTGTCTGGGCCTGTCACCTACTTGGAATTTGTGTGTGTGTGTGTGTGTGTGTGTGTGTGTGTGCTTGTAATAGTCATAACGAGTGTAGGGAAGTCATGGGAGGGGTATGGTTGTCTGCCTTATGAGGGACACTTTTAATTATTTGCATTTGCAGAATATTTCATATTTTGTGTATATTCTTTATAGATTTTCCTCTGTATACTTTTGTGTCATAAGAAAGAAAAGCATAAGTTTCTTCATTATAAAATAAGTATAAAATAGTCTTTTTTAAAATCCAATCCAGAACACTATCTGGAAAACAACATAAACTCAGATTGGAAGAGGTGATGATGAGATATTAAATAAGCAAAAACAGGTGGCGATATAAATGTGTTTGGTAACGAGACCCATACCAGTCAGAGTTTGGGTAAGAACACAGATGGCATATTCAAATGGGGTAATTTAAGGTGAGTTTACTTAAAAAAGAAAAAGACTACACTACTTACAGAGGCATGGACAAGCTTTCAAGGAAACAAGGTGCAGTGCAAGACCTCTGGGCTGAAGAGAGTGAGGAGCCGCAAACATACTGGGTCTGAAGGAACATGTGGAGGAGGCAGAGACTGGAATCTGGAAAGAGGAGGGGGATGGAGAAGCTCTTGGACAGGACCTGGCCTTTGATGGAGAGACACAGGCAACCCACAGTGACCAGGTCTCAGGACAACCGAGAATGGACACTGTCACCTCACTTTCTTCCCTTGCTTTCATCTTCTGCTAGTACCTCTAGAAAATCAGAGACCAAGAGAAGACAAAGGAGTTCCCTGAGGTTTCCATATGATTCAACAGCATGGCTCAGGGGAAGAGGTTTCCAGTAGAAAATATTTAGCCAAGACTTTTTATTTCTCATTTCTAGTCCAATTTATAAGCAAGAAGTAAAGAGATCCCTATCTGGCTATGCCAACAATAGAAAGTCTTCATCGTACACAATTATAAACATGCATATGAGGCACTCAGAAGTCTGCAAAGCATTTAAAAGTATTTCCTATTGAACACTCCAAAAAAGACATAGTAAAGCCAAATTAAAAGATTATTTTCTCAATTTTATAAATAATGAACCTCAAGCAAACAGAGTTTAAGTGAGATGCCCAAATATAGACACCAAATTTTCAAATGGACTAAGTTTTCAGTGATTTTTACTTTTGATTTCTATTGGTATTTTGCTGCACCATTCCCAGGGGACAGAATTACACATATACCCGAAGTTTTTAACCATCCAAACTTCAGTAAGTATTCTTATAAGAATATATCTGTAGGCAGAGAATACTTGCTCCTGTGTCAAAGTGAGTTTCGTTACACCAATGCCTCCAGAAGAATAATAACTGGAGTCCAAAAGCTTTAAGGGCTAATGTAGACCTTTACTGAAGATCTGGTTTAGGTGGGAACAAAGGGAGAAGAGAATTATAGCACACACTACAAAGTAAAACCTCACGAAAGTCTTGTTTCCAATCATCTATTTAAAACTCTACCCCAATCTCTCCATTATCCTTGTAGACAAATAAAGCAGGCAATAATTCTCCCCAAAAGTGGCAGAAAGTGGTGATCCCTGTAAAGATGATTATAATAAAAATTAAGTTTGTCTGTGTCACATGTAAAATGGCCATTGGTCATTAATGTCACTTATGTCTTTAGTGCACACCTCTACAGAAATGATTACACATTGATCTTCATTTCTTGATGGTCTTGTTGAGTTATTTCTTGTTGCTAATATCGTTGGTACCTCAGCATCGATGGGAAATTGGTTGCAGGGCTCCCATAGATGTCAAAATCCAGAGATGCCCAAGTCCCTTATATAAAATGGCATAGGAGGCTGGATGCGGTGACTCACACCTGTAATCCTAGCACCTTGGGAGGCTGAGGCTGGCAGATCACTTGAGGTCAGGAGTTCAAGACCAGCCTGGCCAAAATGGTTGAACTTCGTCTCTACTAAAAATACAAAAATTAGCCAGGCATGGTGGTGGGCGCCTGTAATCCCAGCTACTCGAGAGGCTGTGCCTGGAGAATTGCTTGAACCCGGGAGGCGTAGGTTGCAGTGAGTCGAGATCATACCACTGCACTCCAGCCTAGGAGACAGAGCTAAACACTCTCTCAATCAATCAATCAATCAATCAATCAATCAATAAAATATATAAAAAATAAAACGACATAGTATTTGCGTATAACCTATGCACATCCTCCTAACCACTCCAAATTATCTCTAGATTACTTATAATACTTAATACAATTTAAATGCTATATAAATAATTGTTATGTTGTATTGTTTAGGGACTAGTGTCAAGGAAAAATGTCTGTACACACTCAGTACAGACATAACCATTAATTTTTTTTTTTCTGGTTATTCTTGACCTGTGGTTGGCTCAATCTGTGGATGCAGAACTCTCAGACACGGAGGGCTGACTTTGTGTGTACGTGTTGCGGGTCGGGGGTGGGGGGCGGGAATTTCTTCTAATTTTTAGGATCAGAAGTTATTTTTCTTTGTTCTTTCTTATACATGCATTCAAAGGTAGCTTAAGCATAATGTGGCATGGCAGAAATACCCAGCATTTTCAGTCCAAATCAGATCTTTGTCTAAAACCTATTTTAAAATGTAAATTTATCATCTATTAGCAGCTGTCTAAAGAGATTACAAGACATATTCATACTTTTTTTTTACTTTGCTTTTTACAGTAAGAGTTGTTCAAATGTTTGGCATAAATGTTATTAGCAGAAGAGACATTTCATCTCTAGGCAGAGACTGCAAAACTCACTGAGGAGTACAGGGAGGCTTTGCTTTATCAATTTCCATATATATGTAGCTCATGTTTTAGAAGTAATGCTTTTTTAAAAATCAATTTTATACTGCCAAGAAAGGTCTGCCAAAGAAGAATAAAGAAGCATTTCTTAGATCAAGAAAGAGAATGCATGTAAAAACAGTTTGAAATCTAGTTATGACTCTTAGGAAGGAATTCCATGCAGCCATTAAAAGCACAAAAACTACATCTTATATGATCTAACTTTAAAGTATTATACATACTTATACAATACTCGTGTTTTTTATTTCCCTTTACAATACTATAAGAAAATAAAAATACTATAAATGGTAATTAATATCAGTTGATGTTTACTTTGCTTTCCTAATTTCTTATGAGTACGTGTTTTACAATCACAAAAACAGATAATTTATCCTTTAAACAAAAATATAAAGCACTATCCTGAAGGCTAATTTCAAACCTAGTAAATGAACCTGGGGTGTATAAGCAGCCAAATAATTCCTCATGGAAAGACAGTGCCTAAAATAGGCCTGGCAGAATGAAAAGGAGAGAACAATTCCTGCTTCTGGAAGGAACATTATAATTGAGACAGTTTGAAGACAAAAGATGAGTGAACACAGTATAAGAACATCAAAATGCTACATTTTACTGCTGTTTGATGTGGAACAGATGACATTATGCAGCTCAAAATATATTCTGATGTTTTACTAGCAAACATCAAACCTCTCTCCTTGTGGATCTAAATGCTATTTTTGGATGTTATATACTTAAGGTGCATGGTCTACCTAGGGCCAGATTCTCTTTAAAAACTGTGTTTAAAAAACTCTGCTTGTGTAGATCACAGCTTTTACCTACAGAAGAAAATCATTCCTTATTTTGTTAGAAAAAAAGTGGTTATAAAAAAATAATTTTATAATATTTTAAACAACGATGTAAATTACAGTGCTTAAAATCTGATCAGGATAACAAATGGCTTAGGCAGTGAAAAATTTACTCTGGACTGCCCTATAGGAAGTCAGGTATTTATGGTTAAGGTTATACAGATTTGATATAGAATCTTACATTAGTAATGGGCTTTATATCAGTATATTTAGGATGTTCATACTTCAGTTGAATACCTTGAAATTTTCAAGGGATTAATTAGTGACAAAAAAAATGCTATATATAGTATGTGGCCTTTTTAGTCCTTTCAAATCTGGGTATTTCTTTCAAGCGTCATTGATTAACGCACCTTTTAAAAATATACCATAGGTGTGGGATATTCTGGCTTCAATGAAAACAACTGAGAAACATGAGAACTTAAAGGATCCAAGGGTTCTTCTAATTCAGACTTTTTGCTTTAAAGGTGTGGAAACTCCCATTCTGTAGGTTGCCTGTTCACTCTGATGGTAGTTTCTTCTGCTGTGCAGGAGCTCTTTAGTTTAATTAGATCCCATTTGTCAATTTTGGCTTTTGTTGCCATTGCTTTTGGTGTTTTAGACATGAAGTCCTTGCCCATACCTATGTCCTGAATGGTATTGCCTAGGTTTTCTTCTAGAGTTTTTATGGTTTTAGGTCTAACATGTAAGTCTTTAATCCATGTTGAATTAATTTTTGTATAAGGTGTAAGGAAGGGATCCAGTTTCAGCTTTCTACGTATGGCTAGCCAGTTTTCCCAGCACCATTTGTTAAATAGGGAATCCTTTCCCCATTTCTTCTTTTTGCCAGGTTTGTCAAAGATCACATAGTTGTAGATATGCAGCATTATTTCTGAGGGCTCTGTTCTGTTCCATTGGTCTATATCTCTGTTTTGGTACTAGTACCATGCTGTTTTGATTACTGTAGCCTTGTAGTATAGTTTGAAGTCAGGTAGTGTGATGCCTCCAGCTTTGTTCTTTTGGGTTAGGATTGACTTGGCAATACGGGCTCTTTTTTGGTCCCATATGAAATTTAAAGTAGTTTTTTCCAGTTCTGTGAAGAAAGTCATTGGTAGTTTGATGGGGATGGCATTGAATCTGTAAATTACCGTGGGCACTATGGCCATTTTCACGATATTGATTCTTGCTATCCATGAGCATGGAATGTTCTTCCATTTGTTTGTGTCCTCTTTCATTTCGTTAAGCAGTGGTTTGTAGTTCTCCTTTAAGAGGTCCTTCACGTCCCTTATAAGTTGGATTCCTACGTATTTTATTCTCTTTGAAGCAATTGTGAATGGGAGTTCACTCATGATTTGGCTCTCTGTTTGTCTGTTATTGGTGTATAAGAATGCTTGTGATTTTTGCACTTTGATTTTGTATCCTGAGACTGCTGAAGTTGCTTATCAGCTTAAGGAGATTTTGGGCTGAGATGATGGGGTTTTCTAGATATACGATCATGTCATCTACAAACAGGGACAACTTGACTTCCTCTTTTCCTAATTGAATACCCTTTATTTCTTTCTCCTGCCTGATTGCCCTGGCCAGAATTTTCAACACTATGGAGAAAATTTTTGAAATCTACTCATCTGACAAAGGGCTAATATCCAGAATCTACAAAGAACTCAAACAAATTTACAAGAAAAAAACAAACAACCCCATCAAAAAGTGGGCAAAGGATATGAACAGACACTTCTCAAAAGAAGACATTTATGCAGCCAACAGACACATGAAAAAATGCTCATCATCACTGGCCATCAGAGAAATGCAAATCAAAACCATAATGAGATACCATCTCACACCAGTTAGAATGGCCATCATTAAAAAGCCAGGAAACAACAGGTGCTGGAGAGGATGTGGAGAAATAGGAACACTTTTATACTGTCGGTGGGACTGTAAACTAGTTCAACCATTGTAGAAGACAGTGTGGCAATTCCTCAGGGATCTAGAACTAGAAATACCATTTGACCCAGCCATGCCATTACTGGGTATATACGCAAAGGAATATAAATCATGCTGCTATAAAGACACATGTACACATATGTTTATTGTGTCACTACTCACAATAGCAAAGACTTGGAACCAACCCAAATGTCCAACAATGATAGACTGGATTAAGAAAATGTGGCACATATATGCCATGGAATACTATGCAGCCATAAAAATGTGAGTTCATGTCCTTTGTAGGGACATGGATGAAGCTGGAAACCATCATTCTCAGCAAACTATCTCAAGGACAAAAAACCAAACACCACATGTTCTTACTCATAGGTGGGAATTGAACAATGAGAACACTTGGACATAGGAAGGGGAAGATCACACACCGGGGACTGTTGTGGGGTGGGGGGAGGGGGAGGGATAGCATTAGGAGATATACCTAATGTAAATGACGAGTTAATGGGTCCAGCACACCAACATTTCACATGTATACATATGTAACAAACCTGCACGTTGTGCACATGTACCCTAGAACTTAAAGTATAATATATATATAAATAAAATAAATAAAGGTGTGGAAACTCAGGCTCAATGGGTTTGGGGGACTCCAAGTGTCCCCCTTTATCCTTCTTTGGTAACCAAAATATCCAGAGGGAGGTCAAATGAATGCCCTAACTGCTCAAGCCCAGACCCAAAAGAGACTAAGGAGACTTCCACGGTGACTAGTGGATGGAAGCTGGTGTGACCAAGCTAGTATTCCTTCCACCATTAGGGTTCTAGAGAAATTTTCCCTGAGTTCCTGCTTCTGTGACCCTGGAAGCTGCCCTAGAGTTCTCTTCATCCTGATCCCTGACAGCTAAACATTTTTCATGATTTTGGAAGCAGGTAACACGGCTGTCTCATAATTCTCAAGGAGCTACATTAAACACTTTTTAAGTTTTGTAGACATACTTTATAACTGATCTTTTAAGGTACTTGCTTTACCTCAATATCTTAAACTTTCTGATTTATCCCTAGGATAATAGGTTGACACTTTATTATGAAGATTTTTATTTTTTTATTCTTAACAGAAAATATGACCCAATTAATATCTGTGGACACCATGTTCTCATCTATCTCAACAGATTTTTCTCTTCACCACAAAAATTGCTTATCAATTTATTTTGAGGCTTTACTCTCTTTTCTTTAAAAGCTGTTAATTCACTAGTACGTTTTAATTATCTGGAGTCAATTCCTTTACAGACTTGACATAGCAAGTTACCTTTTATTAACAGCTAAATAAATTCTGGACAATTCAAAACAGATGAATGTTTACAACTACAGCATTGGATGATTGAATCAGCACACACAATTCTATTAGATTCTGTCCTGAGTCACACCCAACACACCTATCTCTGAGAACAATGGAGAAACGAATGCAAAGAGGTCATTTGACAGTGAACTTGGCCACACACCAAACGCATTGCTACTACAACCAGCATCTGAGAACACCATTATACAAAGACTTTCTATAACCAAGGAACCCACGCAGAGTCTTCACTTCTTAAAGTACCAACAATAAAAAAGTTGCAATAAACTATGAACATTAAAGTCTCATCCTTAAGGGGAAAGAATAAATTTACAAAAAAAGTCACAAATAAAAAATAAATTCAAGAATAATTATAACAAATAGTCTACCCAAATGAGGAGGAACTAGAAAAATAATTATTGTAATATGACCAAACAAACAGGGTTCTATAGCACCCCCAAAAGATCACACTAGCTCTCCAGCAATGAATACAACTCAAGATAAAATCTCAGAAATACAAATTTAAAAAATCAAAAGGGGCCAGGCACAGTGGCTCACGCCTGTAATCCCAGCACTTTGGGAGGCTGAGGTGGGTGGATCATGAGATCAGGAGACTGAGACCATCCTGGCTAACACTGTGAAACCCCGTCTCTACTAAAAAAAAAAAAAATACCAAAACAAGATTAGCCGGGCATGGTGGCGGGCATCTGTAGTCCCAGCTACTCGGGAGGCTGAAGTGGGAGAATGGTGTGAACCCAGGAGGTGGAGCTTGCAGTGAGCCGAGATCATGCCACTGCACTCCAGCCTGGGCAACAGAGTGACACTCCACAAAAAAAAAAAAAAAAAAAAAAAAATCAAAAGGTTGATTATTAGGCTACTCAAGAAGATTCCAGAGAAAGGTGAATACCAACATAAAGAAACTTTTTAAAAAACGAATTTTCCAGATAGTTTTTTTAAAAATTGTAGACAGATATTTATTTTAAAAAAAGGATCAGAACTTCTGGAAATTAAAGACATATTTAGGTAATTACAAAATGTAGTGGAAACTTTTAACAATAGACTAGACCAAGTAGAAGAAAGAATTTTAGAGCTCAAAAACAAGGCTTTTGAATTACCCCAAGTGGACAAAAATAAACAAGAATAAAAAGACATGAACAAAAGTCTCCAAGAAATATGAGATTATGTAAAATGGCCAAAGCTGAGTAATTGGTGTTCCTGAGGGAGAAGAGAAAGCCAATAGTTTGGAAAATGTATTTCAGGGAACAATTGAGGAAAACTTCCCTCAGAGACTTAGACATCCAGATATAAAAAGCTCAAATTATTCCTGGGAGATTCATTGCAAAAATGACATCACTAAGGCATACAGTCATCAGACTATCTAAAGTCAATATGAAGGAAAGAATTCTAAGAGCAGTGAGACAAAAGCATCAAGTAACCTATAAAGGAAAACCTATCAGACTAACAGCAGAAATCTCAGCAGAAATATTGCAAGCCATAAGGGATTCAGGTTCTATCCTTACCTCCTTAAACAGAATAACTGTCAGCCAAGAATTTTGTATTCAGCAAAACTAAGTTTCATAATCAAAGAAGAAATAAAATCATTTTCCGACTAGAAAATGCTGAGGGAATTTGTCACCACCAGACCAACCCTACAAGAAATTATAAAAGGAGTTCTAAATCTTGAAATAAAAGATAAACACTCACCAGAATAGAACCTCTTAAAGCATAAAACTCATAGGACCTATAAAACAATAATACAATGATGAAAACGAAGTATCTAGGTAACAACATGATAACTGGAACAATACCTCACATCTCAATGTTAACATAGACTAAATTGTCTAAATGTTCCACTTAAAAGATACAGATTGCAGAATGAGTAAAAAAAAAAATCACAAACCAAATACTTGCTGTCTTCAAGAGACTCATCTAACATGTAATGATTCTTATAAACTCAAGGAAAAGGGGTCCAAAAAAATATTCCATGCAAAAGGAAACCAAAAGTGAATAAGAGTAACTATTCTTATATTAGATAAAAGAGACTTTAAAGCAATAACAGTAAAACAAAACAAGATTATTATATAAATGATAGAAGAATCAATCCAAAAAGAAGATATTACAATCCTTTATTTATATGTATCTAACTCTGGAGGTCCCAGATTCATAAAACAATGACTATTACACCTAAGAAATGAGATGGACAACAACACAATAATAGTGAGGGACTTCAGCACTCCACTGACAGCACTAGACAGATCATCAAGATAGAAAGTCAACAAAGAAACAATGTACATAAACTATACTCTAGAACACATTAGTTGTATAGTTTAAATATCTATAAATATTTACAGATATTTTAGAATATTCTACCCAAGAAATGCAGAATATACATTCTTCTCATCAGCACAGGGAACATTCTTAAAGATCGACCAGATGATAGGCCACAAGACAAGTCTCAATAAATTTTAAAAAATTCAAATCATATCAAATATCTTCCCAGATCACAGTGGAATAAAACCAGAAATTAGCTCCAAAAGGAACCCCCTAACCTGTACAGATACATGGAAATTAAACAATCTGTTCCAGAATGATTTTTGCATTAACAATGAAATCAATATGGACATTTAAAAATTTATTGAAATGAATGACAATAGTGATACAAGTTATCAAAACCTCCAGGATACAGAAAAACAGTGCTAAGAGGAAAGTTTATAGCACTAAATGCCTGCATCAAAAAGTCTGAAAGATCACAAATTGACAACCTAACTTTATACCTCAAGGAACTAGAGAAATAAGAACAAACGAAACCCAAAGCTAACAGAAGAAAAGAAATAACAAAGATGAGAGAGGAAATAACTGAAATTGAAACAAAAAAATAAAAGACCAATGAAAAAAAGTTCATTCTTTGAAAACTGATAGAGCATTAGCTAGATTAACCAAGAAAAGAAGAGAGAACATTCAGACCTTCTCTGAATTAGAAAGAAAATGGAGACTTTACAACTGACCTCACAGAAACAAAAGGATCATTTGAGACTACTATGAACACCTCTATGCACACAAACTAGAAAATCTAGAGGAAAGGGATAAATTGTTGGAAACATACAACCTTCTTACACTAAATCAGGAAGAAATAGAAACCCTGAACAGACCAACAGCAAGCAGTGAAAATGAATCAGTAACAAAACAACTGACAACAAAAAAAGGCCCAGGGCCAGATAGATTCACAGATGAATTCTACCAGATATTCAAAGAAGAATTGGTATCAATCCTACTGAAACTATTCCAAAAGATTGAGAAAGTTGAAATCCTTCCTAACTCATTCTATGAAGCCAGTATCACCCTGCTACCAAAGCCAGTAAAGGACATAACAATAAAAGAAAACTATAGGCCAGTATCCCTGATGAACAAAAATACAAAAATCTTTAACAAAATACTAGCTAACCAAATCCAACAGCACAGCAATAGGATGATACACCATCATCAAGTGAATTTCATACCAGGGATGCAGGGATAGTTTAACATATGCAAGTTAATAAATGTGATATATCACATGAAGAATTAAAAACGAAAGTCATACGATTATCTCAATAGATGCCGAAAAAGCATTCAATAATATCTGGCTTCCCTTTATGATGAAAAACCCTCAACAAACTTAGCATAGAAGGGACATATCGCAAAATAATAAAAGCCATATATGTCAAACCCACAACCAACTTCATAGTGAATAGGGAAAAGTCGAAAGGATTTTCCTTGAGAACTAGAATGAGAAAAGGATTCCCACTTTCACCGCTTCTACTCAATATAGTACTGGAAGTCCTAACTGGAGCAATCAGAAAAGAGAAATAAATAAAGGGCATCACTGAAATTGAAAAAGATTAAGTCAAACTATTTCTGTTCACCGATGATATGTTGTATACCTAGAAAATCCTAAAGACACCTCCAAAAGACTGCTAGATAAAAATCAATGTACACAAATCAGTGGCACTGCTCTACACCAACAATCAAGCTGAGAATCAAATCAAGAACTCAATCCATTTTACAATAACTGGAAAATAAGAATAAAATACCTTGAAATATACTGTACCAAGGAGGTGAAAGATCTCTGCAAGGAGTACTACAAAACAGTGCTGAAAGAAATCACAGGAGACACAAACAAATGAAAACACATTCCAGGCTCATGAATTGGAAGAATTAATATCGTGAAAATGACAATGCTGCCAAAAGCAATCTACAGAATCAATGCAATTCCTATCAAAATACCAACATCATTTTCCACAGAATTAGAAAAAGCAATCTTAAAATTCATATGGAACCAAAAGAGAGCCTGAATAGCCAAAACAGTCCTAAGCAAAAAGAACAATCTGGAGGCATCACATTACCTCACTTCAAATTATACTACAAGACTATAGTTACCAAAATAGCATGGTGCTGGTATAAAAGTAGACTCATAGACCAATGGGACAGAATAGAAAACCCAGAAATAAAGCCAAAATAGATACAGCCAACTGACCTTCAACAAAGCATATAAATACATAAGTTGGGGAAAGGATATCCTACTTAATAAACGCAGCTGGGAAAACTGGATAGCCACATGTAGAAGAATAACACTGGATCCCTATCTCTCACCTTACACAAAAATCAACTCAAGATGGAAAAAGACTTAAATCTAAGACATGCAACCTCAAAAATTCTAAAAGATAACCTAGAAAAAACTCTTCTAGACATTGGCCTAGGCAAAGAATTTATGGCTAAGATCCTAAAAACAAATGCAACAAAAATAAAATAAATGAATAAATGTGACCTAATTAAACTAAAAAGCATTTATACAGCAAAAGAAATAATCATCAGAGTAAACAGACAACCCACAGAATGGGAGAATATATTTGCAAACTATGCATCTGACAAAGGACTAATATCCAGAATCTACAAGGAGCTCAAACAAATCAGCAAGAAAAACAAATTCCATAAAAAGTGGACAAATGACATCAACAGACATTTCTCAAAAGAAGATATACAAATGTCCAACAGGCATATGAAAAACTCCTCAACATTACTAATCATCAGAAAAATGAAAATTAAAACTACAATGAGATACCATTTTACCCTTGCAAGAATGGCCATTATTAAAAAGTCAAAAAACAGTAGATGTTGATATAGATGTGGTGAAAAGGGAATGCTTACACACTGCTGGTGGGAATGTAAATTAGTACAACCTCTATGGAAAATAGTATGGAGATTTCTTAAAGAATCAAAAGTAGGCTGGGCGCAGTGGCTCATGCCTGTAATCCCAACACTTTGGGAGGCTGAGGCGGGTGGATCACCTGAGGCCAGGAGTTCGAAACCAGCCTGGCCAACATGGTGAAACCCCATCTCTACTAAAAATACAAAAAATTAGCTGGGGGTAGTGGTGGGCACCTGTAATCCCAGCTACTCAGGAGGCTAAGTCAGGAGAATCGCTTGAACCCAGGAGGTGGAGGTTGCAGTGAGCTGAGCTCGAGCCACTGCACTACAGCCTGGGCAACAGAGTGAGACTCCATCTCAAACAAACAAAGAAACAAACAAAAAACAAAAGTAGATCTACTATTCACTATGACAATCCCACTACTGCATATCTACCCAAACAAAAAGAAGTCATTATATCAAAAAGACACCTGCACATGTATGTTTATAGCAGCACAATTCACAATTGCAGGATATGGAAGCAACCTAAGTGCCTATCAATTAATGAATGGATACAGAAAGTATGGTATATATACACCATGGAATATTATTCAACCACAAAGAAGAAGAAAATAATGTCTTTTGAACCAGCTTAGGTGAAGCTGAAGGCCATTACTCTAAGTGAAGTAACTCATGAATGAGAAACCAAATACTGTATGTTCTCACTTATAAGTAGGAGCTAAACTATGGGTATGCAAAGGCATACAGAGTGGTATAATGAACTATAGAGACTCAGAAGCGAGAGGGAGGGAGGAGGTTGAGAGATAAAAAACTACATATGAGGTACAATGTACACTACTCAGGTGATGGGTCGACTAAAATCTCACATTTCACTACTATACAATTCATACCTATAATCAAAAAGCACTTGTACCCCCAAAGCTTTGAAACAAAAAATATTTTTTGAAAATTTTAAAAATCAAAGAGGTCATTTAAGAAAATGTCATATATACATTTTATTCACTCGAGGATCTTATTCAAACTATAGTGATTTGTTTACTTTATTACCTTTGGCTCCTTGTCTCATTCTGTCTTTGCTATCTAATAGCAAAGATTTAATTGCTATTAGATTTAATAGCTATTAGATTTAATAGAGTATTATTTAATAAATGATCCTCACTATGATTGCCACCTCACTGGTGAGGATTATTTGTTAAATTCTAGAGAGTAAAAGAAAGATTTTGGATTTGTGGAGGTGCATAAGTTTGGTAGTATGCAAATGTTTTTATATGTAAACTGTGATACTTATGTATAATTTATTTGGTTTCATTGACTATAAGCAGTAGCCTGGAAAAGAAATAGGCAATGCATTTTTAAGTTTTATGAAATTATGGTAACTTTGTCAGAATAAATGATGCATCCTTCTTCTCTTTTCCCCAAGTATCACATTGTTTTCAATTTGAGAATTATTTATTAATTGTCTACTACACATGATTATGCATGCACTGGATGTTGAATCATTGACAGGTAGCTTGGTGCTTTTCATATACTAAATATTCAACAAAAAGTGATTAAGGGCAGTCCCTTGACCAATAGGGCTTATTAGTATGGAGGATTATACAACTAAACAAATAACTATCATATAAGGAATAAGGCATGGTATAAGAAAACTATAAACAACTTTCCAGGTTTGAAGGATAAATAAATTATATTTGGAAAAGAAGGATTTAGAACATTGTATTATTAAGGACAGGCCAAACTATGCTACAGTAAAAGATTAGCAGCAAATAAAGAAATTTACCAAAACAAAGGTATATTTCTTCTTATGATTATGTGTCCACTGTGGGTTGATGAGGAGTTCTACTCCACATAGTCATTCAGGTACCCAGGGTGCAAAAGACTTGACCATCCTGTAGCTTGTCATTTAAGACGTATGTCTTTTAAATGTTGATTCACATATATTAAGTTTCTGTTTTTATTAAGGTTTAATTTTTAGGTGCATAAAAATTTAAGGTTTCTAATTCTGTCTGAAGAATTAACCCTTTTATCATTATAATATATTTTTTCTTTGTATCTGGTCATACTATCCATTTTAAAGACTTATCTGATATGAATATACCTCCTCCACCCTTCTTATGCCTACTGTTTGCATGGTATGTAACTTTCCAACCATTTATTTCATCTACCTGTGTCTTCACATTTGAAGGGCATCTCTTGTAGACAGCATATTGTTGAATCTTGCTTTTTAAATTATTCTGAGAGTCTCTACATTTTAATTGGAGTATTTAGTCCATTAACATTCATGTAGTTATTGATATGGTTGGATTCAGCTGTTATTTTTTATTTTATTGTTTTTAGGCAGTTTATTATTTATTTTCAGCCATCTCTTCTGTTTTTGTTTCCCTATTCCCCTCTTACTGACTTCTTTGTAGATTATTTGAATACTTTTTAAAATTTTGTTTTAATTTGTGTGTTGGATTTTAGACAAATTTTGTCAATGCATTTTAAATATATTTAATGCATTTAAAATAACATATTTAGTGATTAGAATGATATGATCAGGTTGGGCGTGGTGGCTCATGCCTGTAATCCCAGCACTTTGGGAGGTCGAGGTGGGTGGATCACCTGAGGTCAGGAGTTTGAGACCAACATGGCCAACACAACGAAACCCTGTCTCCACTAAAAATACAAAAATTAGCCAGGTATGGTGGTGCACACTTGTAGTCCCAGCTACTTGGGAGGCTGAGGCAAGAGAATTGCTTGAACCCAGGAGGCAGACAGCTGAGATCACACCACAGCACTCTAGCCTGAGTGACAGAGTGAGACTCCAACTCAAAAAAAACAAAAAAAAAAGGAATTATATGATCAAAGCAGTATTTTTCATTATATTTATTATTGCAGTCTTATTAGAGTATTGAATTTATTTCAACCCGTATAGTTTCAGAAACATGGAAAATTCGTAGAATGCCAGGAGAGGAAAAACAGAAATGATAAAAGGGTTGGAACTAGAACCAAAGAAGAAAAATGAGCAGATATAATTTGGCCTGAAGAAGAGAAAGCTTGGAGATAACATTTGCCTTTAAACAGATGAAGTGTTTTCATGTGGTTACCAGATGTTTTCATCATTACTCAAAAAAGAAGAAAATGGTATTAATTGTAACAAGATGGAATTAATGATGGCCAAAGGGGAAAAAGGGTCTGCACCAATTCTGCAAATGTACCGTGATGCTAAAGTTACTGAGAAATGTTAAATAACATATTTGCCAAAATATCTATAAGAAAGTATTGTGTATGCCCTTGATGTCCATCATTCTGCCTTCATTCCTACAGAAAGTCTATAATCAATTTGACTCTGATAACTTTTAATTAGGTATGGGTTACCTGGCAGCACAGGAAAGAATTAAATGATTGATAAAATACTATAATTTTGAAACCGAATGCAAAATTTACTCTTCACTTGATATGCTTAAGAAAAATGTCAGGTTCTAGATCCCTGAGGAATCGCCACACTGACTTCCACAATGGTTGAACTAGTTCACAGTCCCGCCAACAGTGTAAAAGTGTTCCTATTTCTCCACATCCTCTCCAGCACCTGTTGTTTCCTGACTTTTTAATGATCACCATTCTAACTGGTGTGAGATGGTATCTCATAGTGGTTTTGATTTGCATTTCTCTGATGGCTAGTGATGATGAGCATTTTTTCATGTGTCTGTTGGCTGCATAAATGTATTCTTTTGAGAAGTGTCTGTTCATATCCTTCTCCCACTTGTTGATGGGATTGTTTATTTTTTTCTTGTAAATTTATTTGAGTTCATTGTAGATTCTGGATATTAGTCCTTTGTCAGATGAGTAGATTGCAAAAATTTTCTCCCATTCTGTAGAGACACATGCACACATATGTTTATTGTGGCACTATCCACGATAGCAAAGACTTGGAACCAACCCAAATGTCCAACAATGATAGACTGGATTAAGAAAATGTGGCACATATACACCATGGAATACTATGCAGCCATAAAAAATGATGAGTTCATGTCCTTTGTAGGGACATGGATGAAGCTGGAAACCATCAATCTCAGCAAACTATCACAAGGACAAAAAAACCAAACACTGCATGTTCTCACTCATAGGTGGGAATTGAACATTGAGAACACATGGACACAGGAAGGGGAAGATCACACACCGGGGACTGTTGTGGGGTGGGGGGATGGGGGAGGGATAGCATTAGGAGATATACCTAATGTTAAATGACAAGTTAATGGGTGCAGCACACCAACATGGCACATGTATACATATGTAACAAACCTGCACGTTGTGCCCATGTACCCTAAAACTTAAAGTATAATTAAAAAAAAAAAGAAAAATGTCTGAAATAAAATAACAATTTAGGCTGAGGTGGGCAGTTTGCTTGAGATCAGGAGTTTGAGACCAGTCTGGCCAACATGGTGAAACCCCGTCTCTACTAATAATACAAAAAATTAGCCAGGCATGGTGGCACACGCCTGTAATCCCAGCTACTCGGGAGGCTGAAGTAGAATTGCTTGAACCCAGGAAACGGAGGTTGCAGTGAGCTGAGATTGCACCACTGCACTCGAGCCTGGGTGACAGAGTGAGATTATGTCTCAAAAAAACAAAAAAATTACTATTTTATTTAGGGGTAATGTTATAGATTTTGCAAATAAAAACACAGGATGCTCAGTTAAATTAGAATTTCAGATAAATAGTGAATTATTTTTAGTATAAGCATATTCAATTCAATAATTGCGATATGCTTATATTAGAACACTCCTCATTCTTCCTTTGAAATTGAAATGTAACTGGGTATCTTGATATCTTGTATTCTATCTGGCAATGCTATTTGGGGATAAAAAAATAAAAAAGTATAAAAGCACCTCATGTTTAAAGTAGTTTTTTATATAAGGACAAGGAATGAGACACCTTTGTCATATGTTTGGCTGTTTCTCTAAACTTACTAGACATATTTGTAACTTCAGCCAAAGATGTTGGAAGTACCCTCCTGATGTAGTGAGCAGCTTTATGAATATTTTCACCTTTGTTTAACTCTCATGGGAACATCCACAATCATTTACCAAGAGGAACATGGTTAGAATACTTCCTACCAGGTTGTGGGCATGTAGATAAACTGTCTGAGCTTTCTATCCTTCTCTTTATGACATTTCCAGACATTTATGTTTGAGAAGTCACTGGGCATTGTACAACTTGACATATGGATATTGTGATTGTTTCCAAAGATACCTGCTATCAGTTCCTTTCCCCTGCTTCTCATATCAAGAGGTAGAGTATAATTTTTTCCCTCTTGAATCCAGGCTGGTCTTAGTGATATGTTGACCAGTAACATGCATTGGAAGTGACATTTTAAGACTTCTGATGCCAGATCATAAGAAGACTTGCAGTTTCCACCTGAGTCTCTTGGAATGCTGCTCTTGGGACACTCACAGACCCATCTGCCATGCTGAGAGAAGCTCAAGCCACATGGAGAAGCTACGTTTGGTGATCTAACTGCCTCTGTTGGACTCCAAACCAGCACCAACTGATAGTCATTCAAATGACCCATCCTGGATGTTGACAGACTCTCATCCTAACTTTAGTCAGGCTGTTTTAAGCTCTATTCTTGACTAATGCCTCAATCTTAGACCCATCTTTGCCAGACCTGCACAGACAAGTTTTAGCAACAATCCTGCTAAGTCTGTTTAGAGATTTTACAGCTAATCAAATTTCTCCTTCACTATCTTTTATATCTGATCACCCTGGCTTGCCTTCAACAAAGGTCCTGTGTGATCAGCCTAAGAATCTCCCCTTCCCTGATGTATCCTCTTAGTAATTTTCCATCTACCAATGCCCTTATTCTGTTTCTTGGCTATAAATCCCTGTATATTGTTGTATTCAGAATTGAGCTCAATTCTACACTGAAGTCTATTTTCCCCAATTATGATAGTTTCTGATTTTATTTATTTATTTTACCATTTTAATACTGTTCAGCTCTGGTTTTCTTTAATAACATCCAACCCAATTAAATTTTTAAGTGACTGTTACTCCAGCTAACTACAGCACCATGAGAAACCCAAAGTGAGAACTTCCCAGTTGAGACAGTCAATCTTTAGAGCTATGAAAAATGATAATTTTTTATTATAAACCACTGCGTTTTGGGGTGGTTTGTTTTGTAATAGATATACTTTTTATTTGAAAATTTTTTTGAAGGTGGCAAATTTCTATTAACAATGTCCATTGGTGGATGAACAAAAAGATACCATATACCTTTCTGATCAATATTAAATATATATATTTAAATATAAAAATGCTTTTCTAATTAGACAGCAAATAGTATATAATATTGGGTGGCACATATAACTGAGTTAAAATTAACAGAGTTAATACTATTTTCTTTCCATTATATAGCTCAAAAATAAAGAAAACCTATTATCAATAACAGATACTATTTGTTTAACATTTTCTTTTTCTTTGTCATCCTCATTTGCACTTTTCCTATGTTCCTAATTCAGTCTTCTTTATAACTGTATGATGCTGATGTTATTATCTCTGTTTTGCTAAAGACAAAACCGAGGTCTATAGTGGTTAAGTAATTTATTCAATATTACACAACCAGGATTTAAATCAATGTCTTCTCATTTTCAATTCCAGGCTGTTTTACAGGAAAGTCCAGCCAGACCCAGATAATCAACCAAAATCCAAATCTGAAAGTACCATTCCCAGTTCTGAATTCTGAGGCCATTACTGTCCTAAAAATGAATAATGTTTTACTTTTGGGGAATTCACATTTGGAGAGACCTGATTTTTTTTAGAGATAATCACACAGTGAAGAAGTCAGATTGAATTTCACTCTGGAGTTTATAGTATTTTTTTCCAAGCTTCAGTTTTGAATTTTAATAAGAACAAAATGTGCCTTTATGGAAATAAATGTAAGAAACAGAGAGGGAAGTGCCTGGATCCAGGTCTCAGGATAGACGATGGTAGAGAAGCTACTAGAATCCTCATCTCTTGCCTTACCCCAGAGATGAACCCTATCCTTGCCCTTCTGCAGAAGACTCAGACCACAGACTTTAAATACATATGTGAGTTCTCAAAAAAAGCTCAGTTAAAAATGGTTTGAATATGTGCTAAATCAAGATAGTGCTTCATAACCATGGGTGATGAAGGAAAATCCCCAAGTGAGAAGCCAGATGCAGCTAGGTTCAGCTCAATGGCAAGGCCTCCTCCTTGAGCAGACTCAGGAACACTGCTTGACAATGCTTTGTCATTTCTCTCCTCACATCTATTTCTTAATAAGATAGATAGTATGGAGTGGCACTGTCCTGTCGGATGTGCTGCAGTAATGGAAATGCCTTCTAATTAGCACTGTCCAATATGGTAGCCGTTGGCCACATGAAGCTACTGAGTGCTTGAAATGTGGCTGGTGTGACTAAGGAACTTCATTTTTAATTTTGTTTAATTTGTATTAAATTTAAATGGTCACCTGTGGCCCGTGGCTACCATATTGAACAGCACAGGCCTAGACCACAAGGGGATCTTGTCCATTTTTGAAAATGGGGTGAGGAATAAAAGAGAAACAGCACTCTCTTCTTTCAGAGCTAAAGACTTCTGCTGCTTTTGGGTCGTGATGCTGATGGAAACACAGACCATTGGATTTGAGTCTCAAACCTGTATTCAAATTTTCTTATATATTCTTTGAAAGGAAGGTTTTATCTATGGAATATAAACTAGAAAATATAAAAAGCAAAGCAAAGTGACATTGGTTCTTGGTTTCTTTTCAGCTGGTTTATTCTTCCTCCCTCTTTGCCCCACCTCCTTAAATCCAAAGAGCAAAGGAAATGATCTGGGAATAGGGTTGTCAAATAAAATACTAGATGTCCCATTAAATTTAAGGTAAACAACACATAATTTTTTGGGACAGTTACATTCCCTCATGCAACATTTAATACACATTTTACTAAACCATTATTTGTTGTTTACCTAAAATTCAAATTTCATTGGGCATCTTATATTTCTATTTGCTAAATCTTGCATCCCAGCGGGAGGGGGCATGCGATCGGCTTCTTGGAGATGTTGATGTTCTTTAAGTATTGGAGAAAGGAGCAGTTCCTGTTGATAACAGGAGAAGCCTGAGAGGCATTAAGTTCATGGGACAGCAAGATGGTAACCTTGTGCAAATACTCCAGGTAGAAGTGGTTTGCAGGAAACTGCATCTACTCACTGGATGGACTCCTGTTGGAATCATTAAGATCTGGAAGCTTGGAGAATTATCACAAAATACTTAAGTCTCATGTAATAATCTCCCAAGTCAAGAAATAGAAAATAACCAGCTTTCCAGAAGTGCTTCTCGTTCTCTCTCCAAATCACCATCCCCCTTAAAGATAAGCACTATGCTGTCTTCTTATACAATGGATTTTAGTTTTGTCTGTGTGGGGGCTTTATGTAAATGAAACCCCAGACAGTGTCTTCTGTGGTGTAAGTTTGTTTCTGTAAGGTGCAGAAAGGCACTAGCAACCTCTCATCGATGGAAATAATTTCAACAACTGTTCATTCTCTGTGGACTATTCTATTTACAGTCTCCTTTTTTCCCATGTTATAACCCCATGTGGTTCCAACCACAAGACTGGGTATTTCTCCCTGGCCTCTGCTCCTCGGCGAAACCGAACTTCCATTTCGCTCTGCTAGCCCTATGATTCTGTCTAAAGTTCTCATCGTCATCTCAGTCCCCCTGGGAACCAGCAGATACCTCTGGGTGAAATTTGTCCCTGCCTGGCACGCCTCGCTGGGTTTCCTTCTTCTCTCAGCTCTTGGCTCCATAATTCTTCACTGCTCTACGAAATCTTTAATGCCTTCAACTTGACTTTGGTTGTTGTTCAACTTTGCTTGTTCTCAGCAGGAGAGACAGTCTGGATGACCTAGTCTGCCATTTCTAGAATTGGAACCCTTAATATGTCACATCTCCTTGCATACTAAGAATCATGGACGGGACTGGAGACCCAGTCAGCCTCAGATATGGATGTATTGCTACCAGAGAAGGGCAATGTGGGTGACTGGAGGAAAGTTCTTGAAGGCCCAGAGATGATGTGTTTCACTGGAGCATGTACCAAGGAAATGGCCCTCGTATTCATGTAAAGTTTACGCTGTGAGAAGTTTATGCTATCCCCTCTGCTCAGTGATATGTTGAAATAAGCTACAATGATTTTCCTAAATCTTGAAAACAAAACTCAGTGATATGTTGAAATATGCTACAATGATTTTCCTAAATCTAATTCATAACTTATATAATGAGTTTTTTATCTTCTTACTGAAAAAAATGAATTGACTGTTATTACTGAATCACACATTATAATCATTCTGTCAAAAATTCATTTGTTAATTTGATATTCATTTAAGTTGAGTGATTAAATCCTAATAAATCAAGACCCCTTTTCTCAAAATATATTCTTGGCTTTACCAAATGTTGTAATCAACTAGTTAGCACATTAGGTTGGTGGTTGAATTTAAATGGGATATGCAGTAGCTAAAATGACAGCCACATGGAATGTTTTCTACTCATCCACCTCCCATCACAATAGCAGAAGTACAAAATGTGATATTGAAGTGCATTTGATATGAGCTGAAATATTCTTTATTTGCTCCCATATCTTGTGTTATGATCACAGTTTTAATAACTTTTTGGCTGAATCACTGAAAAGAGCATTGACGTGTTTTTCATCCAAGTTTCCGAAAGTATATTTTATTTTCTCCCCTCTGGATTTTAATTTTCTTCCTGGCCTTTGCCAGTAAGGAAGACTGTCAATAATTTTATTACCTCTCATAGGCAAAAGGTGGAAAGAATATCTTACTGTTTGTACAGTGTGTGGAAGCTATGATGTGGCCCAGTAAATAATTTGTCAGATTACTTTCTGGATATGATATATTCTCCCTGACACCCTCTATATCAAATTCCTCTGCTTGTAAGCAGTATCACAGAATGTTACAGTGATTTAGCTAAAAATTTTACTGATTAAATTCATACTTCATTGCTTTTTCTTGTAATAAAGAGAACTTCAAACCACGTGAATGTACGGTCTACAAGGGCAGGGGGCTTTGTTCATTTTCTTCAGTGGTTTATTGTACATACCTAGAAGTGGCTGGCACAGTAGTAGCATGCAATACATATTTGTTGAATAAACTAATAAATAAAACCATAGAATTGTAGAAGATTAGAGATTGGATGTATTTCAGAAGTCATGGAGGCCAAACCCCTATTCTATAGATGTGGAAACTGACAAGGCATAGATTGCAAAGTGACACATTCAAAGTCAAAGATGGCCGGATGGTGTAGGGGTGTCCAGCACTCATATCTGATCTCATAATGCCAGCCCCGTGCTCTTGGCTACTTGGTCTCATAAATTCAAACTCCAATATAGTCCCAAGTTTAAAACTAAGACAAGCCACCCAGGTCCCACCCCAGGGAAACATTTCTATAATAATCAGGCAACCTACAGTCATCAACTATGTTAGAGTCTATACAGAACCACATCAACTGAGGTACACCCTTCCCAGGGCTATTTTTATTTGGTGGGAGATATAAAGCCCTTGCCACTGTCCTTGATGTGGAACAATAGGACAAGCCATACTTGCAGGGTTTGCCAACACTCTGAGCTCAGTTGAACTCAATTCAACCTAATCTTCTGTTTAATCCTGCTTCTTCTTCCTGCTATTGATCCTTAATAAATAGCTTGCTTCCTTCCAAACTTTTTCTCAATGCCTGTTTCTGGAGAACCCAAACTTCTATTAATTCTGTCTCTTTTGAAAATATTAAAAGGTTAGCATTTATTTATGCTGTCTTTCAGAATTACTGCCTCTCCAAAACCCCAGGTGGCCAGCATCTTCATGCTGCCACCAGTTGCCCCACCACCCTAGGCAGATCACACTGCAGTTTACACCCTAAGTTCAAATCTTGGATCCTCCCACCCATGGATTCCAAAAGACAGGAATTTTCCATTATGCTACACAGCCCTAATAAAACTCATCTCTCCTAAATACCATTTCTTTAAAGTTTGTTGATATCATAGACAGTTAACAAATGTCATGGTTTGAATGTTTATGGCCCCCTCAAATTCATGTTCGAAATTCTAACCCTCAAGGTGATGGTATTAGGAGGTCAGGCCTTTGGAAGGTTATTAGGTCATGAGGGTGGACTCTACATGAATGGGATTAGTACCATGATAAAAGAGGCCCCACAAAGCTTTCTCACCTCATCCACCATATGAGGACCTGGCAAAAAGACGAGTGTCTAGGAATCAGAAAGTGGGCCCTCACCAGCCCTGAATCTGCTGACACCATGCTCTTAAATTTCCCAGACTCCAGAACTGTGAGAAATAAATTTCTGTTGCTTATAAGCCAGTCAGTTTATGGTCTTTTATAGCAGCCCAAATAAGCTTAAATAAGTGAAGTCCGTAAATTAACCTCCACTATGTTGGCTTTCCTAATAAGTCATTGTTCTGGATTACACACTCTGTCAATGTTGGCTCCGTGTCTTTCCTGCTCTTTTCTTTCTTTCTTTTTTTTTTTAATGGATCATAGTTATTCTCTTTTCCACCTGTCATGACAAGTACATGATTCAAGCAATATTTACGAAGTACCTGCTGCGTTCGTCGTCTTTAATGTAAGTTATGTTCTTCAATACTGCCAACAACTCTACATGGCACACACTACTATAAAGTGAAATAAGCCAGGTGCAGAAAGACAAACATCTCATGCTCTCACTTATTTGTGGGATCTAAAAATCAAAACAATTGAACTCATGGACACATAGAGTAGAAAGATAGTTACCAGAGGCTGGAAAGGGTAGTTGGGGGACAGCAGGGAGGTGGTGGGTGGGGATGGTTAATGGGTACAAAAAATAGAAAGAATGAATAATACCTACTATTTCATAGCATAACATGGTGACTATAGTCAATAATAACTTAATTGTACATTTTAAAACAACTAAAAGTATAATTGGATTGTTTGTAACACAAAGGATAAATGCTTGAAGGGATGCAGACCCCATTCTCTATGATGGGATTATTACACATTGTATCCTGTACCGAAATATCTCATCTACCCCATAAATATATACACCTACAATGTACCCACAAAAATTCAAAATTAAAAAAGCATAAAAACATTATTTCCTAGGTATTACAATACCGATTTTATAGATGATGACACTGAGGTTCACAGAAGTGAAAAGACAAATCCAGGGTCACACAGCTGGTAAGTAGCAAATCAAGTAAAGATTCATATTTGAATTTTCTAACTCTGAATCCAGGACTTTATGATGATAAAAGAGAAATGGCAAATAATCTGGTGGCTGAGAGGCTCTCACAGGACCTTTGGATAAGACAGAGAAGTGGTTTTAGAAGGTCAAGGTAGGCTTTGGAGACTTGGGTACATTCGGTTTGAACCTGGAATTGAGCTAATTACACAACTTTTCTGACCTTAATTTCTTTAACTGTAAAATGGTGACTATAACGTCTCTGCCATACATTTGCCATGAGGGTTAGAGAGGATGGATTAACATTCCTTGCACAATGCCTGGGACATTGAAATAAACGATGGTTATAGTTATTAGTAGCAGTAGTATCCATACTTACCTGAGTACATTACTTAAATTAGATGTAGATTGTAAGGGATTTGTTTATCGGTGGGAACAAGAGGTCCAGGAATTATATTGCATCATCTCTTCCTCTACTGTGCTTTTAACCCCAATTGAAACATGACAAGTGTAATTTAAATGGGTCCACAGAGCAAGTACCCTTTTAGTTATAACAGCACTGCTTTAAAACCTCTAGTTAAGTGTTGAAATGGCACAAGCCCATGGACTGCAGCTTTCAGTTAATCTACTTGGCATTTTATAACCAAATAATTTTCCAGCTTTCACAGAAAGGTCAAGAAACATCCTTGTTTTAGAGAGTACAGTTGAAGGGAATGGTGCTAGCTTAACCACAAAGAAATGCTGTATGCAGAACAATATTTCTATTTAATGAAATAATAAACATTATTCATAATAGGCTAATAAAATGCCTTTATTTTCTCTTTAAATGTGTAATTTAAAATGTTTACATGCTTAATTATAACTTCAGTAGCTGTTTTCTTTCTTAGCGAATGTAGCAGTAAATGTAAAAAAAGAGTAATAAAAAATAATTCAATGACTTTATGTCTCTTTTCAGACTGCAAATGTTAAGTGACAACTACCCATTTATTGAAACCACCATTCTGTTCATTCATAAATTCATGCAAATTCTGTAAGTTTAGCTAGATTTGCCTGCAAGTCTTTCTAATAGGATTATAATTACAATAGTAGATTAGTAGTATCTCATTGATATTGCATGTCTAGATTTCAATAAGGCATTTGACAAAGAGAGATTTCATGGAGAAGAACAGGTACAACCAGAGAGGAGATGAGATCACAATTTTAGAGGAGATGATCAGGTTTAGATAGCTAATTGTTTACCCCAATACCTAATTCCCCCTTCTTTTTTTAACTACATAGTAATTAATTATTGAGGGGTTGTGATGGTAGTGGCTAGTGGTAGAAATATGCCCAACTAAAAAAAACTACATCTCCCAGCCTCCCTTGCAGATAAAAGTGATTAAGCAACTAAATTCTGCTCAATGAGATACAAATGGAAGATGTTCCCCGGAGCTTGGGGAAACAATTATTTAAAGGGGACTAATGTAGCTGGCATGAAACTTTTGTCCCCTACTCGGCTCCTTTCTTTCTTCCTACCTAGAACAAGGGCATGGACCTGCCCCTTTATAACCACGAAGAGACAAGCACAGGCAAACGTGGCTGAGTTGAAAGAAACAATAAGCCTGGGTCCGTGATTAGATCATGAAACTGTTTCAACAGCCCTGAGCAGCCTCTCCCAGACTTCTACTTACATGAGAAAAAGAAAATGTTTCACCATTTTAAAGTCACTATTTTTCTGATTCCAGTAACCAGGAGCTAAATACAGTTTCTAAGTGATGTATATTGGAATATAATTTATAATTCCAAAGGAAGGAGATATACTTTGAAACCCTAATTCCATTTACAGTCTTAATTCCCCTGTGCTCTGTAACACTGCATATTGGTATATTCTGCGAATTCACAAGTGGCCTTCTGTTTTTTTGTGGAAGGCATTGTTTTGCCATTCACACTATGCTCATTCTTTAAAGTTACAGATACAGATCTACTACCAGTTTGATTAAAATGATAAATGTTGTGAGTGAGCTGCTTCCGAAGATGGGAATTTCCCTATCACTGTAGGTGTTGGATCATAGACTCAGTTAGGAAGAATGTTCAAGAAAGCTGCTACCAATAAAGTAGTCACTTGCCACATGTGACTATTTAAATTTTAATTTTGATTAGTTTCTCATTTACACAGGCCACATTTCAAGAGCTCAATAGCCACATGTGTCCAGTAGCTACTGAATTGGACAGTGCAGATAGAGAACATTTGTATCATTGCAGAAAGTCTATTGGACAGCGCTTTTGTAAATTTTCTACTAAAAGTGTGGTTCAGGACTCAGCATATCAGCATCACCTGGGATCTGAATGAACATTAAAATAACATCGAAGCATCAGATAAAATGCTATGGGATTCTAGGGATTCTTCCCTGGGTTCTTTCTTTTGAAAGTTGTTTTCCCTCTTGATTACAGTCTCAAAAGTAAATTTCGTTGTGTTAATTTTTGATGATTTTTCATTTGCTTTATTGTGAATGGAAAGTATAATACGTACAGAGTTGAATTATTTTGTGTGTTTTTTTTTAATTTAAAAAAGTACCCTAAGAAAGGAACAGGTGAAAAAAAACATGTAGGGAAATATTTTAGGTCAGTGGTCATCTCCTTACCTATATAAGGATACAGAAACTTAAATGTACTAAAGTGCTCACTCAAAGAAACACATCTGTTTCAACTACTTTGCTTTGTAGCAAATTACCACCGACGTATAGTAGTTTAAACAACTTGTTTATGATTTTGTGTGCCAGCAATTCAGGAAGGATTCAGCGTAGTGGTTCTCACTCAGTATCTCTCTTGCTGTTGGAGTTAGATATCAGCTGACATTGCAGTCATCTGAAAGTGCCACTGAGCTAGAAATCTAAGATGGCACAGGTGGCTGGCAGCTAGTGCTGGCTGTGGTCTGGGAGCTCAGCTGGGTCTATGGGCTGCAGCACCTGCATATGATATCCCCAGTATTTAGTCTTGGTTTAGAGAATTTTCTTACATAGCTGCTGATTTCCCTCAAAGTATGTATCCCAAGAGAATCTGTATTTTCTGATGTAGGCGGGGACGTTACACACAGTCACTATCACAACAGTCTATTTTTTTTTTCAAAGGAGTCAGTGATAGCAGCAGATATTCATGAGGATTAATCCTTTAATCCATTAATTAATCCTAATTAATGTTGTGCTTCTCCCTACATTCAGACTTCTGTCCATTTTCTTCTTTCCCTTTATGTATCACCTCCAGTTTTGTACTTCTCTTAACCCCAAATTGTCTGTCCTTCATTTCACAGAGCCTATTCCCTTTCTTGAATGTTTCATTGATACCCACCCTTCAATTATGCAAATTACATTGCCATACCTCCTAAGTATACCTGCATTTTAATGAAGGCAAAAAGAAAGACTCTAAAGTATACATATGTATCAAATCTGCATGTTGTGCACATGTACCCTAAAACTTAAAGTATAATAATAATAAAATTTAAAATAAAGATAAATTGTGAGACATTGATGGTAGTAATAGTGGAGATATTTTGGAGTTAATTGTGTGAGTTTGGGAAACTTTCTTAACTTTTTATCTTTCTTGTATGTAAAATACGGAAATTGAACTAGGATGTCTTTCTTGACCCAAGTATGGTTCCATGCCAGAAACTTGTGTGAATAGAGATACCATAGCCTCTAAGGGATCCAAAGACGTTCTGAAGTCACATAGATCCTATCACAGCAGCACTCCAACTTATTCCAGAGACAAAACAGCTCAAATGCAAGCAGCCACATGGGCACTTTTCTCATGACCCTTTTGTGAGAATCAAATTCTGAATGACAGATCAGCTCAGAGACCTCTTCTCTGCCTAATGAACAACAACTTTGTAGTCCTAATAGCTACTGCTGTTTAGAACAAGATAAGAGAATAATTTCCCCATCCAATTGGATACCCATTTGTTGCATGTCCTTTCTATTTCAATTGAGAGGCATCTTATCTGTCATTATTTTAACTTTGTATAGGAGGGAGTTGAGGTCTGATTAAATCAAAGAAGCACATCAGAAAATTTCCTTTCATTATTATAAAATGAGTTTGAGTCACATGACCATTTGTAAAAGAAATCCGTGACATAGAACTTAACTTTCTCCAGGGCGTATGTTATATATACAGGATTTATATACACTAATGTTAGAATAAAGACAACCATAGTTATTACTTATTTAGCACCTGTAAAAACCAGGTACTAAGCTATGTAGTTTTCATTCAAACCTTTAAAAGACAAGTAATAGGCAATGAGGCCAAGATTTTCACCCAGATCTGTCTGACTCTGTAGTCCAAGATTGCACAAAGAACATGCTTTTTATTAAGTTGACACTGAACTTAACTTAAAGATTAGGACTGTGCCATGGGCTGCTTTGTGAGATATATTTCAAAAGCACTGGTGGCACAGCCAGTTGTCAATGCACTGGATTACTCTTGAATCAAGGATAACGGAATGTTTTTTGTTTGGTTTGTCTTTTAATTGGTAATTTTAAATATGTGCCCAAGGTGTCTTGGCACTGCTAATGAAATAATCCAGATCCCTTGTGGGTAGAAGAAATGGGAAGAACTGGTAACCTGAATTTGACTATTGTTAAAGAATTCATGCAGTCTTAGTTTCCTCTGTAAGTCAGCTGGTATTTTTCAGGCATTCTGCAGAGAGGGAATAGTATTTTCGTGGGCAAACTAGAAGACAATGAAAGCTTGAAACTGGAAGAAAATGGGAGACAGCAAAGGAAACAAACATTATCCCCAAAGCCTTTTGGGTAAAAAAGATGAACATTCGAGGGTTGCATGGCAACCAGAGGTACCAAGCTGAAGCATTCACTTAGAACAATTGCTGAAAACAGAAGTAAAATCACCATCACAGCAAAACCTACAAGATATAACTGAAGCAGCAATCTGATAAAAGCCAACTTTCAACACTATCAAAAGAGAAAATGTATGAATTAAGACTTCAATTTAAGATATGACAGGCATCTACAAGTTAATATGTAACTTCACAGAGTCTGAGCCCTGACCAACAGCAAATAGTAAGTGAAATAGAGGTATAATACCCTAGAGAAATAAATAATCCTTAAGTAAGTCTGTTATTCAATGCTTTTGTATGACATTAAAAAGATATCAGGTCATCTTTTTGCCTCATGACAGCTTTTGAATAATAATTTTTCTTAACAGTAGAAAATAAAACAATAAAAAATGACATGGAAGTTATGAAATAATGCTATGAAAATAATGAAATAAAAAGATTCATAATTATTTAAAAGTATTTTATTATTTGAAACCAATATGAAAGGTAAAGCCCCTGCCATTTTTATCAAGAAGAAAAAAAATTAGAGATTAGGAAGGCAAAGAACAATAGCATAAAAGAAATGAAAATTATCAAATATAAGCATGAAATTGAATAACAATCAATCCAAAACTACAATAAAATTATATTTTTGACAAATACTTAAAACACCAACATGGGCAGTTTTTACGACCTTAAATATATGAATGAGCGATAATTGAAGAAGAAAATATAAAAGTTACATAAGAGGTAAGCCTGGAAAGAGGGAAACCCACCACCACATCCTATTGAATTACTTGGTAAATTATTTTAAACATTTAGCTTTTGCCTTATTTTTGTGGGTCCTCAGAGGTTGCACTTTTAAGCAAGGGAGGCAAGCAAGAACTGAAGAGAGGAAAGCTGGAGGGAGGAGCAGGAAGGAAGAAGCCCTGATCCTGGTCCTCATCCTCGACACTTCCCCAGCCTCCCCCTGGACTTGATCATCTCCAAGTTTGAGTTTTTATGAACTGCCAAAGTTATTCTCAATGGCATCTAGAATAATAGATGAGTGCCTCTTGAAAAAGAAGGGCAAACCAGACAGAAGAATTTTCCCCTTTAAAAATTTCTCCATAATCCCTGTGTTTATCTTTAATTTTTTATGTCCATAGGTTTTTGGGAAACAGGTGGTTTTTAGTTACATGAGTAAGTTCTTTACTGGTGATTTGTGAGATTCTGGTTCACCCATCACCCAGAGCAGTGTTCACTGAACCCAATTTGTAGTCTTTTATCTATCATCCCCCTCCCACCCTTTCCCCCAAGGCCCTAAAGAGAATCATTGGCACCAAGCTGTCAGTGGCGCCTGCTTTAGATGAGGGCTACTCAAATACGACTAACTGGAATAACAGGCCTCCAACTATCAGAGGACCTTGAAGTCCCCAAATTAGATCAACACAGCAAACACCAATGTTTTCTTCTCTCTTTCTGGCAACGGCCTCCCCTGCTTATTATAAGATATGGGTAATGTTACAATGGGCAGGGGAAGCTATTGAATTGGAAGGATAATATAAAGAAAGGTAGGATGAAGAGAAACTCTTGGTCTCTATAAAAATTCTAAGGTTTATGAGTCTGTAGAACTTTGTACTCTTTCTCACCTTACTCTTGTGGCACTAGAAGATAAGACAGTACAGAAGTGAGAATGAGGACTGGCCTACGGTTAACAACATTTTTCAGCATTTTTCTAATAAATATTTATTCCTTTTATATTTCTTATGGATAATGTACCTTCTGATCCTGATCAAAAGCTTTAAAGATAGAAATTCTGTCTCTGTTATTTTATTCAGGCTCTTATTCTTAGCAGAGCACAGGAAACATAGTAGGCACGCAAGATGTGACTTGATGATCCAGAATGAGACGATACATTCTTTTCCTAGGACACATGCCTATTGAAAGGAAAGGAAGGACTTCATTCTTTCATTTTTTTTTTTTTTTTGAGGCGGAATCTCACTCTGTCACCAGGCTGGAGTGCAGTGTTGCCATTTCAGCTCACTGCAACCTCTGCCTCCTGGGTTCAAGTGATTCTCCTGCCTCCTGAGTAGCTGAGACTACAGATGTGTGCCACCACACCTGCCTAATTTTTGTATATGAGATGATACATTCTTAACAGGAGAAAGTTAAATCTGATATCCAAGTTCTCATTTTATGTTTTTCATGTACAACAGTCATAATTTTGTAAATGTTTAAATTTTAATGTGGACTTGTGGATAGGGTGTTAACAGAGTTCTAGAAATTTCCCCATTTTCTCCCAGAAGTGCTCTGGCTTTATTGGAGGGAACAGAAGAATCCCTATGTGAAGTTGGACCATTAAAATCAAATTGTGACCTGGAAAGCTAAAGATCAATGAAAGCTCTCTTAAAATCCATGTAATTATGAAGATTAGGTGCATAGGATAACTTCTTCACCAAATCTCTGAGGAATAAAGAGTATTGAGATCAGTGGGATATAATGTACTCCCATTGATACAGTATTGATCCCATTGATGATATACTCCCAATA
Source organism: Homo sapiens (assembly GCF_000001405.40). Taxonomy (NCBI): domain Eukaryota; kingdom Metazoa; phylum Chordata; class Mammalia; order Primates; family Hominidae; genus Homo; species Homo sapiens. The sequence goes on from NC_000002.12 coordinate 223,371,227, forward strand.
AGTTTAAAAAATGAGACTTCAGAAAAAAGTACAGAGAAATATTACTTTTTGGAGTGAATAATAAATGGAGAGAAGGGTTTGACATTTGTTAAATGCTTCAACCTATAATAAGATGCTACAACACGGTTGAACGAACCTTGAAATAGGTATGCTGGGTGAAAGAAGTCAGCCACAAATGACTATGTCTTGTATGTTTCCATTTATATAAATGCCCAGAATATGCAAATCTATAGAGACAGAAAGTTGGTTAGCAATTTCTTATGTCAAGGAAAATGGGATTGAATGGAAGATGTGGAGTGACTACAACTGCTAACTGGTATAGGTTTCTTTTAGGGACAATAAAAAATTCTATAATTAGATTATGGGTACAGTTGTACAATTTAGTGACTATACTAAAAAAAATTATGATATTTGAAGTATATCTTAAGATGTTAAGAAAATACTCAAGTGGGCAACTAAGAAACCATTCTGTATTTTCCAAAAGTTTCTGTTTTGAGCCCCTATTCTGCCCAAAGACAGTGTACTCTGATTAACTCATTTTTTTCAGGACTAAATTCAGGCAATTTAGGATTCCTCCCCTCTCTCTTTTCTCCCTAAAATGATATCTATGTCCTCAAGGCTTTACACAGATTGTTGGCAAGAGAAGACTCTTGGTCCTTGATTAGTGTGCTCATGCCCTCACCCGTGGAAGCCTGCTTCACACCATCAAGTCCTTGGGTTAAACCATTACTCCAGCTGACCTCAACTGGCCCCAGGTCATTGCATCCTTGCTTCATTCTTCCCTGCCTTCCCTCACCCTAGAGCAAAACCCAGCAGATATACTAGCTTTCCCTACCAGCAGTATTTCACTCCCTTTTCAGAGCAGAGGGAAGACACCTGCCTCAGGCTTTTCTGCCCCCAACACTTGCGGCCAGGGTGGCTCTGAGAAACCCAGCAGAGCTGCCACTGCTAGTCTAAGTGACGAACACAGACTACTCAATTCTCATATCACCCCCAAAAATTATTCTGTTGCTTTCCTCACTTGAGCCTAATAACAGCCTGTGAGGTGAGGGGGAGGAGAAGAGCCCCTTCTCAACTCTCACCAGTATCTAACTTCTCTGGTCCTTTTCTTGAGCTGGGGTAGGGAGGGTTGTTGGGGGAAGAGTGAAAGTAAAAACTGGTTCAAAAGTATCCATTCAATATCTTTCTTCCATGCACTCTATATACCTGGGCCAAGGCTTTCGAAATTAGTAGTCTTAAGTATGATGCCTCCTTTCTCATACCTGGTGATATGATTTGGCTGTGTCCCCACCCAAATCTCATCTTGAATTGTAGTTCCCATAATCCCCACATGTCATGGGAGGGACCTGGTAGGAGGTAATTGAATTAGAGGGGTGTTTATCCCCATGCTGCTGTTCTTGTGACAGTGAGTGAGTTCTCATGAGATCTGATGGTTTTTAAGGGGCTTTTCCCAGTTTGCTTGGCACTTCTTGCTGCCACCACGGGAAGAAGGATGTGTTTGCTTTCCCTTCTGCCATGATTGTAAGTTTCCTGAGGCCTCCCCAGCCATGCTGAACTGTGAGTCAATTAAGCCTCTTGCCTTTATAAATTACCCCGTCTCTGGCATGTCTTTATTAGCAGTGTGAGAATGGACTAATACACCTGGCAAGCCCTAGTGGGGAAAGGTCACAGGGTTAAAACAACACCCTGTCATACCAACTAAATGTCTTACGCTAGGTGGCTTGATGACATGAACTGTGTGCATTTTCCAAAAAATGGAATATTAAATAGCCATTAAAATTTATGTTGTAGAATAATATTGAATAATATGTAAATTTCAATTTTGTAGAAAAAATGTACATTATATTCAATAATAAGACTAGATAAACATCCATCAACAAACTCAGTGATTACCTCCAGGCGGTGAGATTATGCATGGTTTTAATGTTATTTTTTATTTTTAGTATTTTCAAAATGTCCTAGTGATTATGCATTGCTTATATAATAAAAAATGTCAAACAAAAAATACTGCTAAATGAACTAAGCATCTTCTGACCCTAAGAGGCATGTGACCAGGAGGCATTCTACCCTGGGGATTCTGCAGGAGGTGAGCTCCATCCTGGGACTGCTTCAGGAGCTTAAAACTGAGTAAATCCGGGTTCCAAACAGAGTTTTTCATGAACAGAACAAGGATAGCAGAGGAGTGGGTGTGTGGGGGGTGTAGGGAGAGCTCTGAATAGGAAAAGATCCCCTAAAGCAATATTGTAAGTGCAAAATAAATAATAGAACAATTATTGTCTGTGTTGCATTAGGTTTTATAATACCATCTGTAAGGGTTTTTCAAATACAACAAAAATGAAGGCTTTGGGAGACAGAGACTGGACATTTTTCAAACGTAAGCACCAAAGATAAATGGAAAGTGTGGGGAATAAGATGATTCCAAATCTCATGGCCCCAGGAGGCTCTAGAAAATATAACAGAAACAATAGGAAACAATCTTCAATCTGGCAACCTAGTATAGCTATTAAGAAGTGCTCTGCCACATCCACGTTGCCTGAAAGAGCAAACGCAAATCAATGTCCAGAAGAGAGGATCCCTCCAATTTACACCCTTCCTTCCAAATCCTTCCTCACTACTACCTCCCTGCCCTTTCTTCTGATTATTAGACTTATACATGGAATTTTCTAAAGTGACACTGAAGTTAATTCTGACTTCATCTAGAAAAAGTTCTAAAGATATTTTTTTAGTGATCCTTTCTAAGAACATTAGAAATGCCATCCCGTGATGAACCAATGGTGTCATCCTACTCAGCCTTTTTCAGTAGCACCAAGCCGTGCTTTATGGAAAATGATGGCTTCCCTTTGTGACATCAACTGCAAAATGTTAAGGGCATATATTAATGCTATATATATTCCTAAATTTTTCAAGAACATATTTTGGAATTATGTTTTGGAAAATTATCTAAAACCTTTTTGCACATAATTATATTGGTAGGGTGAACCATTTTTTGAGACAACAACTTTTTGGTAGGCATACCTGTCACAAAGAAAATTGGACTTGGAATCACTAAATCAAAAATTAAAATTGTTCTCCACTACCAGTTTGAACAAATATTTTAGCCTCTATGAATCTCTATTTTCTTGTTTCCAAATGAGAGAAATATTTCTAAATTGTCCTGTAATTAAATGAAAAATTATGAAGCATTTAACAAATATCAAACCCTTCTCTCCATTTATTATTCACTCTGAAAAGTAATATTTCTCTGTATTTTTCTCTGAAGTCTCATTTTTTAAGCTTAATGGGAGTATATTATCAATGGGATCAATACTGTATCACTGGGAATACATTATCCTGCTGATCTCAATACTCTGTTCTTCAGAGATTTAGTGAAGAAGTTACCCTATGCACTTAATCTTCATAATTACATGGATTTTATGAGATCTTCCATTGATCTTTATCTTTCTAGGTCACCATTAGATTTTAATGGTTCAACTTCACATAGGGATTCTTCTATTCTCTACAATAAAGCCAGAGCACTCCTGCGAGAAAATGGGGAAAATTTTGTAACTCTGTTTATACCCTATCAACAGGTCCACATTAAAATTTAAACATTTCCAAAATTATGACTGGTGTATATGAAAAATGTAAAACGAGAACTCGGGAATCAGATTTAACTTGTTGTTGTTTTTGTTAAGAATCTATCATCCCATTCTGCATCATCAAATCCTAACTTGGGTGCCTACTATGTTTCCTGTGCTCTGCTAAGAATAAGACCCCTATTAAAATAACGGAGACAGAATTTCTATCTTTAAAGCTTTTGATCAGGATCAGAAGGTATATTATCCATAAGAAATACAAAAGGAATAAATATGTATTAGAAGAATGCTGAAAAATGTTGTTAACCATAGGCCAGGCCTCATTCTCACTTCTGTACTGTCTTACAGTAATGGTAATCTTCTAGCACCACAAGATTAAGGTGAGAAAGAGTACAAAGATCTACAGACTCATAAACCTTAGAATTTTTATAGAGACCAAGAGTTTCTCTTCATCTTAACTTTCTTTATATTATCCTTCCAATTCAATAGCTTCCCCTGTCCATTATAACATGACCCATATCTCATAATAAGCAGTAGAGGCCGTTGCCAGAAAGAGAGAAGAAAACATTGGTGTTTGCTGTGTTGATCTAATTTGGGGACTTCAAGGTACCCTGATAAGTGGAGACCTGGAGTCATATTTGAGTAGCCCTCATCTAAAGCAGGTGCCACTGACAGCTTGGTGCCAATGATTCTGTTCTTAGAAAAATCTCCCTCCCCAAGGCTAGCATCAACACACAAGACAGACACCTTAGGTACACAGTTCTGACCAGAATAATGAGAAAGTCAGACATCCTGTTTCTGGTTATATGCTTGTCATGCATAAGACTATGAAATTTTCTACTTTTAAGCAAGATGCAGAATTTCACCAAGAATATAGGGTGTTAGAGAATATTTCAGTCATCCTAAGAGATACTCTTCTAGGAAAAAAAAGGGAAACAAATCAAGGACAAACTGAGAGTGGGAGGGGTGAGAATGGAGGAGATTTGAAATAGTTTCTGAATTCTTTTACTCCCATGAGTCCAGTGTTCTCCTTTCATTTTTCTGCAAGCCTCCCCACCCCAAGATACAGTGTAATTAATGCTGCTTCAAATAGAATGAACTGTGCATACTACAAGTGTTTAGAAAGAAGAGACCTCAGGTGGGTTAGTAGATTGAGGAGTTTCCTGGAAGAGGTAGGATTTCAACCAGTTAAAGATAGTAAAAGGTTTCAAAAGACATGGAGACGTGGGCAAAATATTCTTCAGCATGGAAGACTTAAAGTTGATTCACACAAAGCAAATTTACTATTTACAATTCCTCCTTCATTTTAATCTTTCCATAGGTTTGTGTTTCTGCCCTCCTTGATATGGAAGGAGAATCAGGACACAGAGATAATGAATTTATTAAGCTGAGTTTTTAATCCCTAACTGCAGTTTATTTAGCCAAGAAAATAAATGTTAACTGGCTAATTTACATGTCTCTTCCATAAGCCACATAGGTTGTAAAGTCTTTACTTTTTGAAAAAATACAGTATAATGAATACTCTACCTGGTTACTTTTTAAATTAATCACCGTATTCATAGAAAGGAATCAACACCAGAATCTTATACTAACAGTATAATTCAGAATAATGGTCTTCCTCCCTCCACTGTAATCAGCTTCTGCTGGTTTGTCTATTTTGCAGGATTTATGGCTTATATTTCAGTGTTGCTATGGTTATCCCAGCTTCTTCCCTTTGGTCTGTTAACAATGAATATTTTAGAGATCTTTTACTTGATACTCTTACTGATGTTTTTTCTACTTCATGATGTAAAGCTAGAATCAATATGTTTTTCCTTCTACTTTATTTATGAGACTATAATCTCACTGAGTCAAAGCCTGAAAGAAATCTTGTGTTGGGTAAGTTAGAATTTTAGTACAGATGGAAACACGACTCTCAGAAACAAGTTCTGCCCATGTGAGAGGAGATGCTGACTTTTGGTGCCTGGTCCCTGCCTTTTGTCCCCAACTACCCCTTGATGATGATTTGCACTTTGGTTCTGCCCACTGTGGCTCTGTCACTCTTCTCTTCTTTCCTCTGTCTCAGGCGAGGAACCTATGACCTCATTTTCTCCAGGGTTTCACCTTAAATGGAAGAACATTTTAAAACTCACACTCAAGTGTCTGTCAGAGGGGACAATGCTCAATATATGAGAAAGAATCACAAATTACACATGATTAGGCATTATAGAAAACAAGGATGAAAGTATATAGAGGACATTTGAAGTCTAATGCTAGAGAGACAATGCCCTGAATTACTGTCACAACAGTCAATGTTTAGACCAAAATGTGCTATGCAAAGAATAAGCATTGGGATCTGAGGAAAAGATCTATGACTCCTTTTTTATTGTAAATTGAAAATTTATAATGGTATAAATTTATAGGGTGCAAAGTGATGTTATGATTTACAAATACAATGTGGAATAACTGAATCAAGCTAGTTAACATATCTATCACCTCAAATACTTAATATTTTTATGTTGAGAACATTTGAGATTTACTCTCTTAGCAGTTTTGAAATGTACAATACTTTATTATTAGCTATATTCATCATACTTTTCAATAGAACTCAAAAAAATACTATTCAGCCTTAAAAAAAAGAAGAAAGTTGTCATCTGTGACAACAGGGATGGAATTGGAGAACATTATGCTAAGTGAAATAAGTCGGGCACAGAAAGATAAATACTACTTGTTCTCACTTACATGTGGAATCTAAAATGATGGAACTCATGGAAACAGAAAGTAGAATGGTGGTTACAAAGGTTGGGGAGTAATAGGAAGATGATAGTCAAAGGATACAAAATCTGTTAGATAGAAGAAGAGATCTATAACTTTTGTGATTTTTCAGTTGTGGTTTGCAAGGGTATATTTTAAACTATTTCTTCCTAGGTGCTCTGGTGCCGGAGATTTACATGACCTGTGTGATTTGAAGAGAACATTCCCCAAAGGGTGTATATAACTGAGTCAAGGAGGATACAACTCTTTTTAATTTGCATTGAAGTTTTGCTTATAAAAATAGTCAGTGTGGGAAGATTGCTTGAGGCCAGGAGTTTGAGACCAGCCTGAGCAACATAGCAATACATCGACTCTACTTATTAAAAAAAAAAAAAAGAAGAAGAAAGAAAAATAGCCACGTGTGGTGGCATACCTGTAGTCACAGCTACTCAGGAGGCTGAGACTAGAGGATCACTTGAGCCCAGGAGGTAGAAGCTGCAGTGAGCCATGATTGTGCCACTGCACTCCAGCTGAGTGACAGAGTAAGGCCCTGTCAATAACAAAAATGGAACTATGAATGGAACTATGAATGGGTATTCTTTTGCCAACTATTCATTTCAAAACTTACATACACATCTAGGTTTCTAAAGGAAATTTTTGATAGCTTTTATGGGTAATAAAATGTTTTGGGGCTTTCTTGAATTAACTTGAGCATTTCTCAAGGACTTGCCACTCCTTGCACTAATTGTCCCTGCTAACAACCAAACTGAGACATGGTTTGACTGGCATATATCTTTATTCCCATAGCGGACTCATGTCATCAGCACTTTGTAGAATGCCTGGCAAAGCAAAAGTGTTCAATAAACGCTCATTGAATTGAAAATAATCATTTTCTCATCTTGCCTGGATCAAGAGACAAGACAGTGATGTAATCTGATTACAGACTCTTACTGAAGGCTCTGTGGTACAGGGATGAAGGGTCAGTGTGAGGCTTTCTTGCATCCTAACCCTCAGGACGAGGATTCTTACTGATCAATTTATAAATGGGAAACATTATTTTTTTCTAGTAAATATTCATGGGGAGCATGAGCAATAAATTAGAGAATTTATGCTTATATCATTTCCAAAAAGAACATGGAGTGGCTTACTGAAATATTAATATTTATACCACATCTGTCTATTTCAAAGAAAGAATCATAAGTAGAAAAGGAGGAAGCATGTGGAAGGAGGGACTCCCTGCAGAAGAACAGGGTGAGCAAAAAACAAGAGCCTGGCATAGCCTGGCCTCTGACAGCAGTTATTAGTGCTTCAATGTAGTTGGCAGCAGTGTCCAAAAGGGGTCACAGCACAGGTAGCGGTGATGAAAAGAGGTCAGTGCACAGAATTCTTAGAAATGAAGCCCAGGAGATAGCATGGCCAATACTAAAGAATTTAGACTTAACCAGTAGATAGATAGTGAGAAGCCACCAAGAGGCTTTAAGCAGGAGAGTGAGAGAATCAGATTTGTCTTTTCAGAAAAATTATTGCAGCAATAAAAAAGGTCCACTGAAGAGAGATAAAAGTAGCTGCAGGAAGATCCAATAATGGGAAAGTTTTACATCAGTCTATATATGGGGATGAAATAAGTGAATACCACCAAGGATGAAGTGATAGGGATAGATATAAGCTTTTAAAGGAAGGTAAATCAACAAGACTTAGCCATCAGTGTAGATGGGAAGTGTAGCTGGGGAAGGGAAAGTGTAGATGCCAACATGGTTTCCTTCTTTGAAGGTGGATGTTGGTGTCTTTCACTGAGATTAGGAGTATAGGAGACAAAGCAAGACAGTTTTAAACATGTTGAGTTTCCTGAGGTGGAGGCGAAGGGAATGAGAGTGTTGTAACTGAAAATATTTCATCAATAGGATAGAATAAAGGCTAGAAATCATCACTTATAATTATACTGTTCAATGTTGTAATGGACCTTGGTTCTTAGTTGGGTTTAAGGAGAAATTTCTATAAAACATCATCAGCCAAGTGTCTATAATTAGCACATGCAGATTTGATGATACTCATTTGCTCTCTGTAGTGCTGAGAACAACAAATACTGTAAACATTATATGGTGGTTCCCAGATCTTTCCCTTTACCTCAGTCTCTGGACATGTCTATAGTCCCTGTAGCCTGCATATATTTGCAAATCCCTTGTGCACTTCTGAATAAACTCAATATTTTTGGAGACTCTCTGTTATTTAGGTTGATGTATCTTGTGTCATAAGTGGGATCTGATGTACAACACCTTCGGAAGGAATTGATGATTCTTGGAGCCAGTGTACAGTACTCACTAGAGCCCTTTAAGCTGTCCATTTCTATGGCCTGCTTTTTCTGTGCTGGTGGTCTTTTCTCAAGCCAATCCTCCCTCTTTTAGGTAAGCTCCCTGCTGACTTCATATAGGATCTGATGTGGATAAGGTCATCTTAATAATAAAGGACCTTTGGTGAGTATATTCCTTACATTTCTATGCAACAAGAAATAGGATCTTCATGGTTCTTGAGAGATTAATAAGAAATGGAATGGGATTCTCAAATATTAAGACATGCCAGGTTTTCTGGGACTCCAGCTAGCTACATATTATGGCCCATCCTCATGCTCATGTTTAAATTGATGGGCAAATCTCATCAAGAAAAATTCAGAGCTTAAATGATCATTATTCAAACTAAGGAACAACAACTATACGGTTTTAAAGTCTGAATGAAATGCTGGCATGTAGAAGCTTCTAACTTCCCCATTTTTCTTTTTTCCCTGAATACTATGAGTTTGCTGACATTTTTTCCTTTGTATTAAGATAAAATGTCACTGCTGTAACTGACCTTGTAGTTGGTAGAAAACGAAACAAAAATAAGTCAAAGCCTGCTTGAACGATGTTTTTCCTACGTCATTTCAATGAAATGTATATACCAAGGAATTAACCCCTAACCTTCTTTGAGCCTAAAAGAGGGAGAAGAAAAGGGTAAAAGAGACTTATTTTACATTGCTATGGAAACTACTTTGCCCCAAATTTGGTCCTCAGCCTTCATAAGATTATTTATCAAGGACAAAAGGAAAATCTTAAAGGTCTTCTCCAAAATCATTGGTAAGAAGCTTTAACATATGAACAGGTGAACTTCACTTGTCTAATTTTACCAGAAATATAATTTAGATCCAACTGTCTTTGTATAAACTGATGAATTTATATTACTGTGTTTTACTGTCATGACTAAACTTTTAAAATGAACGCTAGAAGATTTTTGTTTGTGTGTGTATGTGTTCATGTGCATTTACCCATGTCGTATTTTGTGTCTACATGGTAAAATCTGGCTTAGTCAGCCAGAAATCCCTTAAGAAATTCCATTCAAACTGGCTTAAGATAAATGAGCACTCTTATAAATTAATACTTGAAACAGCAAAAATGTATAGTAATTAACCCAAATACCTTTTAGTTTATGTGACTTAACTAAATATGTAACAAATATGCTGGCTTTAATTTTGTTTGTAAAATAAAAATGAAGATGTCTTCAGAATTGTTAGCATGTATTTTCTTTCACCTGGACTTACTGGTCAAGCAGAGTGATATTTGTCTCTGCTAAATGTTTAAAAACAGAATGATCAGTGTTAATATAATTCTTTGATAAGGAAAGCTAGTTTAACATTGTTGGTTTAGTGAAAACAGCTATATCTTCTGAGTTATTGGCAAAATATCCAGATATTTAACTTTAACATTCATACTTAGGTGAATACCTGATATTCACAGGCTATAAAAATAGTTAGCAGAAAAATAATAGAAAGAATGACTAGCTTTGTCTAATACCTCAGTTTTCATGAGAAATCTAAGCATAACTACAAGAAATAAATTAGGTAAATGTAAATTGAGTAAATGTTTGCAAATAAATTTTTCATGAAACTTGAAATCTTAAAGCTATGATTTATTGAATTAACAGATATTCATTAAATGCCTAGGTCATTTCCAATTAAGACAAAATACTGAAACATAAATTGCTGAACATTAGGCTTAAATTCATCTACTTTTGGCTTCTTATTACAAAGAAACAAAATATATTTGAGTCTATTAATAGATCTGTCTTGTTTCACATTGAAAAATTGTTCTATAAAGAAGCTCATGTTTCCAAAAATTATTAAGGTGTACATCCATAAGCTGTTCATATATGACAAACAATTCAAAACTGCTTACTTCTTAGGTTTCCACTATAAATTAAGGTTATCAAAATTCAAAAATTTTAATTAATATGTGCAATTCTATATGAAAAGTTCAAAAAAGAAAATTAAGGGGTGTGTGTGTGTGTGTGTGCATGTGTTTTTCTTGAGAAAGTGTCTCGCTCTGTCTCCCAGGCTGGAGTGCAGTGGTGTGATCTCAGCTCACTACAACCTCCACCTCTCAAGTTCAAGTGATTCTCCTGCTTCAGCCTCCTGAGTAGCTGTGTGCACTACCATGCCCAGATAATTTTTTTGTATTTTTAGTAGAGACAGGGTTTCACCATGTTGGCCAAGCTGGTCTCGAACTGCTGACCACAAATGATCCACCTGCCTCAGCCTCCCAAAGTGCTTGGATTACAGCACTATGAGCCATCGTACCAGCCAATATGTGTTTTTGATGAGAAAAATTATAAAGAAAACAGAATATGTCTTTCGTTAAGACGTATAATTTAATCTACTTGGAGGTTGTTTAAACGTTGTTTCAAAAAGGAAACGGGAAGAAAATAAAAACAAAGCAGAAAGAAACGAATAGTAGGAGTGAGAGATGTGAGGAAAGTTTTAGGTATGAAGATGTACTTTTGTTAAGGACGAGAAGAGAAAGGAAGAAAAGAGAATAAATTTTGTATGAGAAAGAATCTTATGTGGCAAATTTTTGTCCTAACATAAAATGACGGGTTATTTAAGCAAGATGAAGTATAGGACAAAACTAGAATTCTAAGTTTGCCATAGATGGTCTGAAAAAGTCTAATCAGGAAGAGACTGGGGAGGGGTGGCTTTATGAGACAGGGTGAGATATCTCATTCCTCATATTGTATAGTTGAAAAGAAAGTGTCATCAGGTAGGGGGAAGCAACCTCACATATGCTTACCAATGGAACAAACTGTAACCAAATTACAAAGACATAAAAACAGCTGGGACAGGGTAAAAGTGACTCACATTTGAATGTTCACAGCCTCCCTCTTTTGTACTCCCTTTGGTTTGCCAAAAGAGAATCATAATTGTCAGCCCAATACCACTACCTTCTTAAAAAAGGAGGCCGTGCCTTTCCACATAATAAAGAAATGGGGACAAGGAGTTGAGGAAGAGGGAGAATATAAATGAATCAAGAGCAAGTAGCAAGGAGGTTTTGGGAGACCATGAGAGAGAGAGTTGGTCCAAGCAATTATAGAGTGTGGTAGGTATTGGAAGGAGGAGAAAGTAAGAGTGTAGCTGTGTTGCTGTTAATCATGTCTTTTGATTTTCTTTGTGGTTTATATAAAATGTTAGTAAGAGATTTCAAGTACTTTAAAATTAGTTTTTGTTGCTGGGCTGTGTGCTCTCAACTGTAACATAACTCTTCAACTAAGAGACATACATCATTAATAAGAAGGGTTCCACAACACACAATAAAATGACCCAAATCCTGAAGGCCGACTGAGGCTACCTTTAAAGACTTCAATGTCTCCCAAATGCCATCCTTTTCCTCCTTGGGAGAAAGGGCAACAGATAGAAGCCCGACTCAGCCACCTCCTTACATTTTAAAATGTTTTCCAAAAGTGACAATGACCCAGGGCCAAAGACTTGGATAGTCATTCCCTTCTCCCTGAACTCCAGCCATCTAATCATGCCTGGAATCTCCACTAAGGAGAATATGGAGGAGTGAGAGCCACCCTTCAGAAGTACAGCTGTGTCTATCTAAAACCACATTCTGCTGGCAATAACCAGCATTCTGGGCACATGAATATTAGGAAATGGATATGCGAAGAGTCACACACCAGAAATCTTCTCCTGTATTTCCACAGAAAAAGGATAATAACAAAATGAGATCTGTGGTAAAGGAAGTGAATTCATCAGAGCAAGGGCCAGGAACTGAATACCTTTCTCCCATTAGAAAAATTTACTGGTTGGGAATCTTAATGAAAACCAGCAGGAAGACTTGGCCTAGGAGTTCTTACTGACATGTATTCAAGCTGCTGCCTCTCTCCCCCTCCTCTTAGATAACATGTTTCCTCCAAAGTTGAGTAGTTTTAGATGTTAAGATCACAGTTTCCAAAAGGTAGCGCCTCATGAAAAGATTGGTTAATATTAAGACATCAAAAGCATCATTCTGGTATTGTGCAGAAACATTAAACAGGTAGAATTATGACTGTTGTGAGTAACTGAATTGTCCTGAGTGTCCTAAGCTACTAGAGGAAAGATATTTTGTAAAACCAACATTTAACCAGGTTGAAATCCATAAATTGGATATGAAGGGACAGCCACAATGAAGATGTTTCATATCTTATTCTGGGTGTGGGCTGGGATTTTTGTATAACTACTTATTACCAACCATTATAAAGACAAATCATATATTAAAAATTAAAATATAAAATTTAATTTAAAAATAAAATAATAATAAAATGGTAAAGTATTAAAGTTGCAAAAGAAAGTAAAAATATTTGTAATAAAAGATTCAGGAAACCAAGATCTTAATTCATTAACATTTTAAAAAGTGATTAAAAAGTAAGAATTGACATTTTAAATAATTAAGAATAAAAAGGGAGAAAGAAAGCTACTACCAGAGATACTAAAAGTTAAGAGGCCCAAACAATGAATTTATAAAGTTTTAAATTATGAAAAACTAGATTATGATAAACCAGAAAATTGTGAGAGAATTTAAAATAAGACATAAGAGATATGAAGAGAATCATGAAATGACTAAATAATAAAAATGAGGAATTTCAAATCAAGAAACTTGAGAGACTCAAAAGAAGGTGGAAGATAAAATATAGGGGGAATAATGAAAGAAAACTCAAAGCAAAACAAAACAAAAGAACAAAAAAACTTTGAATACCGAAATATGCTAAAGAAATGCAAAGATACCTTAATTTTGTTAGTTTCCTTTCTCTTTTAAATTGATAAAGAAACTCTTGATACAACTAAAACATCAGCACTGGAAACAGCCAAATGCAGGCAAGTACTTGCCTTAAGACTTCTTTAAGACTTTTCTTAAGACTTCTTCAGACTTTGTTAAAAATAACTTACTGTAGTCTTATAGCACAACCTTACAGTATAAGTGGGAGCTAAACATTGAGTACACATGGACACAAAGAAGGGATCAATGGACACGGTGGCCTACCTGAGGGTGGAGAGTGGGAGGTGGCTGAGGATTGAAAAACTACCTATCACATACTATGCTTATTACCTGGGTAACAAAATAATCTGTACAACAAACCCCCGTGACACACAATTTACCCATGTAACAAACCTGCACATGTACTCCCTGAACCTAAAATAAAAGTTAGAAAAATATAAAATAAATACATTTCAACAACAATAAAAAGAGACAAAGAAGAGGAACACCCCTAAACCAGCAGTTCTCAACCTTGGATGCATCTGGACGATTTTGAAAAGTACTTATGTAATGCCTCATCCCACACCAAATAATCTGGAATGTCTTGCAATGGGTCCCCAGATGATTTTTAACCTGCAACCAAGGTTGAAAACTACCGCCTTAAACTCTAGGCCTTCAACATGTGCCCGGGTACTCAAATTCCCAGCATTGAACATGTTTTTAAGCTTTATGCACAACTAAAATAGGTTAACAATATCTTCATCAGGTCAACAAGTAAGTATTCCAAGTTCGCTCCCTGGTCATGCAGATTCCATGAGACCATCATCTCTCCATGTTCAGAAGAGTTTTTCAAATGATAGCTGCAAACTGAAAATTGAGGTCTTTGAGACAGGTGAGCTTATTCTAAGCTGCCTTTAAAAAGATTTGATCAGATGCAACTTGAAATCATGGAATGAGTTCAAAATACCGTAAAACAGTGCACCACCTGGTGATTATATTGGAAGTTGCAAAATCCATGGCTCTAATTTCTCAGTAGCATAATTAATGGTACACAGTAATGACTGCACATCAGTACCACCTGGGTAACTTTAACACTATCAATACCTAGGCACTCCCAGAGATTCTGACTGAATTGATCAGGGGTAGAACATGGGCATAGATATTTTTTAAAAGCTTCCTAGATAATTTTAATCTTAGCTATAATTGAGAATCCCTGAACTATGAAAACACCAACAAAGTCTTCCTCGGCCCTACTCCAAACCTGCCTTTGAGATGACCATTCGCTTTCCATCCATTTTCCATGCAGCTGAATACAGAAGCAGGAAATCTGCGACTCACTATGGAAATCATTTTCTACTGAGAGACAGACTTGTCAAGAAGCTAAGCTTTCTCGTTTAAAAGCATTTCTCAGTTTGGAATCCCTGATATTGTACCTAAGTCAGTTTAATTAGAGTTGGGTTTTCTCAAAGTTCTTTGCTCATAAATTTAACACCAATCATCTGGGTCTCTTCTATATGTGCCCACTCCCACTTATTCATTCATTTAACAAGCATTAACAGGGCAATTACAATTTGCCAGGCAATGTGCATAGGTGCTGACAGCGGAGAGATAAAATAGAAACAGACAGAAAAGGTAATTACAATCCTCTGGTTTGTTATATAATGAAGGAAGCACAAGGTACTGTGAAGGTACCCAGATAGGAGAGCCAATGAGAAAGTCTTTTACTATGTACAAAATGAGTGAGGGTTTTCTAAACAAAGACAGGAGGCATGAGGACTCCAGGCAGAGGGAGTAATTTATGCAAAGGCCTGGAGGTATTAAGAGAGTAATACATTAGGAGTAGTTCTATATGCTGAATAGTATAGAGAGTGGAGAGGCATTAAGTTGGAGAAATAGGCAAGAGTCAGATCATGGACTTCCATAGTTTTGGATTTACATTATAATGAGGACTGTGCAGGAACAACATGACACATTTTAAGTTAGAAAAAAATACTTACTGAGCAAGAGTAAGACTAGATTAGAGAATATCAGTTGGAAGGTTACTCTAATCATCTAGGCAAGAACACAGACGGTCCTGAATCAAGCGAGGGTTACTGGGAGCAGAAACAAGCACCAAATGGGATCTATTAAGAAGATAGAAACAGCAGGATTTTACTCCTAGAGGAATACGTTGAGTGTAGAGAAAGGGCTCTGTCTAGCCTCATTTAAGTGACCTTGATTTGAAAATAAACATTCAAAGGCAACCAATGCATGTTGCAGGAATGAATGTAGGCATTCGGGGCTCCTGTGGGGATGGAGTCCTTAGGGACACTAATATTCAAGAGTGAAGCAAGACCCCTTTGTCAGTTAAGCATGTTGCTGTACACTTTCCCCACATTTTGGTTTCTCTTTTTACTCAATATTGTCACTTAATGAACAGAATGATTCTAATTTTAAGGTAGACAGACAGACAGATAGATAGATAGAGAGAGAGATAGATAGATAGATAAATAGGTGAATAATAGATAAATAGCTATTTTTTTCCCTTTATGATTAGTGATTCTGTGTACTCTTTTGGAAGTATTCTCTGCTACAAAATCATGAAATTATCCTATTACGTCATCATCTTGCGGACACTTTAATGTCTTACCTTTTGAAATTAGACATATAATCCTCAAGGAATTGATTTCTGTGCTTAGTGTGAGGAGAGTCAAGATTCTTCTTTTTTCTTTCTATATGTATATCCAATTGCTCTAATATCATTTATTGGAAGTACTTTTTTCTCCCACATCCCTGAAGCGTCCACACGTGTTTGGTTCTGTTTGTGGACTCTTTGTTCTGCACCATGGTCTATTAGTTTCTTCTTGCCTGAGTGGCACACTGTTTTCATTAATGTAGCTTTATAAGGAGCTTGAAATCCAGTGATAGAAGTTCTTTAAATCCTTCTTGTTCAGAAGGCCTTAGTTGTTCTTGACTATTTGCATTTCATATAAATTTTGAAATCAGATTTCCAATTAACATAAAAATCCCTGGAGAAATTTAAACTAGGATAACATTGAATCTATAAATCTAATGTGAGGAAAATGCATCTTTAAAACATTAAGGCTTCTAATTCATGAAAGTGGTATAATTCCTGTATATATTTAGGTTTTCTTTATGTTTCTATAATATGTTATAGTTTTATGGTACCTGCATTAGATTACTTATTAGATTTCTCCCAAGGTGCTTGATATTTTTGGGGCTATGGTTAATGGTATCTTCTTAAGACACACTTTATTGAGGAAAAATTCTCTCACAACAAAACGCACAGAATTTAAGTGAATAATTGACAAATTTGACAAATGTCACACCAAAACAATCAAGAGATAGAACATTTTCTTATCCTCCAAAATTGTTTTGTCCCTTTGTAGTTGTTCAAATCCCACTCCCTCACTAGTCAACCACTTATCACATTAGATTAATTTGTCTAGTTCTAAAATTTCACATACATAGAATTATATATCATGTATCCCTTGGTCTGGCCTCTTTCACTTAGCATATTTTTGAGATTCGTTTGTGTTGTTGGATGTAATCCATTTCATTTTGTTGCTGAAGAGTGTTTCATTGTATGGATATATCACAATTTGTTTGCCATTCAGCAGAGTGGTTGGAATAGTTTACATCTCAAGCAGTAAGGTATAGCTGAGAGTACAGTTGTCCCATGTCCTTGCCAACATTTCTTGTTCTATTTCTTTTCTTTCTTTTTTTTTTTTTTTTTGCTTTTTTTATACTGGTAAGAACTCCATAGAAATGGTAAATATAATTGTTAATAGTTATAATTGTTCCCATTCTCAGAGAGAAAAGCTTTCAACTTTTAAACATTGCGTATGAGTGATTTTTGTTGTAGATTTTAAAATCTGGATTTTTAAATCAGATTAAGAAGACTTCCTTCTCAGTTTATGTGTTTTAAGAAATTATATATCAGCATTGACTTTTCCAAGTGCATTTTTGGCTTTATTTATGTGATTGTATGATTTTTCTCTATTTTATTTTAATGTGGTAAGACATATGGATACTGGCCGGGCGCAGTGGCTCACACCTGTAATCCCAGCACTTTGGGAGGCCAAGGTGGGCGGATCACTTGAGGTCAGAAGTTTGAGACCGGCTTGGCCAACATGGTGAAACCCCGTCTCTACCAAAAAAGTACAGAAATTAGTCAAGTGTGGTGGCAGGCACCTGTAATCCTAGCTAATTGGGAGGCTAAGGCAGGAGAATCACTTGAACCTGGGAGGTGGAGGTTGCAGTGAGCTGAGATCACACCACTGCACTCCAGCCTGGGCAACAGAGTGAGACTCTCTCTCTCTCCCTCTGTCTCTGTCTCTCTCTCTCTCTCTCTCTCTATATATATATATATATACACACACATACAAACACACATATATACATATATACATATCATATATGTGTATATATACACATACATATATACATATGTATAAATGAATATATTTATATACATATATAAATGTATATATATACATGTATACATATACATATAATATATATGCATATATATGGATACTGTAAACTAAAAATAAAATTCTAAGCTCCCCATCAACTGAATGCACCCATTTTGGCCAAGGGGATTCCAGAAAACCTTTAAAAACTTAGTTCCTAGCCACGAGGGCTTGGGAGGTCAGATATGTCAGTAATTACTTTTTATTCCCTCTCCCTTTTATCACTGGACACAACAACTGACCAACATTAATGTTAAAGTAAAGATCATAGAACAGACTTTTTGTGGCAATAAGATACCAGATTATAAAGAAGACCTACGGCCATGCCAGGCAAGGGTTAAGTCATGCACCCCCTACGCTTAAAGAATAACTGTGTCCTAACTGCTGCAAGGGTCTTCTTTTTCTCTAGCAGCTAAATGAGCATTGGCCTTAAAATAAACAATATTAAAACAATTACAACTCATCCAGCTCACAGGCGCTGACTAACTGACCTCCGGTTCCACCAGCCATAACTACAGTTTTGATTGGACAAGAGACTGACTTCAGTAACTTTCCCAATAAAAGACCACTAACTGTGGACTGTTTCTGGCCGGTTTACAGAAGCTACGTACTTGCATGCCTTAGGCCTGAAAAGACCTTTTCATGTAAAGGGCCTAATTTTAATATATTTAAATATTAAGTCTCCACCCCAAAATGAATGTATAAACATGAGTCATATGTTTCATGTATGTTTGTTCAATCCGCATGTGTTAGAACCATCTTCATGAATATTCATAGCTCCTCCTGTAACATGTTGAATATGAATGTTTCGCCAACCCATTCAGCATAAATCTCTTGCCCCAACCCTTCGCCTTCCAAGTGCCTGTCTCTGGTCTTGGCTGGAGACTATGCTTCCCAGCCTATGGGATGGTTACCTTGCAGGCTGTAACCCCTTATAAGAAATAATATCTCCTTCCCTTTTCTAAATGTATACATATTGTGTTTTTCTTTTAAGTTAATACTCTTTAAAATATTAAACCAACAGTGGATTTCTAATATTAATGCAATTTTATCATGATTTTATATATCACTGGATTGTGTTTGATAACATTTTGTTTAGAATTTTTGCATCTATATTTATTTAAAATATTTATCTTTAATTTTTTTCTGGTAAAGTGTTTTCAAGTTTAGGAATCAAGATTATGCTGACCTCATAAAATTAGTTGTGAGATGTTTCTCTTTTTTGTTTGGATGTATTTGAGTCATTTTTTCCCCTGAACATCTGATGGAAATCATCAGGAAAATCAACTGGGCCTGGTGTTTCGTTATGGAAAGGTTTTGATTACAGATACAATTTATATAGTAGACAGGGAACAATTCAGATTTTCTCTTTTCTCCTGTTTTAGTTTTAGTAGCTTGTGTTTTTCTATATATTTTCTCACTTCATCTAAATTTTTAATGTTTTTAACTGAATTAGGTCATTCTTGCACTGCTATAAAGAAATACCTGTGACTGGTTAATTTATAAGACAAGAGATTTAATTAGCTCACAGTTCTTCAGGCTGTACAGGAAGCATAGCAGCATCTGCTTCTGGGGAGACCTCAGCAAGCTTCCAATCATGGCAAAAGGCAGGGGGAGAAGAAGTCACATGACATGGTGAGAACAGGAGCAAGAAAGTGGGTGAGGTGCCACACACTTTTAAGTGACAAGATCTCATGAGAACTCACTCACTATCACAAAGACAGTACAAAGCCATGAGGTATCTGCCCCCATGACCCAAACACCTCTCACGAGGACTCACCTCCAACATTGGGGATTACAATTCAACATGAGATCTGGGTGGGGACAAATATCCACACTATACCACTGACATACAGTTGTTCAGAGTAGTCTCTTGTTATATTTCTAATGTGATGTTCATCTTTTCATTCCTGATACTGATTATTTGCCACTTCTTTCTTTTTTCTTGATTGGACTTGTTAAGTGTTTACATGAACTTTTGGCTCTATTGAGCCTCTAATTTATACTAGTTTTCCATTTCACAAATTATGCACTTATTATTTATTATTATTTTCTCCCTTTTACTAATAATTATTTTTCTATTCTTACAGTCATTTTTAAAATGGATATCTATATCATTCATGTATTCTCAGCCTTTCTTTTTCTTTTAATACTATACGCATATAAAGCCCAAGTTTTCTTTAATGCAAAGTTTACGTACATCCTACAGTGTTAGATATGTAAATATTTTAGTTGTCAGTCAGTTGAAAATATGTTCTAATTTCCATTGGGATTTTTTGTTCTACCCAAGAGTTATTTAGAATTATCTTGCTTAATTTTCAAATGTATTTTTTACTTATTATTTTATTAGCCCTTTTTAAAGTAAAGTTTATGTTTTTGATATAGAGAAAAATTACAAAGATAGTACAGAGTTCCCATATACCCAACACCCACTTTCTCCTGTCATTAGCATCTAGCATTAGTATGGTACATTTATAACAATTAATGAAACAATATTGATACATTATTACTAACCAACATCCACATTTTATTCAGATTTCCTGTCTTTATCTGATGTTCTTTTTCTGTTTCAAGATTCCATCCAGAATATCACATTATATCTTGGTCATTGTGTCTCCTTAGGCTCCTCTTGGCTGTGACAATTTCTCAGATTTTCCTGCATCTGGTGACCTTCATAGTTTTGAAGAGTGCTGGTCAGGTATTGGTAGAACATACCTCAATCAGAATTTGTCTGACATTTTTCTTAGGATAAAACACGGATTATTTGTTTTGGGGAGAAAGACCATAGAGGTCAAGTGTCATTCTCATCATATATCAAAGGTTCATGCAGTCAATATGACTTTTTATTTAATTTAATTTATTTATTTATTTATTTTCATTTTTTTTGAGACAGAGTCTCACTCTGTTGCCTAGGCTGGAGTGCAGCAGTGAGATCCCAGCTCACTGCAACCTCTGCCTCCCGGGTTCAAGCAATTCTCCTGCCTTAGCCTCCTGAGTAGCTGGGATTACAAGCACGTGCCACCACGCCCAGCTGATTTTGTATATTTAGTACAGATGGGGTTTCACCATGTTAGCCAGGCTGATCTTGAACTCACGACCTCTGGTGATCTGCCCATCTAGGCTTCCCAATGTGTTGGGATTGCGGGCGTGAGCCA
Organism: Homo sapiens; assembly: GCF_000001405.40. Classification (NCBI taxonomy): domain Eukaryota; kingdom Metazoa; phylum Chordata; class Mammalia; order Primates; family Hominidae; genus Homo; species Homo sapiens. The sequence continues at coordinate 223,392,202 of NC_000002.12, forward strand.
CTGTGCCCGGCCGACTTTTTATTGTTAATGTTGACCTTGATCACCTGGCTGAGGCAGCATTTGTCAGGTTTCTCAACTGCAGTTAGTCTCTTTCCCCTTTTCCATACTATCATCTTTGGAAGGAAGTCAATATGTGCAGCTCACACTTAAGGAGTAGAGAGTTAGGCACTATCTCTTTGAGGGTGGCCTATCTACATAAATTATTTTGAATTCTTCTGCACAGGAGATTTATTTTTTCTTCCTGCTTTAATTTATATCAGTATGAACTCATGAATGTTTATTTTATACTTTGAGTTAAAATGCAATACTACTTTATTTAGTTGCTCAAATTATTTCAGCTTTGGCCTTTGGGAATTCTTTCAGCTGGCCCTTTTGTCCTTTTGACATATCTCAATTTTTGTGCTTATGTATTTAATTTTTTATAAGATGTTCTAGGTTCAACTTGTATATTTTCTTTTTTTTTTTTTTTGAGAGGGAGTTTTGCTCTTGTTGCCCAGGCTAGAGTGCAATGGCACAATCTCAGCTCACCGCAACCTCCACCTCTCGGGTTCAAGTGATTCTCCTTCCTCAGCCTCCCAAGTAGCTGGGATTACAGGCATGTGCCACCATGCCTGGCTAATTTTGTATTTTTAGTAGAGACGAGGTTTCTCCATGTTGGTCAGGCTGGTCTTGAACTCCCAGCATCAGGTGATCCACCCGCCTCAGGCTCCCAAACTGTTGGGATTACAGGCATGAGCCACTACACCTGGCCATCTTGTATATTTTCTGCCCAGTCCTAGAATCCACAATTTCTCCTAGGATCCCTGGTTCCTTTTATTGGCAAATGGTAATAGACACCAAGATCTGGGTGCTAAGTGTGCTCATGGCTACTGAGGTGCTGTTTCTATGCTTTCTAAGCAGACAGAAAAAGGAAATATATATGTGTGTACTAACCTGGGCATATGTACATATTAAAATATTTTTATGTTACCATATATATTTATATTAAGCTAAACATAAGCTCATACTGATATCTCCAACTCTAATCCATTACCACATGGATAATTCTAGCCTTTTCCCTTTGTTTATTGGTAACTTCCCACTCCAACAGAGAGAAACCTGGCTCCCATCATCTGCCATGCATTTACTCAATGCCATATGTATATAGTGGTATCAGAATTATTAACCTATATCTATAGGAAACAAATATATCAATTATAGTACAGTAATTGTGAGTAGTTCCTTTTGCCTTTAATCTTACAAATGCCACTCATTTTGAAAGTTATTAGGTCAATACATTTTCCTTTATCCCATTTAGTGAGATTGTTTTATATATTAGTAATACAGTTAAATTCTTTTGTCACATTCTGCCTTTCATCTTGTGATCTCCTGGATTCCTAATTTTTAAAATTTGCATACATTGTTTTATTTTTGTGCTGTGTAGTTCTATGAGTTTGACAAATGCTTAGTGTCATTACACTATCATTCAGAATAGTCTCACTGTCCTAAAAAAATTCCCTGCATTCCACTTATTGAACCTTCCCCACACTGAACTCTTGGCAACCACTAACCTGTTTACTATCTCTATAAATTTTCCTCCTTCAGAATGTCACATAAATTGAATAAATCATACAGTGTGTAGCCTTTTAGTCTGTCTTTCTTCACTTCACAATATGCATTTAAGATCCATGTATGCCTTTTTATGACTTGACAGTGCATTTATTTTTATTGATGAATAGTGTACCATTGTATAGATGAACACCAGTTTATTTATTCAGCTATTGAAAGAACATGTTAGCTACTTTCAGGTTTTGGTTATCATAAATAAAGCTTCTATAAACATTCACATACAGATTTTGCATGGACATAAGTTTTCAAATCAGTTAGGTAAATACCTATGGGCACGATTGCTGAGTCATGTGGTAAGACTATGTTCAGATGTGTATAAAGCTGCCAAGCTGTTTTCCAAACTGGCTGTACCATTTTGCATTCCTTCCAACAAAGAATGAGGATTCCTTTTATTCTGCATCCTGTCTGTACTTGGTGGTGGTGTTTTTTTGTTTTTCTATTTTTTTGCCATTAAATCAGGTATATGGTAGCATTTCATTGTTGTTTTAATTTGCATTTCCCAAATGACAAATGAATTGAACATGAATATGTTTTTATATGTTACTTGTCATCTGTATATCTTCTTTGATGAGATGTCTGGTCAGATATTTTGCCAATTTTTTAATTGGGTTGTTTATTTTTTCACTGATTACTTTGAATAATTTCAGATACCAATCCCTTTATCAGATAACTTTAGTAATGTTATCTTCCATTCTGTGGCTTGTCTTTTTATTCGCTTAACAGTGTTTTTCACAGAGCAGACATTTTAATTTTAGTAAAGTCCAAAATATCAATTTTTTATTTTATAAATTATGAATTTGGTGATGTATCTAAAATGCATTACCAAACCCAAGATCAAATAAATATTTTTTCTCATGTTTTCTTCTAGAACTTTTATAGTTTTGCATTTGGTATTTAGGTCTATGATGGATCTTGAGTTAATATTTGCGGAGGATGTAATGTCTGTGTCTAGATTAGTTTTCTAGGGTATGAAAGTTTAATTGTTTCAGTACTATTTATTAAAAATACTGTCCTTTCTCCTTTGAATTGCCTTTCCACCTTTTTTCAAAAATCAGTTTACTGTATTGGTGTGATCTAATTTCTAGCCTCTCAATTCTGTTCCTTTGATCTATGTACGCATTCTTTTGCCAACACCACATCATCTTTTTTATTAATCTTTGTATTAACTCTTGAAATCAGGTACTATGAGTTCTCTATTCTTCAGTATTGTGTTGACTATTCTGGGTCCTTTGCCTTTTCATATAAACTTTAGAATGAGCTTGATGATACCTACAAAATTGCGTGCTGAGATTTTGATTGGGATGACATTAAATGTATAGGTCGAATGAGAAAAAAAATTGACAGCTATAGCCTTTCAACTCATGTGCACATAAAATATCTGCATTTACTTAGATTTTATCCAGTTTCTTTTATCATTGTTTTGTAGTGTTTGTTTGTCCTTGTTTTTTTGGTTCTGTAAAAATTTTGGTTGTTTTATATCTAAGAAATTTTTGCGTGATATTGTAATTTTTAAAAATTTCTAATTACAATTGTTGGTATATAGAATAAGAATTGACTTTGTTTATGAATTTTGTATCCTTTCACCTTACTAAACTAACTTGTTAGTTCTGGTATTTATTGGTCGTTGATTGTTCATGGTGCTCTACATAAACAATCATGTCATTTGTGAAGAAAGGTAGTTGTATTTTTTTCTGTCCAGTATGTATATCTTAGTTTTCTTTTTCTTGTCTTATAATACTAGCTAGTATTTCCAGTACAATATTGAATAGAAATGTGAACAAAGGATATCCTTACCTTTGTTCCTGATCTTCAGTGTAAAGCATCCAGTTTCTCACTATTAAGTATAATACTAGCATCAAGGTCTTTTGTAGATAGTTTTTATCAAGCTCCCTTCTATTCCTGGATTCTTGTGAGTTTTTATCATGAAGATGTGTTGGATTCTTTCAAAGGTGTTTTCTGCATCAATTAATGTGATCACATGATTTTTCTTCTTTAACGTGTTTTCCTAGTGGATCACATTGATTGATTTTTCAAATTGGAATACATTTCACTTGGTCATTGTGTACTATTCTTTTCATACATTATTAGATTTGATTTGCTGATACTTTGGTGAGAATTTTTGTGTCTATGATTATAAGAGATATTAGTCTCTAGTTAGCCTTTATTGTAATGTCTTTAGCTGGTTTTGATACTAAAGTAATGCCGGCTCATAAAATGAGTTATAAAGTGTTTATTTTTTTTTGGCTTCTATTGCTGGAAGACATTGTGAATAATTGATATTATTTCTTGCTTAAATGTTCAGTAAAACTACCATGAAACCATCTGGGTCTGGAGCTTTCTTTTTTGGAATATTATTATTAGTCTCATTTCTTTAAAATATACAGAGCTTATTCAGGTTATCTCTTTCTCTTTGTGTACATTTCAGTAGTTTGTGTCTTTCAAATAATTGGCCATTTCATTTAACTTGTAGGCATAAAGTTATTCTTAGTTTTTATTTATTGTATTTTTATATTCATGGAATCAGTAGTGATGACCTCTGTTTCATTTCTGATATTGGTAATTTTTGTGTTCTTTGTTTATTGGTTAATCTGACTAGAAGCTTATTAATTTTGTTTATCTTTGCAAGGAACAAGCTATGGATTTTCTCTGTTGTTACCCTGTTTTTAAATTTAATTAATTTCTGCTCTAATTTTTATTATTTTTTCTTCTGTATAATTATGCTTAAAATGTTCTTTTTTTAGTTTCCTAAGGTGAAAGATTATTACTGATCTCAGCTATTTCTTCTTTTCTAATATATGCATGAAATGCTATAAACTTCACTCTAAGCAATGCTTTCACTTTACCCACAGATTTTAATAATATTTATTTTTATTTAGTTCAGTTTTAAAAATCTTTTTTCTTGATACCTTTTCTTTATTCCATGAGTTATCTAGAAGTGTTTTGTTCAATTTTAAAATAGTTGAAAATACTCCAAGTACCTTTTTGTTCTTGATTTCTAGTTTAATTCCATTGTGATCTGAGAAAATACTTTGTATGATTTCTAGTTTTTCAGATTTTTAAAGGCGTCTTTCCTAGCATATAATGTGGTCTATCTTGGTGAATGTTCCATGCAAGTTTCAGAAACTTGTGTATTTTGTTGTAGTAGATTAAGTAGTCTATAAATGTTAATTAAATCAAGTTGATTAATAGTTATGTACAAGTTATCTATATCTTTACTTATTTTCTGCCTATTGTACCTATCAATTACCAACAAAGAGGTGTTGAGATTTCCAACTACTATAATCTCCAGTATAATAGTGGATTTGCTTATTTTTTTTTCACTTAAGTTTTATCTCATATAGTTTGATGATCTATTTTCAGGAGCATGCAGATTTAGAATTGTTACGCAATCTTAGAGAACGTACTCCTTTATTATTGTATGATGACTCTCTTACTCTGAATAATTTTTCTAGTCCTGAAGTCTGCTTTGGCTAAAATTAATGTAGTTTATCTAGATATCTTTTAATTAGTGTTACCATGGTATATATCTTTCTTCATTGCTTTATTTTTAAACTATCTAAATCTTTATATTTAAAATGGTTTTTTGTAGACAACTTATACTTGGGTCTTGTTTTGTTATCCACTCTGATAATCTCTGTTTTTTCATTGTTATATTTAGATCATTCTTTTGGATCTTCAGAATTTCTAAGAACAGGCTAATTCATCAAACTTTTTAAAAAAGTGTTTTTCATTTTACCTTTGCATGAGCACTTAAAATACATATTTCCATTTCAAGATGACAAAAATTATTCTACTATAACAGAAGCAAAAACATATTTCTGCAATTCTGCAATTATAAAAGAGCTAAACTAACTCATAATTAAATTATTTTTATGTTTACAATTGTGATTCTGAAATCAATACTACTACCCTGCAGCTCCATTTTAAGCTTTCTACATTTAGTTTAAACACACACACATACTCTCAGTTGTGGGAGGCTTTACAAGTTATATTCCACGGACTTTTTGAAAGAGTTCTAAATGAGCTAGCCAGTCCACAAGACAGGCGTTAAAAAGTTAAAATAATGAGTGAAAAGGACTCTTATATAACATCCAAAGCATGCAAGATTCTGCAGCAAACTGGGAGTGCTTCAGGTTGGGCCTGCTATCTTCTTTAGAACTAGTTTCGTCTTAACAGTTTAAGAAAGTGGACATTTTAATACCTTCAAGTGCATTTAGGTGACGTGTTTCTTTGTGTTAATTTGACTCCCCTGAATGACCTCGTTAGTGAACTAGTCACTCATAATTTGGTCACCAGGCAAATCAAGCCTGCAAGAAAGGAAGCCAATATTCAAAATACCATATTGTCAACTGAACCCACTCCAATAATTTATTTTCAACATAAACATACATCTTCAATAATGAGATGTCTACGAGAGCAAGCTCCTCCAAGACCAAGACAGCATCTCTTCTTTTAAGGCTTAGGTTTTGCCTAGAAGTTCCAATACATGGAGTAGCCCATACCAACAGTCATTGCTCCTGCAACAAAGCCTCTGACTGCCCTGCACATGTGGATCAGGTGAAGGGACATTTTAGAATTTCTCCTGCTCTTCGATTTGTCGAATCCACATGCAACAATTTCTATAAAACCTGCCAGTCCAATGGGAGAAGAATAATGCGTCTGTAGCTTTTTGAATAAGTTTGGATCTGTGATCTTCAGCATATGATGAAAGGAAAACATCTGTGTCTGTTGACATAGTGATTGCTTGAAGGATCTCCCTAGAGCAAGAAAACTCCACATAAGCCAACTGGCTTCTTCACCAAACTTTTGATCCCACAAACTTTTGAAGGGAAAAAATTATACAAGTATTTGTTTCTTTATCTATTCATTATCTCTCTATTTAATTGATTTGGAAGTCATATTTATATAATGATAAAAAAATTATATGCCATATACAAAAATAAATTTAGTAAGGACTAAATAAAGATTAAAGAATTTTCATATATTAAATTATATATTTTATATTATAAAATATTTTTTCTCACTAAAATAATATTTTAGGTATTGAAACCAATAGTTAATATCCTAAGTATTGAATTCAATAGTTTAAATGTATCTTTTGAAAATCATGAATTAATACTTTGTCTTACAGCAATTTGAAGATTCGAAAGTTTATCTAATAATTGTTGTAATGGGTGCTACAGTTTAGAAAAATATATCATAGAGAAGCTTAGACACAAATGGAAATATTTTAAAAATGAAATAATAAGCCACTGAAATTCTTTGGAAAATTGCTTAATAGAAAATTCTGTTCCACGTTTGTAAATATTCAGATGTGTAAATTTTAATTAATGACACTTTACATTACTTTCAGCAATACTGATAAAAATACTTTTACTATCCTTTTTCAAAATACCCTTTCCATTGCATGTGTTTTTCCCTTTTTGGTAACATGATATTTTTACCATGAAAGGACAGATTAAGTGTGTTTATAAATTTTAGAAATATCTACAAGGTAACATACTGCTAGAAGCTATTTTTTATTTTAGGAAAAGCCAGAAAATTTGGAATACTAATCATTTTGAGCAAAAGAAATTCATGACTCATATTTAAGCTCAATAATTTTTAAGTGCTTTGCCACAAAATGAGTAGCTAACATTTCGTATGCTAACCATGAGCCAAGCAGTGCACTGTGTTCTTTAAAAACTTTATCTCTTATTATTTCTTATGACAACCCTATCATTCCTCCATTTTACAAGTGAAGAAACTCGATTCAACATAGTAGTTAAGCTGTTTACCCAAGATCACCTAGAGAGTGTATTAGGTCAGATTTCTCAGAAGACCCCCAAGAGGAGAATTTGTTTGTGCAAGTGATTTCTTAAGAAAGTGCTTTCAGGATTAATGAGTAAGAAAGTAGAGAAAGCAGAAAACATAGGGGAAGAAGCCAAGCAATGGTGCAATTTCAGTTAAGTGTGAGCCTAAGTCCGATCAGGAGGGAATCTTCTGAGCATAAATTGCAGTTTGTCCAACTTCAAGGCAGTAGATCTGGGCTTTTACCATCTGTCTCAGTGAGTAATGGCCATGCCACCCTAGGCAGATAAACTATCCAGCACCTCCAGTTTCCTACCAGTTCTCACAAGAGGCTCTAGTACCCCTCAAGGGTAGTCCTCTGAAGAAAAGGACACTGAAGCTGGAAGATATCTCTCAGAAAAAGCTAAGAGAATCTGAGCGGAGCATTGTCAGTGTTTGTTACAGCTAGTAAATGGCATAACCAGCATTAAATCTAAGGAGTATGACTTCAGACCCCATATTCTTAATCATTATACTAGGCTACTCGAGATAATCAGAAAATCTCTGGATAGAAAATATGACATCCATGGCCATTATCCAATTATGTACAAAACGGTAAATACTGTGGTTTCTTAAAAATAAAATTTGCCAAATTGGTGACATCCTGTAACACTTCAGCTCTTCTGACTCCTTTTTATTTGCTATGATAATTTGCTTATGAATTACTACACGTTGAATGAATTTTCCATGTGATACTTTCCTTGTAAATTATCACCAGAATTATTTTTAAATTTCAGTCAAAGGAGAGGCCAAAATAACTGAGGGAATAGCTCTGTTTTTCAGTGTGTGTTTAGATGTAGCTATTCAGAAGTTGACTCTTTATGTCAAACGTACATGTGTGCTAATCTAACCAGTCTACTGTTTTACATAAAAGATATTTCTACAAGCCACAGTGATGTTAATGTTGAAAAGAAAAGATGATCCTAAGGGCTCCTTGGCTATCTTTGACCTTGAAACCTGAAATGCTTTTTGCCATGTTGTTTTGGGTCCACTCAGTGAATGACTAGCTGAATTACTGGGGTGCTACTTCATATTAAATTACTCAGACCTGTAACTTTGCATGGAGAGGAAGGAAAAAGGATGGATTTAGCACACAAGTTATCTCTTAAGGGGAAGAAAGGGTCATCCCAAGGGAGATGGGTGGAGACTGAAGGACCTAGGTAAAGGATACATTCTCTTTGAGTTGTCAGAGTAAGTACAAGGTAGTGGGAGCTTTGACTTTCCCCCTTCAATACCAGGAATCACTTCTAAAATGATTCCAACCATTCCGTACAATAATCAATGTGTATTTGCAGATTGTGAAGCGTAGATTTGAGAAAAGTGGGTGATAAAACACAAGTATACTTGCTTCATTCCAACTTCTCACCAGCTAAGTGGAAGAGAAATTATCTCATCAACAGGACCAAATTAGAAACTTCTGGTTGTCTTATCACTGAAAAATAATAATAGCTAATGTCTGTGTGGTACTTACTGTGTACCAGTTACTTATTAGCTTATTGGCTTTATATATACATATGTATGTAATTTATTTATATTACCTTCTCATTTTATTACTGAGGAAACTGAGACACAAAGAGGTTAAATAATTTTTCCAAGCCTACACAGCTTGGAAGAAATAAATCAGGAATGCACCCATTCTGTGGTGTTAACTAGATGTATAATACCTTAGGTGAAACAAGAAAGCAGGAAGTTATTGACTGATGCAAAAGTAACTGTGGTTTTTGCCATTACTTTGGCAAAACCACAGTTACTTTTGCATCAACCTAACAGATTGGTAAGAAGTAAATAGTGGATAGCCTCATCTATCTTTATATAAATTTTTATTGTTTGAGGTGTGTGACAGATGAGCAGATAATATTCTTCATATTCTTATATAACTAAAGTAATTCAAAATTTATTTTAAAAATTTCTCTTCGTATGAAATATAAATTTTAAATAACACTGAACTTTGGGGTATAAAAAAGCTTGGAAATATAATAATTTTTTCACTAGGATGACCACTTAAATACATTTTTAAATATCAATTTTTTCAAACTTTTTGTGAGGGGGAACTCCAACTTGGAATAACAAGAGGAAAGAGGATTCAAAATCGAAAGAGACTTCAGTGCCTTCAACCTTTCGTGGGCATGAAGAAGGTCAAGAAACCTACTCAGCTAAAAACACAGACCTTTCTTATTTAAAAAAGAGAAAGAAAGAAAGAAAAAAAGAGAGGATGACACAGAAAAGCAGAGCCAAGAGACCAGAGGGCAAAGAATCATTGTCAGGGCGAAGAAATGAGCACTAATCAAAGACGTGGTAACATGCACCTGGCTAGATTTTAGAAATACTATGGGCCACTAACTACAATGTGCCTCTTGTCTTCCTCCTCTTTTTCGAATAGGAATGTCTATTGCAGTTTCAGTATGTTTCCAAATTGTATGCAGGAGGCATGCAGAGAAGATAATCATCTCTTAACTTCTTAACTTCTCAGGTCTGCAAATCAAGATAAACTCTGCTGGAGGAGCTATACTTGAATGATCACCTTGAGGAGTCTCAAATACACCTGGGATGATTTAGATAATGAGAACTGGACTTTCAGCATGAGCCAGTTATGGTAATAGGATGAGACCTTGGGAGGATAATGAGAGTATTTTGCATGAGGGAAAAAGAGTTGACAGTGATCGCCAGTTGAGAATCTTGAACATATTCCTTGTTAAACTCTTGCTGTTTCTGCACTCTGACCAGAGAAAAATTATACCATGAAAAGAAATGTCAGACTATATGGCAAAAATGGAATTAGGGGGTTATCAGGTGCTTCAACAACTGTATGTATTCACTTGTGTGGGTTTACACACCATCAGTTTTCAACTGAAAATTTCCCCCAATTAGGATTGAATTAAACGGCTATGTAATGGTCTTCAACATGGTGATTATACATCTGTTTTCCAATAATGCAGAAAGATTTTATTGAGAATAGATAACCTTCCACAAAATTTATTCTTTCCTATGATGAAAGATGTTTCCTAGACACTTTTGCAACCAGGCAGAGCATTGTGATTCAGCTCTGCTCAATGGGTTTTGGATAAAAGTGATGCATCCTCTTCTCAAGTCTGGCACACAAACCCCCCCTGTATATCTTCCAGCTGTCTCTGCCTTCATTGTGCAGGCTGTCCTTGGCCAAGGACATCTAGAAAATTATGTGTTGAAGACAGCAGAATTTCCATTAGTCTGAGTAATTCTGCTGGACTATCATACATTGCATTAATAAAATACCAAGTTATAGCATGTAACTAAAAATAACAAAATTTTTGGATAGGCTATTTGTATATGTTTCGTATGAATTAACATTTTCTTTAAAAATATATCAGCAGTTTTCCCTGGTTCAGGATGGTGATTTTCTATCTGATATTACAACATTCCCTACTTATATGAAAATATAATAACCAATAAACAGTAGGTTTAAGAAGTCACAAGAGTGTCTGTCAGATCTATCTCATTCTCTCCATCTTCATGATCATCAACCTAATCCAAGCAATAATCATTCATTGCCTGAACAACTACAACGTTGCTTCTCATATCAGTTCTTGCCACCCTTCAATGTGTCCTCAAGTTTTAGTGAGGGTGATCTTTTCAATTTGATCATGGTTCCCATCACACCCATCATGGGCTTCCTATTGTTCTTGAGATAAAGTTTGTAATATGATAAAGTCTTGTGCAGCCCTGCCTTGTCTAACCCATGTCTACCTTGGCAGCTTCATCACCCTTGCTCTCACTACTTTTGCTGGAACCGTACCATGTTTATCTCAGTTCTGGAGTGCACTGTGCTCTTACCTTCACCAGAGACTTGTATCTCAGCTTGGAAATTATTTCCTTAGGGAAGCCTTGGCTAATTCCAAGATTGAATAAGGTTCCTTCATTTTATGTTATAGCATTGTGTTACTTTCTTTGATTCCATTTTTCTAACTTTGAACACTTAAAATATTTATTTTATTTAATCTTTAACCAGGTGTTACATTCTTGTGGTTTAACAAATATTTTTAAAATCCAAGGAAATAAATGTACAACATTAAGAGTAAACCCTAATGTAAATTATGGACTTTGGGTAATGCTGATGTGCCAGTGTAGATTCATCAGTTGTAACGTATATGCCATTTTGATGCCAGATATTGATAGTGAAGGAGATTGTGCATGTGTAAAATCATTGGGCATACGGGAACTCTGTACTTTCCATTCAATTTGTCTGTGAGCCTAAAACTGCCCTAAAAAATAAAGTATATTAAAAACGATAGTGAAATATCTTCTCCATATTCCTCTCTTCTCTCTGCTGTCTTTTCAGTTGACTACTCCACACACAGACCCCATTCCTGAAGAGTTGCATGAAAAGTTGTGACCTTAGGTAGAGGAATAAAAGCACTGCTACACCACAGCCCCAAATGGAGGGATCAGCTATCTCTCTTTCAACACTCTGGTTTGCTGCTGGTGCCACTCAGTGGCTTGATCCCCACAGGAAACTAGAAGCAAGAGAGCTCAGGATGCAGTGCATAGAGGTGGACATTCAGGAGCAGAAAACAGAGTAGAGAAAAATTGAAAGTGAATCAGATAGGGACCAACAAATATTTTTGTAAAGGACCAGATGGTAAATATTTGAGTCTTTGGGAGCCATAATGTTTCTATCACAAGCATTCAATTCTGCTTTGTTCCAATAAGCCTTTGTTTATGAAATCAAGAAATTGATCAGATTTGACTTTCAAGCTGTAGTTTTTCAACTCCTGGATTAGAAGGACAAACAGGGGATATCTAGCTCATCAATACAAAGTGTGTTTCCTCCATCTTTAATGGCTCTATTAATTATTTACCCAATTTCCTATTGATGTACCTTTATATTGTTTCTAGTTTTTACCATCACAAACAATGTAAAGTGAATAACCTTATACATTCATTTATTATGTGTGTGGAAATAACCATAAAGTTAATTTCAAGAAGTTGATTTCTTAGGACAAAGCATACGTGCATTTGTAATTATGATAGAGTACAAGGATGCCCTCCATAGGAGTGATAATAATTAAAATTCTGAACACAGTATATGAAAGTAGCTTTTCCCCTAGACTCTTACAACATATAGTATAATCAAATATTTGGATTTTTGCCATTTTGATGAGAGAGGAAATGTATGCCATGCCAGTGTAGTTGTAACTTGCATTGCTTGCATAATGAATGAGGTGGGGCATCCTTTATTTTTAAGAATGATTTTTATGTCTTTCCTGTGAACTGTGAATCATACACTTTGTCCATTTCTCTCTTGGGTTTTCAGCCATTTTCTTCTCAGTTCCTCAATATTACAGATATTAGCCCTTTGTTACATAAGTTGTATTTTTTTACCATGTTAATTGCCTTTGATTTTTATGGTATTTTTGACATGTAGAAATTTTCGCTTAAAAATTAAAATACTTTATTTAAACATTAGTAGAATTTATTAATCTTTTCTCTTATAATATCTGGATTTTTTTAGTTTTAGTACTGTCTTTTTAAAAAAGCATTTAAACATTTAATTCAATTGGATTGTATCCTGGTGTACAATGCAAGTCATTGATCTGGAAAACTATCCACTTGCCCCGACACCATTTATTGAATGCTTATGTGGTTTGGCTCTGTGTCCTCACCCAAATCTTATCTCGAATTGTAATTCCCACATGACAAGGGAGGGACCTGTAATCCCCACGTATGGAGGCTGGGAAGTAATTGGATTATGGTGGCAGTTTTCCCCATGCTGTTCTCATGATAGGGAGTGAGTTCTCATGAGATCTGATGGCTTTATAAGTGTTTGACAGTTCCCCTTCACACACACTTTCTCTTTCCTGCTGCCTTGTGAAGAAGGTGCTTGCTTCCCCTTCACCTCCCACCATAATTGTAAGTTTCCTGAGGCCTTCCCAACCATGTGGAACTGAGTCAATTAAACCTCTTTCCTTTATAAATTACCCAGTCTTGGTCATCAGAGAAATGCAAATCAAAATCATACTGAGATACCATCTCACACCAGTTAGAATGGTGAGCATTAAAAAGTCAGGAAACAACAGGTGCTGGAGAGGATGAGGAGAAACAGGAACACTTTTACACTGTTGGTGGGAGCATAAACTAGTTCAACCATTGTGGAAGATGGTGTGGCAATTCCTCAAGGATCTAGAACTAGAAATACCACCTGACCCAGCAATCCCATTACTGGGTATATACCCAAAGGATTATAAATCATGCTACTATAAAGACACATGCACATGTATGTTTATTATGGCACTATTCACAATAGAAAAGTCTTGGAACCAACCCAAATGTCCATCAATGATAGACTGGATTAAGATATTGTGGCACATATACACCACGGAATATTATGCAACCATATAAAAGGATGAGTTCATGTCCCTTGCAGGGACATGGATGAAGCTGGAAACCATCATTTTCAGCAAGCTATCACAAGGACAGAAAACCAAACACCACATGTTCTCACTCATAGGTGGGAACTGAACAATGAGAACATTTGGATGCAGGGCGGGGAACATCACACACTGGGGCCTGTCGAGGGTGGGGGACTGGGGGAGGGATAGCATTAGGAGAAATACCTAATGTAAATGATGAGTTGATGGGTGCAGCAAACAAACATGGCACATGTATACCTATGTAACAAACCTGCACCATGTGCACATGTACCCTAGAACTTAAAGTATAATAATAATTTTTAAAAAGACACACTGAAAAAAATAAAAATAAATAAAATACCAGTCTTGGGTATTTCTTTATAGAAGTGTGAAAATTGACTAATACAGATGCTCTGTCTTTTCTCCAGTAATTTGAGAATCCACTCTTATGTTGCACTGAATTCTGGTATGTATTTGGGTTTATTTCTAAACTTCCTACTCTGGTACATAGGCCAGCTGTCTTTTTGTGTATGAATGTGATCAATAATATTGTTAGTCAATAATTTTTTTTACTGTTTGATTTTGTACTGTTAAATATACTTATACACTTATTACTTGATTTGTTTGCTTTAAATTATATCACTTTACACACAACTATTACAAATGAGACAGGCAAATTTATCGTGTCCAACGTCTTTCCCTCTTCCCCTCCATTTTTTTTAGTTGTTAGAATTTCTAAATTTTCAGGCTATATAATGCTTATATTCTTTTCTGTCTCTCTAAATTTCACATTTAAAAAACATTACTATCATTAAATAATTTCTATCATCATCCTTTTTACTGATATTTTCAGTTATCTTTTATTTCTTTGATGAAGCCAAAAGATTAGAGAAAGACAGAAAAGCATAGATAATGAATCTAGAAATATAAATTAAATGCATCCAACACCATAATTGATATAAGAATCTTGCATTTTAAACCACAGAGGGAAGAAAGTGAAAACAGAACGGGGCAAGTATATGGAGGGAGAGCAAATATCTATGTATTGGAGATTCTGAGAAGAAGCAAGATATTTGGAGTAGTTGAATGAGAACACTGAATGGAGAGGTTGCTGATGTCAGAGAGGAAACTAACTGATTTTTACCATTTATAATTTCGTAGGTGAAGAACCTTCTGAGCAATCACGGATCCAGGTCACGATCTATGACAATGAGAGTAATTGGCTGAAATGAAATTAAGGAGGTCATTGAATACAAAGAGGTCAAGGAACTGAGAGGCCAGAATGTTGAGAGAGTCACTGACACCTGATCATCAGCACCTGACATCAGCACTTCTGCTGATGAGTAATATAACTTTGAACAAGTCACATAACCTCTTTAAGATGCAATTTTTTCATCTGCAAAATGGGAATAAACCAGAGCTGCAGTAATTGGAACACGGGAGGAACTCAAAAGTATGTCAGCTTCTTTCTCACTTTCCTCATTTATGGCACTGTAAGCCAAAGGAACTTGAGGAAAAAGGTTTACTCACAGAATTATTTTTGAAAAATCTTCCACAACTAAATTGTGCCTATTGGCATCTTCAGCCACATATTAGAAGTTTCCATTTTCACTTACAAAAGCTTTTTCTTCATGGAGTGAAGACATGGTCAGTCTTCTATGTCGATTGAGCTCTAGCCTTCCACAGATCTGCTGTATAGAAGGAAATATTCCATCCCAACTGAATCAAACTGATTTTGGACAGCAAATGGCAAATCTCCCTTCCTACCCTGTCCACTACTTGGTGATGCCTTCATTTACAAAACTACAATCAAAGAAAATTGGACTAGTTCTGATGATATATTTTCTTTTCTTCTACTAAAAGTAGCAGCACTTGGCAGTTGAAATAAATGAGAAGGATATTCTTCCTGATTTAAATCACAAATAAAGTCAGGTAGGGAATGTAGAAGATAACTTTAGCTTTCAAAATATACATTCAAACCACACATTAACTTAAACATGTGATTTTCACTTTTCAGGTTTTACATAAGGTAGTGAAATGCAAGTCCCAGTTTCTATATAGCTGAGAAGAAAAGCATGTCCTGATACAACACATAACATGTGGAGTAAATATGTACTTTTCCTCTTGCTTACTAGTTTACTTTTTCCGTTAAATCCCCCATTTCCCCATATTTTTTTTTAATTGGGAAGATAATTTATGTTCTTCAAGGAGTTGTTCAGCAATCCTAAAAACAGCTGCTATTTTTTAAACTCTTCTTACTGTCTTGGTTGGTTAACAATGTCTCTTTGGTATAATATTTTACTGTGGAATAAAACTGCCAAAACAGAAACCTTTAAAGTTACCTCGTTAAACTCATTGAGGGCTGCGTTTTCAGGATGCTATTATATGTGGGTACTTAGACTGTGACAGAAGTCACATTTTCTCATGATTATACCTTTAAATAGTCTCCATATACTATGAGATAAAATAATTTCTGTTTCTGCTTTTTTTTTTTCGCTAACTTGGACTAGAATTTTTTAAGGTACAAGAAAATATAGTGTAAAGTGATTGGAAGTGTTTGAGCCTTACGGTTGAGGAATGCTAAGTTTGAACCCAGGTTCTATAACTTAATTTGCTGTTAAGTTCAAGCTTTACTTAAAATCTTTAAGTGTCAGCTTCCAAGTATATAGTAGAATAATTTTAAAGATTAAGTTAATTAAAAATAGCTGTGGTAAAAACCATTGGTTGGCACATACGATGCCCTTCCCAATCCTCTTCTCTCCAGCCACTTCTCACTTATTAGTGAGTTATACATGGAAGTCTCTTGGGAAGGGCTTCTCTTCTCAATTAAAATGACAAACAAAGGATTTTGGTTCTACTTTTTTCTTCCTGCTTGGGAAAAGTATATGCTGCCTAGGGATGCTGCAGCTATTTTGTAACCGTAAGTATAAAACAACAAACTAAAGATGGCATGGAAGGATATTAGAAGGAGACTGTTTTCTAGATGGCCTTCTTGAGCAGCTAGAGCCAACCCAGACTAGCTGTCTCAAGACTTCTTATGTGAAATGAATTGTTCCTTATCTAATAACGTCACTGTTTGTCAAGTTCTCTGTTATTCAGAGTTGTAGCATTCCTGTGTGATACAAAAGTAAAACAAGGTCCCTAGGCTGTAAGTAAGGAAGTTCAAATAAAGTTAATTACCTTCTCCCCTCCACTGTAAGTAAAGGCCATTTAATGGATGAGGTATAGTCTCAGCATACACTTTGAAGAAAGAATAATAGTATAACAATCATTGGCATCACTTTTACTTTCTTGTGAATGGTATCACCATTCAACTTGGTATATATTTCAGGATCTTAGAAAAAGTCCTGATACCTCCTTTTCCCTTGTGCATCTTATCCAATCCAAGTCCTATAGATTTTACCTCTATATCTGACCCATCACTGACTTACCTCCTTCTCCCCTTCCATCACCTTAGTTCTTTATGGTTCACCTGGACTATTGCATTCTCACATTATTACAAGTGAACTTCTTCCCATGCTGTTCCCTCTGTCTAGAATGTTCTGTCTCTCTGACTACTCCTATTTATCTTTTAGGTCTCAGCTAAGTCACTAACATTTCCTCACCCCTCCCTGCCCTGATTATCTCTCTTTTGTATCTCATTATATCTCTCTTTTTAGCATGTGTTATTAAACATTTTACATTAATATGCGAATCTTAAGTTAATGTTTGTGTCCCCACCACCCTGTAAATACCAGGAGAGCTGAGCCTGTTGTTTTGTTTTATCTTCCATCATTCTATTAGGTCAAACCCAGCACTGAGCACATAAGTGTTCAATATTCTAAGTAACACTTTATGAGCACTTACAGTGTATGAAGCATTTTTATTGGTGTTTTATAGGCATTAATGCAGTTTAGTTGTCACAGCAATCCTATTACTTGTCCCATTTTATAGACGAGAAAACTGAGACACAGAAAAGTTAAGGAATTTGCCTGAAGTACCACAGGTTTTATACCAGGATTGGACTCAGGCAGTTTGTCGTCAGAGACTATGCTCTTAACCAATTCCAAAAGCTGAATGAAAGGATGAATCTTGCCACTGACTGGGGAGTAATAATCAGTTTGGTTCCATAGTTTCAAATAGAAGCTACTTTGTACAAGCCATTCTTCAGCATTCAGTGGATAGGATGGAGAATGGAGACTAAAGACTCTCAATCTATATTTTCAAGTTCTATATGGCCAAACATGCTTAGTTTAGGGCTATATATACATATATATTCATATTTTCCTTATAAACATATATATATATGTTTATATATGTATATATGTGTGTATATATGTGTATGTATATATACATATACATACACATACACGTATATATACATATATATTTATATTTTCCTTATAATCAAATTATTATATTGTGATTGGTGTTTCTCTTCAATATGGCTGATCCTCTTATTCCCTCATGTGAGAAGGCACGTGAATCGTAGCAGATTTCTTCTTAATTGTGCCATGCTGGGAAATGCTATATTGGTTTTCATCTCCAAAACCAAAATTATTTTGAAAAAGTGAAAAAAATACCATCTGTAAAAACTGAAATCATGTTAATATGTTTTCTATTTTCAAAGCACATCAACCTCATAGAAAGAAGGGAAAAATCATTAGTCCTAGGCTGAGCTTGACTGTGCCAGGTAAGTATGCTAATTTTGTTGGCTTGGTTGGGAAAGCCTGAAATCAGAGATTTATGCAGGAATTTGCAAATGACAAATGATTTGTGTACAACTATACATTAAATGACTAGTGCGTTTGAGAGGATTGGGTTCTACAGAAAAATTAAGAATGAAGGAAATGGTGGAGGGATGGAGAGAGGCTCGGGGCAAATTTGAGTCTATCTTTGATTTTAAATTAGCTGAATTTTTAGATGAGTCTGCAATGAGAAATAATGCTGTAGTAATAATTGAAGTGTATCTGGCACACTATAATTTTCAAAGCACTGTCATATTATTAATCTTATGTAATCCTCACAATGATTCTGAAAGTTTGATGATATGATTATTTCCATTTTATAAATGAGAAAACTGAAGTTTAGATAAGTCAAGGAAAAGAGGTGGCAGTGGATTGCCAGGAAGACTTTGTAGAGAGGGCTTTTGGTGTGCTGTGCAACATCACCCCAGGGAGGTGGATATGTATCCCCTTCACATTAAGCCAACTGAGAGAGAGCTTCAAGACAATAGCTCAGAGAGTTTGACATTGAGTTCGAGAGACACAGGTAGTAACATTTCCAACCTAGGTGGGAGAAATCTAAACGCGAGAGGTCAGTTGGAGATGACAGAGCAAAGAGAGAAAGAAGGCTGCAATGGGAGTGAGCTGTACTACTGGATCACATGATTCCTTCCCACCAGATAGAGACCTTTAGAATAGAGCCTGCCTAAAGTCATCCTAAATGGAATCTCTCCCAAGAAGATGACCCGGAGAAGTGTAGCTTCAACAAACTTTTGGATTTGCTGAAAATCCTGGGAGATCAGGGAGAAGTTGAAAGTAGCTAGCCAGAAAAGTAACTGCCTCCATTAAAGGAAGGACAATCAGAAGTCCTCTGGTGAAAGTGTCCACGTTGTTAGTAAGTGTGGGGGGCAAAGCCACAGCAAGCAATGAGAAAAAGAGCCAGTGAAGCCTTCGCCTACTAAACCCCTCTTTTCATTGTCAGGCAACTTTTCTTCAGTTTTATCCTTGGCCAGTGCAATGTAACCTACAGCTTTGTCTTGGTTGATGCCAATAATTTAGTATGGCCGTTGTAATCCTGGCCCACCTCGAAGCAATCAATGGAAATATCAATTTTGCTCACTAGCAATAATGAAAATCTTTTGATGAGAAAGGCAGAGTAGTCTAATGAAAAGTGAGTTCAAATTCCAATCCTACTACTAACTGTTCATATAACTGAAAGAAATTAACTTGGCCTTATGCTATTTGCAAAATGAAAGTTTCAGAAAAAGATATTCCCTAAGATCTCTTGTCATTTTAATTACAAGGTTTGGTGAGAGATCTGATGAATTAAGACTCCACATTGCCCAAACTACTGCGTGATATTCTTCTGCCACTTTCACTCTGAAATGAAGAGAAGGATCTACTAAGTAAAGTTATATAAATAAGGATTTAAAGAAAATAAACTGAGCTTAAATAGTTTAGAACACCAGCATATGTACAAAATAGCTATTCAAGTTGGATATTCTATTAGGCAAATTCTAGTTACAGTGAAATATAAAAGGAATAAGCCAATTTTCTCTCTCTAAGATTACACAATATAACCTTTGAATCAATTCTGATTTGTCTCTCTCTTGAAGACCAAGTATCGTTTTAAGGTTTTTTTTTCCAATTGCTATGCAGTAGGATCTTTCCTTATGTTACTGAAATGTATTTGACTTTCTTCAAATTGAATTGAAAATAAGATATCCAGGTAAAGCAATTTTCAAACCTTTCCAAAGTGAGAGAAAAGTATTTCTTATTTGATGGGGACTATCAGGAAAGAGAAAGTCATAGGTACTAAAACAATGTGCATTTCTAAGAAGATTGATGGAAGCTTGCAACATCCTTGAGAAAATAAGTACTGATATTTTTCCATCTCTTTATATGAAAACTAATGCTCAGAGAGTTCAGCCTTCTCAAGGTCAAACAATGACTTTATTTCAAGCATGGGCTAGAACTCAGATCTTGGCTTCCCCATAATATTTCAGTTTTTTTGCCACCTGCTCCTTTGATGGATGCTGGCATATCTTGTTTTCAGTTGAATTTCTTACTTCTAGAAAGCGCGGCAGGAAGCACTCTGTCAATAGCTCCAGGTCTCCTTGAAATCGATTGAGGCTCTGGACTCCTAGCTAAAATACTGCTCTTATGTCAAACCACATGAAATAAGCACTTTTTAAAAATAAATGTGAACTCCACCTTTTGTGGCAGGAAGGACTATTCAAGATAACAAATGAAAACAGCAAATTCTCTTGGGAAGGAGAAGGGAAGGTGGCATTCTCTTCAAAAGCAAAATTGGGCCATCTCACTAAATAGGACATCAGATGTGAGCAGTCAATCTGGTCTGCATTGAACAACATCATTGCCTGGGTTGCAGTCTTCTAATAGCCTTTGTCTTTTTAGGTTTTGGGTCTGTGTTTGCAGCTGAGGTGAAAATGAGGGTGGGAGAAATTAAATGGCTATTTCTCTTACTTGGCATCTACCTTGCCATGCCCCTGGACCTGCCTTTCCTCCCTCTTCTCTTTGTCACTTTGATGCCTTCCTTTCTTCCTTTTTTCTTTCTTCCTCTCGTGCTCCCTCCCTCCTTCTCTACCTTCCCACCCGATGGTAATCAGGTTCCTTGAGCAGTGGCAGACTTTTCTAGAGTGTCCTGACTACTATTTCTTCCACTGTTTTTCCTCTTTCCTCTCTTCTCATTCCCCTCCCTAAATGCCACTTCTCCTCTTTCTCTAAAGACCTTGCTTCATTAGCTTCCCTCACTTCCCTGCTACAGGAGCTAGAGCCTTTTATCAAGCTATAAACAAAGAACTGTGGTGGTGATGCTCTGTGTGCCAAATACTCTGAGCAGAAGATGAGTTGACAAGGGCAACATATGTGGCTTCTGAACAAGAAGCAATCCTGGCTTTAAGGCCTGAGGCACCCTGTCATGAAGATGGCTGTGAAATCTTTAAAGCCAAGAACCTTAGAATAAGAGGAATCTTGGATACTGACTGTCAAACTGTCACATTTAAGAGATGAGAACACTGAGACACAGAGAGGTGAAATGGCAGGTGAAGGCAACTCATGAATGAATCAGGTTCTCCTGACTCCCAAAACAGTGCTCTTTGAACATCAAACTGCCAAGTTTAGTTGTATTGTAAAGGTTCAAGGACAGGGGAAATACGGCATAGATAGGAATG
This sequence comes from Homo sapiens, assembly GCF_000001405.40. Taxonomy (NCBI): domain Eukaryota; kingdom Metazoa; phylum Chordata; class Mammalia; order Primates; family Hominidae; genus Homo; species Homo sapiens. The sequence goes on from NC_000002.12 coordinate 223,413,922, forward strand.
TACTTTTTTTTTTTTTTTTTTTTTTGAGATGGAGTTTTGCTCTTGTTGTCCAGGCTGGAGTGCAGTGGCACAATCTCAGCTCACTGAAACCTCTGCTGCCCGGGTTCAAGCAATTCTCTTGCCTCAGCCTCCCAAGTAGCTGGGATTACAGGCACTCATCACCACACCCAGCTAGTTTTTGTATTTTTAGTAGAGACGGGGTTTCACCCTGTTGGCCAGGTATGGTCTCAAACTCTTTACCTCAAGTGATCTGCCTGCCTTGGCCTTCCAAAGAGCTGGCATTGTAGGCGTAAGACACTGTGCCCTGCCGGAATGTACTTTAAAGGCACAGGGGGATATATGGCATCCTCGACTGTAGGGCATGGTGCATTTGTCTGTGGACCTGCCATTTGTTGCAATTTATTATCAATAGTAGCTTTCAGATATCCTTTGTTATTAAGTTAAACCAAATGCAATTCCATCCATGGAGCAATTTTACCTTTAAGAAGTATCTTGTGGGTTGTTTTGACGTTCACATTCACACCATCGTCTACCAGGAAACAGCATTTGTTTTCGTTTCCTAAGAAACTGTCTTTACTGAAGTCTCCTCTGTGATTATCTTAAGATCCCTTCCTACGTTTCGTATCTATTTCTATGGCTCCTTTTTTGCCTCTTAACCCCCTTGTCAACTGTTTTGTTGTGTTTTTGTTTTTTTTTTTGGTCTGGGTTTTCTTTTCTTTCTTTCTTTCTTTGTTTTTTTTTTAGTACAAATAGGTATTTCAGTCTTCTGACTAAATTTTAGCTTTTAAAACTGTGCATAGTTGATTCTAGCTTTCTCTGCCCCTTTGAGGGGTTCTGGGAGGAGGAGATGCAGTGCTCCAAAGAACGCTGCATTGTGTAACCGCACCATGAAATCTGGCACAGCAGCCCATAGCCTGCCCCAAGAACAACCCCTTAGGAATGTGGACAGGCAGAACCAAGACAGATGGAGCAGATGCTGGAACTAGGAGTTAAGATTAAAGGCATTTTTGTAGCATAGAAAAATAGAAAAATGTTGAAACACAAAACATATACACAGATCATTTTTTCCAAACCCAATACCAGAACATGTGGTCTAATCCACTCATATCTGATAACAGGAAGAAGTATTTGAAATTAGGACTTTCCCAGAGAATTCTGTTTGGGAGGTCATTGTACATGTAGGTTACAGAGAAAGGGGAAGCAAAATGTCAGGTAGTGAAAACTGTGTGCGTGTCATGTGGTACTTCTAAAACATTAATGTGTTCACAAATCTCTGGAAATGGTGTTAAAAGGCAGGTTTTTACTTCAGAGGCCTGGGTTAGTGCCTGAGATTGTACATTTCTAACAAGCCCCCTGGTGATGATGCTGGTGATGCTGGTGATGTTGGTGATGCTGGTCTGAGAACCACTCTTGGAAACCAAGGCCTTTGGGCTTATGCTGTACTCAACTTTGTACCCCTAACATCAATCAGGGAATACAGCTAACAACAATTTGGTAAACTAAGTTCCAGACACTTTACATGCATGCAAAGTTATTTAATTTTTCAGTAATATTATACATAGGTGTTATTATTCTGGTTTTCAAATGGGTAGATGCAAGTTCAAGCATTTAGTCATCAAAATCTGTGTGAGTGATTCTAAAGATAGCTGGACTTCCCTGGAATCCTAGATTCAAAACTTGTCAATGCAAGGAGTTTCATTCTTTCCAACCTACTTCCTAAAGTGGCATAGGACAGTATTTTGCTTAAGAATATGGAAACTGGGCTGGGCGCAGTGGCTCACGCCTGTAATCCCAGCACTTTGGGAGGCTGAGGCAGGTAGATCACGAGGTCAGGAGATCAAGACCATCCTGGCTAACACGGTGAAACCCTTCCCTACTGAAAATACAAAAAATTAGCCGGGAGCGGTGGCAGGCGCCTGTGGTCCCAGCTACTCGGGAGGCTGAGGCAGGAGAATGGCGTGAACCCGGGAGGCGGAGCTTGCAGTGAGCCGAGTTGGCACCACTGCACTCCAACCTGGGAGACAGAGCAAGACTCCATCTCAAAAAAAAAAAAAAAAGAATATGGAACCTGGAGCCAGTGAGCATGGGTCTGGATGCTTATTCCAACCCTCCCTAGTTGTGCAACTTGACCAAGTTCATGATCCACAATGAGGCTCACTTTACAATGTGATATGGGAATAATAGCAATTTTCTCTTCATAGGATGGTTATGAAAATTAAATGACTTACCATTAGTAAAGCACCTAAAGGAGTGCCCATAACAGATCATGGAGTACATGGTAGGCATAGGAAAAAGCTATTGCAGAAAGACTGACATTTACAATGCTTTAAAGATCATACTTGGCCGGGTGCCGTGGCTCACGCCTGTAATCCCAGCACTTTGGGAGGCCAAGGCGGGTGGATCTCGAGGTCAGGAGATCGAGACCATCCTGGCTAACACGGTGAAACACCGTCTCTACCGAAAATACAAAAAATTAGCTGGGCACGGTGGCGGGCGCCTGTGGTCCCAGCTACTCGGGAGGCTGAGGCAGGAGAATGGCGTGAACCCGGGAGGCGGAGCTTGCAGTGAGCCGAGATGGCACCACTGCACTCCAGCCTGGCCGACAGAGCCAGACTCCATCTCAAAAAAAAAAAAAAAAAAAAAAGAAAAAAAAATCATACTTTTTCTCTGAAATGTGTCTTGGAAGTTGTTGTAGCTTGCATTTATTGAGTGAATGTGTTCTCTAAGAAAACTGCATCTCTCTATTCTGGGAATACATTTATTTTACTTTATGAAAAATAAAATAAGCTAGCTTTTTTTCAATAGATATTTATAAATGTGCTCAGAACATGGATACAGAGGTATTGTCAAAGGTGAGATTAAAATTCTTATGGAACCCCTTTTTGAGAACATGGTCCATACTCCTTAAGGATCCCTATAATGCTTTTTTACCTTTCTTTTTTTAGAACGAGTGGAACATACTGTTATCTCTTCTAAGTCTTTTGCCTCTGGCAAGAGACACATTGTATATTTCCACCCACTGGCTTTTAATGATGTGCAGAGAACGATGATTCACACCAATCAACATTTTCATATTATTGAAATATCTCCCTTAGTCCCCAACACAATTTTCAAAACATGTGATTGTATGAGAACAAAGGCATCAAACTGTCTTTGCTGAATCATTTTCTGTCTCTCTCTCAGCCCAAATTCCCTCTGATTTGTAACTTACCAGCCAGGCCAGCAAGAAGACAAATGATATTCCTAGTTAATTAATCAAACTCAATCCATTGTCATTTAGTAATATCCACCACTGGTTACAAAGTAGCCACATTTGGGCCTATTTAGTTGGCCTTTCAATTGTAATTTAGCTGTGTGCAAAGGGTGACATTAAATCTCTTTTACCCCAAGACTTTCACTTAATCTAACGAAGCTTGGCCTCATTTGGATACTATTATGTCATTCTCAAGGCACTGTGAGTACATATGATAAGGAGCTGGATGATCCAAAATCACACCGGCCAGACCAGTGGGCCCTGATTCTCTGATGTACGGGCTTTGAAAATGGAAACAAGTCAGAAGAAAAGTTTCCAAAGGAGCACAGCGCACTCAGCGTCCTTAATTTAGCCATCCAGGACCAGGGAGAAATTGTCTTTCTGCCTCCTGCTGCTGATCAGCTTGTGCCCCGGGCTTAAGGGCTTTTAAATATTTTCTTTTTTTTTTTTTTCCTATTTTTTTTATTATACTTTAAGTTTTAGGGTACATGTGCACATTGTGCAGGTTAGTTACATATATATATATGTGCCATGCTGGTGCGCTGCACCCACTAACTCGTCATCTAGCATTAGGTATATCTCCTAATGCTATCCCTCCCCCCTCCCCCCACCCCACCACAGTCCCCAGAGTGTGATATTCCCCTTCCTGTGTCCATGTGATCTCATTGTTCAATTCCCACCTATGAGTGAGAATATGCGGTGTTTGGTTTTTTGTTCTTGCGATAGTTTACTGAGAATGATGATTTCCAATTTCATCCATGTCCCTACAAAGGACACGAACTCATCATTTTTTATGGCTGCATAGTATTCCATGGTGTATATGTGCCACATTTTCTTAATCCAGTCTATCATTGTTGGACATTTGGGTTGGTTCCAAGTCTTTGCTATTGTGAATAATGCCGCAATAAACATACGTATGTTTACACTGTTGGTGGGACTGTAAACTAGTTCAACCACTGTGGAAGTCAGTGTGGCGATTCCTCAGGGATCTAGAACTAGAAATACCATTTGACCCAGCCATCCCATTACTGGGCATATACCCAAATGACTATAAATCATGCTGCTATAAAGACAGGGCTTTTAAATATTTTAACATTCGACTTTTGGCGGCCAGCCCTGCAGAGTTTTAATAGAAAGTTAAAGTTAACCATTAATTAGCATAGACACACAGGCCTGAAAAGAATTTGGACTAGCCTGAAAGAAAAGCAGCTGGAAGCAAGCAAAATACGTGAAAACGAGAATCTGGTGTGACCACCACATTTTCATTTCATGGGTCTTTGATTCTTTCTTTGTGATAGAGTTTTGGCAAGCCTAGGAAGGATGAGCTTGCGTTCTCACTTTCCCCTTCCTTCCCTCCTGTTTTCTTTCCTTCCTCCCTCCTTTTCTTTCTCTGTCTCCTTCCTTTTTCTTTCTAAATGATAATAAAAGTGTTTTGTTTTGTTTTTTAATTTTCTTAGTGAGATGTTTAGGCTACTAAACATACCAAACTAAGAGTTGAACAGAATTGGATTTTCCATCAACATTCTGCATAATCCTAAGCAAATCACTTTTGGGGCCAAGATATTTTAAATCTGAAAATGAGGCAGTTGGATTAGTCCCTGAGGCCTATTCTAACTCTGAAAGATTATTTATTCAGAGCAAGCTGGGCACAAGGACAAAATGTGATATATTAATACTCTATAGGAACCATAATAAATAGGCCATGAAAATCCACCAAAGGAAAAGTAAGTTCTGTTGTCCATGCTTACATGTTGCCATAGACAAGATGAATGAGGAGTAGAGCCAAATTGGTTAAAGGCTTAGACACATGGCCTAACAGAGTTTGGGAACTCAGCCTAACAGCCATGGCTTTGCCTCGTTAGATCCAAAGTTAATATTAGCTCTATGAATTGTCATTCATTCATTCATCATTCACCAAAATTGATCAGTCTCATTATGTGTGGGACTCTCTGATCTGTGCCAGAGACACAGAGGTAAATAAAACATTATTATTAATGCATTTGGTAGTATTTCTCAAAGAAATTTGGGTCAGAGTTGTTCTGAAAATGATCCTGACTCTTCTCTTTTAGTCTGTATAACTTTTACACTGTGAGAATAATGCGATGTAGAACATGTGACAACATTTTGTGCCCAAAATGTTTAGAACCAGAAAGACGTGCTAGAACAGGGAAGACTGAATTTTTTTTCCCTTTTTTGTACCTTGCCAACACTTAGCAAAGGCAATCATGCAATTACTAAAAATTTATTAACACTGTGTGCCAGCTACTGTGCTGTGTATTCTTTGATTAATTTCTATTTTTTAATTGTTAATAAACTACATTGAGGTATAATAATTTACATATAATAATTGTTCATATTTTAAGTATGAGGTTTGATGAGATTTGAGATATGTGTACACCATGTAGCCACCAACTCAATCAGCACAGGGACTGTTTATATTACCCAGAGAGTCCCCCCTTTATCCTTGGCAAATTAATTACTACTTCCTCACCCTATCCCCTGCCCCAAGCACTATTAATCTAATTTCTATCACTATAGACGACTTTCATCTGTCCTAGTACTTCCGACATAGTTTGGATGTTTGTCTCCTCCAAACCTCATATTGAATTGTGATCCCCAAATTTGGAGGTGGGGCTGAGCTCATGGGAGGTGTTTGGGTCGTGGGGTCAGATTCCTCATGAATGGCTTGGAGCCCTTCACATGGTAGTGAGTTCTCGCTCTATTAGATCACACAGGAGCTGATCTTTTAAAAGAGTCTGGCACCTCCTCCCCTCTCTCTTGCTCCCTCTCTCACCATGTGATATGCCGGCTCCCATTTTGCCTTCCTACATGATTGAAAGCTTCCTGATGCCCTAACCAGAAGCAGACGCTGGTGCCATGCTTCTTGTACAGGCTGCAGAGCCATGAACCAAATAAAACTATTTTCTTTATAAACTATCCAGCCTTAGGTATTACTTTATAGTCACGCAAAATGGACTAACACAAATTCTTAAAAATGAAATCATACAGTATGTACACTTCACTGTTTGGCTTCTTTAGTTCAACATGTCTGTAAAATGCATCCATGTTTTTCCATGTATCAGCAATTTGATTTTTTATTGCTGAGAAGTATTCTATTATATGAATATATCACAATTTGTCTATTTGTTCATCTGTTGATGAACATTTGGGTTGGTTTCAATTTAGGACTATAATAAATAAACTTACAATTAACATGCATGTATAAGTCTTCTTGTGGATATATTTTCATTTCTCTCAGATAAATACCTCAAAGTGGAAATGCCAGGTCATAGGAGAGCATATGTGAACTTTGTAAGAAATAGATTACAGTTCTCCAAAAGTAGTTTTATTATTATACTGCCACCAGCAATATGATTTCCAGATGTTTCACCTCTTTACCATTTGATATTTGTTGTTCATATTTTAAAATTTGTGTGTGATGTCCTTATTGTAGTTTTAATGTGCACTTTTTCCAATAACTTATGATGCTGAGCATTTTTTTTTTTTTTTTGAGAAACAGTTTGAATCTGTCACCCAGGCTGGAGTGCAGTGGCGCAATCTCAGCTCACTGCAACCTCCACCTCCCGGGTTCAAGCGATTCTCATGCCTCAGCGCCCCGAGTAGCTGGGATTACAGGCATGCACCACCATGCGCAGCTAATTTTTGTACTTTTAGTAGAGATGGGGTTTTGCCATATTGGCCAGGCTAGTCTCAACCTCCTAACCTCATATGATCTGCCCACCTTGGCCTCCCAAAGTTCTGAGATTATAGGCATGAGCCACCACGCCCGGCATTGAGCATCTTTTTGTACACTTTGTTAATCATTCATATATTTTGTGAAGAATTTATTCACAAAACAGACCCTTGAATTGTAAGAGTTCTCAATATATTCTGGATACAGGTATTTGTGAGATACCTGCATTGAAAATATTTTCTTCTAATTTGTGTCTTGCTTTTTCATTTTTAATGGTCTTTTGATGATCAATTTTACCAAGACAAAGTCCAATTTATCATTTTTCTTCTGTTCAGTGCATGTATTGCCTGTTTATATCTACCTCTACTAAGATTCCAGAGATTTTCTTGTGTTTTCTTTTAGAAGCTTTGTTTTAGAAGTTTTATAATTTTAGCTTTTACTTCTAGGTCTATGATTCATCTTGAATTAATTGTTGGGTATGGAATAGAAGTTGCAGCTCTTGTTTTCCCTGGTGAATATTTAGCGTTGCTTCACTGTTGGAGAGATTTTTTCTTTTCCTATTGAATTGCTTTGACAATTTTGTCCAAATCAATTTCTCATATATTTCTGGCCTCTTGATTTTGTTCCATTGATCTAATTGCAAAACTTTATGTAAGTACCACACTGTCTTGACTACTGAAGCTTTATAGTAAGCCTTACAATCATGTAGTATAAGTTCTCCAACTCTTATTTTTTTTTTTTTTTTCAAAATTGTGGCTATGGTAGGGCTTTTGCATTTCCACATTCTAGTAAAATTGGCTGAGATACTAATTGGGATTGTGCAACATGTGTAGATCAATTTAGAGAAAAAGGATATCTTAGCATTACTGAGTGCTCAAATATGTGAAATTGGTATAGCTCTCTTGTTGATACAACGTTTACTAAATGAGCAGATATCCTTACCCTTTTCCTAAGATTAGTAAGAAAGTGTTTAATATAGCATGATTAAATACGATATTAGGTGTAGATATCTCACAGATAACTTCTTAAGATTGAGAAAGTTCTCTTATTTTGCTGAAATTTTTATAACAACTAGATGATTCATCAATTTCACTGGAGGTTGATCAATTTTATTGTTCTTTTCAAAGAACCAACAGTTGTTTTGGTTGATTTTTCTCCATTTTTGGGTCTTTTCTCTATTTTATTAATTATTGCTCTTATATTTATTATTTCCTTCTTTCTGTGTACTTCGGGTTTAATTTACTCTTCTTTGTCTAGCTTCCTGAGGTAGAAATTTAAATTATTGTTGTTAAAAAGTTCTTGTTGTCTAGTATAGGCAATTAAAACTATAAATATTCATCTAACTACCCCTTTAGCAACATCCCACACATTTTGAATATTGTGCATTTATTTTATTTTAATTACAAATATCTTAAAATTTCCATCGTGATTTCTACTTTCAGTTATGAGTTATTTGTATATATTTGGAGTGTTTCTTGGTTACTTTACTTTTTGTTTTTAATATAATTTTACTACAGATAATATTTCACCTTTTTATATAGACTAATTTTATGATCCATAAAGACTATGAAGACGCTATATGCACTTAGAAATGTACTTATTCTGAAGTTGTGAGCATAGTGTGCTAGAAATGTTAATTAAATCAAGTCTTCTAAGTGTACATTCATGACTTCTATATCCTTACCTATTTTATAAATATTTACTAAAAGAGGATGGTTAAAATCTTCAGTCATGAATGTGGGTTTGCCTATGTCTTCCTTTATTTCTGTCAGTTTTTCATTATGTATTTTAATCATCTTTATAGGCATATCCACTTAGGATTGTTGTATTTTTCCTTCTATCATTATGTATGTTGTGGTAATGGCGCTTTTCTTGAAGCCTACTTTGTCTGATAGTAATATAGCCATATCTGCCTACTTTCAAATGCTTATTATATGCACAGTCTATCTCTTTTCATCCTAGTACTTTTAACTCCTCTGTGTCATTATATTTAAGGAGCATCTTGGGTAGCTACATATATATGGGTCTTATTTTTTATCCAATATGACAATCTCTTCCTTTACATTAAAATGTGTAGCCTATATATATTTTATATAATTATTGATAGGGTTGAATTTAAATTTATCCTATTGTTATTTGTTTTTAATTTGTTCCATCTGTTTTTTATTTTATTATTGTTCTGTTATATATTGTTTAAATATATAGTTTTTGTTTTATTTTCTGTTTCACTGTTACCCTTTTCCTTTATTTAGGTCAATCAATTTTTAAATTATTCTATTTGTTTCTTTTATTAGATTTTAAACTCATGTATTTTGGGGGGTGGGGGGATGGTCAACTTAGGGACTATAATATGCATCCTTCACTTAACAAAATATGCTTGCAATTAATAATTTTCTACTCAAAATTCACTCTTTACACTTCATAGTACTCACCACTCCTCAATAACAGTCATATAATAATACAATCCCATTTACTCCTTTCTTCCTGCAAATGTGGTACTATATTTTACTTTACTTCCTACAATGACATAACTTTTTTGTTTTGGACAGGCATTTTTCTTTTAAGGGAATTAATAGGAGACTTTAAGGCTAGTCTTTCATGCTAACTCATTTATTTACTGCTTCTTGTGTTCTTCATTATTTCCTCTATATGTGGTTTTACATATAGCATCTGATACAGTTTGGAACTGTATCCTCCCCTAAATCTCATGTTCAATTGTAATCGCCAACGTTGGAGGTGGGGCCTGGTGGGAGGTGATTGGATAATGAGGGCAGATTTCTCGTGAATGGTTTAGCACCATCCCGTTGGTGCTGCTCTCATGATAGTGGGTGCGTTCTTATGAGATCTGGTCTTTTAAAAGTCCGTAGCACCCCCCACCTTGCTCTCTTGCTACTGTTCCTGCCATGTAAGACTTGCCTGCTCTCACTTTGCCTTCCACCATGATTGGAAACTTCCCGAGGCCTCCCCAGAAGCTGAAGCCACTATGCTTCCTATGCAGCCCGCAGAGCCATGAGCCAATTAAACTTCTCTTCTTTATAAAATACCCATTCTCAGGTATTTCTTTATAGCACTGCGAGAACCAACTAAAACAGCATCATATTTTACAGTCTGAAAATATTCTTAACTATTTTGTGTAGTGCAAGTGTGTTTGCGACAAATTCTCTCAGCTTTTGTTTATCTAAAAATCAAGTATTTTACCTTGTACATGTATATTTCTCTTTGATATAGAATTCTGGATTGACATTTCTTTCTCTCAGTATTTTAAGGTTTTCATTTTATTTTCTTCTTTCATGTATTTCTGATGAAGAGTTGGCCTTAAGAACTACTTCATCAAGACTTTTTTTCTGTACCATTCTCTTTATCCTGTCTTCTGAAACTCCAGTTACACATATATGAAACTAATTGATATTCTCCCACAAGTCTCTGAAACCTGAACTTTTTTTTTCTTTTTGAGACAGCGTATCGCTGTGTTACCCAGGCTGTAGTGCAGCGGCATGATCTCAGCTCACTGCGACCTCTGCCTCCAGGGCTCAAGCAATTCTCGTGCCTCAGTCTCCTGAGTAGCAAGGATTACAGGCATATGCCACCATACTCGACTAATTTTTGTATTTTTAGTAGAGACAGGGTTTCTCCATGTTGGCCAGGCTGGTCTGGAACTCCTGGCTTCAAGTAACCCACCCACCTTGGCCTCCCAAAGTGCTGGGATTACAGGCATAAGCCACCGCACCGGGCCATGGCCTGCACATTATTATTTCAATTCTTTTTTTTAATGTCTGTTCTTCATCTTGAAAAATGTCTATAGATCTGTTTTTAAGTTAATTCAACTTTTGTTCTGCCTCTTCAATTTTCTATTAAGCTTATCCATTGAATTTTTTATGTCATATATTAAAAGTTACAGCTCCAGAATTTGTATTTGGTTCTTTTATTAGTTTCCATTTCCATATGGAGTTTCCAAATTTGTTCTTCCTAAAACCATATTTTCTAATTTTTATTTTTATTTCAATAGTTTTGGAGGAAAGGGTGGTGTTTGGTGGCATGGAAAAGTTCCTTAGTGGTGATTCCTGAGATTTTGGTGCACCCATCAGCCCAGCGGTGTACACTGTACCCAATGTGTAGTCTTTTATCCTTCACTCCCCTCCCACCCCTCCCAAATCCATTGTATCATTCTTATGCCATTATGAAGCTTAGCTCCCACTTATAAGTGAGAACATATGATGTTTTGTTTTCCATTCCTGAGTTACTGCACTTAGAATAATAGTTTACAACTCCCTCCGTGTTGTTGTGAATGCCATTATTTCATTCGTTTTTATGGCTGATTAGTATTCCACAGTATATATATATATATACACCACATTTTCTTTATCCACTCATTGGATAATGGACATTTAGACTGGTTCCATATTTTTACAATTGCAAGTTGTGCTGCTATAAACATGCATATGCAAGTGTCTTTTTTCGTATAATGACTTCTTTTCCTCTGGGTAGATAGATACCAAGGAGTGGGAATCCTGGATCAAATGGTAGATCTACTTTTAGTTCTTTAAAGAATCGCTCTATTGTTTTCCATAGTGGTTGTACTAGTTTACATTCCAACCAGCAGTGTAAAAAGTGTTCCCTTTTCACCGCACTCACTCCAACATCTGTTATCTTTTTATTTTCAAATCAAATGGTGGCTATTCTTCAGGAGTAATGTGGCATCTCATTGTGGTTTTGATTTGCATTTCCCTGATAATTAGTGATGCTGAGCTTTTTTTTCATATGTTTCTTGGCCATTTGTTTAAATTTTTTTTTAATTTTAATAGGTTTTAGGGAAAGCAGATGGTATTTGGTTACATGGATAAGTTCTTTAGTGGTGATTTCTGAGATTTTGGTGCACTCACCACCGGAGCAGTGTACATTGTACCCAATGTGTAATCTTTTATCCCTCACCCCCTCCCACTCATTCCCCACAATCCCCAAAGTCCATAGTATCCTTATGCCTTTGTGTCCTCATAGCTTAGCTCCCACTTATGAGTGAGAACATATGATGTTTGGTTTTCCACTCCTGAGTTATTTCACTTAGAATAATGGTCCCTAATTCCATCCAGATTGCTGCAAATGCCATTATTTCATTCCTTTTAATGGCTAAGTAGTATTCCATTTATATATATATATAATGTGATATATATGATACATATATATATCACATTTTATATATCTATGCATGTGCCAGTGTCTTTTTTTTTTTTTTTTTTTTTGCATAACCACTACTTTTCCTCTGGGTAAAATACCAAGGAGTGGGATTGCTGGATCAAATGGTAGATCTACTTTTAGTTCTTTAAGAAACCTCCACACTGTTTTCCATAGTGGTTGCACTAGTTTACATTCCCACCAACAGTGTAAAAATGCTCCCTTTTCACCACAACCATGCCAACATCTATTTTCTTTTGATTTTTTGAATATGGCCATTCTTGCAGGAGTAAGGTGGTATTGAATTGAGGTTTTGATTTGCATTTCCCGGATAATTAGTGATGTTGAGCATTTTTTATATGTTCGTTGGCCATTTGTATATATTCTTTGGAGAACTGTCTGTTCATATCCTTAACATACTTTTTGATGAGATTGTTTGCTTTTTTCTTGTTGATTTGTTTGAATTTCTTGTAGATTCTCAATATTAATCCTTTGTCAGAAATATAGATTGCAAAGATTTTTCCCACTCTATGGGTTGTCTGTTAACTCTGCTGATTATTTCTTTTGCTGTGCAGAAGCTTTTTAGTTTAATTGGATATCATCTATTTATTTTTGTTTTTGTTGCATTTGCTTTTGGGTTCTTGGTCATGAAGTCTTTGCCTAAGGCAATGTCTAGAAGGGTTTTTCCAATGTTATCTTCTAGAATTTTTATGGTTACAGGTCTTAGATTTAAGTCTTTGATTTCTCTTGAGTTGATTTTTGTATAAGGTGAGAGATGAGGACCCAGTTTTATTCTTCTACATGTGGCTTGTCAATTATCCCAGCACCACTTGTTGAATAGGATATCCTTTTCCCACTTTATGTTTTTGTTCACTTTGTCAAAGATCAGTTGACTATAAGTATTTGGATTTATTTCTGGATTATCTATTTGTTCTCATTGATCTATATTCCTATTTTTAAACCAGTACCATGCTGTTTTGGTGACTATGGCCTTATAGTATATTTAGAAATCAGGTAATGTGATGCCTCCAGATTTGTTCTTTTTGCTGAGTCTTTCTTTGGCTATGAGGGCCCTTTTTTTGGGTCCACATGCATTTTAGGGTTGTTTTTTCTAGTTCTGTGAAGAATGATGGTGTTATTTTGATGGAAATTGCATTGAATTTGTAGATTGCTTTTGTCAGTATGGTCATTTTCACAATATTGAGTCTACCCAGCCATGAGCATAGGATGTGTTTCCATTTGTTTGTGTCATCTATGATTTCTAACAGCAGTGTTTTGTAGTTTTTCTTGTAGAGGTCTTTCACCTCCTTGGTTAAGTATATTCCTAAGTATTTTATGTTTTTTGTAGCTATTGTAAAAGAGGTTGAGTTCTTGATTTGATTCCCAGCTTAGTCACTGTTGGTGTATAACAGAGCTACTGATTTGTGTACGTTAATTTTGTACCCTGAAACTTTACTGAACTCACTTACCAGTTCTAGGAGCTTTTCGGATGAGTCTTTAGGGTTTTCTATGTATACAGTTATGTCATTGGCAAACAGCAACAGTTTGACTTCCTCTTTACCAATTTGGATGCCCTTGATTTCTTTCTCTTGTCTGATTGCACTGGCTAGGACTTCCAGTACTATGTTGAATAGAAGTGGTGAAAGTGGACATCCTTGTCTTGTTCCTGTTCTCAGGGGAAATGCTTTCAACTTTTCTCCATTAAGTATAATGTTGGCTGTGGGTTTGTCATAGATGGCTTTTATTACCTTAAGCTATGTCCCTTCTGTGCCAATTTTGCTGAGGGTTTTAATCATAAAGCCATGCTGAATGTTGTCAAATGGTTTTTCTCCATCTATTGAGATGATCATGTGATTTTTGTTTTTAATTCTGTTTATATGGTGTATCACATTTATTGACTTGAGGATAATAAACTATCCCTGCATCCCTGATATGAAATCCACTTGATCATGGTGGATTATCTTTTTGATATACTGTTGGATTTGGTTAGCTGGTATTTTGCGGAAGACTTTTGCATCTATGTTCATCAGGGATATTGGTCTGTAGTTTTCTTTTTTTATTATGTCCTTCCCTGGTTTTGGTTATTAGGGAGATACTGGCTTCATAGAATGATTTAAGGAGAATTCCCTCTTTCTCTATCACTTGGAATACTGCCAATAGGATTGGTAACAATTCTTCTTTGAATGTCTGATAGAATTCAGTGGTGAATCTGTCTGGTTCTGGACGTTTTTTGTTGGTAACTTTTTAATTGCCATTTCAGTCTTGCTGCTTTTTATTGGTCTGTTCAGAGTTTCTATTTCTTCTTGCTTAACCTAGGAGGGCTGTATATTTTTAGGAATTTTTCCATTTCCTCTGGGTTTTCTAGTTTATACACATAAAAGTGTTCATAGTAACCTTGAATGATCTTTTGTATTTCTGTGACATCAGTCTAATATATCCCATTTTGTTTCTAATTGAGCTTACTTGGATCTTCTCTCTTCTTTTCTTGTTTTATCCTGCTAGTGGTCGATCAACTGTATTTATCTTTTCAAAAGGAAGCAGATTTTGGTTTCATTTATCTTTTGTATTTTTTTGTTTGTTTGTTTCAATTTCATTTAGTCCTGCTCCAATCTTCGTTACGTCTTTTCTTCTGCTGGGTTTGGGTTTGGTTTGTTCTTGTTTCTCTAGTTCCGTGAGGTATGGCCTTAGATTGTCTACTTGTGCTCTTAAAGACTTTTTGATGTAGACATTTAATGCTATGAACTCTCTTCTTAGCACCGCTTTTGCTGTATCCCAGAGCTTTTAATAGTTTGTGTCACTATTATCATTCAGTTCAAAGAATGTTTAAATTCCCATCTTGATTTCATTCTTGTCCCAGTGATCATTCAAGAGCAGATTATTTAATTTCCATGTATTTGTGGGGTTTTGAGGGTTCCTTTTGGAGTTGATTTTTAATTTTATTCCACTGTTGTCTGAGAGAGTACTTGATATAATTTTGAATTTTTTTAATGTACTGAGATGTATTTTGTGGCCTATCATATGGACCACCTTAGATAATGTTCTATGTGCTGATGAATAGAATGTTTATTCTGCAGTTGTTGGGTAGAATGTTCTGTAGATATCTGTTATTCCGTTTGTTCTAGGGTACAGTTTAAGTCCATTGTTTCTTTGTTGGCTTTCTGTCTTGATGACCTGTCCAGTGCTATCAGTGGAGTATTAAGTCCCCCATTATTAATGTGTGGCTGTCTGTCTCATTTCTTTGGTCTAGTAGTAATTGTTTCATATATTAAAAAGTTTTATTTTAAGTCATTGAGCATACTTAGAATACCTGCTACAAGGTTCTTGTCTCCTTATTCTAACAACTTTGTCATGCTGGGGCCTACTTTTTAATTGACAGCTTTATTTCTTGATTATAGGACACAATTTCTAATTCTTTTTATCTCTAATAATTTCTCATTGTAGTCTGGATACTACAGATGATATGTTATAAAACATCTGGATTATGGTTTTTTCTTTAAAAGGTTGTGTTTTATTTTGCCAAGAAGTTAATTTACTACTGGCACTATGATCCTGACAAGGCTTAGTTTTACATTTTGTTTATCCGTGAATGTTTATTAAATTAACCTGATTTTCACTTCACCTGATTTTCACTCTACCCACTCATTTCAAACAGAGGAAACTGAGACATTATAAATTTGAATGACTTATCTAATACCACATCTAAAAATCTCAGTGTTCTTTTTATCATGTCTCTATTACATTCTCAATGAGGCTTTTCCAGGCAACTCCATCTAAAACTTCAACACACACACACCATCTAATATGATTTGGCTGTGTCCCCATCCAAATCTTACATTGAATTGTAATAATCCCCACATGCCAAGGGCAGGGCCAGGTGGAGATAATTGAATCATGGGGGCGGTCTCCTCCATACTGTTCTCGTGGTAGTGAATAAGTCTCACGAGATCTGATGGTTTTATAAATGGGAGTTCCCCTGAACAAGCTCTCTTGCCTGCCACCAGGTGAGACATGAGTCTGCTCCTCATTTACCTTCCGCCATGATTGTGAGGACTCCCCAGCCATGTGGAACTGTGAGTCAATTAAACCCCTTTCCTTTATAAACTACCCAGTCTTGGGTATGTTTTTATTAGCAGCCCATGAACAGACTAACATACCATCTCTCTTACATTTCTTATTCCCCTTCTCTTTTAATTTTTTAACATTTATCATTATCTGATATAGTACATGTTTTATGATATATGCTGAAAACATATACTATTGAAACCAAAATGAAAAAAATCTTAAAGTCAGCCAGGAAATACATGACATGTTACATACAGAGCAGAGTATTTGATTTTAGGTCTTCTCATTAGAAATAACGTAAGAGGGAAAACAATAGAATGGCAACTTTAAAACATTGGAAGAAAAAATATCAACCTAAAATTCTATATCCAGGAAAAATATCATTCATATATGAGAGAGAAATACTTAGTTCTCAGACAAACAAAAACTAAGAGAATTTGTCTCAAGTACACCTGCACTACACAAAATAATTAGGAAAATTTTTCAAACTGTAAAAATGACACTACATGAAAAGCCAAATGTGCAGAAAATAATGAAGAACACAAGAAGCAATAAGTAAACAGGCTAATGGAAAAATCTAGCCTTTCTTTTCCTATTAATTTCCTTAAAAGAAAAATGTACCACCAAAATATGAGCTCCATGAAGACAGAGATTTTACTTATTTTCTCCAATATCTTCAGCATCTAAAACAATGTTGGGAAGGTCTTAGACATTTAATAAATATTTATTCATGAGTGAGTGAGTGAACTTATAAAATCAGTTTTGATCTTTGGTTCTTCTTAAGTTTAAAATAACTGGTAACTGGATTTCCTAAATTTTTTGAACACTATTTTCTTTTTTTTTAACTAAAATATCAGGACCACCTTTTATTCAAGATATTATAACAAGCTTTACACCAAAAATAGTAATAAAATGGAAAGACAATGCTAAGAATTTTGAATTTTATAGATAATTTCAAGTGCTTGGAATTACTAAAAGCTTAGAGAGTACAGCCAAATAGTTTTTAAAATCTGAAATGGTGAGATTATTAATATTGGAAGGATTTTGTTGAACACTTTTCAAGAAATACAAATAATCATTCAAGGAGAAAAAGATTCAGTGAAGAAAAAGTTTAGGAAATACTATGTCCTAATCACCATTTCTTGGAGATTAATAATACAAATAAGCATATAACAGTTTTGAAAACCTTACAGTAAAAAAACCTTTTACTGCAGAGGAGTATGTAAAATTCTTTATCCCTCAGGAATTTATTCTTTAGAAGGAGATAGAAAAAATTAGAAATGACTACACAAAATACAGTAGGATAAAGGGAAAGGAGTTGCACTAAGAGGGTTATATGGAGGATTCAAAAAGGCTCAAATCATTTCTAGTTGGAGTAATTAAGGGAATTCATAGACAAAGTGGTCTTTCAGCTGAGCCTGGAAGTTGGGTAGGATATTAACAGGTGTCATTACAGGAGAGTGTGGAAATTGGCAGAGAGCATATTAGGCAGAGGAATAATATGAGTGATGCTATGAAGTCAGGAACACATGTTAAGTTCAACAGAGTAGGGCACATGGTGAGAAATGAAGCTGGACAGATGACTTGGGGATATATTGTCAAGGCTTTGAACATTAGTATTGATCCCTTGGGAGTACATCCCTTGGAGGCAATAGCAGCCACTGAAGATTTCTGTAAATGGAATTTTTAAGACTGGAACTGTGTGCTATTGATCTTTCTCCAAACAATTCTGTCTCTCTTGTAGATTAATTTACCTCGTTTACCAGTATCTCTTTTTCATATTTCTTGGAAAGTCTTCCACTACATTACCCTGGGGGATAATGATGAGGCACATAAATGCATTCTTAAACTTTAATTTCCCCACATGTACAGTATACATTAATTCTGTTCATCGTGTGTATTTATTTAAAATGTTTGCTCTATATTTTTTTACTTTCCTTTCTATTCCCCCTTTGTCAACTAGTCTCATTCAAATACACACACTAGTTTGTTATTGTTTTTAAACTAAAAATATGTGTCACTGTTTTGCTTGTAAGTTGTCCAAATTTTTAATCGTATTTTTGTTTAGAGAAATTAAATCTAGATCTAACCCATAATTCAAGTCATTGATTAAATGGCACACTTTACTTCTTCCTCTCAGTCAATCAAATACTGACATACTAAGGTGTTTCCATAAGAGAATTTATTTGTCTTTATAGGTTTAATATGTTCATTAAAATTTTGTGCTATGTTGCTTTGGGGGATACATCATTTCAGACAGTTTCGACCTGATATTTAAAACGCATGATTTTAAATAATCAATCATGTCTTTGGTCAGTTGAAAATCACTTTCTGTGCATACCTGTCTCTCTTTCTCTCTCTCATCAATTGTGGACAAACAAATGTAGGCAGTGTAACTTTCAAGATATTGACTGGATTATTTGGGAAAATCTTTCATTAAAATATAACCTTAAGGCCGGGCACAGTGGTTTATGCCTGTAATCCCAGCACTTTGGAAGGCCAAGGCAGGAAGATCACTTGAAGTCAGGAGTTCAAGACCAGCCTGGCCTACTTGGTGAAACCCCATCTCTGCTAAAAATACAAAAAATTTAGCTGGGCATGGAGGTGCATGCCTGTAGTCCTAGTTACTCTGGAGGCTGAGGCGGGAGAATTGCTTGAACACAGGAGGCAGAGGTTGCAGTGAGCCGAGATGGTGCTACTGCACTCCAGCCTGGGCGATAGAGTGAGACCTTGCCTTAAAAAAAATATGTGTATATATATATATATATATATATGCACTTAAAATTGACATTCAGAATGTCTCAAAATATCATTAAAATGTCTTGTAAGATTTTGGTTGTGTTGTTGTTGAATTAGTATCCATTGAAATGCCTAAGTTATGTACAAGAAAAGCTTTAAGAATATTTTTTGCAGAAAATTTGACATTTAGATTCCCAAGATGTAGCAAGTATGTTAGTATTTACTTGAATCACTTATTATATCTAAGTAAACTAGACTAGAAAATTATTTTCATAGAGCTTTTACAATTTAGTAAAAATCAGATATTTATGAAATTATATCATTTGTCTCATTCTCTCAAATCAACTGTTTTTATTTAGTGAACTTAATGTTTACAAATCAATACGTGACAATATATTTATTCAAGTTTTGCATTGTGTATTTAATTTTTGTTATAGTAGCACTAAAAATCTCATTTTGATTCCCATCCATTTTTACAGGGAATTATTGGTTCCTGGAAGTGGCCATAGATATTTTTATTTGGTTTTGGGGTTTTTTGTACTTCAAAGGTAATGTAGAGAAGCCTTTTGCTAATTTGAATGATCATTGTCATCATCATTTTGCAAGAATCCCTGAAAGCAATATTATTCAATTATAATCACTTTGATAAAATCCTCTAACAAAGATCCTTACAAAAACATAAAACATGGCGAACTCACTGAATGACTCTCAGTTCTAATTCAAAAGCATCAAGGGAGAACTTTCTATCCAAGGCTTCTGTTGGTGGGCGTAGGGTTTGCTGAGATTCATGACATCAATAGGCAATCACATGCAATCATCTTTTATCGCAATAGAAACTATTTCACCATTCATGCAAGCAGTGGGGAGACTAAGGACTTAGAGAGAAGTAAATCAAAGCGTCCGGTCTCAATATTGACTACACAATTTTCTCACTAATAATGGGAAGTAAAAAAGTGAGAAGGACAAAATGCACAATTGTATTATTGGGCATACAGTTTGCAAAAAAAATGTGATAAATATCCTTGTATACAAAGTGTTATGCATCTGTCTATTATTACTTTAGAATAAATTATTAGAACAAAGGCTATGAACCTTTTTAAGAATCTTGGTATATATTTTCAAGTTGTCCTCCATAAAAGTTAAGTGAATGCTATTTTACAACATACACATACAAAATTAGGTATTATGATTTTTAAAAATTAATTTAATCGATGAAAATATTATTTAATTATTTTAAATTTGCTTGTATTTTTAGTGATGTTAAACATTATCAAATAAATTAAGGTATAACTGTAAGGTGAGATATGATGTTTCTACTCTAAATTATGGTTTTGAAGGTTTTTTAATGTTCCATGTGGAAGGATCAGACCAGTGTCTAAATGAGATAGATAGAATGTTGACAGCAGAACTTAATATGTGATATTCATATTTTAAAAATAATGTAGGCCTAAGTTAGCTTTATGCTTTATGATTATGTTAGGATATATATTAGCACATGTATGTGGATGTGTATATGTGTCAATATCCATAACGGTAAATGATATAAATATACAGATATGTTTCTTATTCCATGATGTGGGTTTGACCTTCTAAATTTAACATTTCTGATGTTCCTCTACTTGAAATTCCCACTACTCAGGTTTAGTTTTATGTAAATACCAATGTAAAAGTTCTAGTGTCTTAAGTGGGAAAAACAAAGTAAACAGCCATCCTAACGGAATGCTGTTACTATCTTCACATTTAAGCATAGTAGGGACTGTTCTAAACACTAACATACCAATTCATTCCACTCTTTGAGCAACCCTGTAAATTAGGTTTTATTATCCTTCATTTTGAAAATGAGAAAACCGAAGCACAGGGAAGTTAACTATGGGTTTATGAGATAGGCAGGCTAAGATTCACACCCGGGCAATGTTTCTCCTAAGTCTGTGCTGTTCATGTTCACATCCTCCTCTAAGACTTCGTGGAGTCCACATGTGCTACACAGTGCCTGTGGACTCAACCATGCTTGCACAACTCAAAGAAAGAACCAATGTAAAAATTTTCAGCCCTCAAAACCACATTGAGAGAGAGTTACATTTACAAAAGATTTTGCAACTAAGTTGAAATGATAGATTCTTAGAGTGCCTAGAACTGAGGAGCTCCTTAACCAAGTTCCTTAGTCATTTCTCAGGGAAAAACAGGTGTTTCAGTTGTACTACAATGCATAGCAAAACCCCTTAGCCTGCCTACTGCACAAACCCATATGCAGTTGTACTACTACAAACCCACTGTAGTTGTACTACAATGCATGCTTTATGCCCTGCGGTTGTTTCAATATCACAATTAGTTCTAGGACACAAGGAAACTCTGAAGCATCTGTAGATTATATTTATACTGAACATTCATTTGTATTATGTACAGTTCCCAAATGTGCTGCATCTAGTATGACAGTAATGTGAAAAACAAACAAACAAAACAAAAAAACTTCTATATAGCAACCTTATTTTCTTATGAGCGTCAACTCTTCTGGTCACAGAGTTCATATTTCCTCATCTGAATTTTTAAGCTATGTCCTTATCAGACACCAAGCATTCCCTTCATATCCAACTTGTCCAGTGAGTCAAGAAACATGGTTATACAACTTTATCAACTGAAGAGGTAAATCATTATTTGTAGTGAAAATTAACTCAACCACATCTCACATTTACAGCCAATTCTTTTCTGGGATTATAAATGTAGGCTTAGTTATAAACATTAAAAACAAGACCCCCCAAATGCATTGGTGATGACATAATTAAGAGAGAATACTCTTAAAAATAAGATATCTCTGCTGGGTGCAGTGCTTCATGCCTGTAATCCCAGCACTTTGGGAGGCCAAGGCGGGCGGATCACCTGAGGTCAAGAGTTTGAGACCAGCCTGCCCAACATGGTGAAACCCCGTCTCTACTAAAAATACAAAAAATTAGCCAGGCGTGGTGGCAGGCACCTGTAATCCCAGCTACTTGGGAGGCTAAGGCAGGAGAATTGCTTGAACCCGGGAGGCAGAGGTTGCAGTGAGCCAATATCATGCCACTGCACTCCAGCCTGGGTGACAAGAGCAAAACTCCGTCTAAAAAAAAAATCTCAAACTGATGGACACAGGTTAAAAAGATGTGGAAAGAGAGGTAATAGTGAATTATCATGGCTCCTATAATGATATCAGGGTCTTCTTTGACAATGAGTGAGGGACATGTATACATAATTGAGATGGATAGTAATTCAGTTTCACCTGGCAAATGTGAGTAATATGCTAAGGTGAAGAAGCATTGAGAATCTGAAAGATTAGCTCATGTCTATCATAACATGATGGCACATATTGGAAATCAATGACTCATTTGCATTCTAAGAAAGAAGTCAGTAACTTAGGAGGTTTTGAGAAAATATCTCCATGGGTGATTCCAGGGTTATGAAGCAACATTTTCTAGCAGATGAGGATGTACCTGAGTAAATAGTATGTTGGGGTGGAAAAGAACAAAAACATGGGGTACATTGATTATTGCTAGGAAAGTCTTACAATATTTTTACTTTTGGAAAAATGTTGCTCCAGCATCGCTGCAAGACCTGAAAAAGTTGGCACCAGAAGTTTTGGTTTCACATTTATCTTATTTTCTTGAAGAATCTTAATGTATAAAAATGATGTGAACTAGTTTTGAAGGCCTTTCTCAATTCTGATAGCTGTTCCTATTCCTGGGTCCTTGAATTCAGGGTCTATTTAAAGTACGGGAAATTTGAGGGCTAAGCGTGCTTTCCTTTTATTGTCGCTTGATGGGTGGCTTTTGCATGGGTGTGTAAAGAAGTAACCTCAAATCCCAGCTGCTGTCAAGCTTGTGGAAGGTTTAGTGTTTTAAGACCTTCTTCCAAACACAGTATTGATTGACTGTGGATATTTGATATGAGTGTGGTTTTTAGTAGTCCCCTCAAAATTTCTCTCTAAAATTAAGCTTCAGCACCAGCATGATTTGTATAGCAACTTGCATCTGTGTAGGGAACTCAAGGGCCCCTTACATGATAAATGATAAATGTACTTCCATTTTTCTTAAATATTTCCTCTTCTAGGTGAAGTTATGGTTCTAACTTGTAATAAATGGATTCATTGGCTAGATCCAGGTGGAATTTTATTTGCTTTTCTTAGTTCGATTTGAGATGCTTTGAC
This sequence comes from Homo sapiens, assembly GCF_000001405.40. Taxonomy (NCBI): domain Eukaryota; kingdom Metazoa; phylum Chordata; class Mammalia; order Primates; family Hominidae; genus Homo; species Homo sapiens. The sequence goes on from NC_000002.12 coordinate 223,437,013, forward strand.
AGATTCCTTGGGAAATGAGTGGATGGGCTCCTGATTGTGTGAATATGTCTCAAAACAGCCGGATCTTTGCCAAGAGGTGTTTTTTATTACCCCCTTTTGTTAACTGGTGGAAACTTTCTGTAGACAAGCCAAAATCAGCACTCACAAAACAGCTTCTGACACCAGGAGCCCTGTAATCAGAATAAGCTAGAAGGATGCATGGAGATCTTAACACCTTTGGCAAAGGTTCTCTCTCAAGGAAATATTGTAAAAGGTATCATTAGACATATGCCTTTCATTTGTAATTGCAGCCATTTCTCAGGAGCTGTTGTAAATCCTAAAGAATTCTGAAGTCTCGCAACCTTAACTAAACGATATAAATTTGAATTTGATTTCTACACTCACGCAAATAGCCCAAATCTTCTAATGCTCCTAATGCAAGTTTATGTGAATGGCTACACTAATTTCTGGACTTCCCTTGAATGGATTTGAAAGTATATTTTCTGGCCAGCATGGTGGCTCACACCTGAATCCCAGCTCTTTGGGAGGCCAAGACTGGTGGATCACTTGATGTCAGGAGTTCAAGACTAGCCTGGCCAACATGGCGAAACCCCGTCTTTCCTAAAAATATATCAATTAGCCAGGTGTGGTGGCACATGTCTATAATCCCAGCTACTTGGGAGGCTGAGGCAGGAGAATCACTTGAACCTGGGAGGCAGAGGTTGCAGTGAACCAAGATCGCACCACTGCACTCCAGCCTGGGCAACAAGAATGAAAACTCCATCTAAAAAAAAAAGAAAAAAAGAGTATATTTTCTGAAGGCTCACTTGAGTTTTATAATCCCAACACCGCCTCATTAACTATAACCTAAGCAGTGGCTGATAGTCTGAATTGATCTGCAAATATTCTGGAAAACGCAATTACAGGATGGGACATTTGGCATGTCAACAAGAGTTTTATGGTCGTGTGTTATGGATGAGCTGTTATTAAGAGACAATCTGTTATTTCTGTGACATATATTCATGCATAACTTGAGCCTTTTCTTGGAGCAATACAAGACAACTATGCTGCTATCAACATTTACCATCCCGTGAAGCAGGTCTTCCATAAACCTTTTTGTTGTTGTGGCTGGAGCTTTATTTTTACCTTTATTTTATTTTATTTTATTTTTTTCAACAGACTTTATCTTTTAGAGTGGTTCACAGAAAAATTGACAAGAAAATACAGAGTTCCCATAAACGCCCTGACCTTCATGAACTTTTAAAAAGGTGACTTTTTAAAAAATTTTTAGGCTGGACGCAGTGGCTCATGCCTATAATCCCAGCGCTTTTGGAGGTCAAGGTGGGCCGATCACCTGACGTCAGGAGTTCTAGACCTGCCTGTCCAACATGGTGAAACCCCATCTCTACTAAAAATACAAAACTCAGCTGGGCGTGGTGGCATGTGCCTGTAGTCCCAGCTACATGGGAGGCTGAGGCAGGAGGATCACTTGAACCTGGGAGGTGGAGGTTGCAGTGAGCCAAGATCACACACTGCACTCCAGCCTGGGTGACAGAACAAGACTCCATCTCAAAATAAATAAATAAATAAATTAATTTAAAAATTTTTAACTTTTATTTTTAGATACAGGGGACACATGAGCAGATTTGTTGCTTGGGAATATTGCATAATGGTGAGGTTTGGAGTACAGATCCCGTCATTCTGGTAGTGAGCATAGCACCTGAAGGTAGTTTTTTTTTTTTTTTAACTCACTCCTCCTCCCTCCAACCTCTAGTAGTCCACAGTGCTTATTGTTCCCATATTTATATCCATATATGTTCAATGCTTAGCTTCCACTTATAAGTGAGAACATGCAGTATTTGCTTTTCTGTTCCTGTGTTAATTTGCTTAGGATTATAGTCTACAACTCCATGCATGTTGCTGCAAAGGACATGATTTCATTCTTTTTGTGGCTGTGTGGTATTCCGTGATGTATATGTGCCACATTCTCTTTATCCAGTCTACCATTGATAGACACCTGGGTTGATTCCATGTCTTTGCGAATTGTAAATAGCACAGCGATAAACATACAACTGCATGTGACTTTTGGTAGAATGATTTATTTTCTTTTTGCATAGAATTCCAGTATTGGGATTGCTGGGCTGAATGGTAGCTCTGTTTTAAGTTCTTTGAATAATCTCCAGACTGCTTTCCACAGTGGCTAAACTAATTTACATTCTCACCAACAGTTTATTTTTAAATATTTCAAGATTCACAAGAGTACACAGAGTACACAGTGGATTTACATGTACCTTTAATCTAGCTTCTTCCAATGATAATATCTTACATAACCATAACCATAGTATATTTTCAACACCAGGAAATCAGTGCTGGTACAATACTATTAGGTTGGTGCAAAATTTATTGCGGTTTTGCCATTAAAAGTAATAGCAAAAAACCACAATTGCTTTTGCACTAACCAAATATTAACACAGGTCTAGACCTTATTTCACCAGTTTTTGCATCCACTCTTTTTTTGTATGCAGCTCTATAAAGTTTTATTCTGTGCATAGATCTGAGTAACATTCAATACAATCAGGATACAAAACTGTTCCATCATCACACACATGTGCACACACACACACACAAACACTCCCTCCCACTACTTCTTTCTACACACATTATTCGCCCAGTCCTAACACCTGGAAACCCCTGATTGATTCTCTATCCCTATAATTTTGTCACTCTGAGAATATTTTATACATGGAATTATGGAATATGTATCACTTTGAGGCTGGCTTTTTTCTTGCAATATAATGTCCTTGAGATCTATCCAAGTGTGGTGTGCATTAATTGTTCATCCTTTTTATTACTGAGTAATATTTCATTATACGAATATACCACAACTTATGTATTTATTCATCTGTTGCAGAGTATTTGGCTGGTTTCCAGATTGTGGCCATTACAAATAATACTGCTCTGAACATTCATGTATTTTCCAGATGGGTGTACCATTTGCATTTGCATCAGCAATGCATGGGAGATGCAATTGCTTGCCAGCATTTGGTACATTATAATTTTATTTTTTATTCACCATTTCTTATTTTAGCCATTCTAGCAGGCATGTACTGGTATCTCATTGGTGTTTTAATTTGTATATCCCTAATGGCTAATGATGCTAACTACATTTTTATGTGGCTATTTTCCATCTGCATATCTTCCTTTGTGAAGTGTTTGGTCAAGTCTTTAGCTCATTAGTTAATTAAATTTTTGTTTTCGTATTTTTGTGTTTAGAGAGTTTCATATATATTACAGATATAAGCATTTAGATATATAACATGCAAATGTTTTCTCCCACTCTCTGGTTTTTCTTTTCATTCTCTTAACAATGTCTTTTGAAAATCAATAGTTAATTTTGATAACGTCTTATTTATCAAATTTTCTTAGGTAAATTTTGACTTTGGTTTAATTCTAAGAAGTCTCCCTAATGCTTAGTAATAAAAATTTGTTCTTCAAAGTTTTAAAGTTGCATGTGTGCATTTACATCTATAATCCACTTTGAGTTAATTTTTGCATAACATGTGAGGTTTATGTCAGAGTTCATTATTTTGCCTTTCAATGTCCAATTGTTTCAATACCAATTGTTGAAAAGATGATCTTTTCTCCATTGAGTTGCTTTTGCATCTTTGTCAAGTACCAGTTGGCTGTACTTGAGTGGGTCTATCCAGGATTTTCTTCTCTTCTCTTCTCTTCTCTTCTATTGATTTATGTGTGTTCATCTGTCAATACCACACCGTCTTGACTACTATAACTGTAGAAGCCTTAAATTTGGGAAGTGTGATTTCTCCAACCATATTCTTCTTTTTCAAATTTGTTTTGTCTATTCTTGTTCCTTTGCATTACACATATAAATTTTGCAATCATTTTATCTATACCTACAAAGAATCCTGAATATTGATAGGAACTGCATTAAGCCTATAGATCAATTTGAGGAGAATTGACATCTTTACTATGTTGAGTCTTCCAGTTCATGAGCACGGTATGTCTTTCCATTTATTTAGGTCTTTTTTATTTCTTTGATTATTATTCTGTAGTTTTCAGCATACAAATTGTGTACATATTTTAATAGATTTGTACCTAAGTGTTTTATTTTAGAGCAATTATATATTGCATTATGTTTTAAATTTCAGATTCCCATTATTAATTGTTCACATATAGAAATATGATTTGATTTTCTTTGCTGTTGACCTTGTACCCTGCAATCTCACTACACTCACTGACTAGTTCTAGAAGTTTTCCTGTAGGTTTCTTATGATCTTCTTTGAATAAAATTAAGTCAGCTGCAAAGAGGAATAATTTAATTTTTTCCCAACCTCTCTGACTTTTATTTCCTTGCCTTGCCTCCATAGACTTTTAATTAAACAAACAACAATTTATTTATTGAGCTTGAAACGAGCAAGACACTAACCTAAGTAATGGGCTGAGAAAGATTAAAAACATTTGGTTGCTGCTCTGAAGTAATAATATTAGTAAGGATCATAAACGTGCAGAACCTAATATAATGTTTTCCATAAAAGTGTTAAAATAGAATGCTCTAACTAACATAAATAGAAATGGATGGGGACAATTATTTTGAGGAAATCAAGGAGGCTTTACTGAGGAGTTAATATTTGAAGGGTGTACAAACAGTATGGATGTGGGAAACCGAAATGTGCATTAAAGGGACTGGGAGAAATACAGAGTTGGGAGAGGGAATGGGGAAAGGAAATGGCGAATAACAGCACTAAAGAAATAACTTTCAATGAATATTTAAGGAGCCTTTTGTGGAGGATAAATGCATTTCAGTATATAACTCCAGAGTGCAAATGTGTCACATTCTTTTATTTCTATAAAAAAATAAAATAAGCCAGGCGCAGTGGCTCACTCCTGTAATCCCAGCACTTTGGGAGGCAGAGGCAGGTGGATCACCTTAGGTCAAGAGTTCAAGACCAGCCTGGCCAACATGGTGGAACCCAGTCTCTACTAAAAATACAAAAATTAGCAAGGCGTGGTGGCAGGCACCTGTAATCCCAGCTACTCGGGAGGCTGAGGCAGGAGAATCACTTGAACCTGGGAGGCAGAGGTTGCAGTGAGCCAAGATCGTGCCATTGCACTTCAGCCTGGGCAACAAGAGCGAAACTCCGTTTCAAAAAAAAAAAAAAAATCAATTCTGTGTTTCTCAGGCCCCATTTGGTCAAAGGAAGTTGAATCTCAGACATGTTTGTGAGCTACTGTCTATCCCAGGGTATGGCACAGGCCAAGGGAACCAGTGCAAGTTAGAACATTTGGACATGGGCTCTCTGAGCTCCAGGGCACACAGCTCACCCCTGAGGTACCCTGAGCCTGTGTCCACATGCACTTGAAGATGGCGGCTCTTCTGTGCCAGCCTGGGGCTTAATCATCTTTCCCTCTGGGCTTTGTATTAGTGTGTAGGGCCCCAGCCCCCAAGTCTAGGCCATTCTTTGGAGGACTGACCACATCTCTAAAGGTTCATTATATAATGACCAGGGAACTCAGAGGCCCTGGTACTAAAGCAGAAATTGCAGGAACCCTGCTGTCTTCTCTGTCTTGGAGAAACTAAACCTCTCTTAGATCCAGCCACTCCCCGGTCCAGGCACTGTGCTGTATTTTGTCTGCTTTTGGCATGAAGCTGCAGGGCATTCCTTCACTAAACCCTTAGAAACCTTTACTGGACTCTCATTTCTGTAAGTTTTGATGAAAAAATCAGCTGCAAAACCAGTGAAATTTTTTTCCTCCAACTTAACTTTTTAGAAAAGGACATTTTTTACTATGTCCTCTATATTATCAGGGGAGATAGTGAAGATTTTCCCTCACAACCAGATGGCAGGACCCTACTCTATAAATAGAGGTGCCTTCATCAGGATGGGGACTCTGAATAATGCCTGGGAGGTCTTTTAAGATGTGCATCTTTTGTGTCTCCACAAATTCATCCATGCCTGGCTTGGAGTGAAGCAGGGCAGTGATGTCATTCCCATGTCTGCAGACTGGAAGCAGAACAGCAGGTTTCTATGCCACTGTCTTTAGATTTTTGCTTCAAGATTAAAAACTGTAAATCAGAATGTGAATTCCAGGAAGCAGACTGACCGACTCTAAATTCTTTACTGTTGTGAAGCAGCCAATTTAAGCAAACTCAAACTTCAGGGTGAAAGTGCATTTAATCACTTAGCAGTAAGGTTTCAGCATGAATATAACTCCTGCTGTCGTACAGCTTTCTTTTAATACATTTTCATTTTCTTGATTAGAAGGTACCGATGGGGTGGGGGAAGTCGTGATTAATAGCCAAAGACTTCGATCTGAATTATTTATTAATTGGAAAAAGTGGTTATGAATTATAAGAGACTAAAAGCAACCAGGCAAAGTTTAAATCCTCATTCTAGTTACTAAATAGTAACTGGTAAGTCATCAGCCTGCTAATGACTCTCAAACTTCCATCTCTAGCCCAGACTTCTATGTCCAATTCTAGACTCACATGTACAATTTCCAGCCTTCATTCCCCCTTGAATGTCAGCGCAATCCAACATGCCCAAAGCTGAACTCATCCTTTCTCACAAACCCATCTCAGGGGAAAGCAACACCATCCTTCCAGTTGACTGGCCAAAGCATTTTTGCCATCAGTAACTCCTTCCACTTCTTCACAGCATTACAATTATACTTGTGAGGTCATTAGACTGAGCTGGCTCCAGAGCCTTGTGTTGCTAATAAGCAAACCCAATCCCAACTCAATGCAAACAATAAGACAAAACTTAAGCTTAACCAATCAGAAATCACCAACTAACATCTAACTAGGAACTTGCTACTTTAACCAATCAAATATTTTCTTTGTCTTGCTTCCTCTAACACCTCTTGAGAGTGTTCCCCCTGGGCTCCCTCAGTGGAGCCCTGAACTGCTTGCAATCAGATGCTGCTTGATTAAGGAATCACTGTTTGTGCAAATAAACTCGTTAAAATTTTAATGTGCTTAAGGTTACCTTTTAACATACCCCATGTGCAATCTGCCAGAAATTCCTATTGAATTTGCCTTCACAATAGATCCATGCCCTGACTCTTAACACCTCCCTGATCCAAGCTGCTATCATCTCTCAACTGAATTGCCACAGTGGCTTCCTAACTAGTCTTCTTGCTTCTACCCTTGCTTTCCTGCAGTCTGTCCTCAGCTGGCAACCTAGAATGACCTAAAACTGTGGATCAGATCATGCCCTCCTCTACTGAAAACCTCAGTCTCATTTTACTCAGAGTAACAGCCAGAGACCTTACAGTGGCCTAGAAACATCATCTGACTTGGCCTGTTTCTGACCTCATGCCTACCATTCCTCCACCTTGCTCACAATCTATGCCAGCCAAAGCTCCCTTGTTTTTCAGAATATTCAAGACATATCCCAGTCTTGTGGGCTTTGCCACAAGTTTCCCTCAGCCTGCAAGTCTCTTCCTCTGTAACTCCATGGCCAACTCCTCCCTGAATTTCAATTCTGCCAAATCTCACTCGTACCCCTGAGGCTCTTAAAATCATACCACACCTCAATACACCTGACCCCTCCCTTTTTATCTTATTCCACATTTCTTTTTTGTATATAACTTACTGCCTTCTAACACACCAAATATTTTCTTTATTAATTATATTCTTATGTATCCTCTGTCTTTCCTAAAATGTGAGCTCTGTGAGAGTGTTGATTTTTGTCCACTTTGCCCACTGGCAAAACTCAGGCACCCAGAACATGTCTAGAGTGGAGTGGGTGCTTCATACACACTTAATTGAATGCCTTGGGCAAGTTACTGATTCTCTAAAGTTCAGTTTCCAAACTTGGAATAAATTAAAGAAGGAAAAGCATCATCACCCTCATCATTTTGTTGTTATTATTATTAACCCTTCTCTAAATTAAGTTACTGCATTTAATCACTAAAATTCCCTTGTTGCACAATTCAAAGCTCGTTAGAATTTCACCCAAAATGGGGATAAATAAATAGGCTCTAAGGGTCGTCCCTTATAGTAAAATGAGTATGCTCCTTTACTATACAAGAGGATTTTGTGATTTCTGTTTTATTTTAATTTTAATTTCTTGTCCTAAGGAATTCTAAACAGCATTTTCTCGGTCATGCTATGTTTAGATAATTGACTTTATTAGAGAAGTGGCATATGGTGAGATGTTGCTGTACCCACTTTTAGATCCTTCCTGACCATGGCTGAGCCCAGCAGATTAAATAAACCTTGACTGATGAAGCCATCCCTGCCTCTGACTACAGATGGAAAATGGTTTTAATAAGATACTCAATTTGAATAAAAAATACTCCCAATTCTAATAAAACTTCCATTTATATTTTATAAATTATTTTTTCCTAAATAAAATGTCTTACATGAAAAGAGTGAAAAGCTTGTTTACTAAAATTCACTATGGTGTTTCTGTAGAGTTGCAACATATTCCTTTAGGAATAGACAGAAATGCTTCCAGTTCATATAAATCCTGATAGTTGAAAAAAAAGCCAATATTTCTAATATTGACTCTCTTAAAAAAATAGCTATTTGAGTCATCCATACTTTAGTTCCTAAGATATGTTTATTTAACTTGGAGATCTGCTTTGCCATTGACTTCAAATCTCAAGGGAGTGTTTATAAATGCTATTCAGACTAGTTGGACCATCCTAGTCAATTCTCATTTTCTATTTATGAGTAAGTTCTACCATAGGTATAAAAGTTAGTCAGTAACATGATATATAATAGAATAAACACTATTCTCTTTATGCCAAAAAGGAAAATATTGACTCCTTTTTTATAAGCTACAATTAATACTTATTAAGTATTTTTAAAACATGAAAATCAAATTTATTTCAGATTTAATTCACTGAATCTTGTTGTCATGCTTACTAATAAAATAAATATTTTTCTATTATGATACAGTTAAGCATCAATTAACTAAACCAATTAATCTGAGCCTTCAATTTATAAATGCATTTTTAATTTTTAGAACAAATAAGAAAAACAAGATATTTATTATTTTTTAATTTTTTAATTTAAATTACATTTTTTTGAGACAAGGTCTCACTCTGTCACCCAGTCTGAGTGCAGTGGCATCATCATGGCTCCCTGCAGCCTCGATCTCCTGGATTCAATTGATCCTCGCATCTCAACCACCTGAGTAGCTGGGACTATAGGCGCATGCCACCGCATTTGGCTAATGTTTCTATTTTTTTGTAGAGATGTATTCTCCCTATGTTGCCAGGCTGATCTTGAATTCCTGGGCTCAAGTGATGCTGCTGCTTCAGGCTCTCAAAGTGCTGGGATTACAGGCATGAGCCACTGCACCTGCCCTTATTTTATATATATATACATATATACACACACACACACACACACACACACACACACACACATATACACATATATATGTATATATATGTATTTTTTTTTGAGACAGACTCTCACTCCTGTCACCCAGGCTGGAGTGCAATGGTGCGATGTTGGCTCACTGCAACCTTATATTTTTTAAAATCCATTTGTTTTTAGATTATTTTCTGACATAAGTGCATGACATGATTTGGCTGTGTCCCCACCCAAATCTCATCTGGAAATGTGGCTCCCATAATCCCCACTTGTCATGGGAGGGATCTCGTGGGAGGTAATGGAATCCTGGGGGCAGGTTTTTCCCAAGCTGTTCTTGTGATAGTGAATAAGTCTCATGAGTCTGATGGTTTTATAAAGGGCAATTCCCCTGCACTCTCTCTTGCCTGCCACCATGTAAGATGTGCCTTTGCTCTTCCTTCACCTTCCGCCACAATTGTGAGGCCTCCCCAGCCGTGTGGAACTGTGAGTCCATTAAATCTCTTTTTCTTTATAAATTACCCAGTCTCAGGTATTTTTTCATAGGAGTATTATTCACAGTACAATGCATATTTATTCCCCATCTCTCCCATGTTCTGTGTTAACAGGTACTGCTATAAGGTTTTGAATGATGGTCTACAGCCTGAGACATATTCAATAATAACAATTCAATTCCATTTTAAAGTTAATTAAGTTCACATTACTGTTTTACTAAGATGTTAACACAGATTTTTTTAGAAAGATCTTCTAAATGGTAAATGTTAATCCTTAGGCAACTAACTAAAATATAGATCTACAACATCAAATTTCTTAACTTTTTATTGATATTTAAAAATTCCATTCTGAAAAATGGAAACTGTAAATAAGAAGGTCAAATCCTCAGGAAAGAGAATAATATTTGCTAAATATCTAAGAAGTACCAGTCATTTTCCTCATCACATTAAATATTCCTGGAACTTCATGTTTCTATCAATGTTTATATAAGCTTTTTAAAGGAAAGAAGATGTACCTGGTGGAAGAAACTTGTGTCAGAGGAAATTAACTATGAAAAAAAGGTGATTTTTCTGAAAGCCTCATTTCAAACTTCATAATTTCATTCATTTGACTCCTCTACTTTTTAAAAAACTTCTTCTAGGCAGAGACATTTATACAATTTATTCCACCTTTGCCACAGTGTGGTGAAAATTTGATGTTTTGAATCATTTTCCATCTTTCCTGAGGAACAATTGGAGAAGACTTTGCACCTCTATTAGAAATTATACATCTTTTAAAAAATACTTTTGATTAAAGACCCTTCAGGCATCAACTGCACATATTCAAAGTAAAGCCTAATCACATCAGGGTTTTGCCAGCGTAATTGTGTTTGTGGACCTTGTTACAGATATGATTTTGGTATTACTATAGCAACATAAAAGCTATGCTCTTAACCATGTATGTATGTGACAATGTTTATACATTTTCACGGCTAACTATGATGAACATACACAACCATCTATGAAGTTCAGTCTTGCAGGGTACAAGAGTTGAAGGTAGGAAATTATAATGTTAAATACCTCACTTTAAAGATGAAGAAAGTGACAACCATAAAATAAATGTGATTTGAATAAGGTTATTTTTCAAGCCTAAGACATGATGGATATCAGGAATTACAGAGGAAAAGTGTGCATTGTAAAAGAATTATGAATGTATGGAGTCACATTTCTAAAACCTGCATTTTATGAGCAAAATTATGTAAATCTATATAATTTATACGTTGGTATGGTTTGTAAATAAGCATTTGTAGTCAAGTAATGTCAGAATATGTGATCATCTGGATATTCACTGGGAAGGTAGGATGTTCCCTGCAGGTTGCCAGTGCATTGTTCCATGCCTTGGGAGTGGTAGTTTATCTGAAATGAGGTAAATATTCTTTCCAAAATACATCTTATTGACTTGTGAGCTGTTCACATGAGCCGATCCTAATTTATACCCGTTTTCCTGGGTGGAACTTGGAAGAGAGAAAAAAATCTGGAAGTGCCACACTTTCTAGATGTTATTGATCAGGGAAGCCAAACCCTAGAGGCAGCATTTCCCAATCAACAGCTTGTCCCTTGGTCAGTCATCCTGACCATAGCACAAGGCTTGTGGTCTCATAACTTGTGCTGTTTAAATCTTCTCCTATTCTCTTCCCTTTGGACTCAGAGTATTTTACTTTAAACATTCCCAAAAGCATTCTCATTCATTCCTGGGTCAATGCTTAATTCTCTAATGCTTTCCCTTTGGCCCTGGTGTCAAATACTAAAACAACTCTGGGTCTTTTATGAGGTTCAGAAATTCCTACTAGTTGAAAGTGTCCCATACTAGTTTTTGTCTCTCTCTTCTTGAAAAACTTGTGTTTTATCCTAGTTTCTCTGACATCTTTCTCCAAGGAGCTAGTAAACTACGATAGTGACATCTCTTTTACAGCTCAGTGTGCTGTCTCAGATGTTTCAAGTACTAAAGTGTCCATTTCCTGGGCACCTACTTTTTTGCTAGATGTTACATATTCCTCCTGACAACCCTACAACATAGCTGTTATTATTAGCACCCTATACAAATGGAAAAATTGCAGGTCCAAGGAGTTAAGTATCTTGCCAAGGTTAAACAATTAGTAAGGAACACAGTCAGGATTAGACCTCAGGATCTGTCTCCAAAGGGTAAGCTCCTCTTCCTTTCACTATCTCCTGTCCTTTCAATTCAAAGAACCCTTCAGATGCCAATAATTAAAGGAATTATCACAGATTGCAGGCATAGGGAGAAATCCAGTGAGGGAGATATTATGACCCAAGGAGCTTCTTACAGACTTTGAATATAAACTACGCATATTAACCATGTGTAAAACTAGCCCACCCTCCCAATGGGGATGATTTCCAAGTTCATAGCCAATCATCACTGCCCAGGTTAACCTCAATCCTGCCTCTTGTTAACCCTGAAAAATGACCTCCAACATGTCAATAGTCCGACCTGCAGTAGGAGAGGGAAATGTGAGTCTAGGGACCTTTCAGACTACTCGGGAGAAACACAGGAGTTCTCACCAGTGGCTGCTGAAGCACAATTAGAGTCATGGTTGCTATTCTTTTCAAAGCCTTGTGCAACCCCAATGGGAGTTTGGACAAGTTGAAATGTGTGACGAGTAACCTTTCTGACACCTACCTTGAGACTGTCAGCCAACTTTGGCATAAAATCCTCATCCTCACCAAAGAATAAAGTTCATTCCCCCCGTGGTCTCTACTCAGCATTTTATCAGCAGGCACATGACACTTGGATGCTTCTCTGTTTTCATACAGCTGCTTTAATGTCAAAGATGTTATGATGAGGCTGTTTTGACCCAGCCATGAGAATATTTTTAAAGCAGTAATGTACACTCATCCGTAACTCATTTTCCGAAGTTGGAATTTTTGACACCAACTCCCTGTAATAAATTACCTAGGTGTGGATGTGTGGGCCAGAAAATCTGTCTGCCCTATAGTCCTCAATAACTAAAACAATGCTGGGGTCTCCCAGTTTTAAATAGTGGTGTGAAGACATCTTTTCTCACATCGCCTCTCTGAATCCACCCAAAAGCAACTAGGAGAGAAAACAAATAAATTTCTTGTTCACATAAGACTATGAAGTACCCATAACCTCACACCACACAAATAAAGATGGGTGGCTAAGTGCACTAAATACTGACTCTGAGTGTGGGAGTATGCAGCCTGCCACTGCAGATTTGGGGCAGAGCCTCTGACTTCATCAGGGACCATGGGCAGACTATGAGGACTTCCCTGAATTCTACTTAAAATCTAAGAAGGACAGGAGAGCTAGGGCTGCAAGAATAGAGAGGAAGACATGGCATCTCTGCAAGAAGCCAGCTGATGGTGCAGCCAAAGGGTGAAGAAATGGCAGGTGCTGTGCAGCTGATCAAGACTGGTCACACATGTGGGACTTGAACTTGAGCAGGGAAGACTATCTTCCTGGAAGATAATTAAATCCCTGGCGAAAAATATTGACAGAAAAATGTTCAGAGCCAACAGACCAAAGTCTAAGCTGACTGCTACTCTGCAGCATCCTCTGGTAGCTCCCCTGCTCTGCTTTTCTGAAAATCACTGACCCAGGAAAACCACCCTCATTCAAACATGAGAAGCAATAATTAAAAATTAACAAAAAAAACACAAAGAGGTTAGGAGCCGGGCATGGTGGCTCAGGCCTGTAATCTCAATGCTTTGGGAGGCTGAGGTGGATGGATCACTTGAGGTAGGTCAGGAGTTCGAGACCAGCCCCATCAACATGGTGAAACTGCATCTCTACTAAAAATACAAAACTCAGCCAAGCGTGGTGCCGCACGCCTATAATCCCAGCTACTCGGGAGGCTGAGCCAGGAGAATCACTTCAACCTGGGAGGTGGAGGTTGCAGTGAGCCAAGATGGCACCACTGAACTTTAGACTGGGTGACAGAGCGAGACTCTGTCTCAACAAAAAAAAAAAAAAGAAGAAAGAAAGAAAAAGAGGTTAGGACATAAGAAAAAATATTTCAAAAATGGAAGAGAGAAAACATAATAAGCAAAGACTAAGATACATATGATCTGAATTCAATTGATTTAATTTAATCTCAACAAATAAAAATACTCAATAAATAGCACTCCATGAAACCTGATAACTTAATACAGTATGGCTTCTCTAAAACAAGAGATCATAGAAAGGCTTAAAGAAGAAATGATAATGAAAGGAGATAAAGTGTAACCTGTGTAGATCTCAGAAACAGTTCGTATGAAACAGAGATTATCAGTTCTAGAAGGTTTGGTAAAACATGGCCATAAAAATTTCTAACAATTTGATGCCTTTTCCGAGTGAAGCAGGAGTTTGTCCACGGCCTGCAAAGTCCAGGTTGCTCATTTTTTTTAAGGCTAATTATAAGAATTGTATTGGTTATATCTCCTGTTTTAATATGTGCTGTTTTGTTGTGATTCATTTAATGCTGTATATTTCATAATTTTTACAGTGATATCTGGGGATTTTTAGTGCAGAAATATGTGGGGTTTTTTTAAATTTCTTATTATTTCTGATTTTTAAATGTATTTTCCTGTGGCTAGAGAATGGGGCCCATGTCCTATCGAATTCTTTGTTGTTTATTAGAATATTGTTATGGACTAGTATGTGGGTATTTTTTTTTTTTTAGACAGAGTCTCGCTCTGTCGCCCAGGTTGGAGTGCAGTGGCACGATCTCCGCTCACTGCAGCCTCTGCCTCCCGGGTTCAAGCTATTCTCCTGCCTCAGCCTCCTGAGTAGGTGTGATTACAGGTGCGCTCCACCACGCCCCGCTAATTTTTGTATTTTTAGTACAGACGGGGTTTTACCATGTTGGTCAGGCTGGTCTCAAACTCCTGACCTCGTGATCCGCTCACCTCGGCCTCCCAAAGTGCTGGGATTACAGGTGTGAGCCTCCGCACCTGGCCCCTATGTGGGTAATTTTTCAAATGCTTCTTGTGTCCTGTTTTGGAAGGGTGCGGATTTGGATGCTTCTCTCTCTCTGCTCTCCCCTGGCCCTCCTCTCTCTTCCAAGCCTTCAGAGGGTCTTGTGAATAGTTAATAGACTTTATAATACACCAGCTTTGAACTGTGATGTGAAGAATTAGAAGGGCCAGTACCGTGCTTTGGAAGCTGCAGAGGAGGAATAAGGGCAATTTCCAACAGAGACAGTGGTCCCCTGCAGGCAGAGCTGGCGCAGGGTCACAGGCACAGGGGCAGCTTGGAGTGGGCGGCAAGACAACAAGGTAGGAGTAGAGAAAGATGACACAATGGTCCTCGGGTGCCAGGGCAGGCCTTTGACCACCTCCCGGAGAAAGCTCGGGGCACATCTGGAAGGGACTTATTTTTTCTGGCCCATTTAGGTCAGGAGGGGCTTAGGCCAAAACAATGTAAGGATAAAAAGAAGGCATGACCTGATTCTGTGGTCTTTTACTTTAGGCAAGAAGCAAAGCCTCTGTCTGTGGCTCTGCGGGTTGTGACCCACAAGACTTGCTAACCCCACGCTGTGCCATGAGCCAGGCTGCATCATTTCAGATTTCTGTGCCCTCTTTTGCTTTCTGGTCTCTTCAGAAGCAGAAACAAACATAGTAAGGTGTGTTTCGGGTTTTAGAGACGTTTCTGCTGAGCTTTGCCTTAAAATTTGCCCTGGAATCAACTGATTTTTAAAATGGGCAATGAAGTAACATTGGCCTAACCCATCCTTTCTTATGCCGTCTCATGTGTGTACTGTCCCAGGGTAATCTAGGTATTTTATTGTAAAAATTCATAAGAATGATATGACAGCTTTCCTACAGTTTAGTCATTTAATAAATTCAGCCCATCAATCTTTTGTCCAATTTCTAATGAGTATCATTTTCTGAAATTATGTTTTATTATATTTTCTTTAGAGGCAGAAGAGTGATTTAATGATTTTGCTAGAGCCAATTTGTAATTGACAATTTTCTATGAAAGGTAGCAGAGTTGTCTTTGGTTTTGATTAATGGCTAGTCGAGAATTAATCTTTGGTTCAGAGCTTTATTGCGTTTGAACTGAACTGCAGCTCACCTGACTGCCACTTCCTTGAAATACCTGTTTTGAAGGGTTGCAGGTTAGCAGGAGCAAAAAACCCGACACATCTAGCAATGTTTGTGTTCCAAAGTATACTTTGAGGAAAAAAAAAGTGGAAAACATCCTAAGAATCTTTGATATTTTTTATATTTTTATTGCAATGGCATAAGTACTTATTATGAGTTAAATTAGGAAGAATAAAAATAAGCACAACATCGACATGTCCATGAAAGGGACAAGCCAAGAAGGGAGGGATGGGTGTCAGGGAGTAATGCTTTTCAAAGGTGAGGAGTAGTCAGGGGTTTCTGCTTTGCCCCCTTTATTTGGTAATAAAACAGGGCTTTTACATTTTGAAGCAGCTGCTTTATGTGTCCAAGATAAGATGATCACATTAAAATGTCACTGCTATCAAAACGTCATGTCAAAATGACCTCATCTGAATGTCCTACTGTATGTCAGGCTGCTCCAAGTTTCAAGATTTCACTCTTGCACCCCTAAAATATCACCATGTTCCTGACAAAAGCAAAAATTGTCTTATATATACCACCTTGGTCTCTTTTATACCATTCCTGCTCATCTTTTTCTGCTTGATCCGCTCTAATCTACAGAAATTCTCCAGGTATCGAATGCAGGTTAATTAATTCTTAACAGCAACAACAAAATTAGCAAAGACTTATAGCCCATACCACATGCCAGATACTGTTTTAAGGATTTTACATATATGGACTCAATCCAGCACAATCCACATGAGGGAGGCATGATTTTTATTCCCATTTTCAAGGGTAGGAAACAGGAAAAAAAAGTTTCCTTTAGTATTTTGCCTAAGATCATAATTAGTAAATTGTGTAATTCACAGTCATAACTAATAGCTCCAGAACCTGGGCTTTCAGCCACTGTTGAAGGTATATTATACTGTATTGTACTATACTATACTATACTATACTATACTATACTATACTATACTATACTCTTCTATACACTATAGAACAAGTGTGAATAATTCCTAATTTATCCTATCTATTCACCAGATCATTCTTGTTCATTAACATTACCTAAACTTCTGGTGTAGGCAAATTCCTTTCTTCATATTATTTGTAATACCGTAGATTATTTTTGAGGTAGATTGGTGTTATGGGCTTTGAGGTAAATTGATATTGTGCTTCCCCTCAAATTCATATATTGAAGTCCTAGCCCCCAGTACTTTAAAATATGACTGTACTTAGAGATATGGCCTTTAAAGAGATGATTAAATGAGTTCATTTGAGTGGGCCCTAATCTAATCTGATGAGTGTCCTTATAAGAAGAGGAGATTAAGACATACAGAGAGAGAGACTAGGGAGGCCCACTCACCATGAAAAGGCCATGTGAAGACACAGCAAGAAGGCGGCCGTCTGCAAGCCAAGGAGGGAGACCTCAGAAGAAACCAACCCTGCCAACACCTTGATCTTGGACTTCCAGCCTCCAGTACTGACAGAAAAATAAATGTCTATTGTTCAAGCCACCCAGCGTATGGTATTTTGTTATGGAAGCCCTAACAGATTAGTACAGCTGATAAACTATTTGTGGGTATATAGATCTGTGTATGGATGTCATATACAATCTATTTTTTATTTTTATTTCTTTTTAATATTTGAGTTTCAGACATGCAGCCCATAAAAGTAAGTTTTTCAGGTAGCTGGTAAATAAGGCTGGTTCATATTGTCTGGACTAGAAAATTTTGATTGACTGTTATATGTGAGCATGAGTGCATAGATATTATCTGGATAAAGTCCTAGCAATAGACATTATTCTGCTCAGGCACTGAATCCTAATGTATGTAGAGGATAATATTATTAGGTGGATTACTGCTGATATTTGTGAATAAAAATTACATACAGCTGCTTGAAATAAACCTTTGTTTCATTTCACTTGTAAATCTTCATACTTGCTTTAGTTAATATAGTGACTAGGCAGTTTGTATTAGTGTTTGACTTTAACAAAAGTAAAATAAATGCACACAATGGTAAATATAAACAAGCATATGCACACAATAGTAATATAAGCTTTCTTTTTTCAGAGAAGTATTAAATATATATGCACTTAAATTGGTATGCCTTATAAAAGTTGATTTGGTGAAAATTTAAGTGAATTATGTTTTTCTGCTAAACAAGATTTTCCAAAGTATATGTAACATTAAGTAGGTAAAAAGTCCCAGTGAATAGATTTTGAGTTTAAATAGGAATATTTTGATATCTCATGTAAAAACGCAAAAAAAAAAAATTTACCATACTTGGAATTGTGTTTTTTATCACTAAACATATCTTCAATTAAATTAATGTCAAGAACTTTGATTTATTGAAAAGTTTAAAACATCCTTTTATGTTTGAAAAGTCTGTACCTTTGAATAAAAGACAATCATATACCTTATTGTACCAAGGATCCACCCAGAATTATATAGGCTACTTTACTTACATTCTAAACAAAAGCTCTAAATTGAGACTTCATTTATTAAAACTTCAGGAAAACCTATTACAAACAAAAATTTCTGGACTTGGGATTCCAAATTAACTAAATATTTCTTTATTTCTCCACTACCATTAATTTCATGTTTAAGATAGCGAAATAGGCAATAAAAAGCTAACACCTCCAAAAATAATTGGTATAGCTTCTTTAGAGGAGAATTTAGTAATATTTTGATAATTATGAATCTTAGCCAGATGTGGTGTGGCTCACTTTTGGCCTCCCTGAACTTTGGGAGGCCAAGATGAGAGGATTGCTTGAGGCCAGGAGTCAAGACCAGCCTGGGGCAACATAGTGAGGCCCTGTCTCTACAAAAAAATTAAAATTTTGTTGGGTAGTCCTAGCTACTCCAGAAGGCTGATGGGGAAGGATTGTTTGAGCCCAGGAGATCAAGGCTGCAGTGAACTATGATCTTGCACTGCACTCTGGCCTGGATGACCGAATAAGACCCTGTTTCTAAAAACAAAACAAAACAAAACAAAAAACAAACCAAAAAAAAAACCCACTGTGGATATTGTACTCTTTGACTCAGAAATTTCCATTTATCTTTAGGTATACCCAAAAACTTCATTCACAAAACATATTTACAGGCATGTTCAATACAGGATTATTTCTAGTAGTAGAATGTTTATCAACATGAGACTAGGAAACTAGAGTGTAACCAAATGGAGGAATAATATGGAACTGTGAAAAAACAGGTATATTTGTAGGTAGTGATGTGGAAATATACTTAAGACCAAGCAGAAAGATTAAGGTGCAAAATTCCTTATATAATTTGATACCTTTTATATAATTTATAAAAAGGCAACATAATATATAGATTTATACATGCTTAAAGATACATATGATTGTCTACTTTTCCTGAAATTAATCATTAGACATTTTAATGGGAATTACTTTAGAGGAGTAAGACTGAAGGTGGAGAGAAAGGAGGCTTTCTATCTTTGTTTCGTGCCTTCCCATACTGTTTGAATTTCTGACCATGTGCATACATTGTATGCAATTATTTTTAATAGCAAAGGTGGTTACAGTGAGCTAATGAGCCATTTGTGTTTATTTCCTTTCAGATACTTTTTGTGTTTGAAAAAAAATTAGGAATATCATTTTAACACAGTTTTCAATTAAAAGATTTATCTTGTGTTTTTCAAAAGAATATTTAAAATGTTTCATTTGCTACTTTCAAATTGATGGCGTGGTATTCACTACCAATATCAATGGGCTGTATTATTTTTGGACACTAGAGGGAATTTAGAAATGAGAGAAAATACACTGAAGAACCAATATGGCTCCCAAAGCTCTCTGACTGGATTTCCTTACTCCCACTGAGAACCTCTTTAGAACAAAAGCATTACTTAAACCGTGGTTGACTTGTAGATATATTCCTAAGAGCTTGTATGTAATTGAATCATATCATAAGTTCTGGGGAGATTGCTGTTGAGAGGAATCCTAGTGTGGATTGTCTAGAAAATAATGAAGCTTTTGTAAGACAGGTAATCACTGCTAGTTTATCATTAGATGACAAGATTCTAGTGTTTTATAATCCTCTTTTCCAGAAGATACTGTAAATCTGAGGTGTGATTATGATTATATTGGTACAATCAGTTTTGTGTGCCTTGAAGAATGTAGGTACTCAATGAATGTTTAATCAACTAATTAAAGAAATAAACAGGCTAAAGAAACAAACAGTTATTGTATCTGGGATGTTTTCCCCCTTATTATCCTAATTTAAATGACTGACTGAATTCTATTCGGTAACCCTCCTTCTGCATGTATTCATCCATTTCTTCATGTGCTCACTGTAACCCAGGCAGAGTAACAGTCATTGGTGATAAAGATTCTGATCTCAAAAACTTTTCAATTTAGTGAGAAGACAGACAAGAATAAACAAATCGAAAGAACAAATTGATGGAGAAGATATGAGAAATAGGTGAGTGTGATAGACAAAAATAAAACATCGTGGGATAAACATTGCTAATAAACATCTGGATTTCCTGTACTTCTGAGTATATGTGGGTTGTACTTCTCCACCCTCTTGGTCATTCATCACTATTTGACTAGTTCTAGCCAGTAACATGTGAGTAGAACGGCAATGCAACTGCCAAGCTAAAGTATTGGATGGCTGGTGTTCAGCTCTCCAGCTCTTTCTTCCTTTGATGTGGCAATCAGGAAAGCATATGTTGACTTGAAGGTGTCATGAGATGAAGAAAACTGAAGTGCTGAGCCACCACATGGAAGGTGCCTTAGCTAAAGTGTTGCCATACTTGGAAAATTAATGTGAGTAAAAAAATAACTTTCATTATTTAAAGCCAATAAAAATTTGGAGCATAGCCAAGCCTATCCTGACTGATACACAAGATTAGGCAATGGAGAGTAATGGGGCAGTGCTCCTCATGTAGGATGGCCAAGGAAGGGTCCTCTTACAAAGTGGCAATAGCAGTACAGTTATTGTTATTTGGATGTGAATTTCAGAGTCAAGAAGGGGTAGCCGTGGAGAGGAATGGTTCTGGGATATTGCTGGTGGGCCCCTGCTTGAGTCATGGGAGGACACTTGTCAAAAGTATCGATACCTTGGCCTCACCCTAGACCTGCTGCGTTAGACCCTCTGGAGGCAGCTTTAGGATTCTGTGATTTTAATGAGCTCCCCAGGTTATTCTGATGCACAGCCAGCTCTTGCAACCACTGCATTCAGCTTCAAGCCCTGATGGTTTACCTTTCTGATATATATGGTATGATATATAGAAATTTCAAATTATATGCCTCTCAGTCTTTTCCTTACTCTGACAGGAAAAAAAAGGAAAACCACATTTCAATTCTCATCAAAAGGACTTTATCTTTTTCCCATAATTCTGACAGAATATGATTCCTTATATGTCTGTCTTAGTTTGATGGAATCGACTTTAAGTCTTCAAGTCATAATAATATGAAAGACAGGTGTTTTTTATTTGTTTGTCTTATTTTGACAGGATCAAACTGTAACTTCAAGAATATTATTTTGAGAAAGAAACATCGTGGTAGCCAGAATGTTTTTGCTGTTAGAATTTTTAAAAAATGAAGATCATTTATTGAATGCTTCATGTATGCACAATCATGCTGCAAAGTAATATATACTCCTCATTGAAATTTAATTTTCACAAAAATATTGGTGCCTTAAAATTTTTACTCTTTCCTTTCAATGATAGCCTAAAAACTTTTATTTTAATAACTACATTAATGAATAAATTAAAAAATTTAACCCAAGAAGCTGTAAAGAAGAATAGATTCTTGAGTAATTGTGAATTCATAGTCTTCATTCTAGTTATTTTATATATGTGAAAACTGAGTGATAAAACCTGCATTCAAGGCTTTAAATTTAGAACTAAAAAGGAAAGCTGCTGCCCAGAGGAAGGACTTACTATAGATAATTACTTTATAAGGTAGCCTCTATTCGATGTTCCAATTTCATATTTTTTAAAGCCAAATATAAAGTATGTATCACATCTAAGCCTCTTTGCAATTCTGTATAAAAATACTTTTTTAATTAAAATGCGGAGAGATGGTATACAAAGCAGACTGATCACATTTGTTTTTCTCTACTCCATTCCAGAACCTCCTTCTATAACAGCAAAACTATATAATGTATACAATTTTACGCCTTTATACAAAGTCAAGAGAACAGGGTAAAATCCTGCTTGCTGCACATAACGGAAGAAAAGTTAATACCAACGAATCCCTCCTCCAACTACCACAAAGACAAGAAGGATATGCCAATTCACCATAAACTACAATGATGGTGGAGAATAGGTCAGTTTCTCAGCATTGCAGCTTCAGCCCACAAGATTCCTGTATTTCCCCATATGGGACACTCAATGAGAGAGTGAGTGAATGAGAGAGAGGCACTAGATGACAAAACATTTACCCCTGGATTTTTGAGTCACCTTTTTACTTCAAATCCCAGATGACTCTAGCCAAATAAAAGGATAAATATTCTGTGTTGACCTATTTCCCTCAACCAGAGCCTGGGAAAGAATCTAAAATGGTAATTTGGAGGATGCCTCTTGCTGACAACCGAATGATCCTTTAAATTCAATCAGGTCTTTTAGTTATTAAACAATAACATTTGTTTATTATTATTGTTAAATTCACCACCAGAGGGAGCTCATCTTTTCCTGTCATCTAGAGACCAATAGACTACAAAGTAACGACTGTTCTCCTAATTTCAGTATTAAAATATATAATTTTTGCCTGGGATAAATGTTGGAATGTGTGTTTACATTGAGCTATTCTAGTTGTCTCAGAAAGCAGCAGAGAAACTTCAATCAACCACAAATTTGTTCTCCAATTTATTACCTCCTCACAACTTTCCCCAATGAAAAGAGAAAAATAAATCTACCTAGAGAATTACATTTTCCTCATGTACGCCTCTGGAATTTACCACACTTTTCTAATGAAGCATCACTTCAGAATTTTCTAGGCTCTCTGAGTCAAAGCACAGCAGAAGGATCTTTGGAGAAAAACGATTGGCTGCTTGATGTTTGCTAAGTCATTTGAAAGTCTAAGATATCTCAAATGGAAATCTCCATCTGTGGTGACATAAAATACATCTATATTTAATGTTAATAGTCACTAATATTAAGTGTAAATAAGCAGAGAGAAAGATCGTAGGACCCTTATTCACCAAATGGATGTAATCCATAACTAATTTTAAAAAATGAAGTCAATCTTTTGGTAGGGAAGTGAATGATCTCTGAAGGTAAACTAAAATCAAGTCCTAGAAGATGATATTTTAGTTTTCTTTTAGCATCTGCTTGTCAAAAGCAAGAATTTGATTTATTTAAGTCCTTTTTACTGCTAGTAGCAAATATATGCTTTTTAGGAAGCAGGACCATTTTTATATTTTTGAAACTCAGTGAGTCTGCTATACCTGTAAATATTTGAATACTATAAATGACTAGTGCTGAGGAGAAGGATATAGTGTTTCATTAAGTATTTGCTCCATTTTTAAAGAGCCCGTGACCATGGCAACCAGGTGCTGCCAACTGACCCCAATGGCAGCCACACTTGCTGCTTTATCTCAATTGCTACTGGGAGCACACAAGCTTTATAGATTTATTGAATCACATTAGATTATAGGCAATTTTTAAGTGGTTCAAAAGGAGAGGAATAGCTTGTTTTTAATCTAAAGAAGTAGAATTGTTATGCATGCATTATTTCCTGCAGGTAATATTCATACACAATTTAAGGATTTTAAGAAACAAACGAAAGAGATTTGTGGACGAATACGGCAGACAGATCATATGTGCTTATTCTTTGCTCCACCCCAGCACCTCTTTCAATACCAGTTAAAGGACATAAGGTAATAATTTTATGCCTGTCTACAAAGACAAGAGTGCAGGAGAAGAGAAGAGGGAAGGCCAGATTGTCAACAGAATTTTGGAAGTTGGAAAATAGATGGATGAGTCATAACTCATTTACAGAGCAGAAATGTTGAAACCAAACTGTCTGTTGGGGGTGGAGGAAATGACAATAACAAGCAAGCTGATTCATGCCATAGACCCTCAAAGGCACAGTGATAAGAGGGGTTAGAATCTTCTGAATAAGCCTAGGATGTGGAGCTGGGAACACAAGACCTAGTTGATTGAGCACTCACACCCCTAAATTTGCACCCCCAGACACTGAGTAAGGTAACTTTCCTGGAGAGGCAAGCTGAGGGAGCAGTGTATCATAGGGCTGAAAACAAGGGTAATGAGTGGAAATCTGGATACCAAAGAGCCAGGCAGTCAGCTTCCTGCCCCACCCAGCTCTCAAGCCCTGGACTGGATATTGGCTGATTCTTCTTGAGATATAGGCAAGACACTGCTTTCTTATTAATCTCATACTAGTATTAGACTTTTAAACTATATATACATATTTATCACTAAAAAATAATAATAAATTATTAATAGCAGGAAAAAACTGATTTGAATCAGTGCCCCAAGCCATAGAGATTACATATGTGGTATATAGTGAAAAATTTTAACGTGCATGTCGCTACTCAGTTATGCCAAGTGACAGCTTGTTGTTGGACTTATTCTGTTGCCTTGGAATTGGACATAGAGAGCCAAAGTGAGGCTTGAAATACTGAAAGTAACTGCATCCTAAAAAGAGCTGCAAAAAATGAAGATGAGACAACCTCTCCAGAGCTTATAAAGATGTAAACAGATACTGCTACCCCCAGCCACTATGTCCAATACCTATCTTCTTCCTCTCCAATCTCTTGATATGGTTTGGATCTATGTCCCTACCAAATCTCATGTTGACCTGTAATCCCCAGTCTTTGAGGTGGGGCCTAGTGGGAGGTGATTAGATCATGGGGGTGGACTTCTCATGAATGGTTTAGTACCATGCCTCCTTGGTAATGTATAGTGAGTGAGTTCTCACCAGATCTGGTTGTTTAAAAGTGTGTGACACCTCCTTCCACCATCTCTCTCTTCCTCCTTTCCAGCCATGTGAAGCGCTGGCTCCCTCTTTGCCTTCTGCCATGATTGCAAGTTTCCCGAAGCCTCCTCGGTAGCCAAGCAGATGCCAGCATCATGCTTCCTGTACATTCGGTGGAACTGTGAGCCAATTAAAGCTCTTTTTTAAATAAATTATCCAGTCTCAGGTATTTATGTATAGCAATGCAAGAACAAACTAATATGGAAAATTGGTACTGAGGAGTGGGGCATTATTATAATGATACCTGAAAATGTGGAAGCAGCTTTGAAACTGGATAATGGGCAGGCAGAGGTTGGAACGGTTTGGAGGGCTCAGAAGAAGACAGGAAGTTGAGGAAAAGTTTAGAACTTCCAAAAGACTTGTTGAATGGTTGTAACTAAAATGTTGATAGTGATATGGAGAGTGAAGTTGAGGCTGAGGAGGTCTCAGATGGAAATGAGGAACTTATTGGGAACTGGAGTAAAGGTCACTTTTGCTATGCTTTAGCAAAGAGTCTAGTTGCTGTCAGGCCTCTGAGCCCAAGCTAAGCCATCATAACCCCTGTGACCTGCACGTATACATCCAGATGGCCTGAAACAACTGAAGAACCACAAAAGAAGTGAAACAGCCAGTTCCTGCCTTAACTGATGACATTCCACCATTGTGATTTGTTCCTGCCCCACCC
The DNA here is from genome assembly GCF_000001405.40 of Homo sapiens. Taxonomy (NCBI): domain Eukaryota; kingdom Metazoa; phylum Chordata; class Mammalia; order Primates; family Hominidae; genus Homo; species Homo sapiens. The sequence goes on from NC_000002.12 coordinate 223,462,527, forward strand.
TAACTGATCAATGGACCTTGTGACATTCCTTCTCCTGGACAATGAGTCTCAGGAGCTCCCCACCAAGCACCTTGTGACCCCCGCCCCTGCCCGCAAGAGAAAACCACCTTTAACTGTAATTTTCCACTACCTACCCAAATCCTATAAAACTGGCCCACCCCACCTCCCTTTGCTGACTCCTTTTTCAGACTCAGTCCACCTGCACTCAGGTGATTAAAAAGCTTTATTGCTCACACAAAGCCTGTTTGGTGGTCTCTTCACATGGATGCACGTAAGAGTTGCATTATGCCCCTGCTCTAGGGATCTGTAGAACTTTAAACTTGAGAGTAATGATTAAGGGTTTTTGGCAGAAGAAATTTTAAGCAACAAAACATTCAGGATAGCCTGGCTACTTCTAACAACCTATGCTTATATGTGTGAACAAAGAAATGACCTGAAACTGGAACTTATATTTAAAAGAAAAGAAGAGCATAAAAGATTGGAAAATTTGCAGCCTGGCCATGTGATAGCAAAGAAAATGCCATTTTCAAGGGAGCAGTTCAAGCAGGCTGCAGAAATTTTCATAAGTAAAAGAGGAGCCAAGTGCTAATAGACAATGGGGAGAAGGCCTTGAAGACATTTCAGAGACCTTCTAGGCAGCCCCTCCCACCACAGGCTAAGAAACCTAGGAGGAAAGTTTGGTTTAGTGGGCCAGGCCCAGGGCCCTACTGCCCTGCACAGCTTTGGGACACTGCTCCCTGCATCCCAGCTACTTCAGCTCCAGCTGGAGTTAAAAGGGGCCCAGGTACAGCTCGTGCCACTGCTTCAGAGGGTGAAAGCCATAGGCCTTGGCAGCTTCCACGTGGTAGTAAGCCTTTGGGCATGCAGAGTGTCATAGCTGAGGCTTGGAAGCCTAGATTTCTGAAGATGTATGAAAAAGCTTGGATGTCCAGGCCGAAGCCCTTATGGAGGACCTCTACTAGGGCAGCACAGAGGGGAAATGAGGGGTTGGAGCCCCCATACAGAGTCTCCAATGGGGCACTGCCATTTGGAGCTGTGAAAAGAGGGCCACCATCCTCCAGACCCCACAACGGGGTCTGTCACAATCTACTGACAGCTTGCCCCCTGCACCTGGACAAGCCTCAGGCACTCAACACCAGCCCTTGCGATTAACCACAGGAGCTGAATCCTGCAAAGCCTCATGGACAGAGATGCCCAAGACCTTGGGAGCCCACCCCTTACACCAGTGTGCCCTGTATGTGAGATATGGAGTCAAGGGAGACTATTGTGGAGCTTTGAGATATAATAATGGCCCTGCTGGGTTTCAGGCTTGCATGGGGCCTGTAGCCACTTTCTTTTGGTGAATTTCTCCCTTTTGGAATGGGATTATTTCTTAATGCCTGTACTCCCATTATGTCTTGGGAGTAACTAACTTGTTTTTGGTTTTACAGGCTCATAGGTGGAACAGACTTGCCTTGTCTCAGATGAGACTTTTGAGTTTGGATTTTTATGTTAATGATGGAATGAGTTAAGACTTTGGGGGACTGTTGGGAAGGCATAATTGTATTTCACAATGAGAGGGACATGAGATTTTAGAGTTGGGGGGCAGAGATAGAATTATATGGTTCGGATCTGTTTCCTTACCAGATTTCATGTGTAATTGTAATCTCCAGTGTTGGAGGTGGTCCTGGTGGGAGGTGACTGGATCATGGGGTTAGAGTTCTCATGAATGGTTTGGCACCGTCCCTCCTTGGTACTGTATAGTGAGTCAGTTCTCACAAGAGCTGGTTGTCTAAAAATGTGCAGCACCTCCCCCACCCTCTCTCTCTTCCTTCTGCTCCAGCCATGTGAAGTGCTGGCTTCTCCTTCACCTTCTGTTGTGATGGTAAGTTTCATGAGGCCTCCTCAGAAGCTGAGCAGATGCCAGCACCATGCTTCCTGTACAGCCTATATCACCATGAGCCAGTTAAACCTCTTTTCTTTATAAATTACCCAATCTCAGGTATTTCTTCATAGCAATGTGGGACCAGACTAATACACCTCTCTAGGAGATAAACATGAGAGAACTTGAGGCCAGAGGATAAAGAAGAGAAAAGCATATGGAATCCTGGGCCTTTACCCCACCTATAGGAAATTGCATAGCTTTTGGGAGGGGATTATATCCATTCTCCCTGCAAACTAAAAGAGAGTGTATTAGTTTACCATTCCTGCTGTAACAACCAACCACAAAATTAGTGGCTTAAAACAATGCAAATGTATTACCTTACAGTTCTGGAGGTCAGAAGTCTAAGATGGGTCCACTGGGTTGAAATCAAGGTGTTGGCAGAGCTGCATTGCATTCTGGAGGCTCTAGGGGAATATCTATTTACTTGCCTTTTCCAGCTTCTACAAGCTGCCCACATTCCCTGGTCCATGGGCCCTTTCTTCACCTTCAGAACCTGCAACAGCCAGTCAAGTCTTTCTCACATTCCACTGCTCTGACACTAGTTACCCTGCCTCCCTCTTCCACATTTAAGGACCTTTGTGATTACACTAGGTCTGCCAGATAATCCAGGATACTCTCCTTATTTTAAGGTCAGCTGAGTAGCAACCTTAATTCCTACTTACCACGTGATATAACATATTCAAAGGTTCTGTAGATTAGGATATGGATGTCTTTGTAAGGAGGAAGGAAAGAATTATTCTCTCTACCACAGAAAAGCTGGAAGAAACAGCTCTCCATTCATAAGTATCCATTCATAAATATCCATTCATAAGTATCTGGAGTGCCATTCTTTATCCATTCATCAATATTTGCAGTGCCTATAGAAGGGGTAGCATCAGTTTCAAATTGGACATAAGCTTAGGCTACTCAGACCCATTGTCTGTCCTACCAGAGGATAAGAAAATTAGAGATCAATGGCAAGCTGGAGAAAGGGAGCAGCCTGAACCTTTTCTGTGGATTAACCAGAACTGCTAATATGGTTTGGCTGTGTCCCGACCCAAACCTCACCTTGAATTGTAATAATCCCCACATAACAAGGGCAGGGCCAGGTGAAGATAATCGAATCATGGGAGCAGTCTCCCCCCTACTGTTCTCGTGGTAGGGAATAAGTCTCATGAGATCTGATGGTTTTATAAATGGAGGTTCCCCTGCACAAGCCTTCTTGCCTGCTGTCATGTAAGATGTGCCTTTGCTCCTCATTCGCCTTCCACCATGATTGTGAGGCCTCCCCGGCCATGTGGAACTGTGAGTCAATTAAACCTCTTTCCTTTATAAATTAGTCAGTCTTGGGTATGTCTGTATTAGCAGTGTGAGAACAGACTAATACAACTGCAGAAGACAATTAGGCACGAAGTGTCTTTCTGCAAGCCAGAAACCCTGGGAGGTGAGGCAAGAGGCTGTGGAGTGTGACTCTGGGGATAACAGTTGGGGGTGATGATGAAAGAGGCAAAGCTAGGTCTTCTGTGCCAGGGAACTTGTGCAATAGGAAAACCTCATGGCTCGGTGCCTCCAAATTGACTCATGTGCATGCCTCTGAGAACCAGCACTTCCCCTGCTGCACCAAGGGTAACAGAAAAGGTCAAACTGACCAGAAGAGCAATGGCCATCAACAATAGTGCAATCACATGGGCAGTTAAGGAAAATAAAGTGGTGCTCTCTTTACTTCTATCTCATTTTCCATCTCTCCAACTCCCCAGAGAAGTTAATACTAGAAAGGGTGGTACAGGTGCCTTTAGAAAGTCATCCAAATTCTATCCCTACTCAGAACTTTTAGCCTCAAGTAAGACAAAGCTGTGTTGGTGAAGGGATAAGGAAGTATGAGATTACAATTTAAAATTGGTCTGAACCAGACTTTTGAAAACTTTTTACTGAAATATAATACACCTACTTTAAAAAGTACACTGAGGTGTATAGATTGCTAAATTTTCACAAACTGAACACACCAATGTGACCAACATCCAGATAAGAAGCAAAATATTACCAATCCCCAGATACTCCCTTATTCCTTTCCACTCTCAAAGCCTGCTCCCTCTAGAGTAATCAATATCATGAATTTAAACAACATACATTAGTTTCACCTGTTTTTGTACTTTATACAAATGAAATCACATAGTATATTTTGGGTCTGACTCCTTTCGTTCAACATTATGTTGCTGAGAATCATTTTTGTGTTTTTACTTGTATTGGTAGATCATGTATTTGCACCTTTGTAAAATATTCTACTATATAACTACACTGCAATTTATCTATTCTATTGTTTATGGACATAAAATAGCTTCTAGTTTAGAGGTATCAAAAATAGTACTTACAGTGAATATTCTACTATGTGTACTTTGTGGAAAATATGCTTACTTTTCTGGTTGATATGTACCCAGGAGTGGAATTTTGGGTCATATCTTCAGTTTGGACATATGTTACTGTGTTAGTCCATTTGTGTTGCTATAGAAGAATACCGGAAACTGGGTAATTTACAAAGAAAAGAGGTTTATTTTGGCTCGAGTTTCTGCAGGCTGTATAAGAAGCATAGTGCCAGCATCTATTCCTATTGAGGACCTCAGGTAGTTTATAATCACAGATGAAGGCCAAGGGGAGCCAGAACATCACATAGTGACAGGGGGAGCAAGAGCACAGGGAGAGGTGCCACACTCTTTTAAACAACTAAACTTTACATTAACTCACTGATTACTGCAAGAAAGTCACCAAGCCATTCATGAAGGATCTACTCCCATGACTGAAATATCTCCCAACAAGCCCCACTTTCGACACTGAGAATCACACCCAACATGAGATTTCAAGGGGACAAGCATCCAAACTATATCAGTTATCAAATAGTTTTTTAAGGAACTGTGTGGAAGGCCTATTGTTTCACATCTTAATTTTATACTTGGTAGTTTCTGTTTCATTTGAGCTATTCTAATGGTTGGGTAATAATATCTCATAGTTTTAGTTTGTATTTTTCTGATGACTAATGAAGTTAAACAACTTTGTATATGTTTATTGGCCATCTCAATACTTACTTTTTTGAAATATTTGTTTAATCTTTCATCCGTTTTTTTGAGTTGTCTTACTCACATATAGGGCTTCCTTATATATTCTGGATATGAATCCATATGAATCTCAATATTCATAAGTGAATATCTTCTCTTACTTGGTAAGTTACTTTTTTATTCCCTTTTAATGATGTCTTTTGATGAACAGAAGTTCTTAATTTTAATAGAGTCTAATTTATTAATATTTTTATGGTTATATGTTTCATGTCTCCTTTAAGAAATCTTTGGCACCTCCAAGACAATGAAGTTATTTGGATTAGACTTTTTATTAATTGAAAGTGACAAGAAAGCTATCAGTTCTACCTAGAAGGCTGTTTCATCTGAGTGTGGTTGAGGGTAATTGTTGGAGACAAATCAAATTTTGTCACATTTGTACCTTATCTGTTTCAGGCTGTTTGACACAGGAGCTGCACAAAGAAAATATAGCTGTTGCTTTGGTTTGGTTTGGTTTTGATTTTGAGGTAACATTCTGAGAGTCATCTTTTATTTTACTTTTATTCTTTTTACAACTGACACATAATTGTGCATATTTACAGGACACAACATATTTTAATACATGTGTAAATTGCGTAATGATAAAATCAAGGAAATTAGCATATGCATCACCTTAAACATTTATCATTTCTTTGTGATGAGGACATTCAAAATCTTTATAGCTTTCTCTGAGTTAGGGAAGAAAAAATTTACTCTTAACAAAACCTCAGTTTCTTCTGGTTTGAACAATGCCTTTGTATTAGTCTGTTCTCATGCTGCTAATAAAGACATACCTGAAACTGGGTAACTTATAAAGGGAAGAGGTTTAACAGACTCACAGTTCACCATAGCTGGGGAGGCCTCACAATCATAGCGGAAGGCAGAGGAGAAGCAAAGTAACATCTTACATGGTGCCAGGCAAGAGAGCATGTGCAGGGGAACTCCCCTTTATAAACCCATCAGATCTCGTGAGACTTAATCACTATCACGAGAACAGCACAAGAAAGACAGGCCCCATGATTCATTACCTCCCACCAGGTCCCTCCCATGACACATGGGGACTATGGGAGCTATAATTCAAGATGAAATTTTGGGTGGGGACACAGCCAAACCATATCAGCCTTTCAGATAAATGTTCAGTCTTCCTTCCCACTCTTCTAAAGATGTATGAATGGGGAGCACCCTGTGTCCTTTTGTGGCAATAAAGGGTATTCTTAGGCTATTCTTTGGATACTTGCTGGATTTCTGGCAATGGAGTTTTCCAATGTATACTGCTCACATTTCTGGAATTTGTTGCTAAGGTCTATAGACAGAGGGTTTGTGGTTTATCCTCTTTCAGTATGGCCAGGTACCATGGCATCACCTGGGGTCTGCTTGTGATGCTCAGTTGATTCCTGGCCTAGGTGCTCTCCCTGCAATCTTTGGCACAGACTCATTTTGACCCCAGCACAATGACCTATCTGAGAGGTCACTGTCCAGCATCACCAGCTGCCCTCTACAGAGCAGGCTGACACTTTTGGACACCTTCCACTGTTATCACCAAGGAATCAGGAGAAAACTCAGGAGTTTAGACTCAAAGTTTCCCTCTGAACCAGCAGGTCATACCCTTTGTTCTCCCAATGACAATGCTGGGGAATCCTCCTAGAGACCCAAACCTGAGTCAGGACAGGTTCCTTTGGTTTCTGTCTTCCTCTCATTCTATTTAGTAACACCTTCCAATAGAAGAAGGAAGAGTTACCAGGTACTGACAAATCATGATCCTTGTGGAAAATCATTAACAAAAATGGCCACGATGATTTTCTTTCATGCTTCTTTGCAATGTGACTTTGCAGTTTTTCCCACCAAGAAGGGGAGTCTCTCTCTCTCTCTCTACCCTTTGACTCTGGCTAGCATGATGATTGGCTTTAACCAACAAAATTCATCAGAAGTGATGTCATGTCTTTCTGCCTCTAGGCCTCAAAAGGTCACGTGTCCCTCAGTCTTCTCTCCCAGAATACAGTCACCACCACATGAGCAGTCCCAGGAGAGCAACCCCAGCAGGCCCAGCTGAGATCACCCTAGTCTAGCAGCCACCAGTCTATCAGGCAGCTGATCCCAGACACAGGAGCAAGCCGAGCTGAGACTAAACTACTTAGCAGCAGTAAACACAATTTGATGATCTGCAGAATCATGACCTAGATAAATGGTGCTGGTTTAAAGACAGTAAATTTTGAGGTGGCATTTCATGTAGAAAAAGCTGATTCTTTTCTCACTGTCTCTTTCCCACACTTCGCCAGTACAAAAGGGCAAGATTTCACCTCATCTCCCTTTCTGTTACAGACTGTGCTTAAGCACATCCCCAGTCCCCATTTATCTCCTGGGAACACCAGGCCTCACGGTGCAGTCTTAATGGTGGGATAAATCTTGTCTCAACACTATGGAAGAAATTCTGTCATTCAAACATCAGGCTTGGCTCATCATAGGTTAATGATAGCTGTACGCATTTTTAAAATAATTTTCTCTTTCTGTGAAAACTGACTTCTAAGAAACAATTTTATGATTGCAGACTCAAAAATGCCACTTTGTATGCAAGAACAGAATGGATCATCTTTCTTTTTGTAAGCTTACTTTAAAAATCCTAATCCTCTGAAGGAAATAGATGTCTCAGAAAGAATAGGTCTGGAGCAGGGGAAGGTCATACTGAAGTTAATACAAAAGGGCAAAAAACATTGAAATGTGTTTTAAAACATTATCTTCCTCACATGTATGAACTATGTTTTCTTGGGGCAATCAGGCATGTCCTAGATTCCTCATGGATTGGAGGAGAGGATTGGGATTTTTGATCCTTTGTGTCTAAATTGGACATTCTCTGACTTTTTGGTACTTATGATGTAACCAGTAAGACCTTCAGTGCAAGAGTAAGTCATAGACCACCAAACATGAAACACATGAACAAGCCCTAAAAACCCTAAGATGAGTCTAGAAAACAAGGTCAGGGCTTTTCAGTACCTTATTTATTGTTTTTCATGAGTCTCTGGAAGGGAAGGAGGAGCCACGGGGAAGGAAAAGAATAGCATATTCAAAATAGATCTTTCTTTTATTTGGAGGAATGAACTACCTGGATCTGGTTTCACTAGGTTGAGGACAAGGGTTGTGCTGCAAAAAACAAACAAAAACACCAGTGCTAGGCACTGTGAGAGACCCAAGGCAAGGTACCTGTTATTAAGAAACTTTCTACCCAGTGGGGAGGTAGAATTAACCAAGACAAAATAAGAAATGGTAGTGACACAGCGCAGGCAAGCCTCAAAACTGGGACTTAGTCCAGGAGGATTCTTAGCTTTACTCAGGAAAGAATTCAAGGGTGAGCCGGTGGTGTCAGTAACTTTCACTGAAGCCCCATTGCACAGTAGCAGGAAAGGTACTGCTCCTTGTGGAACAGGGCTACCTCCATAGGCAGTGTACCCAGAGTAGCAGCTCAGAGGCAGTTCTGCACTCATATTTATACCCACTTTTAATTACATGCAAATTACGGGGCAGATTACGCAGACATTTCTAGAAAAAGAGTGGTAACTTCCAGGTCATCAGGTTGTTGCCATGGAAAGGGGCAGTAACTTCTGGGCATGCCCATGGCAATGGTAAACTGACATGGAACTGGTGAGCATGTCTCATGCAGAGTTGCTTTCACCTCTTCCCTGTTGTGGCTAGTCTTCAATCTGGTCCAGAGCCCAAGCCCTACCTCCAGAGTTGAGTTTGCCTCTGACCTTATTTCCCCCTAAAGGATTAGATACTCCTCCTCCTTAACCTTAAGAGGTGCAAAAGAGTGGCCCTGCCTAGCACTGGAGGAGCAAAACTCTCTGAACACCTGATCTAAGGGGTCCAGAATCAGGACATTTTCATTCTTTAGATCAGTAGATGGGATGGATTGGAAACTTTGTGCCAGCATTTTCTTTACATGGAACTGTTATAATCTAGAAGACACAAACTTTACCAAGAAGTTAAACAAACAAGAGCCAAAGATTAGTAATAAGAAGGCAAATATCAGAGGACCTAGGAGAGGTAAAATCCAAATAAGAATTTGGAAGGCACTCTTTTTTTTCTTTTCTTTTTTTTTTTTTTTTTTTGAGATGGAATCTCACTCTATCATCCAGGTTGGGGTGCAGTGGTACAGTCTTGGTTCACTGCAATCTCCACATCCCAGGCTCAAGCAATACTCCCACCTCAGCCTCCCGAGTAGCTGGGACCACAGGCACGTGCTACCATGCCCAGCTAAGTTTTTCATAGAAATGGGGTTTTGCCATGTTCCCCAGGTTGGTCTCAAACTCCTGAGTTCAAGCAATCCACCTGAGTTAGCCTCCAAAGTGCTGGGAGGGAAGGCACGTTTGATAGTCAACCAGATATTGCTGAGGTCAATGCCCTGGTTTTTTTTATAACCAGGTAGGTTGCTCATAGTTCTTTTAACTGTTAACCTCGATCTTTCCAGAGTTGTTAATATAAGTACAGCAGGTTTTATTAATAACTGCACAGACTCCACTTTGTGTAGCTAGTAAATAATCCAATGCTAGTCTGTTATTGAGAATTACATTTGCCACACTGTCGAGGGACTCTTCAATTCCCTCTAATGCCTGATTTGTGTTTGTGGCTAAGGATTTTAGGGTTTGAGTTAAGTTTTCTTAGGGTTGACTCATGATAGGCAAGGCCACCCCAGGGTGCTACTAGTCCTATTGCTACCCCAGTTCCTGCCAGAATTAATCCAATTGTTCACTTGCTTCTGGTATTCCTGGGTCCTATGGGGTTAGACTGTGACCCCTTAAGGGGCAAGGGTAGTCAATGTAAATGCACCTCTGTTCCAAGTTCTTTATATACAGGGAGAGCTACTCCTAAAAGAACAGGTGTCTACGTATGTAGTTGGGAGTGGTTACAGAGTATGACTTTTTCCATTCATGGCCTCAACAAAAATGAGCCCACTTGAAGCAAAAATAGAGGCCTTACAGGGTATGATGTCTATATATCACTGCCAAGTTGGGTCTATATATTCTTTCCCTATTCCAATTGGGGTGGTAGAACAATCTTTGTTTTCCAGAAGGGGTTGGTACTTCCACCATCTCAGATTAGGCAATTATTTTTTCCCGTTTATGTTCTGATCCAGGAGAAGGCACTATATATGGTCTCACTTACAAGTGGAATCCCATTTACTTTGCTGCAGCCTTGGGAACTTGGCAACTAGAGTTGGATTAGAGCATCACAGAGAAACTTCCATTCTGGGTCATTAACACAACAGTGGATGCAAAAGATAGAATCATTAGTGCACTTGTGTATTAGTCCATTTTCATACTGCAATGAAGAAGTACTCAAGACTGGGTAATTTAGAAAGAAAAACAGGTTTAATGGATTCACAGTTCCACATGGCTGGGGAGGCTTAACAATCATGACAGAAGGTGAAAGAGGAGCAAAGTCATGTTATACATGGCAGCAGGCAAAAGAGCATGCGCAGGGGAACTGCCCTTTATAAAACCATTTTATCTCGTGAGACTTACTCACTATCACCAGAACAGCATGGAAAAAAACCTGCCGCTAGTATTCAATTACCTCCCATTGGGTCCCTCACATGACACGCAGGGATTATGGGAGCTACAATTCAAGATGAGATTTGGGTGTGGACACAGTCAAACCATATCAACTGGAGATATAGATACCCACCTTCCCAAGTCCAGGTAATAGCGGCAGGGGGTGTTCATGTGGAATCCATTAAGTGGTGGAGAGTTCCACATAACAAGTAGGGACTTGGGTACTTTGGGATCACTATGGTTAGTTAGAAGGTCTGGGGAGTTGGCTGTGAGATTTTCTGGATAGATCAAAAGACGGAATGTTGATGACAAATCCAGAAACTTTGCTTGCCCCAGTAGGTACGGAAGACAGGAAGAAGCAGGGAAGAGGATCCTGTAGCATCAAGTAAGGAAGGGACAGGGTAAACCATGTTGCTCAAAAGGACACCCTGGAGTCCCCAAGCTGCCATAGAGCTTACCCAGCAGTGAAGACACTGAAGAAAAACGTTCAGGTGGCCACTTCTCTGCCATTGTGAGAAGCTATCTGTCTAGTCAAGGGTCCAAGACCTCTTTAAACTTACTTGAGCAAGGTAGCTCACTGGGGCTAATGTAAGAAGGTTAGCTATAGTATTAATGGGGAGTCTTTTTCTCTCAATCACAGGGAACAGTTAGGACATTCTCATTGTCAATGGTCCTTTTGCTTACAGTAGGCATACTGATTCTGGCCTAGTGGCCACCAAGTCAGGGGCTCTTGTCTGGGCCTCCCAAATGCCAATCTCATAACACTTTTTTGGGATGGGTAATTCTGAGGTGGCAGGGGGTTTAATGCAACTGCTAACAATTGTACTTTTTGTCTACTTGTTTTTATCTTTTTTTCACTTTTTTGCCCTGTATGTATTGTTGTAAACTTTTTTTTAATGTTTTTTGAGATAGAGTCTCACTGTGTTGCCCAGGTTGGTGTGCAGTGGCACGATCTTGGCTCACTGCAACCTCTGCCTCCTGAGTTCAAGTGACTCTCCTGCCTCAGCCTCCCGAGTAGCTGGGATTACAGGCACATGTTACCATGCCCAGCTAATTTTTGTATTTTTAGTAGAGACAGGTTTCACCAGGCTGGTCTCGAACTTCTGACCCCAAGTGATCCACCGGCTTGGCTGGGAAAAAGGTGCTGGGATTACAGGTGTGAGCCACTGCGCCTGGCCTTTTATTGTTGTAAACTTTAAAGGCTGTGTTTAAAAGTTGACCATAGGGGTTTGAGGTCCCATTACTGCTTTTCATAGCTTTCTCCTAATGTTAGGGGCAGATTGTGTAATAAAATGTATAACCAAGAGAGCTTGCCCCTCTGGAGAGCCTCGGCCTGCGTTAATATATATCCTGAGTGCTCTAACCAAATGACCCTGAAACAGAGCAAAATTTTTATTTTTTCCCTCAGTTATTTCTCTAACCTTGTCATAATTGACTGGCTTAATCACACCTTTTTTTCTTCACTCTTTTCTCACAGCACAGCAAGTGGATGACAATATTAGTAAGTCATGACAAGTTAAAGAACATGGTCAGCTTAAAGTCCTCCACAAATTTTTCTAGATCCTCTGAAAGCTGACCAAATTTTTCCTTTTATTAAGCCAAATTAGACAGAGAAAATGGCACATGTACTTAGAGTGTTCCCTCATTCTATCAGCTATCTTCCTCAATGGACACGTGGACGCAGGATTGAATTTAGGGGCTGATATGGGGTTCCACTTCCAGTGGTACTTGTTGAGCTTACTTTCTCAGACAGAGGTGGGTATAGGGTGGAACTAGTTGAATAAGGAATAGGTGTGCCTGACAATCTTGAGGTGGGATCCTTCATTAGAAAACTGGTGGGAGACCCCTCAGCATTGGGGATCTGAGAAGACTCTGGGGAAAATGTAGGCCTTCTAGGGGGAGCAGCTAGGAGGGGATCTCTTAGGCCAGGGGTCCCCAACCCCCAGGCTGTGAACTGGTACCAGTCTGTGGCCTGCTAAGAACTGTGCCACACAGCAGGAGGTGAATGACAGGAGCAGCAGGAAAGCATTATGTGCTGAGCTCTGCCTCCTGTCAGATCAATGACAGCATTAGATTCTCACAGGAGTGCAAACTGTATTGCAAACTGAGGGTGTGAGGGATCTACATTGTGCGCTCCTTATGAGAATGTAACTAATGCCTGATGATCTGAGGTGGAACAGTTTCATCCTGAAACCATCCCCTCCCAGCCCCGGTCCATGGAAGAACTGTCTTCCATGAAACAAGTCCCTGGTGCCAAAAACGTTGGCGACTGCTGCTTTCCTGTTGCCTGGAAGTAATGTGAGCCAGTAAAGGACCATAAAAGCCTATATATAAGAGACCTTCTCCATTTTTCTTTTCTTTTCTTCCTTTCTTTCTTTTTTTTTTTTTTTTTAACCAAGTAAGTTCAATTGTGAAATATCATTATAACATTTAGAACCATGTTTTGGCTAAATCTGTTGGTTTTCTAAGTTGTATTGAACCCAAATAATGATGCAATAGAAAATGAATTCCTTTTTCTTTAAGCTGAATTCTAAAAATTTGCTCCAATAGCATAAGAGACGCTTTAGTAGTGAGTTTTCTGAGATGCTTGTCACTGTCCCCATGACTAACAGAGGTTTTTCTGGACATAGAAGTTTTTTTAATGTAGCAAGAGGGAGAGCAACTGGGCCCCTGTTATTTTTCCCTTTTGGATTTCCACTTCCCACAGAAAAGGTCTAAGTATAGGTAGCAAGATGTTAATGATTATAAGGATTATAAATGTTTGCCAGGGAACAAAATACAACCAAAGATGTATTTTTATTAAACAAAGTATAGAAGGAAGAGTAAATAAAGTGACAATAAAAAAGAATATGCTGTTACAGGAAACAATAACTTTAGGGTGGAAAATAAGAAAGAGCAAGACCAGGATTCTCCTAGGGTGGGCTTCCAACCCACAATCCTAGAAGGAATGCCAGTGCCAAAAACCCTAGAGCATCTGGAGGGCAGCCAACAATACCAAATGGCAACAACCCAAACTATCTGAGTATTAGTCCATGAGGGTACCCGCATCAAATGCCAGAAATCCTGGAGTACCTGGGACTGACCAAAGGCAGAAAACCCAGGAGCATCTGAGGGACAGCCAACAGTGAACCAGAGAGGTCTGGCTGGGGACACAGAGCAATGTGAATCTGGCATCCCAGAATCAGCACAGCAGGGGACCTCTCACAACAAATTGTCCTGCCTTAAACAGTTGCCCACGGAGTGAAAGCAAAAAATAAAATAAAATATAAAATAAAATAAAATAAAATAAAATAAAATAACTGTGAACATAACATACATTTTAAGACTAAAAATAAAATGGTTGTTGGTTGTTGGAGCACTAAAACGGAGTCAGAGGACAAAGGACCATGGGAAGGAGTGACAAGGACATGTTTTAGGGCACTCAAATAATGAGGGATTTTTAAATGACCACTTAGCCAGAGGCTTTTATTCCCTAGCCTACCCAATATTGTGAGGTTAGGAGGAAGATGAGACACTCGCCCCATCTGCAAGAGTCAAAATAGTGCTACCCAATCTTCCATGTGGGACTGGGGTGAAGGTCTCTCCAGGTTTTCTCAGCTTGAGTGAGCGTGGCTGGCATGTGGGGGGCCAGCATGAGGACCAGAGATCTGCAGGCCTGCTGGTAGGAGTGACAGGTCTCATACAAGGTGGCAGCATGATGGCTGCTTGCCCTTTCACTCAGCTCTGCTGCCCCTAGGAAAGGTGATGGCTCTTCAAAGAGCCTTTGGCTAGTGTTACAGCTCTGTAGTGTTAGCAGCTTCTCAGCGTTACAGCTCTGCAGCTTCTGATTGTTGTCTCATTGTCTATTGTCAGTTGCTCCCTCTCTCTGTCTCACCATCCCATCGTCTCACCACCTCTTGCTGTCTCACTGTCCTACCACCTCTGTCTCACTCCAATTGCTGATTGCCACCATCTTTGCTGTCTCGTTGTCTCATCTCTCCACTGATTGCCACGATCTCTGCTGTCTTGCTGCCTCCACTTGCTGTCTTCATCCCTTTGTGGTTGCTAGATGATGCAGGGTAGGCAAACCCCAAAATTGAGGCTGGCCTATCCCAGGAGGGTTCTTGGCTTCACCCAAAAAAGAATGCAAGGGTGAACTCATGGTGTTAAACAGCAACTTTTATTGAAGCAGCCATGTACAGCAGCAGCAGAGGTACTGAACCTTGTGGAACAGGGATACTCCATAGGCAGTGTGCCCAGAATAGCAGCTCAGAGGCAGTTCTGCTGTCATATTTATACCCACTTTTAATTACATGCAAATTAAGGAGCAGATTATGCAGATATTTCTAGATATTTCTAGAAAAAGGGTGGTAACTTTCAGATCATCAGGCCATTACCATGATAAAGGAGCAATAAATTTTGGGTTTTGCCATGGCAACAGCAAACTGACATGGCATTGGTGGGTGTGTCTTATGAAGAGGCACTTTTGCCTCTTCCCTGTTTCAGTTAGTCTTTAATCTGGTCCAGTGCCCAAGCCCCGCCTCCAGAGTCCAGCCCTGCCTCCTACCTCTGTAATGAGTAATGATCTCACTGAAAGTTAAATATATGTTCAGAGAAGGGAGAGACCAGAATTATCATCTGGGAAAAACTCACAGAGGGGTTAACACTTGAGTCTGGCTATAAAGGATGAATAAGGTGTAAAGAAGTAGAGGGAATGTAGGCTAGGCAATAGACATAGAATAGAATGTATGGGAGCAGTGATTAGACACATCTAGGGCAAAACACTCATTCATTTAATTGTTTTGAGATAATTTATTGAATAACTATTAGAAGCCAGGCACTATGCTCACTCTGGGGATAAAATGATTATTTTAAACTGACATGCTCTTACTTTCATGGCAATAGGAGGTGCCATGTTGCACGTTCTGTGAAAACATGAGAGGGCTAGAGTCAGATGTGAGAATCAGGATAAAACACAATAAGCAATGAAGCTACTATGGTAGCTCACTCACTCACTATCACAAGAACAGCACCAACAGAGAAATCCACCCCCATAATCCAATCACCTCCCACCAGGCCCCACCTGCAACACTGGGGATTACAATTCAACATGGACACAGATCCAAACTATGTCAGGATCTATTTTAATGTTCCCCTTAATCCCAATCCTAGAACCATAATCTTTACACTTAAGGCCTTCTACCTTGTCAGCATTCAAACTCCAAACTCCATAATCCTTGTGGTGGACACTAGCTAAAATGTCTGCTTAGCTTTTGAAGTCATCCAATCAGTGCTTTTTTGCTGTGCTCCTTGTCGTCTTCTTTGCACACATGTAGCTTTTGTAGCAGACAGATATTTGAGAAAAGTTTATGTGCAAATTTGTGATTTTTCCCTTTGTTTCTCCCTTTTCAGGACTTCTTTCTCAATTTCACCCTTTCTGACAGCCCAAATTGCGTTCTCTGATACCTCAAGCCAATAAGACTGTAGATTTGTATATAAATTTTAGCCATCCCCATTATGTAGACTGGAAAGAGCCTTTATGGAAAAGTGTTATAAATGTAGAACTTATTCTATGCATTTCCTTCCTTTTACTGCTCATATTCCCTTTAACTTCATTTATGTTTTTAGTGCCTTCAAAAAGTTTTTAAATATTTTTTTCAAAGGCTTATAATTTTTATTTATGTGAGATTTAGTTTCTCCATCACTATCGGAATCACAACTTCTTCATCAGTAGCTCTTTTAAGCATACGAATGAGGTCTCTAATGTTAGGAGCAAATTGTTGCTGCTACTCTGACACTTCATGAAACTGCCTCTAGATCAATTGACACAGTCGGTCTGTTGCTGAGTTCAGGCCAGATTCTACCATGGAAGTTTCCTTTGTGATGTGTTTCTAAAAACCTCTAACTTATTCTTCGTCTCCCTCATTAAGCAAGAAGAATGATATCAATATCCAGCTGCTCTGTAGCTCTTTTCTGACCATGTAAATCACAGTCTTCAGTCTTATTCTAAGTCTTCTTGATCAAGGTCTCAGCCATAAGTAAAGCAGAGTATCCTGCCTTGCATGAAAGCTCATGGTTTTTGCTGCCAGAACTCTCTTCCTACTACATCTTTCTCCCCATATATTTCCTGCAGTGTTTATTTTTAATTGGTTAAATGACTGGTGGGGGTTCATGGTATTTTTATATGTAATAATTGGCCTTCACAGCTCTTTACGTTTATAACTAGAATGCATTTTTTGAAGCACTTCTGTATTTTATGAAATTTGAGAAATAACATTTTTCATTCTCAAAAAGTTCTTTCATATATACTACAGTACTTCAGAGACCATGTAGTATATTGGTTATGAGTACAGGAACTAGATTCTATGATTGTATATCTTGCTACTTACTAGTAGTTTAACTTTGGAAAAATTACTTAATTTCTTCCTATCTCAGTTTGCTCATCTGTAAAACAAGAATGATAATAAGTAGTACCACCATTAGATGCAAGCAGGTAAAGCCCCTGCCTTGGGTACTGCCTTGTGGAGGGTAGGAAGGAAAAGGGTTCCTTAAAAATTTTTATGTACCCTTCCAGTACCTACAACTGGCCAGGGCTGGCAGTGCTATCCAGGCAGGGGACCCCAAATCTAGACCAGGATCCATATAACCCAGAAGCTCCATTTGTCCCCGTAAGAGAGCTCTCAAGCCCTCTACCATGCATATGGGGTTGACCAGATACAATGCAGAGCTCTAGGAGTTTCACCTATGAGGTCATCTGGGCCTCCATTTCCAGAAGTATGGCCTGGCATGGAGATTGCTTTTGCTGACCTGAGCAGTATTTATTTCATGGGATCCCATGATACTGGGTCACCAGTCTCATGGTGTCTCAGGGCAACTCTCACTGACCTCCAACAGAGTACAAGTTAAGGGCTCTGAACTGTGCATGGTCTATTGCCAACCCTTGGTTTTAAGTTCTGTGTGTGGGCATATTAATTGGCTCTTGCCATTTGGATTCTAGTCATGATGCCACCTTTGGTCTATAGCACCCAAGGGGTAGTGCTAGTGGCAGACATTCTTTTATTCTGTGTACCCTCATTGATGACACTTAGAGCAGTCAGCACATCCTCTCTACAGTCTTCACTCCATATGTCAGATTCTCCAGGGATGGTCATGACCATCTCATTTTGTAAGGCCATTCCTCCGCAATGCCAGTGGGTCCTTCCAATCAATGTCCTTTCTTTCCTCCAATCAATGTAGTGGTGTAAATGCACATCTATCAGTCCTAAGTCATTCCAGATGAGGACTGACCATTCCTTGTATTAATACAAATGGGACTGCTCTTGTCAGTCTGCGCATAGTCCTCTTCCTTTCCTCAGGTTATGTAGATGGCAGAGCTGCAGTCAACATTGAAAGAGTTCGCAGTCTAGGAATGCATTGATTACAACCTAAAGATTTCAAGAGGAGATATAGTTGGAAAATGTGTTTTGCACATTTATGCTACAAAACTCTGAGTGTTAAATGAACATAACCAGAAAATGAATTATTATTCACATTATTTTTCTGCATATTCTGAGTAAGACTCGTATTTGTAATCATCAACAAATAATGATAAGCTTTTAGAGAGCCACTGCAAATAACTATTCTTGGGTAGCACATGGACAATGCATGGTTATAAATGATTATATAATCAGCATTAAATAAATGACATTAGGAAAGTATAGTGGTAAGAAGGTCTCTATTGTTTTAATACAAATGGTTCCAAAGAGCTATGGTTTTGCAGGCAGAATTCTGAGATGGCCCCCCAAGATTCCTGTTCCACTGAGACTGTGGAAATGATCTATTTTACTCCTGTGATTAGTTGATATTATGTGGCACGTTTGACTTTAAGAAAGAGAGATTATCTTGAGTGGACCAGATCTCACCAGATACGTCCTTAAAAGTCTGAGTTCTTCCTAACAAAAGAAATCTGAAGTATGAGACAGCTTATGGAAAGGAGCGATGTAGCAATAAATGGGTGGCCTCTAGGAGCTATAAGCAACCCCTGCCTGACAGCCAGCATCGAACTGAAGACCTCAGTCCGGCAGCCACATAAAAATACTATTTTGGAGTGATCCTCATAACAACTTGAAGGTTCTTGGAAGCAGATTTGTCCCCACAGCCTCCAGAAAGGAATATATTAGTGATATGGTTTGGTTGTTTTCCCAGTCAAATCTCATCTTGAATTGTAGCTCCCATAATTCCCACATGTTGTGGGAGGGACCCGGTGGGAGGTAATAGAATCATGGGGGCAGGTCTTTCCCATGCTGTTCTCGTGATAGTGAATAAGTCTCACAAGATCTGATGGTTTTATAAGGAGGAGTTTCCCTACGCAAGTTCTCTCTTGCCTGCTGCCATGTGTGCCTTTTGCCTTCTGCCATGATTGTGAGACCTCCCCAGCCACATGGAACTGTGAGTCCATTAAACCTCCTTTTCTTTATAAATGACCCGGCCTTGGATATGTCTATCAGCAGTGTGAACACGGACTAACATAATTAGGTCGGTGCAAAAGTAATTGTGGTTTTTGCTATTGAAATTAGTAGCAAAAACCATTGAAAGTAATGGAAAGAACCGCAATTACTTTTGCACTAACCTTTTATACCACAGTCAACATCCTGATTGCAGCCTGTGAGACCCAGGCAGGGAACCCAGCTATGCCTTGCCTAGACTTCTGCCCTAGAGAACTGTGAGCTAATACATGGGTGTTGTTTTAAGCCACTTTGTAGTAATTTTTTATGTAGCTTGGAAAACTAATGCACATCACATTGCCATTTTTTTCCTGTGGTGGGAGATATTAAGTTGCCAAGAGTAGTACGTTTGATAACAAAGGACATGAAGAGATGATTCCTGGACCTGCCTGAACACTACAAAGAACCCTCACATTGTCCGATTGGGCAATAACTATATGTACGTTCCTATTCTCTACTCCTAATTCTAAATCTTCAACTGTATTCTTCACATTCTTCATGAACTTTGTAATACAGCTTTAAACCAAATTGGAAATATTTTCCAGGAGCCCCACATACCCTTGGAGAGGCTCTGATAATAATAGTTCTTACTTTGTTGAATTGTTACAAATATTAAATGAGCTAATACATTTAAAGGGTTTATCACAGTTTTTGACAAATACTAAGCACTCAATTAATGTTAGCCATGTCATTTGATCTTAGAAACTACCTCTGGCCATCAGAGAAATGCAAATCAAAACCACAATGAGATAACATCTCACACCAGTTAGGATGGTGATCATTAAAAAGTCAGGGAACAACAGGTGCTGGAAAGGATGTAGAGAAATAGGAACACTTTTACACTGTTGGTGGGACTGTAAACTAGTTCAACCATCGTGGAAGACAGTGTGGTAATTCCTCAAGGATCTAGAACTAGGAATACCATTTGACCCAGCCATCCCATTACTGGGTATATACCCAAAGGATTATAAATCATGCTGCTATAAAGACACATGCACACGTATGTTTATTGTGGCACTATTAACAATAGCAAAGACTTGGAACCAACCCAAATGTCCATCAATGATAGACTGGATTAAGAAAATGTGGCACATATACACCATGGAATACTATGCAGCCATAAAAAAGGATGAGTTCATGTCCTTTGTAGGGACATGGATGAAGCTGGAAACCATCATTCTCAGCAAACTATCACAAGGACAAAAAACCAAACACTGTATGTTCTCACTCATAGGTGGGAATTGAACCATGAGAACACTTGGACACAGGAAGGGGAACATCACACACTGGGGCCTGTCGTGGGGTAGGGGAAGGAGGGAGGGATAGCATTAGGAGATATACCTAATGTCAATGACGAGTTAATGGATGCAGCACACCAACATAGCACATGTATACATATGTAACAAACCTGCACGTTGTGCGCATGTACCCTAGAACTTAAAGTATAATGAAAAAAAAAAAAAGAAACTACCTCTAGATATAGCAATACAGAGATTGTTCTATGCATTTTACAACTGAGGAAACTGAGTGTGAAGCAGGTTAAATAACTCATTCAGGGTCACACAGTTACTAAGTGTAAAACTTGGATAGTCACAGGTCTTGTAGATTTACTTTCTACTATTGATTTTCTGCTTGCAGAGATTCCTCATAGTAGGATGATGTCAAAGTTCTTTATCTTTAACAGACGAATATGCAGAAAGTCATATTTTTAGAGTGGCACAGTAACTGGAGGCCCATGACGTAGAGTCATAAACCAGTTATCACTTCAGACCCTTGCTACTCGAAGTGTAACTGTCCAAACAGTAAGCATCTGCCTATTAGAAATCGACTATGTTGGCAGGGTGTGGTGGCTCATGCCTGTAATCCCAGCACTTTGGGAGGCCAAAGCAGGTGAATCACATGAGGTCAGGAGTTCAAGACCAGCCTGGCCTATATGGTGAAATCTCGTCTCTGCAAAACTACAAAAAAAAAAAAAAAAAAAATAGCCAGGCATGATGGTGGGTGCCTGTAATCCCACTTACTTGGGAGGCTGAGGTGGGAGAATCACTTGAACCTGGGAGGCAGAGGTTGCAGTAAGCCGAGATCACACCATTGCACTCCAGCTAAGGCAACAGAGCAAGACTCCGTCTCAAAAAAAAAAAGAAAAAGAAAAACAAATTGACCATGTTAGAAATGCAGATTCTTGTGCCCTACCTAAGAGCTACTGAACCAGCAATACGTTTAACAAGATGCCCGGTTGTTCATATGCACACTAAATTTGAGAAACACAGTTTAGGAGTGTTCATCCACTAATCTACTTAATTTTGGCCTTCTTTATTCACTTGGGGTCTCCAAGTGAGTTCAGCTGCGTTCAGATATTTCTCTAGGCTTTCTTAGTGCCTGTTTATATATATTCCACTGTTTTAAAAATAGAATTCCTTTATTCTGGTCACTAATAGTATACTTCCAATTTTTTTGAACATTTTCCAGGGAAGGAAAGAGTTGGCTTCACTCATTATTGATTTTTTTTGTATTTAATATATTAAAACAAATGCAAAACAATTAAATGTTTACAAGCATTGTTTTATCCAAATCCATATTTAGGGCATCCTAGAGCACAGTGTCTAATAATAAAGTATCGCCAAATACATGTCTAAATTGACTCGGGAAGAATTACCTTAGAATGAAACTTATCAAATTGGTTTTATTCTTATCCTTTAGTTACTATTGTCAGCTCTCTCTCTCTGTTCTAGCCTCTTCTCAGCTCTTTCTAATGGACAATCATAGATCCCCAGGATGTTCTGTCTCCCAGTGCCAAGAAGCTGGCAGGAGGACGTTTCACACCTCCACCCAGAATCCAAGGGGCGTTAGGCATAGCTGTGTTTGTTCCAGGCCATGGGTGATAGCATCAGATTGTACTCAAGATGTAGCCAGGTGGTTTTCTGGTTTCCTGACATTGGATGTGTGTGATCATTGTCCAAGAAACCAAGTCCTGATACCGCAGCCAGCTGAGTGGAATGCACTTCCAACATCTATTAGATGATGCAGTTTATAAAAGTGGGTGCCGAAGTGTCCCTCCTGTGTACAGCAAAGACCTTCCCTTATATCTCTCTGATAAGGGAAAATGGGCTTGGCTGAACAAAGGCAAGTGTTCTCAGAGTGCCCTTTAGAGAGGAGACAAGGTTTTCAATGAAAGAGAGATTAATAGGACGTCTCCTCAGCTGCCACATGCAAACACACACACATACATACACACACACACACATCAGGCTTTCTCAAGATAGGGAGGAATGTCTCTCTCAAACGTCCCTCTCAAACATCCCTTCCCTTCTTGAGACAACATCCCTAGGTCAGGTCACAGAGCGGTGCTATGCCAGTAGCTCTAAAGTTTTGATGAGCTCGTGCAAATACATTAAAGATGAAAAAAATCAATAATGAGCGAAACCAACTCCTTCTTTTCTTAGAAAATGTCCATAAAATTTTTGAAACATACTACCAGTTGCTAGGATAAAGAAATTTTATTACTAAAGAGTAAATTTGCATCCACAGGATGTGGTACTACATGTTGGCTTATTTAACTTTGCTTGCCAGTGGGCTGGTGCCCCACTTTCCCTGCCCTTGTTTTCTCTTTCTCTATAGGGAAAGAATATTTGATATAGCAGCTTACATTTGATACCCTTTCTGTTTCCAGGTTGACCCATCCATCCCACATACCCAGACTAAATATTCATGCTGAATCTCCTTCCAAACTCCAAAAGGCATTAGCAAATACAGGGTGTGTTATCTAACCTCCCGTGACCCTAACTAACTGTGCTTCCTCTGTCATCCCAAAGCATCCTCCCTTTTAACCTGTATCGTGGCTATATTCTGTATTTACCAGAAGAGATTTGAATTGTTGACTTGCACATCCCTCTCTCCTCCTAAAACATGAGCTCGTGAAAAGCAGAGCCAATGATTTCTTCCTTTTTTGGAGACTTGTTGAATGAATTGGACTGCCGAATCCCTCCCATCTCCATGCTTGCTCTCCAGGACCTGTGTCTCTCCCTCAGTTGCTCTAGTAACTCCTTCTCAATCCCCTACACTGGGCCTGCTCTTTGCCCAGTTTGCCAGAAGACCAGCATAGTAGATATCATGTGTGAACCACTTGCTGGGGTAAGTCCCGGCAAATCACCTTGAGACATAGCACAGGGTTTGGTCAGATTTCAAGAGTCATCGTTTTCAGCATGTTCACTGCCTAGTTCCAAACACTTACTGCCTCTATGCCATTGCATTACTTGGAAAGTGAATTTGTCACTTGCTGGTTATGCTATTGCAGGACAGTCTGCTCTGAGTTCTTCCAGGTCCCTGAGTTCCATTTGTTTTTGGGGTCCTACACTGTAAATTCCTTTCTCCTTCCCTTCCACCATCTCTCTGCTGATGTTCTCTTCTTGGTGACAACCATGCCTAATATGTCACAGTTGTGTCCTTGCCTGGAGTGCACAGCTGGGGACAAGTAGCAACAGGTTTTATTTGTTTGTTTGAACAACTCAAATAATCTGTTAAATGGTCCCTTTGTGTGTCTATAGCTCATGTATATGCAAAGACATGGTGTGATTTCTGCTGAGTCTAGGCAAGGCACAAACGTTCAGGAACAGGAGCTTCTCAAATGAAGGAAGTTACAATTATTGCAATTTGGTGACCCTTTCTTTCCAGAGTAAACTTGACATTCCGTTGTTACTAAAGGTGCTGTGTGTTGGCCGGGCACAGTGGCGCACGCCTGTAATCCCAGCACTTTGGGAGGCCGAGGTGGGCGGATCACAGGGTCAGGAGATCGAGACCATCCTGGCTAACATGGTGAAACCCTGTCTCTACTAAAAATACAAAAAAAATAGCTGGGCATGGTGGCAGGCACCTGTAGTCCCAGCTACTTGGGAAGCTGAGGCAGGAGAATAGCGTGAACCCGGGAGGCGGAGCTTACAGTGAGCCAAGATCGGCCACTGCACTCCAGCCTGGGCTACAGAGCAAGACTCCGTCTCAGAAAAAAAAAAAAAAAAAAACTAACGGTGCTGTGTAGTGATAGCAGAAGCTGTCAGCGTCCCCTCTGTTCACCTCATAGGTTACCTGATAGGTCCCTTTCTGGGTGTAGGATCTTGCTCGGCCAAAATGAACACGGAGTAGACAGAAGCAAGAGAAATTAATGCCCCAGGGGTGCCCCTCAAGCAGTGACGAGTTTTCTAGCTCTGTTGTCTCCTGAAAATAAATTTTGAGTTATTTTCTACACAGTCTCATAGAAGATCCCCAGTGGGACTGAGCCCCAAATGTCCAAAGCAGTGACCCACTTATCAAGTCACCCTCTATTGACTTTTCTCCTTTCCCTCTCTCACTTCTGCACTCCTCAAATAAGCTTGCACTTAAATCCTTGTCTCAGGATCTGCTTCTAGTAAGCTGAAATTATCCATGCATGTCCAAATGTGTAAAAAACAGCAAAAGCTATGCACTCTGACTAACCACTCACTATTCATGATTTAGTAGGTTGTGGTCCAGGACTGTGAATCTTACTGTTAAGGGAAAGGGGTTAAACTTAATGTGCCCATCTGTATGTGCTCTAGAATGTGCCAGATGTTTTATATACATACATAGTTTTATTTCTTCATAATGGTACTTTCCTCCTGCATTCAATGTAAGAATTAAATGAGATAACATAAAGTGTTTGACATGGTGCCTGGTCATTTTTATTTTTGTTATTGTCATTTATTTTCTATAAACAAATTGAGGCTCAAAGAGGTGCAATATATTCGGATTTATTTGCATATGGACAATATGCATTGGATAAAGGATTCAAACCCAGCTTTGTTTAATTCCAAAGTTGGCCACACTCTCTGTATGCTGCCTTCCATTTTTCAATGATGGTTCAATCAACTTAATTTACAAATGCAAATGCTTTTCCTCTGAAGTGTCAGATACTCCTAGGCCCCTTTCAGCATTAAAATAATACCTTGTCCTCATTTAAATAGGCTGCCATCCTCACATGAATCATCACACAACATGTTTTTCTTTAAGAGTTCCACTATAAAAGAGCAGTCTTCACCAAATTCTCCACTGGCAGGGATATATTTTAAAATGTCAAATCTCTAAGAGAAGAAAATAGATTCATCTCTATTTCTGTCTCCCATCCTAACAAAATCCAATTATGGTAACAATAACCGCTCATCTGCTTACTATCAAGATCAGCCAGTATTGGGCTTTCAAGATGACAGATGACTCAAGTGTCCCCACATCACCCTTAGAACAGGGCCTACCTTTCTGCAGAAATGTTTGGCAAACTTTGAGTAATTATTTTAAAGATATTGCAATACCCACCAAAACTCATCTACATTTTTAGTTTTCATCTGACAGAACACAACTAAATTGATCTGATAATCATGTGCCCAATGTGTTCTTTTTTCCTATGTTGGAAATAAATTTTTGATTCTTATTTAGAGACTCTGCTAAGGAAGAAGAGTTAATCCTATATCCTCAATCCAAGAGATTCCTCTTCTCTCTGGGACTGTGGCCTTTGATTAAACCCAAGACTTTCAGAGAAAATTAATACATACCTAGCTAGCATTGGGATTTAGCCTTGGGATCACAGTGATGTTGCTACTCAAGAAATAATTCTCATTACAAAAACAGTACTGGCTTATTAAAGAGCATTTGGAAATACATTGTCAAAAGAAATAATAGATGGAGTGGGGAAGGGGTTAATTTCCTATAACCTCCATCACCAAAACACACTTACTTAAAGCAGTCTGACTTGCCCCCAATCAACGTGTTCACGCATTTTTCTAATAACAATTATTTTATGTATTCAGTTTTGTTTTGCTTCTTTAACTCAACCTTATATCATAAACATTTTTATTATATATTCTTTGAAACATCATTTTCAAAGTATTTGTAGGATTTAATTAAGAAGATAGACACAGTTTACTCAGTGATTAACCTGTGATTGGATAGCTTGGTGGCTGCCAAGTTTTTGGTATTATCAATGTAGAGGTGTGAATTTTCTGTAGTTAGAATTATTTTGTTAGAATCAAATTTTTTAAATTTCAATAATATTCAATGATTGATGTGGCTGTGAAATTATCTGAACTGGCTTTAATTCGTAATGTACTATTGACAGGTTTCTAAGCTTGCTCAAGCATCAGGAAACCAGTTGGTAGCTATTAGTATTTCTTAGCAACAACTCATTTCTTTTTTCCCTCAACATGAAGAAGAAAATTAGACCAGGGAAATATTGAGTCAACCTCTAAAATTTGTTATTATACAGCTTAAGTTACTATCAGTGCTAAAAAGGGGGAAAAAAACATACTAAAATGTTAGGGTAAATTTCAGACCACAATATTTGTCAGTTAGACCTTGATTAGAGATGATTTCCTGTCTATTCCCCAATCTAGACTGTTTTTAGATCAGTTTACAGTCTAAAATGTTAACAAATGATACAGAAGGCCAAACTCAAACTGTAAATCATCCATTAAAGATAGAACATCCTGTGCTTATCAGATCTAGTTGCTAAGTACCCACTCTTTATGACTCAGGAGCCCACACAGACCCGAGGCGCCAGCTGCAGTTTGAGATAGCAGACTGGGGAGACAGCAATACTAATGTGTTGAAAATGGATGAGGGGAAAACTGTCCCGGATTTTCAGGTGGTTCATACAAATGAGGTGAGGAAAACATTCAACAATGTGAATGGCGTATTCAACACTGGGATAGAATGAGGTGATAGCCCATCAGGAACAATCTAGAACTTGTCTTGAGCTGCCAGAGGATATTTCAGGCACAAAGCATTCATGCCCTCTCCATGCTGTGCAACTGCATTTTTTCCCTCCCAAATCCCACCCAACATTTATTTAAATAGAACCCAAAATAAATAGGTTATTTAACTTGGCATATTTTTTCCTATGCAAAAAAAAAAAAGAAAAAGAAAGAAAGAAATAGTTACACCTAAGCTGGAAATCACAGTGGTCTCAGGATGACTCTAGAGCCTTGGCTCAGAACCAGTCACCAGCTGTGGGGCCTCAAGCCAACTGGTAAGCGTTCTGTGCCTCAGTTTCTTCCTCTTGCAAAACAGGCTCTCTCAAGTGTGAGGATTAAACAAGACAAAGTATGGAAGGCACTTGGCCCAGTATTGGGGTCATGATATGTACGTAATCAATATTAGTGATGATGGCTCTTCCTTTCTGGAGGTGCATGGGCTATTATCTCAACATAGAGAGGGCATTTTCTATTGCATTCTTTTTTATCTCCCTAAACACAGACAGGAGGATTATAATGAAGATTCTATACCTATTTACTATATTGAAGAACCTGTGCTTTAGAATGGCATGCTCCTCTTCAATTTTATCAGAGAGCTTTGAATACGAGCTGTTAATTTTCAGATACTTAAAAGGGATAATGTTGTGACTAACAGCTGTGTTTCTGGAGTCCTGTGGAGCTGAATCTGAATCCCTAATTTTCAACCTACTACTTGGGCAAATTAGTTCAATTCTTTGTGCTTCAATCTCCTCATCTGAGAAATAGGGATGGTAGAGATACCTCCCTTATTGTGTCTTGTGGAAATGTCAGAAATAATTTATTTAAGTGGCATAAGGCATGGAACCTGGAATATAATAAATCTTTCACAAATGTTAGCTGTTTTTATATTAGGAATTTAAGAGGTAAAGCGGGAAAGGTTAAATAAGCAGAACTATTTGAAAGTATTGCCCTCCACTGTTCTTTCAAATCAAGACTGTCTCTCTATTAATTGAAGGATTTAGCAATATAAAGTCATCACAACTTTGGTCAATCTGTACATATTCTTGTGACTTTGGATAGTCATATATTGGACTGATTACAGAAGAGTCCCATCTTCGAATGGTCTGTTTTAACAAAAAGTGTTGTAATACTAGTCAAACTAAAAGCTTTTATATACATCTTACCAAAGGAATTGTTATATAACTGCTATTATATTAAATAGCATCAATATGTAATCATCCAAACATTACTTTTTTACTTTGTCCCCACCAGTGTCTTAAGTTTTTGTGAATAGCTCTGAATTCTTATTACCTACTAGTACTTTCTACTTCCAAGAGTCTTTAATTCTTTCAATTCTTTCAGGAAGAAATAAAAGGACTTCTCTGGGTGAATTCTACTTTAAACTAACATCTGCTCCAATGTTTCTGGCTTGTTTATTGTCAAGCTACTGAATTGCCTCTTCCTTCTCTCTCGGCCATCCACTTTTATTTTATGTACTGTCTGTATTTTTAAGTCTAAGCTGTGTTTCTACCGATAGAAAATCCTTAAGAAACTTGTGGGCTTCCTATGTATATCACAGAGATTCACTTCATTAGATGAGAGGCTTCTCTACAGATCTTTCCTAGATAATCCCATCTCTGTTTTTAACTTCTGCTAAGATGCCTGAGGAGATAAGTAAGTCATACATTTAATCTCTTCAAATAGCTTTTTTGTAAGTGAACATTCTGACTTTTTGCAATATGAATAGGCTGAGAATTTCATGAACATCAATCCTGGTTTCTCAGTGTACTTTTTTCCTCTTTTTTTAATTTTTATTTTTATTTTAAGTTCTGGGGTACATGTGCAGGATGTGCAGGTTTGTTACATAGGTAAACGTCTGCCATGATGGTTTGCTGCACCTATCAACCCATCACCTAGGTATTAAGCCCAGCATGCATTAGCTATTTTTCCTAATGCTCTCCTTCCCCCACCTAACCCCCCAACAACCCAAATGCCCATCAATGATAGACTGGATAAAGAAAATATGGTACATATACACCATGGAATACTATGCAACCATAAAAAGGAATGAGATCATGTCCTTTGCAGGGACATGGATGGAGATGGAAGCCATTATCCTCAGCAAACTAATGCAGGACTATATGTTCTCACTTATAAGTGGGAGCTGAACAATGAGAACATATGGAAACAGGGAGGAGAACAATATACACCGGGGTCCTCTTGCATTTTACTGGAGGCTGCAGAAGTCACAAGGCCACACCTTTAATGCACCATTTGGAATTTCCTCAGCCAAATGTCCAATTTCATCTTTTATAAATTCTGCTTTCCACACACCTGTAGGACACAATCCTGATAAGTTTTCCACCACTATACAAGAATCCCTTTCCTTCCAGTTTTCAGTAACATGTGCCTCTCTTCCTTCCACACCCTCACTAGCACAGTCATTAACATATAGACTCATATTTAGTTTGTTTAAGACAATCTAGGCATTTTCTATCATCCTCAAAATTTTTCCAGACTCTTCCTGCTGCCCCGTTCCAAAGCCACTTTGGCATTTGTAGACATGTGTTCCAGCAGCACCCCAATCTGTTCATTTTACTTTCCTATTGCTGCCATAACAAGTTAGCACAAATTTAGTGACTTAATATAAATTTGTTATCTTGCCATTTTGTTTGTCGCAAGTCTGACATAGCTCTCACTGGGCTAAAATAGTGCATCAGCAGGGCTGCATTCCTTTCCAGAGGCTTTGGTGGAGCATCTGTTTTCTTGCATTTTCTAGCTTCTAGAGGCTGCCTTTACTCTTTGTCTCATGGTCCCTTCCCTCTATCTTCAAGGTGAGCAATGAGGGTTTAGCATCTTGCACATTGCATTACTCTGACCTCACTTTTTTATTACGCCTCCTCGTCTGACTCTGGCCCCTCTGCCTCCCTCTTCTGCATTTAAGAACACTTGTGATTCCATTGGACCTACCTGGATAATCTAGGATGATCTCCCTATCTAAGGTCAGCTGATTAGCAACTTTAATTCATTTGCAACTTTAATTTTCCTTTGCCATGTAACCGAACATATTTACAGGTTCCAAAGATTGGGACATGGAAAACTTTGGGGGTGGGGGTAATTATCCTGCCTACCACAACATCTATTCTATCAAATTCCAAGTCATGAATGCCTCCAACTTTCCAGGTCTCCCTGGAGGTATAGTAGAATGTTTTCAACTGACAATTGAGGGCTCCGAAAGACATCTCCCCACATTTAAGTCTCTCCTCTCCAATCTCTGTTCTGGTTTCCTGGAAGGCGTATGCTTAAGTGTGTGTGTAATGCAGAGTTTAGAAACATTTAGACAAAGGAATTACAAAGCTAAATTTTGGCTAGCAGTCAGAGTGAAAATTCTGATGTTTTAGAGAAGCACACTTACCAGATTTCTTAAAAGGTCAATCCTCAGTGATTGTTGTATCTAACATAATTTAATCTAAATTTTTTTTTTAGCAATCCAAATGCTTTCTCTCTAAACATTGATGGTAAATTAGACGTTTCTCTGCCTCTATAATTTTTCCCTCTCTTCCCAGGCAAATGGTGGATACTTATTGCAAATTTGGTAGGTTAAGAGTAAAGAGAGATTTTTTTTCCCAAAAATATTCCTATTTCTATTTGGTTCTACCCTACATTTAAAAACACATTAACTGACACAAACAAACAAAAAAGCAGTAATAGTATTTAAAAATCACCTGGGCCAGGCACAGTGGCTCACGCCTGTAATCCCAGGACTTTGGGAGGCTTAGGTGGGTGGATCACCTGAGGTCAGGAGTTCGAGACCAGCCTGGACAACATGGTGAAACCCCGTCTCTACTAAAAATACAAACATTAGCTGGACATGGTGGCGGACACCTGTAATCCCAGCTACTGGGGAGGTTGAGGCAGGAGAATTGCTTGATTCACCACAGCGGAGGTGGCAGTGAGCTGAGATCACACCATTGCACTCCAGCCTGGGTGATAATAGCAAAACTACACACACACACACACACACACACACACAAAAGAGAGAGAGAAAAAGAAATGAAAAAGAAAATCACCTGTAGTGCAAAAGTCCATAAATTCAGAATATGTTAGGTTCAGAATGTGTAATAGTCAACTGGAACCAAATTTGGCATAGTGTTGATAATTTAGCCATGATTACCCACTAATTTCAACTAACCCAAGTTTGTTTATATACTCTGACACAGTATATTTTGAATAGATTTAGTCATGTTTTAAGATAACAAGTTGTATTTACCATGTGTTTGAGTAATATCATGAATACATCATGTGAGCCAGCAGCTATTCCTTAATTGCCAGAGCTTTAAGAAATAGTTCAACCTTTTAATCCACTATTTTGTGGTTAGGCATATCCCTCATAAGACACTACATTGGTTTGTACTGATGCCTGTACAAGCTTTTACCTACTTGCAAATCCTAGCAGTAAGTCAATTTACATTCTATAATCATGTCACATTCTCATTTTAAGTATCCTTTTTAGATCTCACCAATGTGAAGAAATATATGAGCGTTCATCATACAATCTTGGATTTGCTCTCTACCTCTCTTTGAAAGAGGTGGAAGCATTAAGACTTATCTTACTAAATTGCAGGTAGCTACTATTGGAAGATTTTTACTGATGGCTCTAGATTAATAAAGTGCAATCGTATTTTGATTTTATGATGACATCCATTTACCTTCCTGGGATGGAGATGCTATCTATGTTTTTTACCCTTTCTCTCATTAGCACATTGATTTGTTTTGATTATTGAAGGCAACTCATTTCTCTCTTGCCTGTTTCTATTTGCATGGAAATCAAGGAAGAGAGCCTTGAGGGGTTTATAGCAGAGGCATTTAATCTTGGTGCTTGCAGACTCATGGCAGTAACTTTGAGAAAATGGTTATGATTGCTATCCTTGAGTTTCCTCACTTTCGCCTTGCTCTTAAACTCCTACCCATCTTAAATTTATCACAAAATGGCCCACTGCAGTTTTACGTTGTGAACTGGAGGGAATAGAAAATCCTTTCTCTATAAATGAATTTTACTGCCATATAACCACTGGTAAACTTGTAAATAAAAATATCCTAGATTCAACACTGCCTTTCAAAAATGAATGCCTACTACCCAACATTTTAGAGTTTTTGAGTATTGGATGAGAAAATTGGCCTGCTTACCCACTGAAACATTAGAGCTCCCAAGCTAATTATTTTGTACCAGCGTATTGTTTAGGAGTTTTAGAGTTGCTTCATTGATTTTAGCCAACATGTATTTTCTATAAAGAACTCAGTAAGTGAATAGAAACGGGAGATCTGAGTCAGAGTGGGAAATTGCAATTTTATGTTCTCTAAAACAGAACAGATTTTTGGATTTTCCCCTTGAATAGAAATGCATAGGGGGAGAATTTGGTCTAAGCTACTTAAAATACAGTTCCATGTGGACTGAACAAAACAGTCACCACAATTTGGTTAAATCATTAATCTTATTCAGATCAATTATTAACAATAACCACCGACTTCTGTTGCCCAAAGTAGATTTTACTTCATTGTCAAACAAATGTCATTAGATATTTACTTTGCTATGTTAATATATTAATTACTGTTAATTTCTAAGACTATAGCTTTAGGAACATATATTTATAGAAATACATATATTAATTTTAAAAAGTAAATGAGAAAATCATATTCTTTGTGACTTCTGCTTTGAACTCTTTAAGCACTAAGAGTCAACTGATCTCAGCACCAAAATTACAAAACAAAATACATTAGCATCAAAGGATTTGTTCATCAAATTGGTTCACAGTTGCTCTGTAGAAGACTATTGCATCTATAATGGAGGAAGATGAGTAGTTAACTGGATACTTCAGTGATTTGCACTGATTCTTTGCCCCACCAAGTGAAAAACTGCATAGTTTACATGCTGATGAACGACCACAGACAATGAATTATGTTACAAAATACTTTTATTGCATACTTGTTATATACAAGGACTCATATTTGGTGCTAGGGAAAATATAGAGATTAATAAGATCGAGAAATGAGTAACCTGGGCCTGAATTTAAGCATATGAAAAAAAAGAAATTAGTCATCATGTTTTTTCTAATTCAGTAAGTTTAAAAAAAGAAATTAATAATCGGAGTCTCCAAAAATAACTCTAATTCAAAGTAAGGGGAAGTGCTTAGCATGACATTGATGTACAGATTTTATAGCATGGGCCTACATCAAAGTACTGAATAGTGAGGTAGCAAGTTTGCATGAATCTTGGAAGAGAAGGTAACGTCTAATGAAATGGCTAATTTTAGACTTCAACCCACAAGCAGCAAGTTGGTGTTAAAGAGCAATGCCCAAACTGAATTAAGGATAAATAAATACTCAATTCTGTCAAGAAAATGATAAGATCAGTACTATCCTATATAGTAGTGGAAATATAAATCCATTAAAACATAATATTGAAACCATTTCTGAAAAGCAATTTAGCAACATATGTTGAAATTCTTGACAGGCTTTATATTCTCGGACTCAGTAATTCCTCTTCTGAGGATATAACCTCATGAAATAAGCTTAAGTGGTCAAAGATTTATAAAGCTGTTTGAGGCCATCATGGTATTATTTTGGGTATGGAAAAATTGGAAACAACATAAATATTGAAGAGTTAGAGAGTGGTTAAATAAATTATGACACATCCATTTATTGAAATGTGATGAAATTGGCCGGGCGCGGTGGCTCACCCCTGTAATCCCAGCACTTTGGGAGGCCAAGGAGGGCGGATCACAAGATCAGGAGATCGAGACCATCCTGGCTAACATGGTGAAACCCCGTCTCTGCTAAAAATACAAAAAATTAGCTGGGCGTGGTGGCGATCGCCTGTAGTCCCAGCTACTCGGGAGGCTGAGGCAGGAGAATGGCGTGAACCTGGGAGGTGGAGCTTGCAGTGAGCTGAGATCATGCCACTGCACTCCAGCCTGGGTGACAGAGCAAGACCCCGTCTCAAAAAAAAACAAAACAGAAATGTGATGAAATTACTAAATAACGTGTACTTTAAAAACGAATCAACAAAATTAAAATGTTTAAAATATAAATAAAAAGAAACAGATTACAAAATGCATATATTGAGTGTGATCCCAATTTGGCAAAATATACACTGGGAAAGTGATGTTTAGGCTTTGTGTCCCTACCCAGATCTCATCTTGAATTATAATCCCCGCAATCCCCACGTGTCAAGGGAGAGACCAGGTGGAGGTAATGGGATCATGGGGACGGTTTCCCCCATTCTGTTCTCGTGATAGTCAGTGAGTTCTCACAAGATCTGATGGTTTTATAAGGGGCTCTTCCCCCTTCACTCAGCACTTCTCCTTTCTGCCACCTTGGGAAGAAGGTGCCTTGCTTTCCCCTTAGCCTTCCACCATGATTGTAAGTTTCCTGAGGCCTCCACAGCCATGCTGAACTGTGAGTCGATTAAACCTCTTTCCTTTTTAAATTATCCAGTCTCAGGCAGTTCTTCATAGCAATATGAAAGTGGACTAATACAGAAAGATATACCAAAATGATAAAGGATGCTGTTCTTAGAGATAGGCTTTGCCTGCACAGAGATTTTTTGGAATTGATCTCTGGGATTAGTCATCATGGAATAGAGGGAAGCAAGACTGGGCAAGGGGAGAAGCTGTGCTGCAATGTGGTTGCAATGGATGCTTCAGACAGTTCCACAGGGTGTTCCAGAACAGGAAGGGCCCTTCAGAGTTTCTCCAAATTTAGACAATGAAGCCAGAACTGTTTTTGTTGTTGTTGTTGTTGTTGTTGTTGTTGTTGTTGTTGTTGTTGTTTTAGACAGAATCTCACTCTACCACCCAGGCTGGAGTGCAGTGGCAAGATCTCGGCTCACTGCAACCTCCACCTCCTGGGTTCAAGGAATTCTCCTGCCTCAGTCTCCAGTGTAGCTGGGATTACAGGTACACGCACCACCATGCCTGGCTAATTTTTTTTTTATTATTTTTAGTAGACACGAGGTTTCACCATGTTAGCCAGGAGGGTCTCAATCTCCTGACCTTGTGATTCACCGATCTCGGCCTCCCAAAGTGCTGGGATTACAGGCGTGAGCCACCACACCCGGCTGAAGCCAGAACTTTTATAACTACACCAGAACTTTTATAACTACACCAACCAGCCATTAACCAGAGCCACCCCTACAGGGTATGTGCAATAGACTGAACATTTATGTCCCCCCAAAATTTGTATGTTGAAATTTTAACTCCAAAGATGATGGTATTAGGAGATGAGACTTTGGGAGGCAATTAGATGATGAGGGTGAATACATCATGAATAGGATCACTGCCCTTATAAAGGACCCCCCAGAGAGCTGGTTTGCCTCTTCTACCATGTGAAGACACAGCAAGAAGTTGGCAGCCTGAAACCTAAAAGAGTGCCCTCACCAGAACCTAACCATACTGGCACGCTGATGGACTAAGATAGAGTGTGAACTTGGTGAAGCAATACCCTGCAGCTAAGGGCAATTTCCAGTTTGGGGCAAAGCTATGAGCTGTCTGCAGCCAAATTCTCCATAGCTGAGGCATGGGTGCATAGCCATGGCAGAGGGTTCTGAGCAGATTACTATAGTGTCTTCTATGAGCACTCATTTCTAATGATGATAAATTACCAGTGATTTCTCTTCCTCTCACCCCCGACACTCTCTCTCTTTTAAAAATACATTAGAGTACACTCCTTTTTCTAGTATGATTTTGTTGTACAATCAGAATATCATTGTTAAACGTTAATATAAAAAAAATTAACTTAGTCAAGCCTTTGCATTTGGAGCTCTTACTTGAATCTCCTTAGTTTTATAAAACACTGGGACAAAAGAGATCAGAATTTGGCTCAGTAGTCTTTACCAGACATTATTTTCACAGTGGCACAAATAGCTTTCTTTTTCATAATGGCAAGAATGACACTTTATGAAACATGAAAATGAGATTGTTATAATGTGTTGTGCTTCCAAAGACTAAATATTAGTTGCAGATATCATTAGTTGCAGATATCATTATAAAGCTTTTCACCATTTTCATCTGAGAGTCAGTCAGTTGGTCATCCATTCAAGATTATGGCCAATAGAATGAATGGATTTGGGGTGCCCTTTCCTCTCCCCTGTATCTACTCAAATAGCTCAGCGTCAAACCCTCGTCTCTGAGGTTTTCCACAAGTACTCGTGCCCCACTTAATAACACCTTTCAGTGGACTCTTATGGCATTTAGTTCACATAATTCTATAGCCAGTACTGAAAGTAGAAGGTCATCTGTCTTACAAACCAGGCAAAAAACTGGGAATGATGAATGAAGGACAATGAACACATTTTTTCATTCTACCTGATTTTGCTAAGGATGAACCCTGGTAGAAAAGAGGCATTATGTTGCCTCTCAATAGGAGCTACTCAAGAATTTTATTATTTCAAGTGGGAAACAATGAAAAGTTCTGAATTAGCAATGATATGAGAACAACCTGTAGTGCCTCCTACCTCCTCTCTATTTTCCTCAGGGACAGCAACATGGCCCAGTTAGAAGGTGTGGAAATGACAGTGCGTGTGGACAGTGAAGGTGTGCCCAGTACAGGAGGGTATGCCAGCATCTCCAGGATGGGTGGCCGGTGTGATATATTCCTCCTTCCAGGAGATCTCCACTTATGCCACTTTCTAATATCCCTAAAAAAATAGCAACAATTGAAGGTGGTTGGTATCAATAGAGACTGCCCATCTGGCAATAATCGTGGAGCCTTTCTTACACTATTTTTTTCCCTCAATATTTCTAAGGGCAAATGTTCTATGTGTGGCAGGTTTCTGTCGATCTCATCCCCTACTGCGGGTAGGAAACTCCTTAGACCAAGCATAACTGACACTGAATTGTCCTCTGCTTATTCCAGGGTAAGGAGGACATCTTGTACAGCAGCAGTGACCAAAATGAGGGTGAAAGCGGTCTACCATAGAGTGGAATAGCTATATAATTCCTGACCTCATGTGAGTCCCTGAGACTGAATGCTTCCTTACCTGTATTTCTCCTTCTAAAAATCTACCAGCCACAGATACTAGGGTTAACTCTGAAGAATCACCCATCTTTGTTTTCACTTTCAGTCTTCATTTAGATGGAAGTTTGAGCCTGTTCTTCCTTGGAGGAATGTTATGCTATATTGTGACATATGAAGTGACCTTTTCCAAAATGTCACACACTAGAAGAGGAGAGAATTTCAATATTCTCAAGCTCTGCTTTTATGTTGAATAGTAATCAAGAGACATTTTACCAAGTATGAAATACTGGATAGTCCTGATTCTTATCATAGGTGATATAGAGCTAGTGGAATCAGATGACTGAAAATTCACCCGCTCTTACAGAGCCTTGTTATGTATAACTCATTTAGGGAGATTTAGTACTACACACAACTGGGTGCTATGTTCTTATTTGATATCTCAAATTGTCCATGATATTTTAGAAATTTTTGCATGTTCAAACAAGCTAATGCAGTCTGAAGCTAAAAATTTTTTTTTTTCAAAAAGCAATTTCAGTGGAAGGACAATCTAATTCTGGGCAAATCTAAATGTCATAGACTAGAATTACAAGCCTCTAAACTACACAATCAAAAATTCAGTCACTATTGGCTGTTTGCTATTTTTCAGTTAGAGGCTTTAAAAGGTGAAATTTTTGATATAGTTGATTCAATTAACTTAGTATTCAGCAGACAGAACCTGAAAAATACAGAAACGCCCAGTAGACGACAGATCCAAAGAGTGAATTTCGGTGAATGGCACATGTTGATCTAATACTAAGGAGTATTAGCAGCCAAACAAATGGAATATTTATGAATCAGATCATTAAAGCTGTTCTTTTATGATACAAGCTCTATAAAAGTATTTTTAATACAAATTATATTACAGTGGGGTCAGAGGATTCAGCTCTATGAAGGCTGAGTGCATACCAGGGAGATGATAGGGATAACAATTTGCATTTTTATGATGTTTTATGTCTTCTAAGCTGCTTTTGGAAAAAGAGGGGACATAAAGGCAGAAAGAGAGTATATTGGCCAATTGATTGGGATCAGACATGCCTGGGTTTGATTCCCATCCCTGCCACCATGACGGAGACAACTGACCTATCACCAAATCCTCTGCTTCCTCAGCACACAACAATGCTACATTTCCTGGCCTCCCTTGCAGATAAGTGTGACCATAACTACATTCTAGTCAATGAAACATCAACACAAGTGCTGTGCAGCTTAGCCTTGCCTGTATAACATAGGGAATTCTTCACGTTCTTTCTCCTTCTGCCTCCTCGAGGCAGAGAAACAATGGTGGCCTTGGAGACCAAATGTAAAAAACTGTAAAACCACAACAGAGAAAGGTCCTAAATCTTTGCATCGCTGCTTAGAGGAGGGCTTCTCACCAATTAGAATCACCCATTTTGGATTTTACATGAAAAATAATATTCTATTACATTAAGCCACTAAGAGTTACGGGTTTATCCTTCATAGCAGCGCACAATATTGTAATGAATATGGCCAGTTTTTTCCCGGATTTTGGTCAAGTTACTTCTCTATGCCTCAATTATTTCCTCAGTAAAATACTGGTATTACTAGTTCTACCTCGAAGAGTTGCTAGGAGGACATGCGTAAGGCGCTTTCACAGTCCTTGCCATGAGGTAAGCTCACAACAGATGGCAGCTGTTATTAATCACTTTTGCTGATGCTTAATTTTTGTTCAGCATTGTGCTATATATACACATTGACACACACATATGTTCTCATTTAACCATCAAAATGACACTGCAATGCAAGGACTTTCACTCCTACTCTGTCCATAATAATAAATGTGATAAAAAAAAAATTGGGCATTTTCTGCATGGTCAGTACTGTTCCAAGCACTCTGCATGCACTGATACTACAAACAACCCTATATAGTATGTATTATTATTATCCTCATTTTACAGATGAGGAAACAGAGACACTGAGATTATTCTTTGGCCCCACGCCCATATAGCTAAGTAAGTGGCAGAACCAGGATTCCACTTGGGAAATCCCGCTGTAGAGCCAGATTTAACCACATTCTAGAGCTGGCCATAACTACAATGCTGGTCTCTTAACCAGCTCTGGTCACTGAGGTGTCCGAAGTTTGTCAAGGTCAAGTGAAATGCCTGAGATCTAGATATGAGTACCTATGGCCTTAGAACGTGATGGCTCAAATCAGAAGTGAATGCAATTGAATCAGCCCATCCTAACTGAGGAATTTAGTAGAATATAAATCTACTAAAGCAGTGCTAGTCCTGCAGGTTGGCTTAGTACAATAGTTAGGAAGCTGGTGGTGTTTACGCAGAGCTATATAATGCTACTAGCTCTCTAAACACTGGTATCACTTACAGCTTTGTTTTAATCTTAGAATATGTTCCAAATTCACAAACGCTTGCAGACCAGGACACATGAACGGTATTTGCCAAGTACTTCAGTTTCTGTGGAATTTTATGGTTGGTTGGATTTTTAACCCAAGTACTGCTGATAGGTTGGTCCAGCAGTAGGACTGGAAGCAGGTAAAGTGAGACCAGATTTTTACCTTCTGTGTCTCTGTCATTAAGTCTAAGATGAGTCATCACAGAAAGCCTACAAAGCAGCCTGGTTTCTGGCTTTCTTGGGGAGATTCTAGAACATTAGTGATGCTTAATAATTTAAGTGCAGATGTTGCATGGACTGTAAATGCAACCAATTTGCTGAATTTAATTTTTCTCATGAGGAATATTGTGATGCTGCAACAGTGGTGAATCCACTTGCCTTACAGCTCTTGGAAAAAAGGTCTGTTTTACTGGTAAATGTTTTTGCTTTTATATAGGCAGAGAAGGTTTCCTTCTGTAGCAAATTCTGCATTTAAATTATCCATTGAACATTACAGAATGACTGATTCATTGTCTAAAATACATGATTGAGTTTTATCATGTTAAGGGTAAGTTCATTATCTGCCTACTGCTCAAACTCAGCGATAAAAATAGTGCAAAGAAAAAGATGTGTTGAAATATAACACTATATTTTTCTGCTCTTGAAAAGCACTCTGCAAAATTATCTCATCAGTCCTCCAAGACTTATACAGCAAAGAGCTATTACTCTATTATCAATTAAAGGTACAGTCAAGCTCTAAGTTAGAGAATGGCTCTAGAAACTATCTAGGTCACACAAACTGATTTATTAAAGGATATATAAAAATTAGGGGAGAGATACTTGGGGCCAATATATTTTATAAATGACTTTGTTTTATAAAATATGATTATGTACTAAATACTGCAATATGCTTATTATGTTTGTCTAAGACTGTGTTTACCATATAAAAATCCAAAGCATTTTAAATAAGTGAAATATATGCTGTTAATAATGATACCAAGTGTCTCCTTGGAGTACATAGTAGAACACCAGGGTGAAGCTTGGTCTATGCAGCCTGTGCAACCTTGGGCAACCATCTGGCTTCTCTGTGTCTCAGTTTCCTCATCTGCAAAACGTGGAAATAGTATCTCCTGCATAATGTTGCTATAAGATGAACTAAATCAATGTATATAAAAGTTTAGAACAATGCATAGCCTAAAATAAGTGCTTGATGAATGCAAAAAGAATAAATGTTGTTTAGCTTTTACAGTTTCAATCATAAGATAAATAAATTCTGGGTATCTAGTATACAGTATGATGGCCATTGTTAATTATACTTCATTGTGTACTTAAAATTTGCTAAAAAAAAAAAGGTAGATCTTATCAACACATATACACTCACGGTAACTATGTGAGGTGATTTGTTTGTGTTCATTAGTTTGTTTGTGGTAATCATTTTACAATGTATACATAAATCAAATCATCACATTGTATACCTTAAATATATATAACTTTTATTTATCAAATAAGCTGGAAAAGTATATTAGTTATCTTTTCTTGGGGGAGCATATATTACTCTTTTTCAATAAAGATTAAGAATAATTTTATTAAAAACTAATGCACCAAAAGAGGATGCTTCAATTCCAAAAGGTGTGAAGGAGGTAATTAAATGTTAAAAATAAATATTTCCTACCTTCCCTACTGAAACTCTATGTTAAGAGAAATTAAAACTGGGGTGACAAAGAGGCCAATATTTCCATTCACTACTTGTCATTGTCCAACCTGGAAG
Organism: Homo sapiens; assembly: GCF_000001405.40. Lineage (NCBI taxonomy): Eukaryota > Metazoa > Chordata > Mammalia > Primates > Hominidae > Homo > Homo sapiens. The sequence goes on from NC_000002.12 coordinate 223,503,415, forward strand.
TGTTTTGGGGTAAGGAGGAACAATCAGGTATCATTCCCAAATTCCTAATTTGGGTGGTTTCCGTTTTTAATGCAACTTATCTCTAGGAGAATCATTCACATCTATTCAGAACGTACTTTACCTGTTCAGTTTGTTTAAATGAAGCCGTTTGGAGAGTTTGGATTGTTAAGGAATATGAACTACAAGTTTATAACGTGGGAAATTTTAGGTGAAAATTATGAGAGAACATCTCAGTGAAGCAATTTGGATAGTATGTCACTTATCTCCTGCTGCTTAAAAAAAAACCTCCCCAAAACTTACAAGCATGAAGCAACAACCATTAGCCCAGCTTATACATCTTTTGGGTGACAAAGTAGATTGGGCTCAGCTGGGTGATTCTTCTGATCTGGGCTAGTTTGGGGCATTCTTGGCTGCCTTAGGTCACATTTCTGGAGGCTTGGCTGGAACAATTCGGCTGACTTCTCCATATGAGCTCTTATCATACAGCAGGCTGGCCTGAGTTTGTTCAAATGATGCATACAGGGAGCCAAGAGCAAGTAGAGGCCTGCAAAATATTTTCGGTTCTAGGATGGGCACTGGAATGCTTCCACAGCATTTCTTGGATCAAAGCAAGTCACAAGACCAGTGCAGACTCCGGGACTGGAAAAATAGACTCCAACACTTGATGGGAGGAGCTGCAAAGTCATGTCACAAATGATGAGGAGAGAGCCAAAGGAAGGATTAGTGGTCCAAATGTGCAATCTACCACGGGTAGCCAACATCATTCCTATGTTAGCAAGAAGAAGGCTGAAGAAGGCCCCATCAAAATCAGAGAGAATCAAAGTTCATTTTGCAAATTGGCTGGGACCCTCATAGCCTTAAAATGGATGAAGCTGGAAACCATCATTCTAAGCAAACTATCACAAAGACAGAAAACCAAACACCACATGTTCTCACTCATAGGTGGGAGTTGAACAATGACAACACATGGACACAGGGCGGGGAACATCATACACAGGGGCCGGTCGGGGGGTGGCGGACTGGGGGAGGGATAGCATTAGGAGAAATACCTAGTATAAATGACGAGTTGATGGGTGCAGCAAACCAACATGGCACATGTATACCTATGTAACAAACCTGCATGTTGTGCACATGTACCCTAGAACTTAAAGTATAATAAAAATAAATAAATAAATAAAAATTAAAATATATATATAATTTCTATTTTTCTGGCATCTTATTTCATTCTGTTGTCTAATGTGAAGCAAGATTTCATGTAAATGGAATTGCTGGCCAGACCAAAACATTCATGTGTGTGTGGTTCATGCTAATTCAACCCATATGACTGGAAAATCTGAGAGATCCTTAATTTTCCTACTATTAGGTGAAAATTAACAATTCTTTAAGAATATAGATAATAAATTATTTGCATATCATTGCTCTTGCTTTAGTTTTGTCAAGTGTGACAGACAACTTTTCATAAAGTACTTCCCCACATTGGAGAGGGTGGAGAGGAGGACAGCTTCAGTAATTCAGTGCATTAATCCAATAACATAGTATCATTAACTAAGGTAAAAACACCTTTTCAATGGATACCTCTGGAACTCTCCCTTTTGGTGTTATGTAATTGTATTGTAAATTTAACTAAGATTTATTTTTAGAACGTCAGCGTTTTAGCAACCACATCTATCAGTCCACCAACTACAAAGTCAAGACTCTTTTTGAAAAAGGCCTCATGAATACAAGTTAAGACAGTAGCTAATGCTTTTAACTAAACAGCATAAATACATAATGCAAACAAAGACAATTCTTCAAGATGCACATAGAGGGAAAATATAACCTTCAAGGTTTAGAAAATGTCGGGTGCTTTAAAATTAAATGGTATGAGAAATATAAAAAGCTAGAGGTAGTCCAGAAAAATAGGAGAAATAAACAACATTTGTTAAAGTAATTAGAGATGATAGTATTAATTAAAGTAATTACAGATGATAGTATTAATTAAAGTAATTAGAGAAGATACTATTAATCTTGCAGTCTCCTCTGGCATAATAAATGTGGATTACATTCTCTTTGTCTCTTCAGACCAAAACTATATAGAGGAGAAAGTAGGACAACTTTAGAAGTTTATGAGATGACATGAAAATGAGACATGAAAACAATCCAGGTAGGTAACTTAACATCTTGAAGTGTTAGAGCTGAAAAGATTAATAGAGATTAGATTACATAATCCCTCATTTTAAAGCTGAAGAAACTGAGTTGTTTGCCCAAGTTCGCACAGCTAACAGGTAACTAATCTACTCCCCAATAACTGATTTTACTATACTTGCCTTAGGGCCTGATCACAATTGCTTAGTAAGTTCCCAGTCATGCTCATCCAGTTTTTATGACCTTATTTTAACATATGTGAAATATTTTTAAATTAATTTCTGAATATTTTAGCATGCTGGAGAATGAGGGGCTCATAGCTAGGATCAAAGACTTCATTGAAAGATATGGTTTGGATGTGTGTTCCCTCCAAGTCTCATATTGAAATTTTTACCCCCGTGTTGGAGTAGGGCAATAGTGGAAGGTGGGGGTGATGGAGGCAGATCCCTCATGCTATTCTCACAGCAATGAGTGAATTCTCACTCTATTAGTTCGTGTGAGAGCTGGTTGTTTAAAGAGCGTGGCGCCTTCTCCTCTTGCTCCTTCTCTCACCATCTTCCCCCTTTACCTTCCACCATGATTGGAAGCTTCCTGAGGCCTCACTGGAAGCTGAGCAGATGCTGGTGCCATGCTTGTACAGTCTGCAGAACCATGAGCCAACTACCCAGTCTCAGGTATTTTTCTATAGCAACACAAAATGGATTAACACATTGAACTTCTGACTTAAATCTCAACTCACCTAATCACTGGGTTTTTGCAGATGAGATATGGGTAAGTTGGGTTTCTGAAAAATGTAGGAAGGGCTTCCACTTCTATAAACATGTTCAGCTACGTCTCTCTTCTCACCGAAGGTCCAGCACTGCTTCAAACTGGATAAATAAGCTACGATTTCAGGCAATCACGTGAGTAGAGGAACATTGAGCTCTTCATTTCTTTAGAGCATAAACAGGCATCAAAAGAGGTTTTTTTTAGAATCGCTTGAGTTGTTGATACTCTGAGGACAAAGTGTTGCCCACTAGAAGGAAGGACCATGGGGAAAAGCAGACCTAATTATATGAGACATCTCCAACCTTGGCAGCCCCCATGGCATAAGTACTTCACTCTCATAACCCGCATAAGTACAGTTGTTCTCTGTAGTAAATATGTGATGTAAATTTGTGGAAATAGGAAAGGATGGGAGAAAGAAAGGATTCAAAAAGGAAGAGGGAAGGGGAGAAAAATAAAAAGAAAGTATCATTTAACAAGAACTTTTGAGTGTTCGTGGGTGGGCAGAGAGGAAGACCTGAGAATTAATGGAGAGAAAAAAGATGTGGCTACAGATGTAGGAGGTGAGAGGATTCTAGAATGAAGATTAATGTGATAAAGAGGACATTACATAATACGTTGGTGGGTTATAAATTAGTCCTCTTTGTCATTATTTTTAAAAAATAAGTAAATAATGCAATTATTTTTATGACTATTGCTTGCCTGATAGTACTTCTTTGTATCCCACAAGGCCTTGACTTTTATGGGATGACATCACCTGTTGCTTTCTGAGTTTTCATCAATTTCTAGAGCTGCATTTTCTTCCACAAAACCTCTTGTTCTTAGTAATGGCTGCTCACTCTACCTCTGGCCCTGCCTATAACTCTGTTGGCTCATGCTGCCAGATACCTCTCTGTTGCTGTGGAGAACTGAGGAGTAACAACATGATAGTACAGCTTAAAATAAATACTATCATAGAGAAAAATAAAATAAAATATAAGGATCAGGGGAGAAAATACATTTGTAGAAACAAAGAAAATGAGAAGACTATGAAGTGTTGCTACAATTAAAATGTTGATTCTAAATCTGTTTGAACTTCAGTTTCTCTTCTTTTTTTCTGAGTGATCAGATGGCTCATATTCTGAATGTGTTAGCTTAGGCATTCAGCTTAGAATACACGTTGATTAATTCTGAATTATTCAGCGTTAATCAGGTATTGCTTCAAGTTTTCTTCTTTGTGCTTCATGTCTCCAAAGTCAGAAAGTTGAGCTTAAATACTTCTGAATAAAGTAATTCCTAAATGAAATGTGAGTGTGGCTCTACCAAACAGGAGGGGTGTTAGCTATGCAAGGCTGGGCTGCCAAAGGGCAGTTTGGAAAGAAAAGGAAGCAATTTCTCAAAAGATGGATGGAATTGATATCAGGATATAATCCTGTCTATTTAAAATGGTTGTATACCTATGTAACAAACCTGCACGTTGTGCACATGTACCCTAGAACTTAAAGTATTATATATATATAAAATGGTTTAGATGACACGGTGCTTAAAGGCAGCATTGCTGATGGGCTCTGGGACCAATACGGTGTTTCCGAGAGCTGCAGAGAGCTATGGGACTCTGAGTATTATGATATCCAAGCCTTGGGATAATGTTCAGGAAAAAATGCACAGGGGAAACTGATAATGTTTGCTATTAATGATGGGGATTGGGAAAATACCTAATGCAGTGAAAAAAAAAAAAGTGTGATTTAGGTATGGGTGGCCCTATGCCCAATCCTGATTCTACCTTTTACCAGCCATGTGGCTTATTCCATCTGAATAACTAAGCTTTGGTTTTTTATATTCAATTTGGCACCTAGTGGATATCCAAATACTGATAACTATTAATATGACTTTAAACATAGGCTTCAGTGCATAGAGCAATGGTTTGAAGTCACATGGTTCTCCCACACTTCTTTGGGGTTGGCCTTTAATGCATGAATGAGCTCACCTGATTGGAAGGGGACACAGTATCCTGCATAAAAACAGGAATTTCATCTCCAACTCCTTCTAACTCAAACTATCCTGTGCCATAAAGGTTAGAGATGTGGTATTGGTGACTCAAAGATACCATGGCAACATGGAGGAGTCCTAGGGAGGAAGGCTTAGCCTCAGAGCTTAGATGTGGAGACAGGCCTGAGATCCAACCCTTTTACTTTGTCCCTGCACCAGTGAAAACGGTAGCGAGCTGGGTCAGGAGAAGCCAGTGCTGGTAATTGTGCAGCCTATGAAGAAAGTCAGTTTTATTCTAAGTATTCATGCTCTTATCAGATTCTAAAGTTGACAGAATTGGCACGAAATAAGATCTGCATGTTTATGTCTGAGAATGTTTCTTCTGGACCTCTAAACCCATAAAGTCTCTAAAGATCAGATTTGACTTTAACTTTTTTTTTCATTTTGGCCATGCAGTTTATCCAGTGGAATGTGGTAAAATATGAACTAAATTTCATGGGCCAAAATAAATCTCTTTGTTAAAGTTGTGCCATTTCTAACCTATTCTTTCCAAATGACTTTTTTTTTGTTACTTCTTAGTATTTCTTGGTTGACCAATTTATACTTGTCATCTTAATCAAATTTGATTTATTTGGTTATATTTTTAAAGAGCAGTGTACTCTTTCCATCACTTCTCCTTCCCCAGAAATATTTTTTAAATGTTTTTCTAAAAAACAAAACAAAAAAATCTTTACTTTTTACTCCATCCATTGGTTCACTCCCTGGGCACCGCTTGTCCAGCCTCCTATTTATTTCTTAACATCTCCCTACCTATCCCCCCAATTTTTCCTAAAAATGCTTTCTTTGGGAAAGGAGCATCATCTGCTCATCAGCTATATAAACTGAAAGGCTCGAGTTTCTTCTACTCTACCTTTGCCTTCCTCCTCCACAACCAGAGGTCACTAAGATCTGTCCATTTTACTTGCTGAATGTCCTTTTTTAAAATAATGGCATTATAGATACATAATTCATATACCACAAAAATCACCCTTTTAAAATGTAGTCAAGTGGCTCTTATTATATTCACAGAGTTGTGAAACCATCACCACTCTCTATTTCCAGAACATTTTCTTCATTACCCCAAAAACAAATCCTGTACCCATTAACAGTCAGTCCCTGTACCTCTCCCAAGTGCCTATCAATTGACTTTTTGTCTCCAGGATTTGGCTATTCTGAATAATTCATATAAATGAAATCATACAATGTGTGGTCTGTTGTGACTGGCTTCTCTCACTTAGCATAATGTTTTCAAGGTTCATCCACATAATAACATGTATCAGCTCTTTATCCCTTTTTATGGCTGATAATATTCCACTATAAGGAGGATATACCATATTGTGTTTATCCTTCCAATGGACATTTAGGTTGTTTCCACTTTGGGCTATTATGAATACTGCTGTTATAAACGTTCATATGCATGTTTTTGTATGGATGTGTTTTCAATTCTATTGGGTAGATACTTAAGGAGTCAGATTTCTGGATCACAGGGTACTCCAAGTTTAATATTTGAGAAACTGCCAAACAGTTTTCCAAAGTTGCCGTGCCATTTTACAACCCCACCGGAAGTGTATGAAGGTTTGACTTGATGAATATTGAAATTTCTGCACCTTCCCCTCCATCACACTATCAATGCCTTATTCGGGTCCTCATCACGTCTAACCTGAAATATGACCATCAACTGATTGACCTAGCCATTGCTGCCCAGGCTTCCTGATCCATCTTCCCCACTTCCACCAGGGAGCACAAACCTGACCAAATCACTTCATGTTAAAGATCACAGATATTTCACATGGCCAAAAGGACTAAACATAATCTGGTGCCAGCTGCTTAGCCTCTGCTTCCTCTCCTTACACCTCACACATCCTTTATGCTCAGCTTCTAAGACTCTTCACTTACAATGAATTTATTTGAATTTTAGGGGCAACGTGAGAATATATATTTCAGTGGAACCATGTCCTCTGCCATCCATAGCTGTCATCCAGAAAATATTTATTGAATACCCACTACTCTATTAGAAAATGATCATAACTCTCCTCCCTCTTACATTATCCATTATTTGGACCTGAGGTAAAATGTTGAATCGATCAAAAGTATTTCTCACATTTTTGGTCTTTATTTGATGGAAAATGCTCAATAAATTGGACAATTCACTGGACTTGAGCTTAAGATCTACTATTGATTGATATTATTATTTCATGTATTCAAAAAATACTTACTGAGCACTTAGTATATGCCAGATACTGTTCTAGACACCTGGGATACAAAAGAGATAAAATTTCCTGTTGTCATGAGCTTTCCTTCTAGAAGGGAAAGACAGGCAATGAACAAATAAGTAAAATACAGCATTTTAAATGACAATAAGTGCTACAGAAAATGAAAAGCAGGACTGGGGACAAGGACTGCTTGGAGAAGGTTGTAATTTTAAATAAAGTGGTCAGGAAAGGCCACACGGACAAGGTGATGTTGGAGAAAAGATCTGAAAGAAATCAAAGTTTGCACCATGTGGTTATCTGTGAGAGGCGTCTTCCAGGGAGAGAGGACCCTGAGGCGGGAGGGTGTTTGATGTGTTCTAGTAACAGCCAGGAGGCTAGTGCCCATAGAACCACATGAATAACAGTATGTGTTGAATGATGAGTCTGATTGTTTCGTGATAAAACTGATAATTACATGGATCCACCTTTTTACAGAGCAGGCAGCCCTAAGACCTCCTCAGAACAGGAAGCTAAGAAGCAGTAGGAGAAGATCAAACTAGGCTCTGTTGCTGTTTAGTGAACACCATGACCACTTGGGCTAGAACTTACTCTGAGAGATGCTTAGAGCCCAGTCATTTCCCTAACATTGGTTATTTTTGTCACTCCCCATCTGCTATCTGAAGAAGGGAGATATAAAAAGTCCAAGACGCCAAAAGAGGTTGCTTGCTTACTTCAGAAACAGCAGGGAGGCCAGAAGCTGGAAAGGTTTTCCATCGTTCTAACAGCCACAGGGCAGTGGGGGCTGCTGATCTGGAGAAGTAGGTGGAAGCAGTGAGGGAAGAATTGGACTAAATTCCCATGTGTCGGGGTCAAAAGGCAAGGAAGAAGAGATGAGGGCTGGCCAGGGAAGAGGACCACACTCCAGGGTTTGACTGGCAGGTGTTCATGAGACCTCTGGCAAGTTTTGCGACTATTTTGCAGGAGGACTGCAGCTCACTGGTTACCATGCTTGCCCTTCTGAAATAGAAGCTATTTCCTGCACTGAAGAATTTAATTATTGAAACCCAGATTGTCAGATAAAGTTACTGATTTGTGCTTCTCCAGAATATTCCAGTAAAAGAAAATAGTGCATACCACTGCATTTGTCTTTGCTTTTTTAAGCATTATTTTTTAAAGCAAAAATAAAACATGCACATTATTTCTAAAGTTAAATTATACCGGGTTTACGGCAGAGGAAAAAAAAATCACCTCTTTTTTCCCCACTCCTCTTTGTTGACATTCACTATCATCTCCTTTAGCTATTTTTTAAAAATCTGTATCTCAAAACTTTCAAATAACACAATCACACAGCTATTTTTCCAGTTTTATATGTTACCTATTAAATTCTCTCTTGCCCTCTTCCTAGTTCTCCAATTATCTCTCATTCTCCTAAAATAGTTATATGACTCTTGGGTTAAATTGATTCTCAGTGATTACTAATTATAACGACTTAAATTTTATTCCCAGGTAAGTGATAATGTCCACTAGCATCATCTTTCCTCTTGCATCACTTTCCCTCAATCTCTGCCTTACACTCTACTGTTTTTGTTGTGGTTGATGAGAATGATGTTTGTTTTGTTTTGTTTGTTTTTAAAGCTTACATTTCCCTGTCTTCGATTCTTTGTGCACACTTTTATGTCTCATGGAAAGTTCCTCTCCCACCCTTTCTCAGCCCTCCACTCCTCGGTCCACACAGGTTACTCAGCGTTTCCATCTTTAACACTACTGTCCTCTGGGAAATCCTCCTTGACACTCCAGCCTAGGTTAACCTCCTCGGGATATGCCAGTTACACTGCACTTCTTTAAAACACTCATCCTAGCCATCAGGTTTCATAAGGATAGGATTGTGTTGGTCTCCTTTCTCAGCACCAAAACACTTTTAGACACATAGTAGACTTTAAATAAATATTTGTGGAAGAAAGGGAAGGAGGGAGAGAAAAGATGAATGAAGGAGGAAGGAAAGGGCTCAAAGAGACAGAAAGAGAGAAGGAAAGGGAAAATGGATAGACTTACTATCCAATTTAGTGACTATTCTCATCTCATAACACATTAAGTACACCTTTCTAAGGATTTTGGTCAGCTATGGCTACGAGGAGTCGAGGTCAGGAGTTCGAGATCAGCCTGACCAACATGGTGAAACCCTGTCTCTACTAAAAAATACAAAAACTAGCTGGGCATGGTGGCGGGTGCCTGTAATCCCAGCTACTCGGGAGGTTGAGGCAGGAGAATCACTTGAACCTGGGAGGCGGAGGTTGCAGTGAGCTAAGATTGCGCCATTGCACTCCAGCCTGGGTGACACAGCAAGACTCTGTCTCAAAAAAAAATTTTTAAAAAAATCTGCTTTTCTTAATTTCCTTTGGTTTCCAGATAATCATGGATATGCAGATAATCATGGGAGCCAGCCACCCTCCTGAGTGCCCCTAAATAGGTTGAGAGGGGCTGGGGGCAACACATCAGACCATTTATCTTTCATCATTATACCATGTCATGGCTATGATGCCACTCTGTCCTGCACAATTTCCATGAGGTATATTTGCCCATAACTAAGTTGCTATCTTTATTTTTTGTCCTTCTTTCAGCACTACCTGAGGGAAGCTGTTTCTGTTTTTGTTTTTTTGGCAAATTTGACATTGCCAGCATAATGAGCCATCTTGCACTGAGCGTGAAAATCCCTACTGTCTTTATTAATTTATTCATGAATAACACATGCATTGCCAATTCTTTAGGGAAATTAGGGCATCTATACATACACATCAGCTTCTAAGCACAATAGAGAGGAGGGTAGCTGAGCTCTGCCAGGTCCAGGACCCTGGTGCCTATGGAAGATGGAGCATAGTTCTGGCTCAGAGTATGACAGTATTCCCTACATCTCATTCTCTTATTTTAAAGATGAGGAAATAAAAGTCCACAGAAGTAGGGTTACTTATCCAATGGGGTCATGTCTGTATCAGAATTCAGTCCCCTGACCCCGAGTTTGGTGATCTTTGAGTGAGCATAAGGTGCTTTATGCCATGATGCATTATGGTCAGGAGGAGAAGAAGGTAAAAGCCTGATGAAAATTTCATGCACAAGCCATAGAAACAGAGATGTTTCCAAGGAAAACAATTTAACTTCTCACTTCTGATTTAGTAATTAATCAGCATGTGTCAGTAGAAGATGCAAGACAGATTATCAAATTTTCCTAAATCAAGGACATGTTTTTAAGCCTGACTCTTCTAGTTCAGGGAATTATTTGGCCAAATAGCCAAGAGATTTTGGGCAATAGTATACATTTCTGAGATTATGTAGATAAGGTTAGGTGAGATAATAGGGAAAGAGAGAAGAAGAGAAACAGTGCATTTTTTACATTAAACAAGTCTTCGCTGGAGTAGTAAGACTATTTCTTTCTAACATAAGCAACAATAGAAGCTTTCTTAGGGCTTTCAGCCTCAGTGTTTTTCATTATTATGTAAAGGAAGAATCCATAAGCTGCTTTTCTTTAATCCTAAAAGCACCCATAAAGATGATTAGAACTTACCTTCATCGACATTTCAAAAACAGCATTTTTCTAATCTAAAAACACTGAGTTTATAAATGACCTGTGCTGTTACTGCCATCTTTGTTAGCCAGCCCCTATTGGTATGGCCCCAAGGAGCCAAAACATTTCTATACTTCAGAACCAAAGGATTCATGGGATCCATGGGATTGCCAAGTTCCTGTTGCCAGATGGAGAAAAAAACAAACAAAGTGGTTGGTGAGTCACATTAGGGCACAAAAGACTATTGGGGCTTGTATTAGTCTGTTCTCACACTGCTATAAAGAAATACCTGAGACTACGTGATTTATAAAGAAAAGATTTAATTGGTTCATTGATCTGCAGGTTGTACACGAAGCATGGTGCTGGCATCTGCTCAACTTCTGAGGAGGCCTCAGGAAACTTACAATCCTGGCAGAAGGTGAAGAGGAAGCAGGCTTGCCTTACATGGCCAGAATAGGACAGAGAGAAAGGGGGGAGGTGCCACACACCTTTAAACAACCAGATCCCAGGAGAACTCACTATCCTGATGACAGCACCAAAGCGCATGTTGTTAAACCATGAGAAACCGCACCCCAGGATCCAATCACCTCCCACCAAGCCCCACCTCCAACACTGAGGATTAAATTAAACATAAGATTTGAGTGGGGACAGAGATCCAAAACACATCAGGGCTTGTTTAGCTTCATATGCTGTGAGAGGCCCTGGACACTTGCTTTCATGCTTTCTCACTGCTCTTGAAAGAGCAGGAGCCCAGGGCTGGTCCAACCTCACAATCTCCCATGCATCCCAGCTGTACCAGTCATCCCCATCTTCTCAGTGGGCATGTAAGAGAGCCTCCCTCCAGGGGCATCCACTCAGTTCTTTCCTCTCTTACATGGCCCCTCACTTTTTCAAAGTACACTGTCTCTACCAATGAACCCTGTATTTATTCATTGAAATCCTCCTCTCCTGCATAGCGAGCATGAAAATGTAGATAAAGCTCAAAAGACATGGGAAGGGCTTTATACCTACATCAGAATATATTTTTACTAATTTATCCACTATCTCTAATTTTCTCTCCCTTCTGTAAAGTCTTGTTCCTGGCCCTAATCCCATTTTATTCCTTTATACTTTCATTAATTTATCCAACACATATGTATTGGGTATTTATTATGTCTGTGCAGTCTGTAGTTGCAAAATATAGTCTCAAAAGAGATTTGGGCAGAGTCTGGGACATTTGTCCCACAAGCCCCAATTTTATTTCTGTCCCTATCTCTACCTCTATCTCAATAGATAAATAGATAATCTTTAGAACAGCCACATTATGGATTAATTAGATGTTTGTGGGCTGGCCTGGGTACACAATCATTCTTTATGATGGTGATCCTCAATCTCTGCTCCCACACAACTCTGAAGATTCATGAGTTAGTCCTGTCTCAATTACAGTGAAGAGTTGAGGGAGAGAGGAGTTGAATCTATACTCTTGGAATATATTACCAATTTAAAAATTTCTGGGCCAGGTATGGTGGTTCATCCCTGTAATCCCAGCACTTTGAGAGGCCGAGATGGAAGGTTTGCTTGAGCCTAGGGGTTTGAGACCAGTCTGGGCAACATAGTGAGACCCTGTCTCTACAAAAAAAGGAAAAAGGGGAAAAAATAGAATTTTCCTCATTAATATTTCTTAAATCTTTGCCAACTATTGCTTCTTATCTGCAAGTAAGCCTAACAGATGACAGAAAAATTACCAATGATGAATGAACAGGGAATCTAAGATATAAATTGAAAAACTATTTTCATGGATGTGTGTGCTCTTGGTTATGATTTGACATTATATCCATAGGCTTAATGCATATTTTTGATTAGTTGAATGTTACTACTTCCTGTGATGAAATTAAATATGTCAGTATTTCATGGTGTTCTGTGAAGAGCACCATGCCATTCATGTGTGCCACCATCTGAATAAATTTGAGAATCTCTTCCGTATAGTACGTTTTCAATAAAATAATAAATATTAATAAATAACAGTTCTGCCGTTAATAAATAACTAACTGAAAAATGAACCTTTGGAGGTTAACTAGTTCACAGTAATAAAGCTACATAATACTTGTTTGTGCTTTCTAGTTTCTAGACATTTCACTTGCATTATTGCATTTCAGGGACTACAATCTATCTCCATATTCTGCTTGAGGAAATCAGAATACAGAGAATTTGAGTGGATTTTTCAAGCTCAAACAATTAGTAAGTGCCAGAGGTAGTGTTCAACTTCTCTTCATTTAATGCCAAATCCAGTGTTCATTTCCACAGTTTAAATCATTTTATTTACTATGAAAGAAAAGACTGAACAATATCCAAAGTACTATACAATAATCAAGCCAAGAGAAGAAATAGTAATGCACCAAAATCACGCCCTAAAATCATCAGATCCCTTGAAATATTGGAAGTCAAAGATCAGCTTACATTAATTTCAACCTTGTTAACATTTTCTCTAGGAAGGAAGAGATCTTAATACCATGAAACAACATACCGAATAATAGAATCTTGAAGTGCTAGTAGAGTCAAAAACCGTTGCAGAGAAGCATTCTATACAACAAAGCAATTTTCACATCTAAAGGAATGATGCAAAGAACATTGCTTTGTTGAATTTTTTAACAGCAAATTCTACCCAACAAATAATTCTGTTCAGCAGGAGTTTTCATTGATTCCTGTTCACATAACAGTCATTCTGTAATGGGAAAATAACTTGATTTTTGTGTGTTTGGGAAAGAAAATCTAGGTTAAAGTTTTATTTTTTTATACTGTCTTAAGTTCATGATCAAGGAGAAATCATTCTAACTCATCTTACATTTTTCCTCCAAAACACAAGCAAGTAATGATCATCTAAAGGGCAACTGGTGAAGAAATTCAAATCTGATCCCCTGCCTTCCCTTCCCATGGGATTCAAAGCACTTCTTTAATTTTTAAAATAATTTTGAGGGAGGGGCAATAAATCTGTTTCAGTTATAGAGCTTGGGCATTTACTTATATGGAAGAGAATACTTAGATAAATCTTGTAGGTTTCTGTGAAGTTCTTTATTTAAAAAAATAAAATCTGTTCTTGTTAAGCCACAGGCTTAGGAAACATTTACCAAGTCAATCAAATGGTCTTGAGAGTGAGAAATATTTGTTCTGTCCCATTTAAAGGTTAGGGTCGAGTAATCATTTTCACTTACTTATTCTAAATGGCAATATTTTAATGTTTGTACCTATTATAAAAGCAATGACATGCTTAAAATTAAATGATTAGTCCCCAAAGCAGAAAGCAAAAATTCCTCTTTATTAAGAGGCAGGAATATAAAGCAATATTGGCTTCATTTTGGCCTTCTCCCAACTAAGACAGCAAAGAAAAATTTTATCTTTGTTCCAGTATTCATTTACTTCCTATTTCCAATCCTCTTTTCTCTTTTCTTAATAATTATCAATATTAACATTTAGTATAAAGAAAAAATTGTAATGACTGATTTGGATCAAAGATAATCACTGTTTGACTAGGAAATAAGACCACATATATCTTTAGATGGTTTTTAAAAAGACCCAAATAGAAAGATCAAAGTTCCCACCACTAGGAAATGGTCATCACAACAATGATGAGTCCACAATGGACTTTAGGAAAGTGGAGATGATAAGGAAACTACCTGGTGATAGCTTTGTTAGCAGGGAATAGTGATTAGCCCATGGATCCTAAGAAAATGTTTTGAGAGAGGGGGATCATGGATAGGTGATATCTATTAAAGGATACCATGCAGGGAAGCCAGAAAGTAAGATAACAGAGAGCAAGATTCTGGATGAATGAAGCACGGAGTTTCCCTGCAGGATTTGTAAGTGTCCCTGAAGAATTTAAAAGATGGTCAGTGACTCCAGGGTTCCTATTACTGACATCTGATAGCATTGTCCTTTTTTATACACAGTGATTAGGTAACTAGAATCTTTACTAGCAGGAGGACCCCAGGCTATTGTCTAGATTTTGGGAGGGACTTATATTCGCTTGGCTATTGGCCAAATGAAAATACATGTGAAAGATCTTTGTAAACTGAAGAATGCTGTAATATCATCATTATTGGAATGTCAATGTTTTGGGAATCATTGGCACGAGAATTACGTGTAAAGCTTTTTGCTGATACACGGTCCTTGAGTTTCTTGAACTCTTGATAAACTCGTCTCCATCATGTGAAACTCCTGTGCTGTTTCAGGTTCATCAAGAACATTATGCCAACTCAACTAATTCCATTTTGTTAATGTTCCAGTGCAATACCATGGATATTAAGTATTAGATTTCTACATGACTGTTTATGTGGTCCAAAATATTTTCATGAGCAATATAGAGCAGCTTAGATTACTCGATGAAAACTTAACCATTTGGACATTACCGCATGAGTCAACTAACGTATTCGTTTCAGCTTAGAAGTGACTTTCAACTTGCCCACCAACAATAACAAATGTTTATTGAATATCTATGGGTCCGGCACTATATTAAGTGCTGAGGATACAGTGGTAAACAAGCTAGAAATAATTCCTGCCCTCAAGAAACTCAAAAGCTAGTAAACAAAACAGGCAATAATAAGGAAGCAAATGGTAGAATTACAAAATTTTTGAATGCTGCTACAAAAAAATCACACAGGGTGATGGAGATGGAGAATAACAGAAAAGGAATATCTAAACTGTCAAAAGATTTATACTTGGTCTTGCCCATTTTTTGTTTGTTTGTTGTTTTAACTTATTTTAAATTGCCTCATTGAGATAAAATTCACATACCTTCAAATTCACCCAGTTAAAGTGTACGAGTCAACGCTTTTTGATATATTCCCAGGGTAGTAAAACCCCAATATCTAATCTTGAAACATTTTTAATCACCCTTGAAAGAAACCCCACACTGATTAGCAGCCACTCCCCATTTCCCCCAAGCTCCCCCAAGAAACCACTAACTTTGTTTCTGTATCCATAGATTTAGCTATTCTGAACATTTCATATAAATGGAATGATATATATGTGGTCTTTTGTGTCTGGCTTCTTTCATTCAGCACATGGTTTCCAAGGTCCATCTATGTTGTAGCATTTATCAGAATTTCATTGCTTTTAAAAGCTGAATAATATGTCATTAAATGTACATACCACATTATATTTATCCATTCATCTCTTGATGGGCATTTGGCTTGTTGTTTGGCCATTAAAAATAATGCTGCTCTGAACACAAGTGTACAAATATTTTCATTCTTTTTTGTGGACAAATAATATTTCATTACGTGAATATAACATTTTATTTATCTATTCATCAGTGGATAAGCACTGGGTTGTTTTCACTTCTTGTCTGTTGTGAATAATATTGCTATGAATATTCATGTACACATTGTTGTGTGGACATATGTTTTGTTATTTAGCTTGGATACACACCTAAGAATGAAATTGTTGAGTCATATGATATCCCCATGTTTAACATTTTGAGGACCTGCTAAATAGTTTTCCAAAAAAGTTGCAATAATTTATACTCCCACAAGCAATATATGAGGGTTGCAATTTCTCCACATTCTCTCTAATGCTTGATATTGTTTGACTATAACCATCTTAGTGGATGTAAAGTGGTATCTTGTGGTTTTGAGTCACATTTCCCTAAAGGCTAGTGGGCACTTTTCATGTGCTTATTGGCCATTTGTATATCTTCTGTGGAGGAATGGCTATTCAAATGCTTTTCCCATTTTTGAAATTTGGTTATTTGTGTTTTCATTTTTGAGTTCTAAGAGTTCTTTACATACTGTGAATATAAGTCTCTTATATTTCCTTTCCTTCTATACTTGACCTTTCATTTTCTTGATACTATCATTTACAGCAAAAAAAAAAAGTGTTAAATTTGAAGTCCAGTGTATCTATTTTCACTTTTTTCACACATGCTTTTGGTGTCATATCTAAGTAACCATCACCCAACCTAAGATCATAAAGATTTAATCCAATGTTTCTCCTTAGACCTTTATAATTTTAAATTTTTTTAATTTTTATTTTATTGTTATTATTATTTTTTTTTTTTTGAGACAGCATCTGGCTCTGTCACGCAGCCTGGAGTACAGTAGCACCATCTTGGCTCATTGCAACCTCCACGTTCTGGCCTCAAGCAATCCTCCCACCTCAGCCTCCTGAGTAGCAGGGACTACCGGTGTGCACCACCACGCCCGGGTAATCTTTGTTTGTTTTTCTGTAGAGACGGGGTTTCGCCATGCTGCCCAGGCTGGTCTCAAACTCCTGGGCTCAAGCCGTACACCCGCCATAGCCTCCCAAACTGCTAGGATTACAGGCGTGAGTCATTGCTATAATTTTAAATTTTACATTTAGGGCTGGGCGCAGTGGCTCACGCCTGTAATCCCAGCACTTTGGGAGGCCGAGGTGGGCGGATCAAGAGGTCAGGAGATAGATACCATCCCGGCTAACACAGTGAAACCTTGTCTCTACTAAAACTACAAAAAATTAGCCGGGCAGGGTGGCACATGCCTGTAGTCCCAGCTACTCGGGAGGCTGAGGCAGGACAATCGCTTGAACCTGGGGCGGAGGTTGCATTGAGCCGAGATCGCGCCACTGCACTGCAGCCTGAGCGACAGAGTAAGACTCGGACTAAAAAAATAAAAAATAAAAATAAAAAAACAATTTAAAAAATTACTTTTAGGTGTAGGACCCTTTTTTGAGGGTTTTTTTTTTTTGTAATTTTTGTATGTGCTGTGAGACAGTGGTCCAGTTTTATTCTCTTGTATGTGAATATACATTGGCACCACCACTGCTCATTAAAAAGACTGTTCTTTTCCTCTGTTGAATTCTGTTGGCACTCTTGTTGAAAATTGATTGGCCATAAATGTAAAGATTTATTTCTGGACTTCCAATTTTATTACATTAACCTATTAGTCTGTTCTTATGCCAATAACACACTGTCTTGATTACTGCAGGTTTGTAGTACGTTTTTATATCAGGAACTGTGCGTCTTCCAACTTTGTTCTTTTTCAAGACTGTTTTGACTATCCTGGGTTCCTAGCATTTTCAAATAAATTTCAGGATTAGATCGACAAGTTCTGCAAAGAGCTAGATATCATTTTAATAGGGATTTTGTTAAATCTGTGGATCAATTTGGGTCATATTGTCATCTTAATAACATTAAATCTTTTGATTCATGAAAATGAGGTGTCAGAAGACTACATAGAGATATTTAGATATTCTTTTTTCTGTCAACAATATTTTTAATTTTCAGTGTATAAGATTTGCCCTTCTTATAAGGATAAAATCTATCCTTAGTATTTTATTCCTTTCAATGCTGCTGTAAACGAAATTGTTTTCTTAACTTCATCTTCAAATTGTTCATTTATATCGTATGGAAATACAATTAATTTTTGTATATTGACTTTGTATCCTGCAACTTTGCTGAACTTGTTTACTACCATCAGTTATTTTTGGTGGCTTCTTTAGGATTTTCTGTATAAAAGATCATATCATCTGTGTTGCCTCATTTTTCATCTTTAATTAGCGGAACAGATATAGAAAGAAAAAGAATTTAAGAAATTATAAGCAAATATTTGAAGTAAATTTATTCTTTGTATCACCAGGGACCAATTTTGTGATTACTAAAAACATACAATTTAAAGAAAAATATATTTGGGTACAAAGTCAAGAAAAATATTGTAAATAAGCATAGTTATTCAGCAACAGAGTAGGCTGCCTAGCGAGGTAGTGAACACTCAATAACTAAAGGTGTTCACTCAACAACACAGCTGTTCAGGGTGTGTTATAGAAGGGATTTCAACAACACAGCTGTTCAGGGTGTGTTATAGAAGGGATCTGAGCATCAGGAAATGAACTGGACTGCGTGATTTCTAGTCTCTTCCAATTTTGAATGTATGTTACTAATTCATTATATTTTACTAACTACTTTTATGTAGATATTTAACCACATAAATGCTATGAACAAGGATCAGTAAGATTTCCTATTTAATAATAAAAGCAAGACCACAGTGTGTTTCTGCATACAATTACGAGTTTTCTTCTGTGGGTACAAAAGTGGTTTCTATTATCAACCCTGCAAGGTCTAGGTTATGTAGCATTTCAGTAGGTCTTAAATTTTCCAGGAGCCATTCATCCCTGAGAAGAATTATTATCAGACATCTAAGGTATATGAATACTAATATTATGCATCTCCTTTCAAAGTGCTTTCACTCTTAAAATATCTCTGTGAGCTTTCAAACAACCCCCACTCTGCAAGGAAACTTAGAGCTCATTGAAGAGATTTATTCCTGCAATCTGGCTATATTTAACATCCATGGTGGAACAGCTGTGGTTCCACGGTGGAAGTAACAGAAATGGACACTTAAGCAAAAGGGAAGTTATTGGAAAGAATTCAGGGCCTCACAAAATTGATGGAAGTAGGAGACCCAGATAGTAAAGGAACATCAGAAGGCTAAGACCCAGAAGCATACAATTGTCTCATACCAAAATGTATATGGTTATTACTCCATACTTGCCACCATAAAGAATTCTATTCAGCTATTTCTTCTTCCGCCCTTGCTTCACACTTTCAAGTTTCAACGTCCTAAAAGAAAGCCCCCAGTCAGTCTAGATTAGGTCATAAGTTCATTCCATTGAAACATCAGAATGAAGAGAAAAATGCTGTGGACCTCTCAGCTCTATAAATGGAGGCATGCAGAAGGAATTAACCTTGCACACGCACAAAAAATGCAGAATAAGGGAAAGGTAACACCCTTGAAAGAAACTGAAGTACTATTGAAATTAGATGTTGGGTATTCAACCAAAGAACGCCAAATATTCTCTCCACACATGCAGTGCTTTTTTGGATTTATTTAAGAGCTGCTGTAGTTGCAATCCTGGCAACCTCAGAGATCAGATTTTTCTCTACTATCTTCTCCACAGTAGAGATTTGTTGTGGCACTCTGCCACCTGTTATTTTTTGTCTATAACACAAAGAAATAGAGACAAAGTTTTTGCCTCAAAAATGTTTTTCTTGTGGTAGGACCTTGTCTTTATAACCCTCACCCCAGTCTCAATCAAGTGGCCCAGTTTCTGTTTTAGACCGTTATTTAAAATCCTGACTGTTCCAATATACTAATGAGGCACCATTATCTGAGGGCTGTTTTTCAACTGCCCTGGTTTCTTGTTTGTATTACTACTGTCATCTCTTGGCCTAAATATTTTTTATATTTAATGATGCCTTAGTGCTTCTATCCTAGGCTTTTTAGCAAAGGCAGCTAATTTAAAAATCAAATAAATGAGTCTTTCTGGACTTCTAATTTCTAGCTCAAGGCCAGAACTACTAGACAATTAACTCCTTTAGATTTAAAACAAATAGAATATGAAGTTTAATCATGTATTTAATATAATTCAAAATATAAATGATCAAAATAACGTGAAAGCACTTGTTTTGTTGTTCCATGGGATCACAACAATTAAGAATCAAAGTTTCTCTTTCTTTAACTTTTAGAGAAGAAGAAAGACTTCTTAATTCCCAAAGGTAAAGTCCTCATGAATCATGACTTAAAAGCCAGTTTCTTCAACACCACGCAGGACTATGACTCATACCTTGTCTTTATTTCATGTTGCGATTCCTTAAGAAGGTATAGGTTGGCCAACAGAATTCATCTGGGTAAAGGATGTGAGCCCCAACCTAATCAATATAATCACTATTTTTGTCAGCACTGCCTTTTGTTTTCTTAACATCTACTAATCAGAGGAAGATGGTTGTTTATTTCCACTGGTTCCATCAGCATTTAACTTTCTAAGGACTTACTACTGTGGGCCAAATTTGACTCACTATTTGAGGTTATTAATAGTCTCCATAATGCTACTTCCTGATTGGCTTGCTACCCTGAACTAACATGGAATTCAATCAATGTTTCCGCACTAGAGTGCATTCATAATTTCAGCGAATGTATTTTGAAGCAAGGAATGGAAACCATATGTAAAGTGTAAGAATCAACAAAACTATGTATTTCCTTGGTCTTTGGGTTTGTTTATATCCCTTCTCATCTCAGAAAGAATTCATAGTGCTTCTGTGGCTGTATTTAAATTAGGATCCTTATACAGGGAACATGAGTTGAACCATCCACATTGTCTTTTGAAAAAGGGATTAAACATACCTCTCAGAACCAGTGCATTCCATATTGAAGCAAAGATCACAAAGACTTGTTTCAAAGCTGAACAAGTTTCCACAACTATGCTATTGTCAGGCTACTTCCCATGAGCCACCCTAAGGTCTGCACTAGCAAAAAGCCAGCAAAAGCAAACCATGTCCGGCTTTCTCAATACAGATTATCCAACCAACAGCTTAAATAGGTATCATCTGAGTTTTGTTACTTTACAAATGTAAGTAGAATATATCATAGTATATTTTTAATTTCACAGTAAGTAAATCAACAATTACTCTAATTCTACTTACATGTGAAATTATTTTAAAATAAAGAATTTTTGACCAATCAATTTATATTTCAGCTTTATTTCTTTCTTCTCCATTTCATTTTAGTATTCAGATATCTGGTTTCATTTCTGAGAATAATATTATGTAGTTGGACTTAATGCCATCATAGCCAATGGAGAATAAAATATACCCAAACGTTTCTATAGGATTGCTCAGCAAATGAATTACCTATAAAAATAAACACTAGTATTGTTTTGTCCTAACTACACTGTGAAAATGTGTCTTTCCTCACTCAATAAGGGTATTTTCAGGTTCATTATTTCTGCTGAATAATCTAATTCCCTGCTTGTGCCCCAAACTTAAACTCAGACAAATGATGTTCTATTGAAGGCATTTGAGGTTACATTGTGATGGGAACATGGAGAGATAACAACACCAACCAATATTTGAATATTGCTTTATAATTCACAATGCTTTTCACAGACATTATGCTATATGATACTCTCAAATCACATGATTTTAGCCCAGGGAGAAACTTTAGATATAATATGGTCTAACCTCCTCATACTGAATCCCGGAGAAGTTAGTGATTTGAACAACGACTCAAGGTGCATAAGTATGAGAGCCAAGATTGGAATCCAATCCTTAACAATAAAATAGTGAAAATAATCTCACTGAGGTCTCGTGATGATCATATATTCTATCTGTAGTATTTTCACATGTTGTGACATTTTTTTCAACTATTCCAACATAACTGTTGGGTTTTTTTTTTAATAAGAAATTATAACCAAGTGCATTGTAGGAACATGCTTAGCCATGATGATCTGAGCCTCAGGTCCCTCATCTGTAAAAGATGGCTAATTTGAACATATGCCCTCTCAGGACATGCTGGGCCTTCGTAGCTTGTGTGCTGCTGTCATTTCTTTCAGCCCATTTTGGTGAAGTATATTTAGTTTACTGACTTAGAATATAAAAGATGCCCAGATGATGGAAATAAAGAGACATTCTTTCCAGATCCGACAGGGGGTGTTATCATTAGAAATGGGAGGTGGTTCTTCAAATCTATCTGCCAATATCTGGCTTGATCTCACTTTTGGTTTAGTACAGGCAAATAAAATAGTAGGACAGACACAAATCTCTAGGTCAGAGGCAGAAACTCTCGAGAAGGCCATATGGTTATTCATACCAGTAAAGGTAACTAATGAAGTACAAATAGCTTTTCTTGTTTACCCTGGAAATCCCTTCATAGGCAGCTTGTTAGTTGGTCTCAGATTGTTTGGAAAGTCCAAGAACCAACACAGATGAAGTGCATTAATAGACAGTGGTGGCAACAGCCAGGGTTGAAATGCTAGTGTGTTCTTAGAGTGACTGAACTGTGCTTGTCAAGGAGGGAAGGGTTGTGGAGACCCATTCACCCATTGACCCATCCACCTGACCTTCTCTGACACCTCAGGAGGTATATCTGGGCCCTGTCCCCCAGTGAAAATTCTGCTTAATCCCAAAGTCTTGAGATGTGAGGATTCCTACCCACTGATGTTTGGTGTCTGTCATAAGGTAGGCACTGAAGGCATCCCCTCAACACACATCCAGAGTGCAGGTATTCCCCTCCCCTAACTTTCCTGCCAAGAGTCTCAATTTACCA
The DNA here is from genome assembly GCF_000001405.40 of Homo sapiens. NCBI lineage: Eukaryota > Metazoa > Chordata > Mammalia > Primates > Hominidae > Homo > Homo sapiens. Next base: position 223,526,106 of record NC_000002.12, read on the forward strand.
GCAAAGAAGTTCAACCTGGGCCACATGGCTGATTCATGATAAGAAGTGTTCTTCAGGAAGAAGCCTCTCCCTACTGTTATTCAGTGATGTGAAATTATAAAACTGGAATCCAAGAAATCATGAGTGGCAAGACCCAGTGTATAAATCAGTCCCTGACTTCCATATCTGTGCTTTCCATAAGATGTCACCAGCTCTCTTGTTGCCTGACATTTAACACTCACAGAGCAATGAGTCAGACAGGCTGGAATAAAACATCAGGCACCTGGGTTTCCTTGTTAACTGCCTGGTAATCATTTGAAACACCACCTCCAGTACCAAGAAACAACAGTCCCTGATGGTGGAAGAATTGGGGCACAAAATCTTGGTATGGAGCATTATGTTAAAATCCCAGCCTTCTATCCCCATATGAACAGTGACCTTAAAAAGAAAATCATGAGATTGAGTCATTATTAACATCCAAGTCTTGTAAACTCTTATTTATTAAAAAGAAAATCATGAGATTGAGTCCTTATTGGCATCCAAGTCTTATAAACTCTTAATTATACTTTAAATTCTAAGTCCAGCAGCTTAATCACCTGTTTTTAGATTTAGCTGTTGGCTACTGAGAGCTTAGAGATTGTGTGGTTTGTTCAGGCAGCCCTAGTAGATTAAATGCCACTTATCATCAGAGAAAGATTGAGAGAGGTACAAAAAAAAAAAAAGGAGAGAGAGAGATTGGAAAGAGAAGTAATTGTTGTTTGAGCTTACTATTTATATTTCCTGACATTAATTGGTAGCACCATAGAAAGTACCAAAAAGTCAACCATGTACTGATGTTAGAAATATAATTTCCAAGTGTAAGTACCACAGTATTCTGGATATCTTGTGTTTCACTTGACGTCTTCAGAATTATGCAAGTGATTAACAAAAAAGCCCAATAATATACCCATCTTTTAGTCCATTAGTTTTTGTTTTCAAGTATCAGTTATTAAGCGCTCACTACATGCCTAGTACTGTGGTGAGAAATTTACTTCCATAATCTTACCTAATCCTCACAACAATTATTTAAGATAAGTATTATTATCTCATTTTTTTTTTTTTGAGACAGAGTCTCGCTCTGTTGCCCAGGCTGGAGTTCAGTGGCGTGATCTTGGCTCACTGCAAGCTCTGCCTCCTGAGTTCACACCATTCTCCTGCCTCAGCCTCCCGAATAGTTGGGACTACAGGCACCCGCCACCACACCCGGCTAATTTTTTTTTGTATTTTTTTAGTAGAGATGGGGTTTTTCACCGTGTTAGCCAGGATGGTCTCGATCTCCTGACCTCATGATCCGCCTGCCTCGGCCTCCCAAAGTGCTGGGATTACAGGCGTGAGCCACTGCGCCCGGCCTATTATCAGATTTTTTTTTTATTATACTTTAAGTTTTAGGGTACATGTGCACAATGTGCAGGTTTGTTACATATGCATACATGTGCCATGTTGGTGTGCTGCACCCATTAACTCATCATTTAGCATTAGATATATCTCCTAATGCTATCCCTCCCCCGAAAATGTGGCACATATACACCATGGAATACTATGCAGCCATAAAAAGTGATGAGTTCATGTTCTTTGTAGGGACATGGATGAAGCTGGAAACCATCATTCTCAGCAAACTATCGCAAGGACAAAAAACCAAACACCACATGTTCTCACTTATAGGTGGGAATTGAACAATGAGAACACATGGACACAGGAAGGGGAACATCATACACCAGGGACTATTATCTGATTTTAAAGGAGAAAAGTGAGACAACTTTCTGATCTCACACAGTAATTAGGAATTTAAACTCAGAGTTGTCAGATGCCAGAGGCTACCCTCTAAAGCAGTACACTAGACATCTACCCCAAGATGAACCTGATATTGATAGAATCTCAGTTATTGCATTCTGGCATTATTGATTATCTTTGTAAACACTTATTATTTTCACTGCTTTTTCCTAGTTATTAAAGAAAATCTTGATGCTAATGAAGAACACTGCACTCCAATTCGTCACTGAATTAATTTCCTGAGTAAGGAGGAGAAGGCGGTATTATTTTCAGGACAAAGATTAGCTTCATCGCTGCCAAAAGCTTGGTGTTACACTAGGATGTTAACGATGTGTCATTTTGGAAGTGAATCACGGACATAATCAAATTCCACTTCTGGCAGCAGAGAAGAGAATACAGCTGTGTATAACTCTGAGCTGGTTCTCTTATTCACATACACCATCTGCTTTCTGTTGCTTTAGATAAAATTTTTTATTTCAGGATTTAAAAATGCTTTAAATTCAATAATTATCTAACTAGTGAATCATGTGAAAAAAAAACAAGATAGAGACAGCATAATGCTTTGTCTTCTAGTCTCTTCTTGTCTAATGGTATTTCAGTAATGAGGTCTAGATACATGGTGACATAGCAGGTATTCCTTTTAATTATCAGCCTGAGACAGAATAAGAATGGGACTTTCCCCCAACCATGTCCCATCAAGGACTGCAAGCTGGTGAGGGGAAGGGCTCCTGGCCAGCAGAGACCCCAATCAGATCATTCAGACCCTGCATCATAATCTTGTGCATGGTGCCATAGCCACTGACTACAGGAAATTGAAGAAGCTAAAATAAGCAATTCCCACCATAAATCTTACTCAAGAGAGTCCACCCTAACTCCCACATATGCACAAGACCAGGAGATGACCAACCCTTAACCTCAGCTTCATTACTAAAAATCACATACTAAAAATCACACCCAGGGGTAGAGACTTAACATGCAAATGAGACATGCAACATATGAAGAAGCATGTTATCAAACTGCCCAAGTGCTAACAGTTCCCTGCCTCTGCATACCCAAACACCATTCCTTTCCCTCTGCAGCCCTTTTAAAACTGTCTTTTCATCTCCCTCTGGGGAGCCAGCCAGAAAATTCTCTCTCTCTGTTGCTGCCTCCTTTATGCCCTGGTGTAAGTTCCAATAAAGACTTGTCTGGGCAAACTCTTTGGGCCTCATGTCAACTTATATTGCATTGAAGGTCCAAGAACCCAGGGTCAGTAACAAGCCAGCCTTTAGAGTCAGTTGCTCTGGCAAGACCAGGCATTTTGGGGAAGACCTTAACTCTTCCAGTTCAGTCCTGGCAACTCCTTGGGATATTCACATAAATGGTTCAATGCACTGAGCACAGAGACAGCTTGAGCCAGGGGGTCTTTGCCCTGGCCAGCTGTAAGGTTATAAGTCACAGTTCAAAGTGAGTGTGAGACTCTCTCAAGCCAAAGTTGGTTTTATCCAATCAAGAAGAACCTTCAATGGAGATCTCTGGTCTCTACCAAGATAAATTCAGGTCATTCAGAGCAGTCCAGCAATTTCAGGAGCAAAAATAATCAGGCTAGCTCTAGTTCCTAAAAGACGTGAACTTCTGCAAGGTATTTCATCTCTCTGGGTCCTGATTGCTCATCAGTGAAATGAAAAAAAATACCTTCCTAAACCTCTTATGAATTTAGGAGGCCAAGATGAAATAATAAGCGGGAAACACCTTTGAAAGTGCTTTATTCCAGGTGGTGGTGACATCATTAGTATTGTCTATTTGCTGCTGATGACCATCCCCTTACAGGCGATCCCTGGACAGCTGTGGATTTTGAAAGTTCATTATATTCTCCCAAGGTTGCAAATTCAGGTAAAGAACCAATATGCATTAACTGGTCACAGGCAAAGAATCTTTGTGGGCAGCAGCTTTCAATCTTTTCACCACTCCGACGTGTGTATCAGATGACTTTTACATTTTACACATAGCTAGATTCCTATAGATATAAAACAGCAACCTAGTTGTACACACATGCCTTTCTTTCCCACTTCAAAAAGTAAGTGGGTGAAAATGAATCCATCTGTGATATTGTGAAATATATATTTGGTCTTCTTTCTTATTTCCTGGCATAGAACTTCTAAAATCCTTGGAATCCCTCAAGTGCTATCTTTTTGTATGCTAATGGTGACTGACAGCTTTAAGATGAGGGCTGGTCACAGGAAAAACAAAAATATGAATGGGGGGTGGGACTGACAGTCCCCTCCCCAATCTCTCTTCTGGGGATAGGGGAGGAGCTGAAAGTCAAGTTGGTCACCTATGGCCAATGGTTTAATCAATGCCTAATGAATCCTCTTTAAGAACTCAAGAGAACAGGGTTCAGAGAGCTTCCAAATAGCTGAACACGTGGAGGTTATTGGAGGGTGGCGCTTCCAGGGAGGACACGGAAGCTCCTTAACATACTCTTTCACTTCTACTGAGAGAGGCAGGATGCAGAGAAATCCTAGGCAGACAGGGGCAGATCCCTGGTGAAACCCCACCTTCAAGCTGAAAAGCCTGAAACCCGTGGCCCAAAGTGAGAACTTCTATCACTGTTTGCCTGCTGTCTCCTGATTGGCTCTTTCCAAATGATGTCTTTTTACCAATCAAACGTTGTCTTTTCCAAAACTACCTAAGGCCTTCCCCATTCCCCATCCTGTGCTTATAAAGACCCCAAATTCAGTCAGTAGAGAGACAGAAGCCACTTGACTGGAGAGAGGTAACTTGACTTCAGAGGGGCAACTGTACTTCGGAGGAGAGATGGTTTAACTTTGGAGAGGTGGCTTGATGTCAGGGAAGAGCCAGCCAGAGCCAGCTGGACTTTGGGGAAAGATTACCTGCCCACCCCATCCTCTCTCCAGCTCTCCTCTCCTCTGAAAGCCATTTCCATTGCTTAATAAAATTCTCCACCTTCACCATCCTTCAAGTGTTCCAGCAACCTCATTCTTCTTGGACACTGGACAAGAGCTCAGGACCCACCAAGTTCAGGTACCAAAAAAAGGAAGTCGCACTGGCCCTTTGCCCTCACTGGCAGAGGCCAGCTGCCTCACGTGATGAGGCAAGGGGCCCACTGAGCTGGTAACACACTGCTGTCCACAGATGGTGGAGCTAAGAGAACATTGTACATGTGCTCTGGGGTTTCGGGGGTTGCAGACACCTCCACCTGGGTGCCACCATGGGGCCTGCATGGAGCTTGCTTCTGCTGGTGCCCAAAGCAGCCAGCTAGATCCCACACTCACTCACGAGCTCCCTCCTACAAGAGGTTGAGCATGATGGGCCATATAGATGGGGTATCCCCATCACAAGTCCAATAAAGGGGTTGAGAAAAATCATGCATTACTACCTCTCCGTGTGCAACACTTCATCTATATCCTTTGTAATATCCTCTATAATAAAACAGTAAAACATAAGCATTTGCCTGAGATTTGTTCCAGTAAATTAACGAAACCCAAAGAGGAGTCATGGGAACCCCAACTTGAAGCCAGTGGGTCAGAAATTCTGAAGGCCCAGACTTCAGACTGGTGTCTGAAGTGAAGAGGGCAGTTTCGTGGGACTGAACCCTCAATTTGTGGGACCTGATGCTATCTCCAGGTAGATAGTGTTGGCACTGAATTGGAGGACATCCAGTTGGTATCTGATGCAGGATTAATTGCTCACTTGGTGGTGGAGAGAAACCCTCCCACACACACACATTTGGTCACAAAAGTCTGTGTTTATTGTGTGTTGTGAGGGCAAAGAAAAAAACATTTGAGAGTTTTTTCCAAACACCATTCTATCTATATTTTAAAAAAGAAATACTTCAACAACTTTAACAGTTATTAACAGCAAATTATTTGTGGCACTATTGTGTTATTAACCCTGGGATAAAAGCATTACTCTAGAGAATAAATTGAACTTTCCTGACTTGGAAGTTCAATTGTTTCTTTCTAATTAGGAGGCATAAAGCCTAATTTAATGCTAAATTACAGTAATTTTGTTGGCTTGAACTTTTTTCTGTTTTCACTTTTCCCTCTTCTTCACGCTTCTGTAACTATTTTAAACAACTTACTATATATTCATTTTATTATAAATGACTAGGATCTCTTTTTGAAAAAAGGTGGGATTTAAATCATAGCTGACAAATATATATATTCTGAGATCCTCCAGTTTAATAGTCCAAGCAGTTCATTTATTGCAAATGACTTACAATGCAAATCATGTTCTCAAGTAGGAGAAATAGCTAAATTTGAAATTTTCCACTCAATATGTTTACCATAGAGGAACATAAAATTGACCATTTTCAATTATTTTGAAAACAATGAAATGGAAATAATAATGGCCTTCTCAAGAAGGGAAAGAATAAAGTGTACACTTTTCATTGTGTTTATATTGCAACTGTGAAGTATGCCACATGTGGTTTCTAATGGAACTCTTAAAATTTCCCCTGAGTCATCCCAAATTTTATACTTTTAAAAATGCAGTATCTTTTCAATTAGAAGTGATAGAAAACACCAAATAGTAACCTTACAGAGTAAGAAGCTTATCTGCGTGGTTTCCACGTCTAAAAAGGGCAAGAAACTAGAATCAAATCATGGGAAAATGTTTTACTGTGTACATGGAGATTCTAAGAAAGACAGTGGTCACAAATTGTATGGGAACAATGGCCTAATTTTTCAGTTATTTTTGTGATAGTAGATGGTTTGCAAAATGGCCCCAATCTGATTTTGCCTTGTGTCAACACTCAGTTTCAAATGATTTTGAAGCTTCTCTAGTCAAGAATGGAGTCTTCTCTTCCTATTCCTCCAAGACAGGGACAGTGGTAGGGAAGCAAGTGGCTGTAGAGATAACAGAAGAAGAAGAGATGGAAAGTGACATAGCAGAAGGGGAGGGCCCATATTTGAATTTGAATTTTGGTAGGCAGTAGTGATAAAGGCTACAACCAGCAGAAGTGATCATGACCAGGAAGAGGTAGGCTTAGGGTTGGAGTTGAGATTTCAACATAACGCTGGCTGGAGAATCTGGGCTGGCTTGTCACATGTTTTGCCCAATGCAATGAGGAAGAAGTGATAGGGCACTAGTTCTGAGCCAAGGCCTCCAAATACCTTGATTCTATTCTCTCCTTCTTGTTCCTGTGTCTTTGAGGAAACTAGCCTGTTGGAACACAAGATCACACAAGGAACAGAGCTGAGTTGTCCACCTGAGATCATCCTAGACCTTTCACAGCTGACCATAGACCCATGAGCAAGCCTAGATGACAGCAGCTGACCAGCCCGCTCTTAAACTTATTAAAAATAACAAATTCTGTCAGTTTGTATTTCACACTATCCAAGAGTTAAGAATGGCAGAAAATCATTACACTAATTGCTGACTTCAAGAATTAAGACTCAGAAGTGGTGGAGTTAATTTCCCAAGGTCTGAGCCTACCTGTGACTTAAGCTCTGATCTTCTAGCTCCAAGAGTAGGACCTAAGTTGAAACATGAACACACTAAACTCATTTGCTGTTTCCCGAATGCCATTGAAATAATACCTTTAACTCAAAATATGGAAGCCTTTTTCTTAACAGTTTCCTTGGGCTTAAAATTCTCTAAGAGACTCCAAAATGATTTAAAGAACCTTAGATGGGAGAGCTATAATGGGTTGTTCAGGGAAACACAGCTGTTAAGGCAATATTTTCTGCCTTCTTTTGTCATAGTTATCAGAAATTAAATACCATGTTGAATGGATCATGGCTTTCTCCAGGTATGAGAAGGGTCAAGCATTTTTATACATTTTATACATTTACCTCTGAGCATCAGGTAAACAATATGGAATATACTTCCAAAAGAGCAAGTGAAATGCTGTGTTTCAAACCAACAGAATCCTATTCAGAGCAAAATGTTGCCATAAGGCCAAGAATGATTTTGCTCATCAAAAACACACTATCTGTATTTTAGGTTAGAGCCTCAAAGTTCCATAAAGATTGAGTGGAAGTCTATATAAAGTTAGAGTAAAGTCCATAAAGTTTAGAAAGTCTATAAAGTTGGAGTGAAGCACATCTTGGTAGATAGGCATAAGTACTGACTAAACTGCAAAGATTAGCTTCTATTTCTTGTATTACTAATATCACTTTTGAATCCCACCTTACCTATAAATCAGCTGAGTACAGATGCAACTTCTCAGGAATGGAGGGTGAGCAGTAAGCACTGTGGTGCACAGAAACAAGATCAAGTTGGGAATTGGAGACTTGTGCTTCCTGAATCTTATAGACTGAATTGTGTCCCCTGAAAAGTCATATGTTGTCATCCTAACTCCAGTATCTCAAAATGTGATTATATTTGGAGATGGGTCCTTTAACAAAGGGATTAAGTTAAAATGAGGTCATTACGATGGGCCTATCCAATATGACTGGTGTCATGAAAAGAGGAGAATAGGACATTGACATACAAAAGGAAAATCAAATGAGGACACAGCAGAAGTTGGCCATCTATAAGCCAAGGACAAAGGCCTCAAAAGAAATCAATCCTGCTAACACTTTAATCTCAGATTTCTAGCAATCCAGAACTGCAAGAAAATAAATGTCTGTTGTTTAAGCCACCCATTGGTACTTTGTTCTGGCAGCCCCTGCAAAAGAATACACTGAGTTTGAAAGAATACACTGAGGAGATGGTTGATTCAACCACAGCTTCATAACGGAAACACTTAAGGTGTGTAGGTGCAAATAAGTTTTTAAGCAATCAATGTTCTAAGACAGACAAAAATAAAGTGCTGTGAGAGTTTAGAGGAGGGAAAGGTTGGCATTTTTCCTTTACCCAGAAAATTAAAGCCAAAAGGAAAAATTACAAAGAACATGAGTTTTCAGGAATTGTTCAACCTGACTTGGAGTATTTAACATTTTTATCTACAGGGCTGTCACCTTCAGCATGTCTATTTTAAAGTAATTTAGAGGGCTCAAAAGATGTAACATTTGGGAGTTGTGCATTGCATTGTAGGAATTCAATATAGGAATAAATTTGCCATAAATAGTGAGGTATGGATGCTAGATGCTAGAAATATAGGTTGGTGCAAAAGTAATTGTGGTTTTGACGTTACTTTTAATAGCAAACACTGCAACTACTTTTGCAGTAACCTAATAGAAAGGGGTCTTGAAAGGGATCTCACTCACGTGACCCCTGAGGTTTGGACGGGTAAACTGGAGTCCAGAGATGTTTAGTGACTTGCCAAATGTCACTCAATGAGTCCAATAATCCAGGGCCAGAACTGGAAACAACGTAGCTTAGGTTGTTAGAAAAACAAGGTATAGAGCCAGTTATTCTATATGATAAAAGCAAAATGAGATACATCAATTCACTCCCCAATATAATTAGCAGCCCAATATCTTCGTTGTCTCAATCAGAATAAAATTAATCTCGGTTTACTACTAGAATTTCCTACTATAGCATTTTCATTTGTTCAACAATTAACAGTAAATTATTCTTTTGTTCAACCATTAATAGTAAACTATTTAGCTAACGTCTATAAAAAATACTGCAATGCCTTCTGCTGTTAAAAATCTTACCCTGTAGTCTCAAAATCAATTCTTCCCTCCTTGATGTAGCACCAGGATAATTGAGTTTCCTCCTTTCCAGAAATACTGGAGTAGATTCATGAGTCAGACATAGCTTTGGACTATGGAGCTCAAAAACCTGGTTATAAAACAAAATGCTTTTTTGTGTTTCCACCTCATGAAGGTAACCCTTACCTCTTCATGACAGGCAGTATGTATAATGGTTAGTAGCATGGGCACTGCTACATACCAGCTATGGAAACATGGATCCACTTTTTAAAGAGGTGATGATGGTAACAATGATGCCGTCCTCAAGGAATTTGTGAGGACTCCACTCTTTTCTTGGTTCCTCTGCTACATGGCTACTTCTCCTTCTTAGAATTAATAAAGGGATATTCCTCATTTCTTTAGCCTTAAGACACTGGAGTACTGTTAGTTCCATTCTGGAAACTTCTACATCTTCCTTCAATCAGTAAGTGAGCTCACAACATTCATGTTTGAAATGTCATCTATATACTAATAATTCTTAGATGTATATATACAGCCTTGGCTTCCCCTTAAACTCCTGATTCAAATCCTCTGCTCTCTACTTAATATCTACTCAATATTAGTAGATAGCTACTAATCTGCTTATATCCAATTTGCTCAGGCCAAACTCCTGATCCCTCCACACCCATTCCTTACACAGTTTTTCCCAACTGAGTTATGTCACCTACATTCTGTTATTATTCAAGGCAAAAGCTTTGCAGCAATTGTTGGCCTTTTTGTTTCTCTCACTTGCCCTATCCAGCCTATCAGCAATCCCACTGGCTCTGCCTTCAAAGTGTGTCCAGAATCTGACCCCTACTCACCGCCTTCATCACTGCCACCCAGGTTTAACCCACCTTCACTTCCCCCTTGTATTATTGCAAAAACCTCCTGACTGCTCTTCGTGATTCTGTCCTTGTCTTTCTAAAATCTATTCTCTAGAGAGATGTCTTAGAAAAATAACTGAGACGTAGTGACTTTCGTACTCAAAACCCTCCAATGGCTGTTATCTCATGAAGAGTAAAACCCAAAGTCCATCAAATGGCTGGAAAGGGTCCAGCTCCCAATCATCTCTGACCTCACTCTCTTCTAATTTATTCCTGCTCATTCTGTTCTACTGTACTGGCCTCCTTGGTCTTCCTTGCATGGGTTCCTGCCTCAGGGCCTTGGCATTTGCTGGAATGACATTGGCTGGACTGACTTTCCCTCGGACATACATGATTCACTCACTCTGTCACTTGTTTCAGCTCGTTCACCAAATGACATTGACTCTGAAAGGCCTTCCCTTACCACAGTCCTATCTAAAATAGCACACTTCTTCACTCTACTGTGTTGTGTCTATTTTCTCTTTGCTTCTTATCTGTCTTCTCTCTCCTTGAGTACAAGCCAACAAGGGCTTCTTTTTACACTGCTAAGTCAAGCATGCCTGTGATTAATGCACATGGTAAGTACTCAATAAATATTGGTAAAGTAAATAAACAAAAGAATCCTCTTATTCCTGATGAGAAACTTTCAGTGACTTTTCATTGACCACAAAATGACATCCAAACTGTTCCTTTTAGCTTTCAAGGCTTTCCATAATTTACCGTTCCAATTTCATTTTCCCACTAGACACCAAACCTCAGCCTGGCTATTTTCCGAACTCTAAGCCTCTCCTCCTGCACTCTACCCAGATGGTTCCTCACCATCTCAACATGCCCCTTGCTACCTGTCCATCAAAGCATGGCTCACCTGCTATAAACTCCCTTGAACCTCCCCTGATTCCCATAGCCCATGCTGTAGTACAGATGTTCATAGACATGTTTTTCCTTTTTGAACAGAGACTCTTCTTAGCTACTCGTGTCATCCATGCTCAGAGCTGGAACTCCAGTTAAAAATGAGCTCATTAAATAAATGAATTCTAGCCAAGATTCACTTTAGCCAAGAACCTGACAACCTTACAAGCAACATTATGGTTTCTAGATATTTTTCTCATTCCAGTGTTGTAAGAAGGATTTGAAATTTTATTTTTCTGAAGATACATTTTTTGCTCATTATATACACAAAAAGTGGCTGGTCTCCATATTGTAGATTAAGGAAGCTCATTGAATTAAAATGAGATCATAGGGTCTGTTTTAAGTGACTGGGAATTCAAATGTTAGGATTAAATCTTCAGAGAAAGACTACAAATTAAAGAGCCATTATCCAGATGTTTCTGAATATCTATCTCTACCTATGTCTTATTCAGCTGGTCATTTAGTTAAGTGAAGGGTGCATGTGGCTTCAGCTTTTGACTACCGCTGTCTTTCCTTCTCTAAAGGAAGCCTCACTGAGTACCCAGGCCACACCTAGTTACCTTATCTACTCCACAAATAACAAGCAATACCTCCAACCCCATAATTCCAGCACTGCTGGAAGGTGGGCTAAGTGGCTCACTCAGTGAGTTGATAGTCTGTCCTGCCCCCCACAGATGGGACTACAAACCAGGCCATGTCTCAGGTGACAGCCAATTTCCAAATGAGGCCAAGAATATTTAGAAGTGGTTACAGCTCTGATTTGGGATTCGTCTCCTGGAGATGCCATGGTGCCTTTTTAATTTCCTGACATTTTCAGACATGGAGAAAAGAATCTGGCTGATGAGTCACCAATATTAATGGGTTTTTGAATCCTATTCGCTGTGGCAGCTGCCTCTTCTTTAGTTATTCACACACAAAAAAAAGAAAAAGACTTTCAGGCAAACTCCGAGAAAGAAGCAGTGTTGGCAGCCATTCAATTGTCATGTGTATTCTCAGACCTTGGCCCCTGTTTCATGGGGAGGGGAGTTGTTTGTTTTTTTGCCTTGTGTGTGACTGTTTGAGAAGCTGAAGATAATTGTTATATACATACTACCTTGGTGGAGTGGGCTTCGTTTGTTTGATGGACAGAAAACACCTCCAGAGCTCAAATCTTGTGATTCTGCTGAGTCATAACAGAATAGAGGGTTGTATTACATTACAGCACTTCTTGTTTTCCTGGTTCCTGAATTCTGCTTTTACCTGCATGCCCTGATATGAAAAAGGAAAAATATAAAGTGAAATGTTTGTGTTTAGAATAGCTAATTATACTTCACAAACTTCCACACAAGTCCAAGGTTTGAAGCCAAAATATTAAAATAGTTGCATCCTTGCTACCTTTAGGGTCCTCCAGTTCCCAACATCCCAAGTGTATTTTAAAAGCAGCCCTAGCTGGCTCCCAACAGTGACTGTGAGCTTGCTAGATAACCAAGTCTCTTCTTCCTAACAGAAAAACATAACATTACCTATCCCTCTGTAAGTATGTGGTAAGAATTCTCTATTTCCTATTCTTCCTGTGCTTTTTAAACTAAAAGGAGTATATGGGCCAAGACAGCCCCTTTTGTGAGTTAACAGAGGACATTTTTTTCTTCACAGACCAAGATCTCTTGAGTTCTATCATAAATCATGAAACCCGTGCCAGGGTCCAAACTAGTTCTTCACAATCAAACAAACAATTAGCTCTGAGGTCACATTGTGGGGATAATGGGGGTAGGGAGGGAAGAAAGAAAATTAGCACACACATTATCTGAGATTTTATTTCACAGCACGCGTACAAAGAAGTGCTGCATCCAGGGCACAAGAGATTACTGATGAAAGGAATTTACAGTGAAAGATAACGAGGGAGCTTTCAGCAAGCCATCAATCTGTGGGCTGTTCCTGGAAGCCCCTGGACAGTCGGAACACAGACCGTGCTGAATGGAAGCAAGGTGACATTTAGAGGACATGGTTCACTGAAAAGAGCAAACGTATGCAAACCCAGGAATATCATCTTGTGAGGAAATAAACCTTGCTGCTGTGAACACCAGTGTTGTAGCTGTTGAGTCTTTCTCAGCTTACAGAGCAGAGCCTTTTGGCAGCCTGGGAATACTGCAGAAAACGAGAATAACTGCTGGCGCTCACTAGAACAGCAGACCCAGCTGGGAGCAAAGCAGAGAGTTGCAGACACTCTCTCTTAATCAAACTTTGTACGAAGAGCTTGAGAGATTATTTCTTTGTCTTACCCATTTCACATCCTGTTATTTTTTTTTCTGCGTAAGTTTCAGTATGAAAGAACTGTGGATATTCTCTGAATTTAAGTAAATCCATTTAAGAACAGAGGTAATTAAAATTAGCCCAGGTGCAGTGGCTCACTCCTGTAATCCCAACACTTTGGGAGGCAGAAGTAGGCAGATCACCTGAGGTCGGGAGTTCGAGACCAGCCTGGCCAACATGGTGAAACCTTGTCTCCACTAAAAACACAAAAATTAGCTGAGTGTGGTGGTGCATGCCTGTAATCCAATCTACTAAGGAGGCTGAGGCCCGAGAAGCACTTGAATCTGGGAGGTGGAGATTGCAGTGAGCTGAGATCTCACCGCTGTACTCCAGCCTGGGTGAAAAGAGTGAGACTCCATCTAAAAAAAAAAAAAAGTAATTACTCTTAAAAAGGCTGTGTATATCATTGTTTCATTAAAGAAAATCAAGTTTCTGACCAGGCATGGTGGCTCATGCCTGTGATCCTAGCACTTTGGGAGGCCGAGGCAGGTGGATCACTTGAGGTCAGGAGTTTGAAACCAGCCTAGCTAATATGAGGAAACCCTGTCTCTACTAAAAATACAAAAAAAAATTAACCAAGGGTGGTGGTGAGTGCCAGTAATCCCAGCTACTTGGGAGGCTGAGGCAGAAGAATCACTTGAACCTGGGAGTTGGAGATTGCAGTGAGCCGAGATCGCACCACTGCACTCCAGCCTGGGAGAAAGAGCAATACTCCATCAGAAAGAAAAGAAAGAAAAGAAAAGAAAAGAGAAAAGAAAGAAGGAAGGAAGGAAGGAAGGAGAAAAAAAAGAAAAGAGAAGGAAGGAAGGAAGGAAAGAAATGAAAAGAAAAGAGAGAAAGAAAGAAGGAAAAGAAAGAAAGAAGAAAGAGAGAAAGAAAATCAAGTTTCCAAATGCCAGTCTCTTTATTTCCTTGAGGGAAAGTGTCCCGAGGAGGACTCATGTGTGCAAAGACTGACAGTGGCATGGAATCCCTCTCACACCATTGCATGTTCCTTTACTTTAACCATTTTTATTGGTTATGCCTCTATACACAAGACCACATGTTTCTTATAGAAATTACTTGGGGAAAAAAAGTCAATGAGAGCTTAATCTTCTGTGATGCTACCTATCAGTAATCACATCATTCATGCTTTAGCTATAATCTTCTGGACTTTCTTTAGTCAATATATACTTGTACCTATAAACCTATAAATGTGTATACACCTACTTATATTCTTTTCACAAAGGGAATCATCTTGAAATGTATTAAATATTTTGTAATTTGCTTTTCTTCACTCAACAATGAAGTATGTTGGTGTAGTTTGAAATGTACTAAACCTCATGTTGAAATGTAATCCCCAGTGTTGGAGGCAGGGTGTGATGGGAGGTGATTGAATCATGGGGGTAGACATCTCATGAATGGTTTAGCGCCAACCACCTGGTGCTGTCCTCCAGATACTGAGTGAGTTCTCATGAGAGCTGGTTGTTTAAAAGTGTGTGGCACTTCCCCTCTCCCCTCTTCTTGCTCCCACTCTGCCGTGTGAGATGCCTACTCCCCCTTCACCCTCCACCATGATTTAAGTTTCCTGAGGCCTCACCAGAAGCCAAGCAGATGCCAGTGCCATGCTTCTGGTACAACCTACAGAACTATAAGCCAATTAAGCCTCTTTTCTTTATAAATTACCTAGCCTCGGCTATCTCTTTATAGCAATGCAAGAATGGCCTAACACACATGTACATCTTTTCATGTTATTAAATATACATTTGCATCTTCATTCTAAATATCTGCACTGTGTTTTCTAGTGTAGATATCCATTAATTATTTAACACCAAAATCAGAGACATGTCTGAAATAAAACTACAAGTCCCAATTTCCCTGGATACTCTACTCAAAATGTAGTTTGGCATGCATCCATGCACACACAGCCATGCATTTTGTCTCATAATATAGTATTAGAGAAGGCTGAAGTGAACCTGGGAAGTTATAGAAATCCTGGAAGAATTAAAAAACTGGGCTAAATGCTTGCAGCATTTTTCCAAATTTGATGGAGCATGGATTCACTATAAACCACTGTAGATGCCTTTGCCTGCTGTAACCCCTACCACTGTTGTTTTTGCACATAGTTGATCTTCAAAAGCATTTGTTGATTTTAAAGGAATGAAGGAAGAGAGGACACATGTGATCTTTACCATGAGCTGGAGAGCTCTGCACTTCAGCAATTGCTCTTTATATCCTCATACAGCTGCGGGTAAAGCATAGTTCTCTGGAAGGAAGACAAAGGGGAAAACAGGAGGCCTCAGGCATTACTAGATGGAAACTCCTTAAGAAACCGTAAAACAAGGAAAGCAACTTCTCTCTCAATACTGTAAAGAAAGATATTGGAGAGAAGGTGAGATTTGGCTTAGTGTGAACAAGCCACAGCTGAGGAGATCATAAGGCCTGAGTACTTAAACATTTAAGTTCCATGCTTTAAATGTTAATTGAGATTAGCTTCAATTTCTGTGCAAAATAAAAAGGTTATCTGGCCAATGTGTACATGGTTTCCAGAATCAATGAAAGAAATGTATGAAATTGGCAGGTGAAGACTGCAATTTCTATTTCATAAAGAAAAATAGGTAGGAAATAGGTAGGCATGTGTGTGCCTCTAAAGAGTGAATGATGACCAGTCCTGTCAAAAACAAACAAAAAAAATCGTTCAAAAGGTTTTAAGGTCCCTGTGCGACGTAGAAAGAAGCTAACCTTCGGTCTTCATGATAAGCCATCAAGCCAAGCTAAGCCTGCCCACATTTCTTTCCTGTAACAGCTTAAAAATATATATAAAATCTAACAGGAATATCACTTTACAAGCAATCAGTAGCAGGACTCCAGCTGATTCCAAAATCATCTTTTTATTGTAACATGTCTGCTAACCTTCCATTTTATAAAATATCTTCTATACTACTTTCAGTACTTCAGAATATTCCTAAATGTATATACACTGTGGATGGATTTCAGATCTTTTTGGCCACAAAGGCCAACAGCAAAAGCCAGCCATCGCGTTCCAGGAACGGAGGTGCAAAATGCCGCTCAGATCACACACTCCTGCCTTGTGTTTGGTGAGAAGCAGCTGCTTCTATGTCAAGTTTATCTGTTTGAAATATTTACTGTATGTAATTATCACTTGGCTGGTGGGCCTTTGCCATAGAAACTGTCTTAGCAAACACGATGAACACCAGCGGGAAGATGAGCGCATATTTGGAAGGACAGAAACCCCTCTGCAAAACACCCCAGTCTTGAGAGGAACAGCTTCTGTGTGTGAAAACTTGAGAAACAAGTACTGGTTACATAAACAGGAACATGATGGAACCAAATGCTATTCCAGCCTTTTGCCATCATGCTTGGTTTTTGGCATAGAGAGCCAGAATAAACGTCCCAGTCTAAAGAGCTCACCAATTGAGGTAACTGGAATTACAATTATAGGAGTTCCTCAGACCCTTCCTACTCAGCCCTGCCAGCTTCTGACCATAAGCTGCAACCAACTAACTCAGTCCTATCCACTTTCTAAGATAATTTATTTCTTCTTTCAACAATTATTTTCACTACATATATGTAAGGTGTACAACATGATATTTCGATATCCTTAATTCATAGTGAGGTGGTTCCTATAGTGAGCACCAACTAATGCCCGGCATTCAGCTAGGGGCTGAGGATTCAGTAGTGAATGAGACAGGTAGGATCCATAGGGTCAGACACTGTTCTAATGGTCCCTAATGCTGGTTGTATCCTATTTTAGCCAACAACTGTAGCTATTCCTGCTCCCCCCTTCAGAAGTTTCCACCAACGTGTTCTCACTGCCCTGGAGGTCCCGTGCTAAGCCCACAACCCACCTGATCAATTTCTCAGAAATCTGATTACATCTCTTTAGTTATCACTTTTTAGATTGCTGGCCAACTGCTCCTGATCCATTACTACAGTCCTGAGCATGTCCGGTCAAATCTTCTTCCCCCTTTCCCACCAGCCAAGGATACAGTTCTAACATATTATACAGATATTTTGTATCTATTTTGTTTACTGAGGTTCGTATGCATATATATATTTATCTATTTTGTTTATTGAGCTTTGTTTGCATATACATATATGCATTGAGATTAGCGTCAATTTCTGTGCAAAATAAAAGGTTATCCGGCCAATGTGTACATGGCTTCTAGAATCAGTGAAAGAAATGTATGAAATTGTGTACAGTGAAAATGAGTACAGTAAATAGTCAGTTTCTCCAAACCAATTCAAGGTTATGTTGCTCACCTATCCTCATCACGCTGACCAAACTAACCTCCAATGGAAGGAAAGAAGGCGTATACATATATGCATACAAAGCTCAATAAGCCCAAATATGTAAGGGTTTATTGAGGTATATTTTGCAATAAAATTCACTCAATTTAGTGAATACTTCTGGGTTTAATAACATGCATATAGTCAAATAATCATCACCATAATAAAGATATAGTGCATTTTCATTAACCACTAAAATATTCTCATGCTCCTTTTGTAGTCAGCCCTACCCCCAGCCTCTGTAAACCACTGATCTGTTCTATTTCCCTATAGTTTCGGCTTGGAATCTGATATTCTGGAAAAACCAAAACTATAGCTTATAGTTTCAAATCTGATCAATGGAATCAAAAGGCATGTAACTTTTTGAGTCTGGTTTCTATCACTTAGCATAATGCATTTGAAATTTCTCCATGAGGTTGCATGTATCAATAGATCTTTTTTATTGCCAAATAGTACTTCATTATGTGTACGTACCACCATTTATTTTCCCATTTGGTAATCAGACGACACTTGGGTTCATTCCAGTTTTTAGCAATTGTGACTAAAGCTGCTGTAAATATTCATGTACAGGTTTCTGTGTGAATATGTGGCTTTATTTCTCTTGGGTAAATATACAGGCAAGGGATTTCCAGGCCATACGGCAAATGTGTGCTTAGTGTTATAAAACTAACATTTTTTAATGACTTTTTTTTTTTTTTGAGACAGAGTCTTGCTCTATCACCAGGCTGGAGTGCAGTGGCATGATCTTGGCTTGCTGCAACCTCCGCCTCCTGGGTTCAAGCAGTCCCCCTGCCTCAGCCCCCCAAGTAGCTGGGACTACAGGTGCGCATCACCACACCTGGCTAATTTTTTTGTATTTTTAGTAGAGATGAGGTTTCGCCATGTTGGCCAGGATGGTCTTGATCTCCTGGCCTTGTGATCCACCTGCCTCGGCCTCCCAAAGTGCTGGGATTACAGGTGTGAGCCACCGTACCTGGCCAATGACTATTTTTGGAGCTAGCAAGTGCATTTTTATGTTAATGGAATGAAGATTAAACCTGGAATTCAAGGCACACATTTGAAACTAATAATTTTCACAGCTTTAGATAAATTCTGTCATTATTTTTTAACTCCTTTCCTTGTCTATGAACATGGATTATCATCATTCACAGAGTCATTTCAGTGTAACATAAGCTAACTATGGGAGAGCCTTATAAAATGTAAATTATTAAACTCTATTATAAATTACGATTATATTACATTATTATTACATTTTGTTACAAATCTATTACAAATGAGAGGTCACTGTTGTGTTATGATGCATGTTGAATGTGGTTGACACAAAACTGAAGTCACAGGCACCCTCTGCCATGCATTTGTACCCTTTGTCCTTTTAAAGATTCTAGGGTTGCTGTGTGTAATACAGTAGCCACTAGCCACATCATTTAAATTTAAATTAATTAAAATTAAATAGAGTTAGAGATTCAGGTCCTCAGTTGCACTAGCTGCATTTCAGGTGCTCTGTAGCCTCATGGGGCTAGTGACTACCTCACTGGACAATGCAGACTATAAAACATTTCTTTCATTACAGAAAGTTGTAGATGGTGCTGATCAAAAGGGCAGATACTATGCCCTTGCCCTTCTCAACAAACAACCTGGAAAAAAAATCCTAGAACCCTTTTACAACTCAATATTAAAAATTTGTTGTGACCACTATTATCTGTTTTGATCTTGAGACTCTTAGTCAGCCCTATAAGCCCAAATACCCAGGCATCCACTGCCTCGTAAAAGTAAGGTACATACATCTACCCATGAGTAATGAAATCATTCTACACATTTCTGGCCTGATCCTATATTGATCTACCCTTTTCTGGGTCCTTACTCACGACTGTTTCTGTTTATTATCTTGTTCTTGCTCCTTTTAGCATGACCTTTGCACCTAACATCTCTGACTTCAATTCTGGATTCCTTCTCTGCTTTTCTGGGGTATCCATCCCAAAAGAGTACAGTAAATAGTTTCTCCAAACCAATTCAAGTCTATGGGGCTGACCCATCCTCATCATGCTGACCAAACTAACCTCCAATAGAATGAAAGAACTGCACCATAAGGGCAGCAGCAGCTGTTCAGGTTAGGTCAGTGTTGTGAACCTTTGACAGGGGTCATGAATTTCAATGCCTTCAGGAGCCACGCAAGCCACGTAAATGAATGAAGCAGGCTGAGAGGAACAGGAGGCAGTGGAAGAGATAAGGCAGATGGAGAGCATATGCTCTACCACAGAAAGCAATTCAAATATCAATAAATAAACACTCTGTGGCAATTGCAGGCACAGAAATTAGAAAAGAAGACATTACACTATCTATGTTTGCAGATGATGAAATAGTGCCCTGGAAAAAAAGGCCAAGAGTATCAATGCTAAAATTAGTAAAAACAGAAAAAAAATTAGTAAGCTAGAAAGATAGAATACCAGCATACAAAAATTAGTAATCTTATATATACAAACTTTAATCAGCTAGAACATAACCCTATTTATAACCACACATGCAAAAAAAGAAAAGATGAAAAATTTGAAACAGTCAAATGAAGAAGGCTTTCAAATATTTCCCCCAAAAGACAAAATTAGATTGGGATAAATGCAAAAACATCCTTATTCTTGAACAAAACAATTCAACATCATAAACTTGTCAGGACTTCCCATTATATAAATTTAATGAGACCCCAATTTTAAAAACTAAGGCGTTTGCTTTTCTGGAACTAAATAAGTTGATTGTAAAGATTACATGCATTTTAACCATTCGAGAAAATCTAGGAAAACCCTAAAAAGGAGAAATGAGTAGAGACGAATTCTGCCAGATTAAAACTCAGTATGCAGGCTGCATAATTAAAACAGAGTGGTCCTGGGGCCCAATTAAATGAAATAGAAAGTACACAAATAGAAAGAAAAAGATTGATACATTCAACTACAGCAGTGTAAAATAAAACTTTTTGCATGGAGAAAAATGCTGTCAGAAAAGTAGGAAGGTAAATTATAAACTGGGAGAAAATATTTGCTTAGACAAATTTGGTTAGACAAAGTACTAACCTTGTTAATTTGTAAATAAGTCCCTAAAAATAAGAAAAAAGAAGCACCAAAAACCTAATACAAAAATGGACAAAAGGGGAAGCTCTGTATTGTTGTCCACAGCTGCAGCATTTACATTTCCATCAACTGTGCACAAGGGTTCCAATTTCTCAAAAAAATTAAAAAAAGAATGACCATCCAGTAATTCCACTGCCAGTTATATGTCTGAAGGAAATAAAATTTTTATCTCAGAGAGATAACTGCACTCCCAAGTTCATGGCAGCATTATTCACAATAGCCAGTACATGGAAACAACCCAAATGTCTATGAATGAATGAATGAATGAATGAAAGAATGAATACAGAAAATGTGGTATAGACATACAATGAAATTAATCAGACTTAAACAATAAGGAAATTCTTCCATTTGAGACAACATGGATGAATCTAGATGATATTATGCTAACTAAAACAAGACCAGTCAAAGAAGGACAAATACTGCATATTTCCTATTATATGAAGCATCTAAAATAGTCACACTCATAGAAGCAGAGAGTAGAATGCTGCTTGCCAGGAGCTGGGGAGAAGGGGAGATGAGGAGATGCTGTTCAATGGCTCTAGTCTCTGTTATGCTAGATGAATAAGTTCTAGAGATCTCCTGTACAGTACAATGCTGTAGTTGACAATATTGTTTGTGCACATCAAAATTTGTTAGGAGAATGGATCTCATGTTATGTGTTCTTACAAAAACAAAACAAAACAAAAGGACATAGGGAAACTTTGGGAGATAGATGTTGGATGTGTCTATTACCTTGATTGTAGTTGACGGTATCAGGGATGTTTACATACATCTAAACTCATCAATTTTTTTTTTTTGAGACAGAGCCTTGCTCTGTGGCCCAGGCTGGAGTGCAGTGGGGTGATCTTGGCTCACTGCAACCTCTGCCTCCAGGGTTCAAGTGATTCTCTTGCCTCAGCCTCCTGAGTAGCTGGACTACAGGCATGCACCACCACATCCAGCTAATCTTTAGCCCGTCTCTCTTTTAATAGAGACAGGGTTTCACCATGTTGTCTGCGCTGGTCTCAAACTCTTGACCTCAAGTGATCCACCTGCCTTGGCCTCCCAAACTGCTGGCATTACAGCCATGGGCTACCATGCCCAGCCTAAACTCGTCAATTTTTATGTACACATTAAGTATGTGCATTTTTATGTACCAATTATACCTCAATAAAGCTGTTTTAAAAATTAAAAATAAACAAGTAAAAATTAATTACATTGCACCTAAAAAATGAAAAAAGACTTGAACACATAGTTCAGAAAAAAAGACACATACGAATTGACATGTAAGCAAGAAAAGAGGCTCAATTTTTCTCATAATAAAACAAATGCAAAGTACAACACCGAAATACCATGTCTCACTTACAGATTGACGAAAACCAAATGCTTGAGAAAACATGCTGCTGGCAAGGTCGTGAGGTAGCAGACACTATGGTCATTCCTGGTGAATGTACAAAATCGTACAAATCTAAGCTGGACAATTGCAAATATCTTACAAAATTATATGCATTTTTATCCTATGACCTAGCAATCCCATTTCTAGAAACCTACCTGAAACTATTTCCCACAAAAGGAAACAACATAGGCACAAAGTTATTCACGTAGGCATCATTGATAGCTGTAAAAGATTGAAAACCATCCAAATATTCAACAACTAGAGACCTATTGAATAAACTATGGTTCATCCTCACAATGGGGTACTTTGCAGCTATAAAAAAGAATGAGAAAGAGCTTCATGAATGGGTATGGAATGAATTTCAAAATTCCGTATATATTGCAAAGTTATAAGCATAAGATGCAAAACAGTGCACATGGCATAATATGATACTTTTGTGTATATATATTTTAAAAACTGATAAAACAAATGAAAATTGTTACTTACAGGGCTGAGTAGCAACAGGGTCAGGGGAATAGGGATAGAAATGAGAATTCTATGAGTACACCTTTTGAATCACATATTCAAAAAGTAAAATTAAATCAAAAGGACAAAAAAATTCATGTCAGACAAACGCAAAATATCAGCAGGTTGAATTTACCCACCTTTTCTGCAACCATTGACCTATGCAATTACATACAGTCTTAAGGACTTCCTTGGCTTTCTAAGGTGCATTCTGAGGCTGTGAATAGAAAATATGGCTTGGGGAAGGAGAATTAAGATTTAAAATTAGGTTAGGCTGATTGCATTCACCTTCATAAAGACTAATAGCCAGTTACATTATAATTAGCTGCTCAATTCCATTACCTTCACAATGCATAGAGAAATATTACTCACAAGTTTTTCATTCTGTCTTTTCATCTTTCTCCCAAAGTGATTTTGATCACATACCAAGTTCAAAAACTTATTATTCGGTTTCTAAGATTTCAGGAAACAAGGCCAACTTTATCCTCATTTCCATCATCTGACTCACACACCAAGCCCCTGAGGCAGCAACGCCGAACATATTGGTATCAGCAATTACAGGCTGACTCATCCAAGAACGTGCACAATTAACCTATTGAACATCTCTCCACCGGGCTTTTCATCCTCAGTAGGACCATCTGCACCACATTCACCCAGGGCAGGAGCCCAGCCAACCCAGTGTGCATTCCCACGCATTTCCGCTTTGATGCCAAGCCAGAAGCAATTCATAACCCCACAGTGCAGTGCCGCATCAGCAATGGATCTCAAGCTCAGAACATTCACTCTAAGCTGAACAGACCATTTCTGGGTTCTCTGCTCCTACCATGCTAACCCTGAAAGCACCCCAAAACTTAAGAAAGGGATTTCCTACTGTTGCAATGCTTCATCTAACAGTTAACAAAATATTAATACTATAGGGCTTAAGACTCCAAATTCCAAGTTTTATTTGGATATAGGTTTCACCACCTGGTTCAGTGAAGGGCCATAGGAAAAATCACTTACTCTCACTAAATTTCAGTGTCCTCATTTGTTAGACACCCAGGTAAAAATTTTTTTGGTAAAAATTTAAATGAGGTACTTGATAGGTACTAGAGTTGCAAATAAGTATTCTGGCCCCCTAGTCAATGTACTGAGAAAAATTAGTTCTTATTTCTAACTGATGACATCTTCTCCCTAAGAATTCCCACCCAACCCACCAAGAGTAGAAAAAAGAAACAACACAAACAACAAAACCCTGAACTCTGCCGTTTAAGAGCTCTCAATTCCTTCCAGTTAAGAGTATCCTTGGGGTAACACAGCGTATTTCATGTACACATTCACCTCGTCAAATCTTCCACCCTACTTCTCTTCTGCAAGGAGGATTACTAGGATGACTTAACGGTAGCAGGGAAAAGGGATACAACTCCAGGTGCCAACTCTGGTATTCACTGATCTCTACTGCAGAGTGGCTGGCTGGTCTGGTTCTGCCCTGGCCTGGGTTCTGTGAAGGTCCAAGTGACAGGGTTGTACCTGGTTGGGAGTGGTCATTCTATGCTGCCCACTGCTCAAGCCAGCAGCTGACACAATGATGATCTATTTATTTGGCTCGATCAAGACTTGCCTTGCCCACTGGGTCCCAATTCAGTGTGCAGGTGTGCCAGGACTCCTGTCTTTCCCTGTCCCTGGCAATTCTACCCCCAGAGAATTCTTAGCTACTCTCCTTTCTGCCACCAGAAAAGGCTTTTAGGAACTGCTGGGTCCCTTGATATCCCACTGGAGATAAGTGCAGCTCAACAGAGCTAGCACGTGTGGCCACCTCTCTACTCCCTTTTTATGCTATCACTCCCCTGAACACTGGAGCCAATAGCATTAGCAGTTGTCTCTCAGGGTTTCAAAGAGGGAATGGGATCAGAACCATTGTTTCCAATATATCTCGTTCTGCAATAACACTCTCCTTACTCTGGCCCTCCCTGGAACTTTGGTTCAAAAAGAGGTATCAAAACATTTGTTGTAATCATATGAAAAAAGCTCAGCATCACTGATCTTTAAAGAAATGCAAATCAAAACAACAATGAGATACCATTTCACACCAGCCAGAATGACTATTATTAAAAAGTCAAAAAATAACAGATGCTGGTGAGATGGTGGAGAAAAAAAAAGAATGCTTATACACTGTCGGTGGGAGTGTAAATTAGTTCATCCATTGTGGAAGACAGTGTGGCAATTCCTCAAAGACCTAAACACAGGAATACCATTCGACCCAGCAATCCCATTACTGGGTATATACCCAGAGGAATATAAATTATTATATTATAAAGATACATGCCCGTGTATGTTCATTGCAGCACTACTATTCACAATAACAAAGACATGGAATCAACCTCAATTCCCATCAATAACAGACTGGATAAATAAAATGTGGTTCGTATACACCACAGAATACTATGCAGCCATAAAAAGGAATGAGATCATGTCCTTTGCAGGGTCATGGATGGAGCTGGAGGCCATTATCCCTAGCAAACTAACAAAGAAACAGAAAACCAAATACCAACATGTTCTCACTTATAAGTGGGAGCTGAATGATAAGAACACATGGACACATGGTAGGGAACAAGACACAGACACACTGCGGCCGTTTGGAAGGTGGAGGATGGGAGGAGGGAGAGGATCAGGAAAAAATAACTAATGTGTACTAGGCTTAATACCTGGGTGATGAAATAATCTGTACAACAAACCCCCGTAACACAAGTTTATCTAGGCAGCAAACTTGCATTAGACCCCAAACTTAAAATTAAAGTTTTTTAAAAATAAAAAAAGATGTCCACACAAAACAAACAAATAAAAAAAAAACACAAACGTTTGTTGTTTTCCAACAATGCTGTCTTCACACAGGCTCTTTTCTTTGTCTGGAAGGGACGTTGCAATGTTATATCCTTCTTCTGGTAGTGGCATCCAACAGGCCCACTTCTCTGAGGCCATAAAAGTGCATGGGGAACAAGAAAGGAACCAGTTTACTGATAAGGGAAGTTCCAAAGTAGAGTTTCTTTGTTATTTATGTACAGCATTTAGCATTGTGTCTGGCACAGAACATGCGCTCAATAATGGCAGCTAGTACTAATAATAATATTCTGTATTTGTTCGAGGAAGGCTCTCCTTCTCCACACTTTTTCAAACTAAGTCAAATTATGAAAAGTCTAAGTCTGGATGCAGTTGCTCATGCCTGTAAGCCCAGAACTTTGGGAGGTCGAGGCAAGTGGATCACCTGAGGTCAGGAGTTCAAGTCCAATATGGTGAAACCCCTGTCTCTACTAAAAATGCAAAAATTAGCCAGGTGTGGTGGTGTGCATCTGTATTCTCAGCTACTTGGGAGGCTGAGACAGGAGAATTGCTTGAACCTGGGAGGCAGAGGTTGAAGTGAGCCAAGATCGCACCACTGCACTCCAGCCTGGGCAACAGAGAGAGACTCCATCTCAAAAAAAAAAAAAATCTATATGTTCATGTGTCAGTTGAATTTGCCTTTATTGATACTAAAGGCAACCAGAAGGTCCATGTTTGTCTTGTGAGTGTTGTAAATGATTATTGATTCAAATGTACATACAGGCTTTATCTCTATTTTCACATTGCCAATAGCCCTATTACCCTGGTTTTATGATGCCAATGAAGGAGAATTGTATGAAAGTCTCCCTGTGGAAAGATATTTCTAATACTTACTAATTTGTGCATTCATCTGTGCAGCATATATGTCTGGGAATACACGAATAAAATACAGTTTCCGTACCTTCTGGACATAAGACAAAGAGCTTATTCCTTAATATACAAAGAGCTTTTACAAATCAATAAGTGAAAAAACACAAAATTTGAGCAAGGATGTGATCCACACAAACACATACACATACACACACCCACACAAATCCTATCAATATTTTTTAGTGTTCAATCCACTCAGAGAAATGCAAATTAAATTTCTAAGATATTACCTAAGAGGATGTTATAATGAGACTGTTTCTGTGTCAGTTTCAGCTGAGGCAGGAAAACATTAAATTCAAAGGAGACCACACTGCTAAACTTTCTAATTCAATGATCCAGATCAGCCATCTTTTAAACCTTTCATCCATAATAAGGAGGGAAAAAGGGCTAGAACACTGGAGATTGAGGGAGGATTTCAGACGAGTGTTGCTCGAAAGCTACTAATTTCCTGTGTCCCTCTCCATTAGGGAGCTGTAAGGGGAGTCTTTGTCTATCACCTTAAATCTAGAGAGAAGAGTTTCAGTGGGACTACCAAGAGCATTTGACACATGCCCCTGAAGTTGGGAAACACAGACAATTGATGTCAAACTCCAGCCTGGAAAACCTCCTTAACCTATTGGCTCATTCAGCACATATTTATTGGGTGCCTACTTTGTGCAAGTCACTACTGTACAAAGAGCCGGGGATACAGCAATGAAGAAGGCAAATGAGGCAACACCACCATAGAGCATACAATTTCATGAGAACCAACGACTTTGCGTTCTGCTATCCAAATTTAAATGGTGATCATTCATAAAGATTAGATTTGGGGGAATGCTCCAAGTGAATTGTGGATAAATCTATGCCATTGAGGCATATATTAGTTCACCCCCTTGGGCAACTAGCTTCCAAAACTCCTGTAAAAAGAAGAGCTTCTAACTACTTGCTTTGGTGTTTTGTTTTGCTGTTTCTGCAAGTGATACGCATTCAACTGATCTTTTCCTTCTTCATTTAAAGTCCTGTTTATCAGACTGCTTTTGCTATGAAAAAAGAAAGCTCTTCATTGCTGATGGATAGTTTTTCGTTTTTGTTTTTTTTTTAAAAAAAAGGTCAAAATAAAACTCTCAACAGAACATCAGCATTTAGTCTGGCTTCAAAGAATAAATAATTTTTTTCATGAAAGTTTTCACTTGGAGCCTGATTTTCCCTGGAAAGTAATCTTCTAACCAATATTCAGCCTGTGCCCTACCGTCAGTACTTTGTGAGCTTCAAAGTGGGAATTCAGTGAAATTTGATGGGCAAGCAACATGCTCAGAGCTGGACTTGGCTCTGTTCCCCTGGTTGTCTCCAGCTCAGCCCTCCGATTTAGGATGTGACAGAAGGAGTTGGAGGTTTGGGCTTAGCCTCAGAGAAGGGCAGCCCCTGCTTCTCTCCCAGGGACATTGAATGTTCTACTTCACCCACATCCTCTTAGGAATCGTCATCACTTAACAGGTCTTCTTTCCCTCCACGTCGGTATTCAGCCGTCTCACTGAACCTAATCTTCCTCCCTGCCACCATGGTGTGCTGGTAAAAGTTTAACCACCAACTCTGGAGTGGGAGAGCCCTGATTTGTAACATTTACTGATTACTGTGGTGTAAATACCCTCACTGTGGTCGATTTCAAGCTACCAACCTGCCACCACTGAATGCAGAGTTGGAAAGAGATGCTAACAGGATACCACGTGCCAGTCCCACGTGTTTACTTTTCTCATTCCTCGTTTCTAGACTTCAGATAAGGTGACTGTGGAACCACGCCACCTCTGTTTTATGCTTTGTTTTGTTTTCAGAAGAAACCATCTTTTTCCTGCTATTTTGGATTGTGCCTCACTGTCCTGGTGTCTGCGTTATCCTTGTCACCACCTGGCATCCATCTGTTTTCTTTCCCTGGCATTCTTTCAGATATCATGTCAACCTCTGCCATCTTTTAGTTTTCTTTAGCCACCCTTTGCTTATGGTAGCTGTCTTTGTTCCTCTGAGAACCTAGCTATGGTTGATTCATCTCATTTTTCCTTGCTGCTGGACCTCTAAGGATGGCGTGGTTGTGCCTGCTGTCCCTTCCCAGTGGCTTGATACTTGATCCATGGAACGGCTGGCATAGATAAGGCCACCTAGCAGCCAGTGACTTCTCATCCCCCGTTTCCTTATTTTTGCACAAAGCCCTTTTGCAAGATTATTCTTCACATGTACACATCCACCCAGGCTATGGGTAGACACGTACGGCACATTTCAAGTGTGCTGGGAGATGTATACCTCCGCCTTCTCCTTGATATAGCTAAGAGTTCAGAAAAGATCCACTTCAAGTCTCCACCAACAGCTTTGTCTCTGAGGAAGCAATTGCTGCTGCAGCACTTCGTAGGAAGCCATTAGCTCTGGCACAGCTTCATCGCTTTGGAAATAGGAAGATTAAATGGGAAGAGTTGGGAATGTATTGTGATACCCAGGGAATCTATAACACAAAAATAACAATATGTGGGAAAATATAATGCATTCTGTTATTTCAGATGATTCTCATTTCATCACAGAACCTCCTTTTACTGAAGGGAAATGCTTCTGAGGTCAGATAAAAAGGGAAGTGTTTTTACCAGGGAGTATTAACCTTGTTATTCTCAAGAAAGCTTTCTGTGTCTCCTGATCGCTTCCCTGGTGGTTGCACCTGGGAAGCCTGGGACCAACCTCTATCTTACCACATAACAACAGCTGGTAACACATTCCAGGAAGATGCGGATGAGTGGTGAGGAAGAAAAGCTCTTCCAGAATAACTGATATACTCAAGATTCTCTGTATGCATGCGCTTACACGATTTTTGTTTGCTTGTTTTTTAACTTTTTACTGAGATGTAATTTCAAATGAACAGAAAATTTGCAAGAATGTATAAATACCTGTATACACTATACCCAAATTCATTACCCATTTATATTTCTGTGTATTTGGTTTTGGTCTGTGTGTTTACTTACTGGCTTGGTTAGTTGTGTCTTTTCAAATAATGCAACCTTTTGGTGTCCTCATTCCCTAATTTGGGAATTTGGGGTTTTTTCTTTAATGATTAGAATAAAGCTATGTTGTTTCTGACCCAGGAGTTAAAAAAAATAAAAATCAATAAAAATAACAGAATAATGCTTCGGGAAGTTCTGACCAATCAGTAACGTGCACTTTTCAGTTTGGAATCCAGATCTGATCACACTGTAAAGGGGCATGACATTTGAAGACATGGATGAAGAATGATGTGAGAAGTTGGGGGCAGAGGAAACTTATTGGACAACACTGAAAGTGAGGAGAGTCCTACTGCAAAGGAGTGAGA
Source organism: Homo sapiens (assembly GCF_000001405.40). Taxonomy (NCBI): domain Eukaryota; kingdom Metazoa; phylum Chordata; class Mammalia; order Primates; family Hominidae; genus Homo; species Homo sapiens. The sequence goes on from NC_000002.12 coordinate 223,555,853, forward strand.
ATAAGATCATCAAGAAAAGCTGAGACAATTAGGGGCTATAAAGAATTAAGTAATAATGAGTGTTAAACCTTTCAATGGAGTTACCTTTTTTGTATGTGACTATCTAAGAACTGTGGGGAGGGGAAAGAATAAACGAAAAAGAAAAGGCAAATACTGCTTGAGGGAAGAGTGTGTCATTATCCCTAGGCATTAATGCCACCTGAAGGAGCTCATGGTGCTCCACCGCACACACGACGGAGTGATGTTCACAGACCGCCAGCTCAAAGTTGCTAACTAAATAAGTATTCTCTGTCCCAAGTCCCATTACAATTCCAGAAGAAATATAAAAATACAGTCACTACAGCTCTAAAAATGCAGAAAAGTTGTCAAAGATGAAACAATCGATATTGATCTACAACTTTTACTCATCAACAAATATTAATGAGTGCACACTCTGTGTTAGGCAGGCAGAAGTTCCTGCTCTTAATGCATTTGCATTCTTGTGGAAAACAGTTCCCATCCTCATGGGGTGGTTGACATTTGAAGAAACTCCATGCAGACCAACAAGGGAGTTTTTTCATCAGAATCCCAGAATAACAAAAGGTCTCAGGACTGTAACTGTAGACATGAGAGAGATTTCTCAAACTATAAGAGAATGCTCTGTACAGATGTATGCCAAAAATCTTGAAAATATACATGAAATGGATGCATTTTTCAGAAAGTTTAAAAATATGTGTATTTCACTCAATAAGCAGTAGAAGACATGGAAAGATGAATAGACACTGGCAAAAGTAACAATTTGATCAAATGACTACTAAAATTTTTTAAAGACATCACACTTAGACAGGGCACGGTGGCTCACGCCTGTAATCCCAGCACTTTGGGAAGCTGAGGTGGGCAGATGATGAGGTCAAGAGATCGAGACCATCCTCGCCAACATGGTGAAAACTCATCTCTACTAAAAATATAAAAATTAGCTGGGTGTGGTGGCACGCGCCTGTAGTCCCAGCTACTCAGGAAGCTGAGGCAGGAGAATCACTTGAACCCGGGAGGCGGAGGTTGCAGTGAGCTGAGATCACACCATTGCACTCCAGCCTGGGTGACAGAGTGAGGTTCCTTCTCAAAAAAAAAAATAAAGACATCACACTTAGATTCCATAGGCAGATTAGATTCCATAGGCATGGAATCACACTTAGATTCCATAGGCATATCCAAATCTGAATAGATAATATACTTATGTTATACAAATTTCTATGTCCTGTTCCAGAACACAAAATAATTGATAGAATACTTTCCAACTCATTCAGTGAAACTAACTATAACCCTGGTACCAAAACCAGACAGAAAAAAGAAAACATAAAGAAGAAAACTATAAACAATGAATTAAATTATAACCAATTTATTAAACTATAGACAATCAATTAAATTACATTCCTTAATAAGATAAAGGAGACACCCAAATAATTGTTTTAACAGATCTTAAGACATGTTACTTAGTATTTGATAAAATTCAACACCTGTTTCTATCTTTCAAAGGTATCAGTAAGTAAGAAATAAAAATAAATTTATTTTATAAATGTCACCTAATGGAAGTTGAGAGCAAACACTTTACCTAGGTAAAACATTTGAAGCACGTTCATAAAAATCAGTAAGGTGATAAAGATGGCCATTGTCACCTTTGCTCTGGGCAGTCCTGGCCAAAGAAAAAAATATGGAAAAATATAAAGGTATAAATTCATTTTGGGAACAATGAAATCAAAAACTAATTATCTTAGATATGATCCTCTACCTACAAGACCTAAGATAATCTAAAGAGGAAAAAAATGTAAGAAATAGTAAGAAGTACCTTAGGATTCAGCCATCCCACTTTTGCATATATATCCAAAGGAAATGAAATCAGTATGTTGAAGAGATGTCTTCATGCCCATATTCATTGCAGCATTATTTAAAACAGTTCAAACCGGGCACAGTGACTCATACCTGTAATCCCAGCACTTCGGGAGGCCAAGGTAGGTGGATCACCTGAGGTCAGAAGTTCAAGACCAGCCTGGCCAATGTGGTGAAACCCCGTCTCTACTAAAAATACAAAAATTAGCTGGGTGTGGTGACATGCACCTGTAGTCCCAGCCACTCGGGTGGCTAAGGCAGGAGAATCGGCTTGAACCCCGGAGGCAGAGGTTGCAGTGAACCGAGATCATGCCACTGCACTCCAGCCTGGGTGACAGAGCAGAACTCCATCTCAAAAAAATAAAAATAAAACAGTTCACAGTTCACACAGGGAAACAACCCAAGTATACATCAATAGATAAATGAATTTCTTTCTTTCTTTCTTTCTTTTTTGAGGCAGGGTCTTGCTCTATAACCCAGGCTGGAGTGCAGTGGCCTGATCTCGACTCACTGCAATTTCCACCTCCCAGGTTTAAGTGATTCTAGTACCTCAGCCTCCCAAGTAGCTGGGACTACAGGCACGCCACCATGCCCAAATAATTTTTGTATTTTTAGTTGAGACAAGGTTTTGCTCCATTGTTGGCCAGGCTGGTCTTGAACTCTTGACCTCAAGTGATCCTCCTGCCTTGGCTCCCAAAGTGCTGGAATTACAGGCATGAGCCACCGCACCCAGCCAGATGAATGAATTTTTAAAATGTGATATAAACACACAATGGACTATTGTTCAGTTTAGTTTTGGTTTGGTTTTTTTGAGACAGGTTCTTGCTCTGTGGTCCAGGCTAGGGTGTAGTGGCACAATGATGGCTCACTGCAGCCTCAGCTTCCCTGGCTCAAGCTATCCTCCCACTTCAGCTTTCCGAGTAGCTGAGACTACAGGTGCCTGCTACCACCCCTAGCTAATTTTTTGCATTTTTGGTAGAGACGGGGTTTTACCATCTTGCCCAAGCTGGTCTCTAACTCCTGGGTTCAAGTGAACTGCCCGCCTCGGCCTCCCAAAGTGCTGGAATTACAGGTGTGAGCCCCTGTGCCCATTCTTGTTTAGTTTATAAAAAGAAGAAAATTCTGCCACTTGTGAAAACATGGATAAAGCTAGAGGACATCACGCTAAGTGAAATAAGCCACTCACAGCAGGGTGAATACTGCATGGTTCCACCTATATGAGGTATCTACAATAGTCAAACTCATAGAAGCAGAGAATTGTTGCCAGAGGCTGGAGGGGGTGGGAAATGGGAAGCTGTTGTTTAATGAGTATAAAGTGTCAGCTACACTAGATGAATAAATTCTAGAGAGCTGTTGTACAATATAGTTCCTGTAGTTAATAACATGGTATTGTGCACTTTAAAAGTTATCAAGAGGGTAGATCTCATGTTGTGTTCTTACCGAAAATCAAAAATGAAAGCAAAAACAAAGAGACACAAGGAAACCTTGAGAGGTGTTGGATATGCCTATTACCTTGATTGTGACAATGATATCATGGGTGTCTGCATATTTTCAAACTCATCAGATTGTACATATTAAATATGCACAGACTTTGCTTTATTAAAGCATCATTGGACAAAATACCAAGTCCAATTAGCATGTGAAAAGATACCTAACCTACAAAGTAATCAAGTAATCTCACAAGTTAAAACAACAATGGATGCCAAGTTTTGTCCATCAGACTGGCAAAAATAGAAAATGCTGATAATAACCAGTGCAGGCATATATATAGGTAAATTGGGACTTGTAGGCTTGACAGAGAGTACAAATTAAACTTTGCAACTGTAACTTGGTGTCATATGACAAAATTACAACATACATGTCTTTTAAATTAGAAATTCCAGCAAATCTATAAAACTGTCCAAGATACATGCAAACAGATATTTGTATACGGAAGTCAATAGTTAATATTATCTGCAATATAAAAAATTGTTGTAATCTAATTATTTATAATAGTCTAAGCATTATACAGTGTATGGCAGATGTATTCTGTGAAATACTACTCAGTCATGGAAAACAATGAGGCAGCTATAATAGTCTGATATTAATCGCCAATCATGATTTTTGTTAGAAGGTAATCAACATGCATTTCTTTCTTTTCCCTCCTGACTGAATTCCAATTCACTTAAAGTAGCAATGTGCCCAGATGAAGGTTTTCTTGAGAGATGGGTAGGTAATGTTGTGCAAACGGAAGTCGATGGGTTTCTGGAAAAGCTAATTAAGAGCGACTGGCTGATTAAATTACATTCTCCCCATCAATTTCTTCATCACTCTTGTCTGTATTAGTGATACAATGGCTAGCTCCTGTAGCTATCTTGAATTATGAGATGATCTGGAAGGTGAAAGCCATATGCTAAGAATGGCATATGGAAAGGGTAAAAACGGAAGGAGTGGAAAACAAAAAGCATTTTTCAGAACAATATGTGTAAAATATCTGATCTGTGTTTTTAAAAACCATGTAAATGTGTTTGTATAGAAAGAAAGTCTTTAACAATATACTCAAATTGGTATGAGTGGCTTTTTTATGGAGAGAAGAGTGTATTGTTATAAGTTTAATGTTATGCGTTATGGGGAACTTCCTTTTTTGATCTTACTTTTGAATGGTTTTAATTTTTAAAAGCTTATTGCATGCTGTATTTGAAACTTTTAAAATAACTAAATATATGTAGCCTTGTGTTTTTAGTACAACTTTAATTCTGAATACTCATTTATATTTGATTATTTCAAATGCTGCAATTTTGATAAAATGGCACTAAGGCCAAAAGAGACCTTGTAGATTTTCCAATTCCATCTCAAAATTTGACAGGTATGTCCATCAGTCTAGAAAGGTGAATAACCGACCTCAAAGAAATGCAGCTACCTTACAGCATAGGTCTGGAGGAGCCAACTAATTAAAAACTTAATTTGGAAGCACTAAATTAATTAAAAACCTAATATAATTCAGGTGCTCTGTTATATATGTTATCATTTATTCTTCACTTAAACCTTATATGATACCTATAATATCTCTATTTTACAGATGAGGAAAGTAAATTTTGAATAGTTTAACATAATCAATTTCCCTGAGAATATACATCAATTAAGGAAGGAACCTGGATTTAAAATCTGATCTACTTGCTTCAGCCTCTTTCCACTTCACCACATTGCCGCCCACACAACCCCTTGTGCAAACATTGTAAACAATAGCGTGGCCTAGCAGCTCCCAAGTTAATTTCCCCCATTATTATTTATTTGCTAAGTGTTATACAACAGCCACCAGAGAACCCCATCCCCAGGGAACCTGTCACTGTAGACTGTGCACCTAGACTGCTCACGTGGACTGCCTGATTTAAAATTGGTCCCACGTTGCCAAAGGAGGAATGTCAGTTGTTCCATTAATTGAAATGACATGACATAAAATATCAGTGATGCATGGCCAAAAGGCTCCCAGAAAACAAGGAAACATTGATGAGAGATAGGCCAGGGATTTCAAAGTTTCAAGAGACAGTATCCTCCACTGGGTTTCTGTAAATCAGTCAGCGCTTAGTCATCAAGAAAAGTAACAACAACTTCAGGACCAGAGACACTGATTTTCTCCGTGAAAGCCAATCCAGTGGCAATGCGAAGACATTACAGGACAAAGGACAAGCCTAATGGCAGAGAAGCAACACAAGCCCCAGAAGAGAGATCTCACAGCAAAATGAAAAATTCAAGAAATTCTGAAATTCTTTGAACTTATTTTCTTTTGTCATAGTTTTTTTTTCATTTATATCTGTGTTTAACAGTTTTTAAAGCTTTCTTTTCCCAAACCTTCACTCAAAATGCATACCCAGGAAGATTTGTCACATTCAATTTGGAGTTTCCATAGAATACCTGAAAATTATACAGAATTGAAAACAAAAGATGAATTATCAGATTCAGAGTACAACAGGTCTTAACCAGGGTAAATGAAAATGTTTCCACACTGATGCAACAAAAATAAACCATACATACTGTTTTAGGGTAAAGATTCTGACAGAGTATTAGAATATCATATCTTTCTGCATGAAGGGAGAAGAAATGAATTCCAAGATTCCACTGGCTAACAAACCAAAGAAAAACTATTTAGCATATCTTCCAAAATTATCGACATTAATATGTATATTGTTATCTATAACAACCAATTTATATAAACACAATTGACAAGCTTGATCTAACAGATATACATGAAACTCTGCATGGAATAATCAGAGAATAAAATTGATTAGGTCACAGAACAAGTCCCAATAAATGTCTAACAACTGTATTTTCACCACCAGGCCATAAAGTTTGAAATCTAGTTTTTCAATGATAACTTTCTTTTAAAAAAATTATACATACTTAGAAACTTAAAAACACGTGTATAGATAATGTATGGCTCAAAGAAAGAATCATAAGGAAAAATCAGAAAATACCAGAAACTGAACTACAAATGTCCCAGAGCTCTACCTCACCTGCATTCCTGTCTCCTCTTTGAGAAGAATCTTGTATTAGTCATTTACCCCTCAACATGAATCTCAGGCAATGAGCTCTCTGCCTTGGGGAAATTTCCACTTAAAGTACATCAGTGTCATAAGGGCCTAGACAATGAGCCAGTCTTGTGGGTTCAAATTTTGTTTCTGCTCTTTACTAACTATGTGACCACAGATAAGTGACTTGTCCTCTTTGTGCCTCGGTTGCCTCATCCATAAAGTAGAAATAACAATAGCTATATCAAAAACTGTAATGATGATTGAATATATCTAGCAGTGTGTGTGTGGTGTGTTTATACTGTTAGAATAGTGCCTGACAGGCTGGGCACGGTGGCTCACACCTGTAATCCCAGCACTTTGGGAGGCTGAGGAAGACAGATCACGAGGTCAGGATATCGAGATCATCCTGGCTAACATGGTGAAACCCCGTCTCTACTAAAAATACAAAAAAAGTAGCCAGGCGTGGTGGTGGGCGCCTGTAGTCCCAGCTACTCGGGAGGCTGAGGCAGGAGAATGGCGTGAACCCGGGAGGCGGAGTTTGCAGTGAGCCGAGATCGCACCACTGCACTCCAGCCTGGGAAACAGCGAGACTCTGTCTCAAAAAAAAAAAAAAAAAAAAAAAAAAAGAATAGTGCCTGACATGAAGTGAGCACACAACAAAGTGAAATGTTTTTGCTCTATTCATTACTAGCAGAATATCAGTAAACAGGTAGAGATGGTATTTAGGGAACAGGGACTTTGCAAAAGCCCCAAAATCCTGTTTTCAGGCAGCTTTCTCTCTACCTATCATTGAATCCAAACCTACATTTTAGTTCAACCAAATTAAAAATTGTCACTTTTCTCGCCATCTCATACTACCACGGTCTTTGTCTAGGACTTAGCAATGTTTCCTTGAATGATTAGCAGTTCTTCCACTCTGGAATTTTCATCTGCAAGCCCTCCTCAAGTCAGGGCCAGAGGAGACCAATAAAATTGGGGAATTCTAGGATCATCCCATTCAACAAACTCCCTCCACAATATACTGATGTAGCATAAAAGATTAATCCCATTAGAGAATAAAGAATTATGTTTCATTCAAATAAAATTTAAAATTGAGTTGGACAAAACTACCTTGGTAATACACATGGTATTTGTTTGTAGTAACCATCCTTTCAATTAAGAGCAAAACATCTCCTAAGTGAGAAGGAGTTCAGATTGTTGCCTTTGCTTTGCCAAGCCTGCAAGAAGAAAATCTGCAGCATCTGGAGAGGTGAAATTTGCTCTTTATTCTCTTTACATGGGCCATGAAGGGCTAGACCTCTCATTTTAAAGGTGGTGGAGCTTTCTCTCTTCTCCCTGCAGGTGTCATGTTGTAGTGGACACTTCCATCATCTATGTTTAGTGATTACTCACTGCTTCCCATGTGTGGGAGGAAGAATGACTCATCAGGTTGTTTAGAAAGAATCCAGGACAAAGGGACAGGTTCTGTGCCTTTCCATCTGCCTTCCAGAGACAGCCTGATATTCCTTCTCAATCTCTCTTTCTCTCTCTCTCTCTCTTTCTGTTTCTTTCTCTCTCTCATTTTCCCTCCCTCCCTCCTAGCTTCCAACTTCACTGCCTATAAACATGTGAGGAAATCAGGCTGCCCCTGCTCCATTTGTCTGGTTGTCTTCAATTTGGGGCGAAAATCAGGGAAGGGACCTTTTTTAATATAGCCAGGGACCCTGCCTTTCACAGTAAAAAGCAACTTGATGGGCCATTATAAGGGCTCCTGTGAGGCTTTCAGTTCTTTGTGAGAATAAATTACTACCAAGAACTGTGAAGGAAAAGGGGTGAGTCTACACTTCTAATATATTCATACTTACCCCTAATTTAGAATTAGGAATATTAAGCAGTTTTTACTAACTGGGATTTTTTTCTAATATATAATTATTTAACTTGTAATGTTGAAAAGATGAGTAATAAATAGCTTCACTATAATAGCCTTTCCTGGGATGGTCTCTTTTTGAACTCAAGATATCATTTGAATTATGTTCCTTGAATCTAGTAATTTCAGACCATTTACTATAACATAATTGAAAGAAACATTGTCATGAATCTGGCCTAACTAGATATTGACATTTCTTAAGGAAATGCCAAAAAAAAGAAAAAAAAAACTGTACATGAAACAAACAAACAAACAAAAAAAAAACCATAAGTGAAACAATGGGTAAATACACCAATGATAGGAAACCTGGGCACCCAGTGAAGGTAAGATGCGAATCACTAGAGTTTTAAACAAAACTTATTCATGCCTCAGGTCCTCCTCAAAAATAATAGATTAAAAAGAAATTATGCAGTTGAATAAGAGCTTTATGGGAATGTCCTCTAATGGAACAATTTTTTTTTCAGAGTAATTGCAAAGAAAGCAATTTGGTGGTTTTTACTGAATAGCACAGAATAATTTAAGGACGCAAGAGCACGTGCCCTCCATAAGGGATGACCCTCTTACTGGGAGGGCTGCCTTAGCATTGCAGTCATGGCCAGGTGCATTCCAGATGCCCACTACGGCTTTGATTAATTACTTTCCTTGTATTCTATCTTATTAGGTACATGCAGTGAGAAATGAAGGATAATTTGATCAGAAAATAGCTTCTGTTGAATCAAAGGCTTAAAAAATAGTATTGAAATGTGGTGAATAACAAGAAAAAGGGGCCGGGCATGGTGGCTCACTCCTGTAATCCTAGCACTTTGGGAGGCTGAGGCAGGTGGATTACCTGAGGTCAGGAGTTCAAGACCTGCCTGGCCAACATGGTGAAACCCCATCTCTACTAAACATACAAAAATTAACCAGGAGTGGTGGCACATGCCTGCAATCCCAGCTACTCGGGAGGCTGAGGAAGGAGAATGGCTTGAACCCAGAAGACGGAGGTTGCAGTGAGCAGAGATCGTGCCACTGCACTCCAGCCTAGGGCGACAGAGTAAGACTCCATCTCAAAAACAAAAAGGATAAAAATGGTTGTAATGAGTATCTCAACAGCTGTTTTTACAACATGGGATCACCTAAAAACTTGTGTGCTTCACCCCAATTCTTAAGATAAGAGTTCAACCCACATTCAATTCTTCTTTAACTGCCTGATCTGTACAGCCCTCTGTGAAAAGGAAATGAGAACTTTAGAAAAGCAAACAGATGTTTAATAACTTCATGTAGTCCCTGCTAGTTAGACTAGTTAGAGAAAGTAGTTTTGTATAAGCAACTGTCACCATTGGAAGGGGACAGTTTATGGTGTTTTATATAGACTCGAAAAATGTGGAGGATACTTAACGCTTAGATTGGCTTGAAGAGCAGTAAACAGTAGGAATCCACATGGAAATTAATTAGGGTGTAACTCTCTACATGTAGCTGTCCCATATCCTCTTTTGCCCTCACTGACCTCCTGCTCTTTGGCTTCCAGCCACAACACAACTCTTGGTGATCAGAACCCCCAGGCCAAGCATTTGGTTAATGCTGGTCATTCATTCATTCATTGACTAACTCAGAAAATAAAGATGGAGGTTATGTACCAAGAATTGTTGGTTCCCAACTTCTCACTAATTGTTTTGTTCCTGCTATCATCCCAGCTAACCTAAAGTTCTTCAGAGGCCACAGAACAAATTTTTCACTTTGTTATGATTTCCCACAGTGCCTGGGCAGTGCTGAGCACAAAAGAGGTGATCAGCACCAGTGCCCAGAACGTTGCTCCACAGTGTCCGCAGAAAAAAAGTCAAATCCCTTAGCCTGACTCAAAAAGGACCCTTCGCCCTACCCTGCCTTCTTTCAGCTTCATTTCTCATCTCTGACAGAACCCACCTTACCAACCCTGTGTTCCCAGCATACTAAGTTTCTTGCAGCGTCAGAATTTGGGTCACACTCTCAATTTGGAATTTTGCACATGCTATTCCCTCTTGCAGCAACACTCTTCCCATCTTCCCTGTCATCTGGATAACACTACTATTGACTTGACTCAAATATTCCTTATCTGGGAAGCTTACCCTGAGACCAAAAAATACAGTCAGCACTCCTCCTGGAAACCTCTATAATGGCCTACACCCACCACTGTGGTATCACTGCAAGATAAAGGCTTTATAAATACCCATTCAATTAAACTGCCTGAAGTTATGGGCTATGCCTATGTCACAGTTGTATCCCTGAGAACCAACAGTTCTTGGTACCATAGCCAGCCTCCATATTTACTTTTTGAGTTAGTCAATGAATGAATGAATGGCCTAGCCTTGGTGGGTGGTTCTCAATGATCTCTGCTAACAGAAATTCTCATTCTTGAAATATTTTAAATATTTAATCTCTCATCCCAGATATTCTACTTTAGGAAGTAGGTTGCTCATTGTGACATATTGTGGCACCATCTAAAGGTTGTCCTGGCAGCTGAAAATTAGAATACAATTCTTTATACAATTGCAGGATGTGGTGTTAATGAAGCAATGTGCCTGCTACAGAAATAGATTTTTGCTTTGTTTTGTTTTGTTTTTCTGAGACAGGGTCTTGCTCTGTCACCGAGGCTGGAGTGCAGCAACTCACTACAGCTTTGACCTCCCAGGCTCAAGTAATCCTCCAACCTCAGCCTCCCAAGTAGCTGGAACCACAGGCATGTGCCACCACTCCCAGATAATTTTTTTTGAGAGGTGGGGTCTCACTATATTGTTCAGGCTGGTCTTGAACTCCTGGCCTCAAGCAATCCTCCCACCTCAGTCTGCCAAAGTGCTGGGACTACAGGCATGAGTCACCACACCCAACTTATAGGAACCATTTTTTTAAAGTCCCTATATACCTTCACATGGAAGTCATCATAAAGCTTTTAATGAGATATCTTATACACAAAAGTTACTTAATAAATGCTTATTTTGAATGAATGAATGCCCAAAATAATTCTTGCTCAGGAAAACACTTTGCTAATAAAATTAGCAAACACCCATGAAGTCCTCACTTATAGATGAAGAAAGCTGAACAATTTGAGACAAACTTGGAGGTTTACATTGAAAATGACTTGCAAAATAGATATCCGAGTGCTTGATTTAAATGACTTATTTAGCTTAGCAACCAATTTAATGTGTTTTTTAATTTCTAGTGTTTGTGTGTGTATTATAGTAAATATACAATAGTTAATTACAGTTGTCAATTGATTTTTTTTTTCTACTAGCCACTTTGTAGTCAGGTAGCCAGGTGGAGCATCTAGGCCCATGGCCCTGCCCAGCCTGATGAATTGCATGCTGATATTCCCCCTTCAGCCTTTTCTTTCTTTCTTTCTTTTTCTTTCTTTCTTTCTTCTTTTGTTTTTTTTTTTTTTTTTTTTTTTGAGACAGAGTCTCCCTCTGTCACCCAGGCTAGAGTGCAGTGGCACCATCTTGGCTCACTGCAACCTCCACGTCCCGGGTTCAAGCGATTCTCCTCCCCTTCAGCATTTCAAAGGTTGGAGGAAATTGGAGGCACCAAATACCATTTTGTTCTTCTCTCTTCTTGAGGCTCTTCTGTAAACATCCCGGAGTGTTTACTCTACAAATAACATTTCTGGTATGGCCCTGATTTTCTGAAATCGGCAGGAAACATTGGTCTAATCAAAGCTTATTGAACTCTGTTCACATTCTGGAAATCACCACTCATGATTCAAGAATCCAAATGATGCCAAAGGGAGGACAGTAATCCAAGCAAACTCATCCTTTAAGGGCTTTGAATTAAATTTTCAAAATGTGAGAGATAGAATAGTGGAATTGTAAATACTTAACCCTAAATTACAAAGAGGACACTGACATTAATATCAATAGAAGCTTTACAAATAGATTTTCTTTCTTATCCAGAAGGCATGAGTCCTCTGGGATCCCTCAAGTCCAAGTTACCTTTATTTCTCAGTTACCTTCTGCCACGGCATTTTTTTTTTTTTTTTTTTTTTTTGAGATGGAGTATCGCTCTGTCGCCCAGGCTGGAGTGCAGTGGCATGATCTTGGCTCTCTGCAACCTCTGCCTCCCCGGTTCAAGTGATTCTCTTGCCTTAGTCTCCCAAGTAGCTGGGACTACCGGCGCAGGCCACCATGCCTGGCTAATTTTTGTATTTTTAGTAGAGACGAGGTTTTACCATGTTGGCCAGGCTGCTCTTGAACTCCTAACCTCAAGTGATCTGCCCACCTTGGCCTCCCAAAGTGCTGGGATTATAGGCATGAAACATCGCGCCCAGCCTATGCCACAGTCTTGAATTGAAATTTTTGAAACTCTTAAATTTAGAAGAATATGGAAGGCAGATAACTATGTCATGCACTACTAAAACTAAACAAAGAAAATCATAAATATAAAAGCCTCAGTAGTGGTATAGATGGAAACTAAACAATCTTTTCAATCCCCTGTAAAGCTCAAGAAGAAAAACTTCTTCATACCTGGTCAAATGAAGTGAAAAATGATCTCAATCAATGTTTTATGGAATTGATAGACTTCAAATATCAATATTTTGGAAAAGAATTTGAGAATTTAGCTTTAAATCACCTCAGTGATAATTGATAACAAACTGTATTTGTGTAACTCTTTTAACAAAGCCATATATTTCATAAACTCATGGACTAGTCTGAATATTTTTCCTATTTCTCAGATAAAGAAACTTTGAGTTAGACAGGAAGGTGAAATGAGTGGCCAGAGTTGTATACATGCTTTGCCTCCTCCCACTCAGCCCAAAGAAAACAAATTTTCCTCTGGCTACCAGTGTAGTATAAAGCAAAATACATTAATTTTTTGCCAATGTCATTTTAATGCAGTTTAGTGATAATCTAAAATCATTTTGCACTAGGGAACTGAGTTTCTATGAAAATAAAATAAATTGTCTTTCTTGCTCAGAGATGGGAAGACAGAGAGAATGAAGTGATAGATTCCTTTACCTCAGGCTCTGTGAGTGAGCTCGTCAGCCTCCCAGGCTCCACATGTGAATACAGGAAGCACCTGCACAGCCCAAAACATCCTGGCCATACCTAGTATGTCCTGGATTGATGCATCAAATCTTTAGATTATTCATTCTTATGTGAAATGAACATCTTCCAAATAGCTTTCTTCATTTCATCGCTTGATCAGCAGTAAGTAGCAAGTGCTTCTGATGTTCTGGTGGGAAGAGAAAAGGTATTTATTTTAAAACTATTCAACTTAGGAAAGTCTGACCTTTAGAGACAGATTCAAAGCATAAATAACTATCTGAGAGGAACTTCTCTTCTCCATCTCTGGTTTCCATGAAGAGGAATTTTCCCTAAGCCCTTTAAGCTTCTGGACCAAAACTTCTGTCTCCCTGGAAATATATTAGGTTACCTGTAGGTGAGCAATGCCATTGGTCTTGGGTGGAATTAATCTATCAAAAGCTATACACATGGCATTTCATCTTCCTCCTCCTCCCTAGATCAGTGTGAGGCAATGATTTTTTTACAGATTAAAGCTTGCCCTGAACTGAGCCCCAGACGCTAAATTGGGTGTGCAGAGGAAGTAACAGCACTTTTATTTCATCACTAAGCTACATTGCCGTTAACTTTATCAGTAATAAAGATAAATTTTTTTCCTGCAAATGCTGGCTCCTTTGTTTACATTCTCAGTTTCATTTTTTAAAATTCACACAGGAGGGAAGGGTTCTATTTATTGGACTTTCCTCAAAAACTCCACCAGGAAGAGCACACACTGTATTCAAGTATTCAAATAGGGGGAAAGTGGTTTAGAACACAAGCCGACTATGCTGGGCAGAATTTTAGGATGGCCCCCACATGTGGTAGCCCCTTGGTGTTCCTGCAGTGTATCGTCTCCTTCCCTTGAGAATGGGTGGCACTAGTGAATATTTTGGGTTATTATTCCTGAAATTAGGTTACTAACAAGTTAGCTGGAGTTAATAAAAACGAAGCTTATCCTCGGTGGGTCTAACTAATCAGGTGTTCTCTCTGCAAGAACATGAAGCTTCAGAGAGATGTGCTGCTGTTGGCCTGGAAGAAAAGCAAATAGCCATGTTGCAAATTGCTAATGGAGGGGCCACATAGCTAGAACCCAATGGAAATGCCTAGGAGCTGAGAGCAATCTCCACCCCAAAGCTGGCAAAAAGAAAGAGAGAGAGAGAGATAAAGAAAGAAAGAAGGAAAGAAAGAAGGAAAGAAAGAATGAAAGAAAGAAAGAAAGAAGAAAGAAGAAAGAAAGAAAGAAAGAAAGAAGAAAGAAAGAAAGAAAGAAAGAAAGAAAGAAAGAAAGAAAGAAAGAAAGAAAGAAAGGAAAGAAAAGAAAGAGTGAGAGAAAACAAGGACTACACTTCTGCAATTGCAAATAATTGAATTCTGCCAACAGCATAAAGGAGCTGGGAAGAGTACCTCAAACTCCAGGTGAGAATACAGCCTTAGCTGACACTCTGACATCTGCCTGTGAGACCCTAACAGAAAACCCAGCTGTGCCATGCCCGTATTTCTCACCCATGGAGAGTGTGACATAATAAACATGTTGTTTTATCGACTAAGTTTGTGGCACTTTGTTATGAAGCAATATAAAACTAACACAGCCATTGAATATTGACCATTCCCTTCAGATGGTTCTGTCTAAAAAGCTTGCAAGCCAATTGTTTTGAGTTGAAAAGCAACTTCTAGAGGAGCAAACTAATGACTCCTAAAAAGCATAGTTTGGTATTTTACATATATAGTGAGATTTAAAGGGGGACATCTGAGAGGAAAAGGGCAGAGCAGGGAACTGACGTAAATGTCCTAGAGCTGTGTGCCACGAGTCCAGATCAGAGGCCTTAGAGTGGCATGTAAGTGCATCATCAGCAAATAACAGAATGAAAGCCCCATGGAGGCAGAGTGCTGTAGTATGGGAAGGATGACCTCTCTACTCAACATCTCAAGCCATCAGTAAAAATATTAAGAAACAAGGGGCAAAGCTTGGGAATGGAATTGTGCACCAATCTGACATAAGAGGAGAAACTCAATGGCCTGTAAGTAGAAAAGAGATCAAAAGGGCAAAAGATTCACCCAAGTTAAGACAGCGAAGATTTCAGCTAAATGTAACTTAACCTATTATTTTCTTGTTTTTATTTATTTTTTTAAATAGAGATGAGTGCTCACCATATTGCCCATATTGCCCAGGCTAGCCTTGAACTCCTGGGCTAAAGCAATCCTCCTGCCTCGGCCTCCCAAAGTGTTGGGATTACAGGTGTGAGCCACCATGCCTGCCCCAAAATGTAACTTAACCTCTAAGGAGTAAAGAAGAATCTAGTTACAGTCATACAGCCAGGGCAGAGGAAGTGCTATGTACTTCAAATTCAAATGTGACTCAAGTGTTTAGCCATCAAAACCCCAGATCGCTGAGTGCAAGGGGAACCCAAGTCAATTTGGTGTGACATTGCAAAGAGAAAAGATGAACTAGTTAACTAAAAAGGGATAAGTGAATAGCTACATGCAAAAGATAATATTAGGTCCCTGTCTGACACCACATTATTATAAAGAAAAATCCACATGAACTAAAAACCTATGCAAGATTTTTTAACTTTTGGGAGAAAATATAGGCGATTTCTGTAATGAGGACAGAAAAGGATTTAGTAAACAAGTATTAAATTGTACAAACTATAAAGAAAAATATGAGATTAAACTACCTTAAAAATGAAAGAGCTTATGCACAACATAAGACATCATAAGGAAAGTTAAAAGACACACTGTCTGAAAGAAGAGATTTTAAAGCCATATAACTACCAAGACTGAAACATAAACAAATACAAAATCAGAACAGACTAATAAGTAAAGAGATTGAATCAGTCAAAAACCTTCCGAAAAAGAAAAGGTCTGACCCCAGATGGCGTCACTGATGAATTCTACCAAACATTTAAAGAAAAATGAATGCCAATCATATTTAAACTCTTCCAAAAATTGAAGAGGAGAAAACATTTCCAAATTCATTTTATGGGGCTGGTATTACCCTTATACCAAAGCCAGACAAGAACACTACAAGAAAGGAAAATTCCAGGCCAAATCCCTCATGAACATAGATCCAAAACTCCTCAACAAAATACTAGCAAACCAAATTCAACAGCACATTAAAAGAATTATACACCACAATCAAGTGGGATTTACTATGAGATGCAAGAATGGTTCAACATACACAAATCAATGAAGTGATATATCACATTAACAGAACGAAGGATAAAAACCATATGATCATCTCAGTAGATGCAGGAAAAAAAAATTTGACAAAATTCAACATTCTTTCATGATTAAAACTCTCAATAAATTACGTATAGATGAAATGTACATCAACATAATAAAGGCCACATATATCAAGCCCACAGCTAATGTCATACTCAATAGTGAAAAGTTGAAAGCCTTTCCTCTAGGATTAGGAACAAGAAAAGGATATCTACCCTCACCACTTCTAGACACATGACTGGAAATCCTAGAGAAAGCAAGCAAGATAAAAGTCATCCTAATCAGCAAGAAAGAAGTAAAATTATCCCTGTTCACAGTTGAGGTGATTTTGTATATAGAAAATCTTAAAGACTCCAACAAAAAAATTCTTAGAACTAATCAGTAAGTCCAGAAAAGTTGTAAGGCAAAAAATCAACATACAAAATCGGTAGCATTTCTAGACTCTAAATAACTAGCTAACAGGAAAAAAAATAAGAAAATAATCCCCATTTACAATAGCATCAAAAAGAATAACATATTTAGAAATAAATTTAACTAGAAGGTGGAAGAGCTGTACATTGAAAACTATAAAACATTGATGAAAGAAATTGAGGACACAAATAAATGCAAAAATACCCCCCAGTGCTCATGGATTGAAATAATTAATATTGTTAAAATGTCCATATTGCTCAAAGTGATCAACAGATTCAGTGCCTTCTCTGTCAAAATTTCCACGGCATTTGTGATGGTTAATTTTATGTTCAACTTGACCAGACAAAGGGATACTCAGATAGCTGGCAAAACATTATTTCTAGACATGTCTGTGAGGGTATTTCCAGAACACATTAGCATTTGCATCAATAGACTGAGTAAAAACAATCACTCTAACCAATGTGGGCAGGCATCACCCAATTCAGTGAGTATATAGCTACCAATACTGTACTGTATACTTGAAATTTGGCAAGAGTGTAGATCCTGAGTCCTCACCACCAAAAAAAAGGTAACTATTTGAGGTGATGGATATGCTGATTAGCCTGATTGTGTTGATTATTCCACAATGTATATGTATATCTGACTATCACGAACACCTCAAATACATACAATAAAAAAAATAAATCTTACCAAACCAATATGAAAAAGACAAATACACATATAGAAAATTGGACAAAAATATAAACAGGAAATTCACAGAGAAGATGAATTGACTACCAGTAAACAATATTTTCAAGTCACCGATGACATTGGAGGAAAAAAAATCACTAGGGTATTGGTGATGATGTGGGGAAATGGGAATCATACACTGCCAATGAGTGTAAATTGTCCCAAACACTTAGTAGAGCAAGTCCTAGAAGTTGACATTGCTCCTGTCCTTTAGCTCAGCAATTTGTTTGTAGCTGTCTAACAGAAACTCATATGAATAAAGAAGCATATTCAAAAACGTTCATGCAATTTTTGTGATACCAAAACAGTAAAAGCAACCTTACTATCCACCAGTCAACAAACAACATCGCTTCAAAAATGGACTAATACAATAGTCATTAAGACCAAAAATATTCAGATCAGGATCTCAAAAAGTAGGGAGACCCTCCAAATAATTGGAGAAGGGAATACTGATTAAAGGTAAATTTAGGATCACCTGTGGTCCTAGCATATAATGAAATACTATAAAATAAATGAACTAAGTAGGATAAACAAGGAAAATCACAAAATGTAACTATAAGTAAAAAAAAAAGTTGGAAAAAGATATCCTGATGGTATACCATTTATGTCATTCAATATAATATATACTAAATTTATATATTAATAAAAGTATATAACCTTTAATTTATATAATATATACATAATATTTACTAATACATACAATATATGATAAATGTATAAAACCATACCTTGATGTGATATACATCAACTTGGAGAATGGAGCTTACAACTACAATCTAGACTGGGCATTTCACGAAGAAGGAACTTATTTACAGCTATTCCTTACACCTAGAAGACTGCCCAAAAAATAGTAGATGCTTAACATTTATCTTTGAATAAACCAGTGAATGAATGAATGGTTTCATCTGGGAGGAGAATGAGATGAATAGAACAGCGGTGGGGAAAAATTTAGGTGTATTTTTAACATTTTCTTTGTAGAATGGTTATGATTCATATAAAACAAAGTCATATTATCAATTAAGCCTAAGTGATGGGCTTTCTATTTTTTAATATTATATCATTTCAATTTAAAAATTTTAAACATGTCTGTAACAGTTTTTTCATATAGATAGAATTAGTGCCCCCTCCCCCTACCGAAGAATTCTTTAGAGAGCCCATTTTTTAATCTCATAGGAAAAACCTTTCAATGCACAAATCAAAGAACTGACCTAAATTTTAAGTGTTGTAGAATAAAACTTGAACTAAAAAGTTGAGGTATTGCTATACTTACTACCACAAGTAATAATCTTCTTTATTTAAAAATTGCATTATCACCTCCTTTGATAAATTTAAATCAATTTCTAGAAGTGATAGGTAATTACAAGGGAGAAAATAGGTATACTTCAAAGCAGAGTTAATTTAAATTGTCTGCCTTTTGTGTAATTACATTTATTCTCTATGGAAAAAGATCACAACACAAATATACTACAGGCTATACGCTACTGTAAGATCTAGATAATCAGAAGTCCAAATATAGTTCCTCTATGACTTTGCAGCAAGTTAGAGAAGCAAAACGTTAATTGTGATACCTCATGATAACTATTATCATGGAATTATTCAGAGGAGTATGTAAGCACATAGAAGAAAGCTCTCACAATCTGGAGCTGCAAGAAAGGCTTCCTGGAGGACATGACACATGAGCTAGACTTTGAAGGATAAGTGTTTGCCAAACAGGAAAGTTGATGGAATAAGGGATGGTAGGCAGTGAAGGATTTTTTCCAGACAAAGGTACAGTAGTTGTAAAGTTCCAGTCAAGTAAGAAATAATAGCATATTTGGAGAGCTACAAGTAGGACAATCGACTGTAGCCCGAATATGCATTTTGTAGCATGGTGGGAGAGAAGTCTAGAAACAGAGACAGATACAAGACTGTTGAGCACCTTACAATGCCATGATAAATGATTGCAGAGTCTTTCTCATATGTCATAAGGAATTATTAAAAACTTTTAAGCAATGAAGTGACATACTCAGAATAGGAATAACAGAGAGGATGTTTTGGAGTGGGGTCAAATTGGATGAAAGGAAAATAGGTAAGAGTCTATTAAGGTAAAGCTGGGCATGGTGACCCATCCCTGTAATCCCAGCATTTTGGGAGGCTGAGGCAGGTGGGTCAGTTGAGGCCAGGAGTTCAAGACCAGCCTGGCCAACATGGTGGAAATGATAAAGCTTCCCTAACCTACAACAGTGTCATAGAACTGGGGAAGGGAATATTAATTAAAGGCATATTTAGGACACATAATCTATAGTATTTATAAGCATAATGTTCTTTGTTTTCCTTCCAGTAATGTGGAATGAGTATAATTTTCTAGGGGAAAGATGTATAGCTGATTGTTAAGATGGTCATAGTTGTCTTCCTCTTTATACCTAGGTATCTTTGCAATGTGACTTTGCAGCTCCTTCCATGAGAATATGGAGTCTCTTTCCCCACCTCTCTAATCTAGGCTAATTTTGTGCCTTGCTTTGATCCAGGTCATGAGAAAAGCATTTATAAATGGGCTTAAACACCCAGGGGGATCAGGGGAAAAAAACATCAGAAATGGCAAAAATATTAAAATGAATTAA
Source organism: Homo sapiens (assembly GCF_000001405.40). Lineage (NCBI taxonomy): Eukaryota > Metazoa > Chordata > Mammalia > Primates > Hominidae > Homo > Homo sapiens. The sequence goes on from NC_000002.12 coordinate 223,576,104, forward strand.
TTAATTTTCTACAAAAATATCTAACAACACTGATATTAAACTGGCATATTTTGCTTGAAAAGTCCTTCTGCTTATGAAACCAACACATTAATGGCTATCATTTACAATTGAAAATGAGTTAAATTAATTTATAAACACAGTAATTTGATCTAAATAAAAAGTCATCATATGTAACTAAGCCTTCTACCACTACACATATTAAGTCATTGCCTTTGGGCACAGTTTCCACAAAATAATGACTGACTTTTGAAACTTTAGAAGATTTACATCTTCTTATTTTCTTATGGTCAGCTTTATTACTGGAGTTCCCATAGTGGATGACAAATGTAGCCAACATCCACAATTAAGCCAAATTAAAATTTCATCATCAACTTTTGTGAGAAAGAGAAAATTAGCACATAATTTTTTATTAAGCATGCACTATTATCACTTTAGCTTATTTCTGTGCCAAAGGTTTATTGTAAAATTAAAAAAAAAAACAATATCTTATGAGATAATAAAATTAATAATTAGCTATTGACTTGCAATGTACAACAAATGATAGAATCACCAGAGCAAGAATGTTTCGATAACTCTCAAAGCACTCTATGGAAAAATAGTTTAGTCCATATGCCACATACAGTTTATTTTCACCTAACCTGTAATTTCTGAAGTTTCCCACTGACTCCAGTCCCCGCCAACTGGCAATCTGGCAAGTTTTTTTGTCTGTTTGTTTTTTGAGATGGGGTCTCACCCTGTCATCCAGGCTGTAGTGCAGTGGCGTGATTATGGCTCACTGTACCCTTGACCTCCCAGGCTCAATCGATCCTCCCACCTCCGCCTCCCAAGTAGCTTGGACTACAGGCACATGCCACTACATCCAGCTAATTTCTGTAGTTTTTGTAGAGACAGAGTCTCACCATGTTGCCCAAGCCAGTCTCAAACATCTGGGCTCAAGTTATTCGCTTACGTCAGCCTCCCAAAGTGTTGGGATTACAGGAATGAGTCACTGCACTTGGCCTCTACAAATGTCGGAATCTCACAGGTCACAGTAAAAGTCAGGGCATAACTTGGTAACACAACAAAAACTAGCAAAGGCAACAGCCTCAAATATTTCTCCCACCACCATCTGAAGCTGGGAAGAGTTGGGTTTTCCTAACCCCTTATGTCTGAGTGTCCTTGATTTTATTCTTCCTGCTGTCTTTGAGGAAAGTGTCTTTTACCATCCATCTTTAAGGAGCTGGGGAAAGAGAAGTTACTGCTAATTGTCTTTCAGATTTAACCCTATATTAAAGTAAGAACTCTGTTCTCTGCACAGGAATCTCAAAACCATGTGACCAAGGCAGAAGCTGGAAGTACAGAGTCAAGGTCTATAAACCCTTTCCAACTTATCTAAATGTAACTACTCATTATAAAAACATGTCACTAAAAAATGAAAAATCAAAAAAAAAAATGTTAAGCAGATGGGACATCAGGACAATAGACTGAAACCTGCACTGCTCTTGGCAAGCAGGCACATAGGGTCTTCTGTTTACTTCCTTCCTACAGTCCACCCCATGTGTTGATCCATTGGCATAGACCAAGGACTCAGGCTCCAGTGGCAGGGAAGAAAATGAGGTGGAAAGTGCCATGCAAGTCAAGGGGAGGGGCATTACTCTTGGCTCTCTGAGGGCTCTACATCCTAGCTGCCTTCTCTTTGAAGACTAGCACTTTGGTTACATAGGATACAAGACCTCAGTATCAAGGTTCTCTGGTTAATGCTACATTCCATATAAAATGTTTGAGGACCTATGCCCGGGTAGGGTGGCTCATGCCTGTAATGCCAGCAATTTGGGAGGCTGAGGCTGGTGGATCACCTGAGGTCAGGAGTTCAAGACCAGCCTGGCCAACATGGTGAAACCCCATCTCTACTAAAAATACAAAAATTAGCTGGGCATGGTGGCAAGCAACTGTAATCCCAGCTACTTGGGAGGCTGAGGCAAGAGAATTGCTTGAACCCAAGAGGTGGAGGTTGCAGTGAGCCAAGATCGCACCACTGCACTCCATCTTGGGTGACAGAGTGAGACTCCATCTAAAAAAAAAAAAAAAAGTTTGAGTACCTAATATGTTCGAAGACACATGTATGGAAATTATTGTCCTGGAGGCAACCCTGAGTCCTGTGTATGCACAAGGTGAGAAAGGAATTTTTAAAACCTCCTTGTTTATTTCCCTTTTAAATTAATGTTTCTTCACTCAGATAGAAGAGGTCCAGGTGTGGTGGCTTACACCTGTAATCCCAGCACTTTGGGAGGCCAAGGTGGGAGGATCGCTTGAGGCCAGGAGTTCAAGACCAGCCTGGGCAACATAGTGAGACCACCATCTCTACAAAATAGTAAATTAAAAAATTAGCTGGGCATGGTGGTGTGTGCTTGTAGTCCCAGCTGCTCAGGTAGCTGAGCTGGGAGGCTTGCTTGAGCCCAGGGGTTGGAGGTTGCTCTGAGCTATGAGAGCACCACTGCACTCCAGCCTGTGCAACAGAGTGAGACCCTGTCTCTAAAAATAAAAATAAAAGAGGGAGGGTGGCAGAGAGCTGAGAGATGAGAAATTACCTAATGGGAACAAAAACATTATTAGGGTGATGGATACACTAAAAGCCCAGACTTCACCACTGTGCAATATATCCATGTAACAAAACGGCAATCACACTCCCTAAATCTATATAAAAATTTTAAGAAGAAAAGAAAGTAATGTCTCTTCAAATTGGATAACCCCATATTCTTCTTACCTTTCCTATCGCTGGGAGAATTGTTCCCAGTGATCCAAGGAAGTTGCTCATCAGAATGAGGCAGAGAAGACTAGAGACAGAGAGCATGTCAACTTGTAGAATGTTTGATTGGATGAATCAATTTCATTAACTTTGTAGCAGAAAATGCTGTGCTTCCTGATGCCCAATGACCTATTGAAGATTTCATGAGTCACCTGTTTGTTTCTTTTGCAGTCAATGGATGTGATTACTATAGAGCCAGGATGTTGCTCTGCATGCATGAATACATGCCCTTGGGACCTTTTCACCTTCCTACCATGACCTCTGTACCACTCTCAAAAGGCTTAAGCTTGAATGATGCTATTTCTTGATAGACAAATGACTTGTTCCCTCTTCTTTTGTTCCCACTCAAAACCACATATGGCACCTTATGGAGGAAGAGAAAGCTTTTATACTTAAAGTTCCTCACTTAAGCTTTTATACTTAAGTTATGAAGTACAACCTTCCCTATTTGCCACCTATATGCTATTTAGGGTAGTCTATTATCAGGATCTAAGCCTTTCATTCCACCATTTGAGTTAAGTATAAATCCAATACGATCCTCAGAGTGGAATCAATACCACCATAGAAAATGACAACAGTATCTTCATGAACAAGGCGTTCCCAGGCTCGTAAATCCTACTGCTGCAGTGGATGAGTCCTGTAAATCATCTGGTCACTGACTATTTTTACAAATGAAGAAACTGGGACTGGAGCAATGTAATTATCTGACATATACAGTTAATTTGGGCCAATATATGGAGCCGGGTCTTCTGATTCCTCACCTGCTGTTCTTAGAGGAAGAAGATAATGATGAGTATATAAGGATACTGGGGTCCAGTGGAAGCCAGAAACAGGTCCCAGGAGGAGAAAACAGAAAATTCAGTGATGACAAAGAGAATCCATTTATGTCTCAATTGCTCCCAACTAAGTATAGTGTCCGGAGGAACAATAGAGTTACAGGAGTGTCACATCTGCTCTACCTAACCCTAGCCCTAGCCCCACTCAGAGACAATACATCCCTCAGCTTTGCTACTCAAAGTGTAGGGCTCAGACAGCCACATCAACCTCATCCAGGAGCTTGTTACACATGAACAATCTCAGCCCACCTCCCATGACCTATTGGACCAGAATCTGCATTTTTTTTTTTTTTTTTAGATGGAGTTGAGCTCTGTCTTCCAGGCTGGAGTGCAGTGGCATGATCAGCACAACCTCCGCCTCCTGAGTTCAAGCAATTTTCCTGTCTCAGCCTCCTGAGTAGCTGGGATTACAGGTGTGCACCACTGGGCCTGGCTAATTTTTGTATTTTTTTTAGTAGAGGCGGGGTTTCTCCATGTTGGCCAGGCTAGTCTTGAACTTCTGACGTCAGGTGATCCGCTCCCATTGGCCTCCCAAAGCGCTGGGATTGCAGGCATGAGCCACCACACCTGGCCCAGGATATGCATTCTAACAAGATTTCCAGGTGACTCGTGTGCACAGTCAAGTGTGAGAAGCACTGGGCTAGGGTGCAAGTCCACAGGAAGTAAATCAGGCTCCTAGCCTCAAGCTCCTCTCCTGCCATCATCTTTCCAAAGCACCTGTAGAAATCAGAGCCAGCGTCAGGGCTGACACAGCACCTTGTGATTTCCAGATCCCAGTTCCCAGGATGTTTTAGATAGTTCCAAAATCCTCAAAGAAGATAAAGAGGATATCATGATGCATGAGGTGTGGGGAGGGGGGCACCAAAACGTGCCTGGATAGTTTGAATAGAAGCTACTAGGACTTCACAGGATGCCTGTAACCTAGTTCTGCTTTATGTGTTTTTTATTTTGTTTTTATTTGATTTGATGCATTTGTTTTGTTGTTTTGTTTGTCCATTTCAGGTATCTGGGTCTACTGTGCAAAGCAGGGAAATCCAAGCTGTTCCACAGACAATTCTCTAAATGTCTTACTCCTCATGCATCTCTAATAGCTTAGATGTAGCTTTATTTTATAGTTTTTTCCCCCAAATAAGCATTTTTATAAGGCAGTTGCCCTAACTAGACTGTCACCAACTCAAAGGCAAAATTCAATGTTTATTTTTCTTTACCATGCTAACCATTAGTGCCCTGCGTTTAATAAGCAACAAATAATGAGTGATTTAAAAAGCAAAATGAAAGTGAAAGAATGAATGAATACATAAATGAATGAACGGGTTGAAGTGGTATGAAATAGAATGAATTCAGTAGAAAACTAAGCTCCCGTTCTCCTGACTTCAGCTCCAATAGCCTGCTGTTATTTCTCTTGTAGCCTGGACGAGTCACATGACTCATGGCTTTGAGCTGTGTCTTCCATTACAGAGAAGTCAGCCAGACTGTCTGAGTGTTTGTGTCCTGCAGTGCAGAAAAAAATACATGAGCTACAATATGTAACATGCAACCAATAAACTGCATTCCTTTGAAATCCTCAGATGAAAGTCACCATCCAACATACATTCACTGCGAGGACGCAATTTTCCTTACTCTCTACTCTTGATTTAAAATGTAAATGCAAGGGAAGAAACACATTATCAAAGGAAAGAAAAAAGAAGGAGCAACTGCTTTTCTTTCCAACAACTCTGCCCACTGTCAAAAAAGGAAAAAATTACAAAATATATAAAATCTTAAAAATAACTATTTCCTGGAAGTACTTTGCTCAAACTCACAGCAAAAGTATTCTCTGTAGCTATTTGCTGGCACTACATTATGAATCCAACAGTAATAATAATACTGATGACAGTGCCACAAAATTCAACTACTACTTATCTATAAAGAGAAAAATATAGTATCTTTATTTTGCCTGTAACGAAAGCAGTTCTTCTCCTGCGCTTTCATCACTGGATTAGTAGAAAAACAAATTAAACCACAGAACAATATATTAAACAGTCTCTTTAGGAAATAGCTTTCCATTTGTTAAAAATACTAGGTCTCTTAATCTCCCATCTCCTCTGCTTTCCTCCTTCAAATAGGGTCAGGATAGGAGGAAGACTTATGTGTCCTCATAACCCCAGGAAAGAGTGGGTGTTCCCTGATGAAATGTCACCATCTCACTCTGGTCTCTGGGTGTTTCAGACTTAAAAGTGCATCTCTCAAATCCCCCTTCAAGAAACAACCCCCTGCCCAACTGCAAGGGGTTGTCTGAGAGCCTCCACCTGTTAGTTCCTTCAGGGTCTGCCTCAACTTTCAAGCCGGGCTCACACTCTTCCTGTGCGGGGCCCTATCCAGTGTCTGAGCAAGGACGTGATCACCCAGCCATATTCTTCCTGTGGTGGCGTATGCCATGCCTGAGCAAGTGGGATGGGGCCTGGCCATTTCCATGCACAGCAGGGCCATTCTTCCAGATGAAGAGAGCATCTGGAGCATCCCATGGGACTGCCAGTGACTTCCGTGTCTGTGTCTCTGTATCTCATCTCAGAGCTTGCCCCTTCCATCCTGCTTCCTCCCTTTTTCTTTCAGGGGTGTTCCTTTCCAATGTACATTTCATATTCCCACCTTCATCTTGGGGTCTGCTTCCCAGAGCATCCTACTGGCACCCTGAGACGATGTCCCTTGTCCAACTGAGGGACCCTTGTCCTGCTGGCTTTTCAAGCTGAAGTCTGTGCCTGACCTGACCCACAGTCCATTCCCTCTCAGCTTTGTCTGTGCTTGTTAGTGGATCCTGGCAAATCCAGCCTCACCTCAGTTTCCCCAGGAGCCCTTTACTCTAAGTACAGTCACGTGCCACAAAACCACATATGGACCACACCTACAACAGTGGTCCCATAAGATTATAATGAAGTTGAAAAAGTCTCATCACCTAGTGACATTATACCTCATACCACAATACATTATTCATGCATTTGTGTTGATGCTGGTGTAAACCCACCTACTATTCTGACAGTCATGTAAAAGTATAGTACATACAATTACATACAGTACATGATTCTTAATGATAAGAAACAACAATGTCATCAGTTTATGTATTTATTATACAATATTTGTATCAGTATTTTAGAGTGTATTCCTACTTATTTAAAAAAATTAGCTGTAAAACAGCCTCAGGCAGGTCCTTCAGGGGGTATTCCAGAAGAAGACATTGTTATCATAGATGACAGTTCCATGCATGTTATTGCCCCTGAAGACCTTCCAGTGGTACAAAATATACAGGTGGAAGACAGTGATATTGATGATCTTAACCCTGTGTGGGCCTAGACTAAAGTGTGTGTTTGTGTCTTAGTTTTGTTGTTTTTGTTTTGAGATGGAGTCTCACTCTGTCACCCAGGCTGGAGTGCAGTGGCGTGACCTCGGCTGACTGCAACCTCTGCCTCCTGGGTTCAAGCAATTCTCCTGCCTCAGCCTCCTGAGTAGCTGGGATTACAGGTGCCTGCCACCACACCCAGCTAGTATTTTTAGTAGAGATGGGGTTTCACCATGTTGGCCAAGCTGGTCTTGAACTCTTGACCTCAGATGATCCGCCTGCCTTGGCCTCCCAAAGTGCTGGGATTATAGGTGTGAGCTACCTCGCCTGGCCAGGTTAATTTATTATTGAAGAAGGAAAAATCTTTTGATAAATATAGTATAGCCTAAATGTACAGTGTTCATAAAGTCTACAGTTGTGTACAGTCCTAGGCCTTCCCATTCACTCACCCTCACTCATTGACTCACCCAGAGCAGCTTCCAGCCCTGCAAGCTCTATTCATAGCAAACGCCCTATACAAGTGTACCATGTTTAATCTTTTATACCATATTTTACTCTATCTTTTTAATGCTTAGATATGTTTGGGTACACAAATACTTACCATTGTGCTACAACCACCTACAGCTATCAGCATAGATACATGCTGTATGGGTGTGTAGCCCAGGAGCAATAGGCTACAGCATATAGTCTACATGCGTAATAGACTATACATACAGGTTTGTGTAAGCACACTCTATGGTGTTCACACAATGATAAAATAGGCCAGGTGCAGTACCTCACACCTGTGATCCCAGCACTTTGGGAGGCTGAGGCGGGTGGGTCACCTGAGATCAGGAACTGGAGATCAGCCTGGTCAATATGGTGAAACCCCATCTCTACTAAAAATATTAAAAAATTAGCCAGGCATGGTGGTGCGTGCCTGTAACCCAAGCTACTCGGGAAGCTGAGGTAGGAGAGGATCACTTCAACCCAGTGGGGCAGAGGCTGCAGTGAGCCGAGATCACACTGTGGCACTCCAGCCTGGGCAACAAGAGCAAAAAACTCCATCTCAAAAAATAAAATAAAATAAAATAAAGATAAAATCATCTAATGCTGCATTTCCCAGCACATGTCTCCCTCAGTAAGTGACACATGACTACATCTGCCATGCCCTTCATCAGCCTCAAGCCTGGCCATCCAACAAGGCAATAGATATATTCAGGCATAAAATATTCAAAGTCTCAAGACATTCTCTCTTATAACATTCATATTGATTAGCCCAGCTTGGGCCATATGACCATCCTTGAACCTTCCCTGTGGTTGAGAGGATGAGCTACCATGATTGATCAATCTAGAGGCTCCATGTGGCATTGCGGTTGTAGGTTGGGAGATGCTAAGTTTACCAGTCCTGATGTGCGTACATGAGAGAGGCAGGTTTCCAAAGCAAGGTGTGGTGATATGACCAGAAGAAAGGTGGAATGAGATGCTGAGCATGCCAAAACAAAACAAAAAGTTACTTAGTTCTTCACTACATGTTGCATGTTCTCAAAGAGCTCAATGTTTTATCCTAGAGTTACATATACACAGACAATTGCAATAGAATATGGTAAGTGCAGTTGGAGTAGTTACTGTAAAGAAGGAAAAGATTTCATTGTTTCTTTTTTTTTTCTATTAACTAGGCTGTAAAAGGCAGGGTGTTTGGAACAGGAAGCAATGTGGGAAAAGAGTTCACAAGTCATATCTTAAAAATGAACAAAAAAGCTTGGCAGAAAAATAAGAGTGGAGGATCATGCAGGTGGAAGGAATGAAATATGCCAAGTCATTGAGGCACAAAACATCCTGGTAGAACATGCTTCCTCCCCTGAGTTCCCCAATTGGAGCATCTCCTTGGAGATACATCAAGTTTCAGAATGGACTAGACCCTACACATCTCTAATCCTAATGCAGCCCAGTCCCAAGATGCTCCAAGTCATAGCAAATAAGAATAAACTGTGCACTTATGAAATCAGGCTGACCTATTGGCTTAGCTATTTTTCTTTAATTTTGTGGTTATAGCTGCATCCACAGAAAAGGTTAGGATTTCAATTGGGTAAAGGAGAGATAATAACTCTATATGGGAGAAAACAGGGAGGGTATATTAGACGGTATTAGCAATTATTAAACTTAGGACTTTAAATAGCGAGGCTAAATGATCATATATATTTACATAGGTGTATAAGTAATATTAATACATGTGGAGTACTTCATATGACTTTGTTATATCAAAAATGCCTTTTAGTATACATATATTATGCACATGTGCATAATATATATTTATAATATCTTCACATATTATGTATCATATATTATGTATATGTGATATTTACGTATATATTACCTTATATTAGGAAGGCATTTTTCACATAATGAATAGATGCAAAAGTGAACATTTCATACTGAATTCTGTGTTCCAAGGGTTCTAGTTATAACACAGTTTCAGTGTGTCTGAACATACACATTTAAAAAAATTAAACCGTTAGCTTCTCTCTGACTGGAAATGAATAGAAACCTAGAACACGTAATTAGAAGCCCTTCTTGTTCATTTTTTGTTGCATGTAGCTTTTCTTTAATAATATGAGTCTTACTGGGATCAAGTCTTAAACTCAGTAAATAAAAAGCACAGATCACAGCTTACTGCACTTGGCACCCTGGAAAAGCTGCTAAATTATTAAAGAGGCTCAGGCTGTCATTGCCACCTTGTTATTTTTATTTTCTTAAAGATGCAGGGAGCCTGCAGTTTAAAGCACAAAATTGCTCTCACCACTGCCATGAATTTTGAAGCGCCTCCTGCACTGCACTGATGTCACATTGTAGAACGAATGGTTCAATGTTGTAACCCTGAGTCGCCTGCTACCATAGCAACCTGTTGGTTCAGAATGAATTGAATTATGAGATTATCACTAAAGAGGTAGGGTGGGGCTTCTGTTTTATTTACTTTTTCATCAGTTCACTGTGCAATGCCTACGAATGGGAAGAACAGAAAGCAATGATTTTTTTGTTTCTTTCAAAATATATGTTGTATTTTAAAACTATCAGGATTATTAAATATCCATGTTAAATGTATAGGGGTTAGTTTATCACCGTATCAGCTAAGGGCAGTAGAGAACAAATAAAAAAAAATCTTCATTATCTCATTGCAAATTCATTTCTTTTTAAAAATAATGGAATTTGGGCAGTAGGTAGATAGGAAAATCATATCAAAATGAAACTTGATCTCATCTGTTTCCCCTGTCCATATGGGATAATTTTAGCATAAATTGGGATTTTTAAACTTAAAATAAACCTGAAGTGTTGGTTCATACCACCCACGGGCTTCTAAACATTCCAATTCCCGTGAAATGGCCCCAGTTAAATTGTATCCCATGACAGATGGAATCAGAACTTGTTGCTTCATTACAAACCACTTTCCCAAAATAGCTGCAGCATGAGAAATAATCCTGTTTGTAAATGGAACAAAAGTGCTTTCACAATGTGGTCTATTTATGGGGAAACCATTATATGCATGCCTTATAGCTCTCTCCCTATTTAATGCCTAATATTAAGATTTACATAGTGCAAATGATTAGCAGTAGTTGTTGGCTAATTGATTGGACAAATTTACCTTATATTTGACAACACTTTGTTCCAGGGACTGTAAAGCCACTTCACACACATTGTCAATAAATCCTTACAACAGCCCTGAAAGGTAAATATAATTCTCACCTTAGACCCAGCTAGATCCCATGCCTGTCAGGTAAATAGGAAAACCAGGATTTTACTCTTGCACTTTTTTATTATCCCCAAAATATATTCTTTAAAAGCTCCAATGCATCAGATCAGAGAAGTTTTTGGAATGAAAATCTGAATGCTTTTTGAGCTGGGATGCAGGAATTGACATGCCAATCAACATGAGAAAATTTAAATTGTTATGTAGTGGGCCGAACTCACCCAGTAAGACATGTGTGAGGACTTCATTGTTCAAAATAGAAAGCTCTTGAGTGTTTCTGGACCTAAGAATTAGAAAATTGCAGTTAAAAGGGGATGCCGTGTGGGACTCTAGGATAGGATTTTAACTTAAATTAAGCCACATATTGAATTAGATACCCTTTAAAGCATGGCACCATTCTGATATTTCGGATATTCTGAAAATGCCAAGGTCAAAAGGCCACGCAGACGACCATGTGGAGTGCAAAGAGGAAGATATGCTTAATAATACCTGCTTATTTATTCAACACATGAGTTTTGAGCAGCTCACATGAAAGAAGCACAGTGCTGGACATTGTACAGGTTACTGAAAGGATATTGAGAACTGGTCCCTGACTTCAAAGAGCTTCTAATTTAATAGGTGAGACAGACAGGTCAACCTGCCTAGCCACAGCTGCGTAGCAAGACCAAGAAAAATAAATATTACAAAGAAATTTTTTAAAAATACTGGGCAAGCCAAGGAGTACTCTCAGGGGAGGTAGCAGTGTGTGCACTAAACCTCAAAGGATGACTAAAATATTAATAGCAGATAAAGGAGGGAGGAACCAAAAGCAAGATATAAGTACGAACTGGAGCAGCAGGAGATACCACTGTGGCTATTACATCATTATATTAGTCTGTTTTCACGCTGTTGATAAAGACATACCCAAGAGTGGGTAATTTATAAAGAAAAAGAGGTTTAATGAACTCACAGTTCCACATGGCTGGGGAAGCCTCACAATCATGGCAGAAGAGCAAGGGACATCTTACATGGTGGCAGGCAAGAGAGAAATGAGAACCAAGCAAAAGAGGTTTCTCCTTATAAAACTATCAGATCTCGTGAGACTTATTCACTACCACGAGAACAGTATGGGGGAAACCGCCCCCAGATTTAATTATTTCCCACCAGGTCCCTCCCACAACATGTGGGAATTATGGGAGCTACAATTCAAGATGAGATTTGGGTGGTGATACAGCCAAACTATATCAATTATTAAGTCTTAGCATAGACACTGTAGTCTAGTATTTACCTAAGCCTTCCAGCCCCCAAACCCACTGACCCTCTATGATGTCCAGAAGTCACCTCAATGGTAATGCTTTAATAAAAGGGTATCAAGGGAAAAGAAAGACTCTGATAAAATAATAAACCTCGAGGTATCAACAACACATTTTGCAGTGAATATATCCTGAAAATAGAAAACAGGGTGAATGTAGGCACATGCAAATGACATGGAAATTAACTATAAATACACATGTGGCTTCAGTTCTCCAGAAAAAAATTTTCTGATGGTTGCTATAATAAACCATCTGGAAGGTAGATACTAAAGTCTGAACACTTGCAGACAAATTATCATCTTTGTTCCAAATCAAAAGGCTTAAAGTCACCAAGAAAACTCCACGGGCTTTTCAGTCCCTAGTTCTTTTCAGCCTTTAGAAGTTCCTTGATCAAAGCCCATGGGGCTTCCCAGCCTTCCAACTGTGAGGAATAATAGTCAAAGCATAAATAGCATTCGTAGCTACGTATTCAGGCTGGCATAACTTTTATCAGCATGTGACTAATTTCCATAGCATTATAATAACAGTAATCTTTTTCTTCTGTAGGGCAAAATAACTATAATTCTCACCTATATTGATAAAAATACCAAAATAACTATAATTTTGTAATTCAAGAAAACTATGGCATCTTAGAGGATTGCCTAATCATGATCTGAGTCCTTCTGATAATGCATAAGTTAAATTGCAAAAAATAGCTGGGCCCAGTTTTCACAAGCTTACAACTCCTACCTACCCTCTTCCTGCTAGGTTAGAGAGGTAATTGAACTCTAATGCTGCTGCTACATTTCCTTGGGGCAAAGCTAAAAGACTTGGTAAAGAAAGATACTGAAATCTGGATCAAGAATTTTATTTCCTCCACTAATTTCATTCTGTCAAAATTTAAAATGTCACCAAATCTATATTGATGTACTGTAATAAAATTGTTACTTGATATAACTGATTTAAAAAATTAATATAATAATTTATATCATAAAATCATATACTTATCAAGTTTATTCTTTTAGTAAGGCTTTACTTTGTTTCATTCTTCTAGATTCAAAGTTAATCTCTATTCTTCCTATTGCTATGGTCAGCATATCAATTTGGATCAATCATTCAAATCTCATGCTGAAATGTGATTCCCAGTGTTGGAGGTGGGACCTGGTGGGAGATGCTTGCGTCACAGGGGCAGATCCCTTACGAATGGCTTGGTGCTGTCCTCGCAATAATGAGTGAAGTTCTCGCTCTGAGTTCACTTCAGATCTGGTTGTTTAAGAGTGTGGCACCTCCTCCCCCATTTTGCACCCACACTCACCATGTGACACACCAGCTCCCCCTTTGCTTTCCGCCATGATTGTAAGCTTCCTCATGCCCTCACCAAGAGCAGATGCTGGGGCTATGCTTCCTGTACAGCCTACAGAATCATGAGACAATTAAATCTATTTTCTTTATAAATTACCCAGTCTCAGGTATTCCTTTATAGCAATGCAAGAACAGAACAACATACTATTTTCTCTCCTTTTTTCTACCCTCATTCCTTCATCCCCCATTCATTCATTAGGTCAGTAACTATTTCCTATGCACTTTCTGTGTTTTGGTTACTGATCTAGAGAGCTAGAGATGCAACAATAAATAAAATAAACAATAACTACCCCCAGAAAGACTACATTCTGGTGATAAAGAAGTAGGCAATAACTTAGATATTATTGTAAGTTGAGAATGTTGGATGTAATAAATGCTAAGAAGAAAACAATTAAGCAAGAAAAGGGAATAGAAAAGGTGTGTAGGAATTGAAGTTGACCAAGAAGTCAATATTTCAACTAAGACTTGAAGGAAATAAGGGAGAAAATCATGCAGCTATTTGGGGAGATAGCATTTCTGAAAGAGGAAACAGAAAATGCAGAAGTCTTCAGATGGGGATATGCTTGCCACTTTCAAGAACAGTGAGGAGGTCAGTGCACCTAGGAAGGAGGGTATAATGAAAAAAGTACAAGGAAATGAGTTCAGAGCTAGGTCATGTAGGCCATTGTAGAGCATGGCAATAACAATGGAAAGAGTACCAGGAAATGAGTTCAGAGCTAGGTTATGTAGAACATTGTAGAGCATGGGAATAACTTTCACTCTCACTCTGTATCCTCTAATCTAGGTTATAATTGGATCACACTAGTTGCTATGTTTAACATATAGGAAAGGTAAGAGTGGAAGCAGGAAAACCAAAAGGAAGATATTCCAATAACTCAAGTGAGCGATGATTATCGTTTATTGCATGTTGGCAACAGTGGGGGTGGTGAGAAAATGAAATGCGGATGTATTTTAGATTGGCAAGACAAGATTTGACACCGGGTCATGAATGTATTATAAGATAAAGAGCAGTGTTGGGATGAAATAAATGAGTAAGAAAATACGAATTCCGTTCTGAACAACTGAGAGAGAAAAGTCTGCAAGAGGAGCTGGAATTTTGCCAAGGAATGGGAAATCAGGAATTCTTCTATGGCTATATGACATTTGAGACACCTATTGGACATCCAGGTGAGGTTGTCATCTAGACAGTTGAATATATGAGTTTGGAGTTAATGGAAACATTCTCAACTACACATACTGGACATTGTTGACCAATAGTTGGTGTAAAAGCCGTGAGGCTAGAACTGGATCACCTATGGAATAAGTGTGGATAGAAAAGAGAAGAGTTCCAAGGTCTGGACTCTGGTCTCCAGTGTTTGGCAACCAGGGAGATAAAGATGAACAGCAAAGAAGACTAGAAGAGTAGCCACTGAGGTATGGAGAGAACCAGGCATATTTAGTGGCTGGACACCAGGCGCAGAAGGTGTTCAAAGGTAAAAAAGGTGACGATATAGTCTAATGCTGCTAAGTCAAATAAGATAGGAACTTGGAATTGGCCATCAGATTTGGCAATATGGAGGTCACCTTTTACCTTGGCAAGAGCCATTTCTGTGAAGAGGTGAGGTCAAAAGCCAGACTGAAGGGATTTAAGAATGGGAAGAGAGAATTTGGATGAGGACACACAACTCTTTACAGGAATTTTTCTGTAAGGGGAAGAGACATGGGGCAGTAGATGTAGGACATCATGGGGTCAGGAGAGGGTTTGTTTGTTCAGCTGGTTTTGCAGATGAAAGAAAGCAGCCTATTTGTATGCTCATAGGGATGAATCAGTAGAGAGGGGAAAGTTGATTCAACAAAAAGGGGGAACTTTACTGAAACAAGGTTCTAAAGTAAGCAAGAGGACAGATGTTAATAAGACAGGAGCACAGACCAGTCACCTCCCTTCTCCCCCAAAAAGGAATCAGGAAAGCAGAGAGTGTATTGCAGATGCAGGTAGGTGGTGCAAAGTGGAGATGGGCATCTGTACATCTCTTCCTTGGGGTTGCTTTATTTTTTTAGTGAAACATGAAGCCAGATAACCATTTGAGAATATGGATTGTGCAGACAGTGCTGGATATTTTCAGACAGCAGGAAAAGTGTGATATTATTGCCTAAAGAGTGAGAGACTGAATAGATGAGGGGTGTATGAGGATTATGGGTCAGCATTATGGTCCACTTGAGGGCAGTGAGCAAGAATTTAAAGTGAAATCAGTCAGTGTTGTTATGTCTTGCTTCTGCTATGCTCAGTTGTAGGAGAGAAGGTAAGATGGGGTGGAGAATTGGACATAACTAGAGTAGTTGTTTAGTAAAGAGAATGCAATGGAACATGAGAGACAGAAGAGAGTTAAAATGTTTACAAGGTAGTGATTATAATGACTCACCATGAAATTTATGCTTGACAAAGTGGGTGATGAAGAATAAAAGAGATGACAGAGAGTGGAAATATGGCAGGATGCCTGGATTCAATTTTGGGGGTGGAGGGATTATTAAAACTGAAGTACCAGAGGAAGCACACTGACAATAAAGAAGGCGATTGATAGAGTGAAATGTTTGGAATTGACATTTAGGATAGTTATTGGTAAGGAAACGATCAGGGGCATAACCATGTAAGTGAAGGCCTGATAGAAAAATGGAGGCTGGGCTAGAAAAATGGAGGCTGGGCTGGAAAAATCATCTTATGCATATTGAAATCAACAAACGTTAAGACAGAAGCAGTGCTAGAAAAAGCCACAGTGAGCAGGCATTGCTACCTTCAGGAATGAGGTGAAGTGACCCGGGACAGCAGATGACTGCATCCGCCAGTAGTAATGGTTGATGGCAAGAGATTCAGCATTGGATACTGTTTTTTTCTCTTTTATTTTATTTTTTATTATACTTTAAGTTTTAGGGTACATGTGCACAACGTGCAGGTTAGTTACATATGTATACATGTGCCATGTTCGTGTGCTGCACCCATTAACTCGTCATTTAACATTAGGTGTATCTCCTAATGCTATCCCTCCCCCCTCCCCCCACCCCACAACAGGCCCCAGTGTGTGATGTTCCCCTTCCTGTGTCCATGTGTTCTCATTGTTCAATTCCCACCTATGAGTGAGAACATGCGGTGTTTGGTTTTTTGTCTAGAATGGCAATCATTAAAAAGTCAGTAAACAACAGATGCTGGAGAGGATGTGAAGAAATAGGAACACTTTTACACTGTTGGTGGGACTGTCAACTAGTTCAAACATTGTGGAAGTCAGTGTGGCGACTCCTCAGGGATCTAGAACTAGAAATACCATTTGACCCAGCCATCCCATTACTGGGTATATACCCAAAGGATTATAAATCATGCTGCTATAAAGACACATGCACATGTAGGTTTATTGCGGCACTATTCATAATAGCAAAGACTTGGAACCAAGCCAAATGTCCAACAATGATAGACTGGATTAAGAAAATGTGGCATATATACACCATGGAATACTATGCAGCCATAAAAAAGGATGAGTTCATGTCCTTTGTAGGGACATGGATGAAGCTGGAAACCATCATTCTCAGCAAACTATTGCAAGGACAAAAAGCATTGGATATTTTTATGGAAGAGAGAAAGAAACTGTACTTTAAGCAGAAGAAAGGAGCAAGAAAGGGGGATGCAGGGAAAGCAGCAACCTTAGAGGAGAGGTAGGTTTCCCTTAGAGCAAAAAGGTGAAGAGAGTATTCAAAGAAGAGGTTGAGGATGCAGGGTGTCATGCTTATGACTAACCTTGAGTATCAAAGGGCATGTTGAGAAAGGTTATAGCATAAGGGAAGAAGGAGAAGTTTGTGTCCAGGTAGTTCTCTAGAGGGACAGAACTGATAGGATATATATATACATATATGAATTTATGAAGTATTAACTCACACAATCACAATAGGCCATCTGCAGGCTAAGGCACAAGGAGAGCCAGTCCAAGTCCCAAAACTGAAGAACTTGGAGTCTGATGTTCAAGGGCAGGAAGCATCCAGCATGGGAGAAATATGTAGGCTGGGAAGGTAGGCCAGTCTAGTTTTCACGTTTTTCTGCCTGCTTTATATTCTAGCTGCACTGGCAGCTGATTAGATTATGCCTACCTAGATTAAGGGTGGGTCTGCCTTTCCCAGTTAAAATGACTCAAATGTTAATCTCCTTTGGCAACACCCTCACAGACACACCCAGGATCAATACTTTGCATCCTTCAATCCAATCAAGTTGACACTCAGTATTAACCATCACAGTCCATAAACGTGATATAGAAAGTTTAGGGAGGTTTGAGTGTGAGAGAAGAGGGTAAATTAAAAGTCTTGGTATAAGGCCAGGTGAGGTGGCTCACACCTGTAATCCCAGCACTTTGGGAGACCTAGCTAACAAGGTGAAACCCCGTCTCTACTAAAAATAAAAAATAAAAATAAAATTAGCCGGGCGTGGTGACGGGCGCCTGTAGTCCCAGCTACTCTGACAGGAGAATGGCGTGAATCCGGGAGGCGGAGCTTGCAGTGAGCCGAGGTCGCACCACTGCACTCCAGCCTGGGCGACAGAGCAAGACTTCATCTCAAAAAAAACAAAACAAAACAAAACAAAAAGTCTTGATTTAAGGCCAGGCGCGGTGACTCACGCCTGTAATCCCAGCACTTTGGGAGGCCGAGGCAGGCGGATCACGAGGCCAGGAGATTGAGACTATCCTGGCCAACATGGTGAAACCCTGTCTCTAGTAAAAATACAAAAATTAGCTGGGCGTGGTGACATGCTCCTGTAGTCCTAGTTACTTGGGAGGCTGAGGCAGGAGAATCGCTTGAACCCAGGAGGTGGAGGTTGCAGTGAGCCAAGATTGCACCACTGCACTCCAGCCTGGCAACAAAACTCCATCTCAAAAAAACTCAGCAAAACTCCATCTCAAAAAAAAAAAAAAAAAAAAAGGTCTTGTTATAAAGGATACAATCAGATTAGTCCTAATTGTCCCCAAGCGGATGGGAGGACACGCTGTGAGTGAAAAGGGGAAGGAAGGGTCAGTAGGTGGGGGCTTGCCAAGAACATAAAGTACCAGGCTCCTATCTGATTCCTACTGATGGAAACAAGGACTCCTGCAAGGGGGCCTGTTTTAATGAACATGCAGTTTCCTTCTCTTCCCACAAGTAGCCTGCAGTGGGTGTCTGCTTGGAGGTCTGAGCTACTCCTGACTTCTAATGAAGGAGGGTTCTGGGCAGGGACAGGGACAGTGTTGCCCTAATTGCAACTAATTTGTCATCTACATCTTTGAATTATACTTAGAGCTTAATTTCTTACGCTAGGGAATTACATACTAAAGTACTTATGAAAAAAAAATTTTGGATCAGAAGTAAGTAAGCCTGATGAGTCAATAGTTGAAGATACGGTAGTACTGCAAAAAGGCAAAGGTGCTTGCTGATTGATGCCTAATGGAGGTCGGGGAAGAATATGTATCTCAAATTAATACATCTTCTCAACTGCCAATCCTGATGCCTGAAATGTCTCCATTAGAGAATCCTGGAATTTCAGACCTAACTGAGGTTTTAAGAACAAAGCAGCATGGTGTAGCCAAAAGTGCAGGCTTTGGCATACTCCTGGTTTGTGTATAAATCCCAGATAGGAGCCTCATCTGCTGTGTCGTGTCAGTTTTACTGCCTTCCTTGCCTGACCTCTCAGTAAACTGTTTAAACATCACAGTGAAGGCAAATTTCTTTTCGGTAGAGATGCGTATGTCAAGTTCTTATTTCTGCTTAGTGCTACCATGGGAATATTCACACAGCTGAGTTAGGATCTGAGGAACGAGTTATATAGCATGACATAGAAGACTGGACAGAGTATACAATGGGTGGAAGGTGTGTGTGGATGCCTGCAAAGCATGGCATATAAATATGTTCTCTAAACTTTAAGCAACATAAGTATCCTAGATCTCTCCACTGGAAGGAGCCCCACTTTGTTCCCCGGCCTCCCCCCATACATAACTCCATGTATGATAAAGCATCAGACCCACATGGAAGGGTGCATGCCTGAGAGTTATGGTTAGTTGTGGGTTAAAGTCCACTTCACCACTAACCTGCTGTACAAATGAAGCAACTTATTTTACCTGTCTGAGCTTCCAAAGCTACAAATAATATCAATCTCAGAAGGCTATGTAGAAAGTGAATTGTAATAACCTGTGAGAAAGCTCCTTCTGCAGAGCAGCCACTCCGTAGTGTCCAATTTATAATACTAAATTGTGAGGGAGAAACCCCCTATCTCAAGAGTATTTGAGAGTAAAGTCTACATATTAGAAACACCGTAGAGATAATTGCTTCTAAGTTCCCGCTGACTTGCAGATTCTAGAATACCACAAAATTGCATGATCAATGGACAGAAAAGAATCTGGGCAAAATTATAAATTACAAAACCTACATTCAATGTTTTCCCCCAAAGCATCCAGGCTCTGGGACTGCCTTATGACAGTTTAGCCTTTTGATAGTTCAGGGATGGTCCCCCAGACACACGCACACACACGCACATGATGCACATACACACATACACACACATGTCCTTTTTTGGAAGTGACCCATACTAAAACCTTGGGAGCTTCTCACGATTCAACCCTGATGTCCATTCCTCGGTTGAAAGGGCACTTCCCAGAGTGGCAGTGTAGTGAAGTGGTTGAGAACACAGATTTGACAACTCATAATGCTAAGTGACTTTGGGGAAATTATTTAATCTTGCTAAGTTTTATTTTTCCTATTGTAAAAGGGAGGGGGAAGTTATAGAGTAAACAAATTATAGTTTATAATTACAAATTATAGACTAAGCAAGGCAAAGTTTGTACAGTGTTTAGTATAGAGCCTGTAGCACAATAAGCATTCAAAAAATAAAAGCTATTGTTTATTTCCTTGTTTATGACCATTATTGTTTTGTTGCTCTGTGCATTTTCTTGCTGATGTTGTGTTGATTCTCTGTTGATGTGTTAGGTGGCTGACATTGCACTAAAGTGATGTGCGCTGTAATAACCATGCACTTCTTTGCCCACTAGGGCAGAAGATGGGGCTGGTTGTTCCCACTGCTACTGTGCTTCTTCACTTACCTAATGGTCAGTTTGGGGGTCCTTTGGCCCCTCTCAAGTCACATAAGGGAGGCAACAGCCTTGTCTTTTGGGGACCAACATGACCTGGGAATAGACAAGTTCCTTTCAAGTCTGTAGTCATTTTTGATTGCCATCTATGCAGCCTTTTCTTTTTCTTTCTGTTTTTGTTTTGATGGCTGCCTATGGGTATTGGAGACTTAAATTTCTTTTACTTATATAAATCAAGAGTAAAAAATACCTAAAACAAAGACTCTATCGATTATATATTTGAGGAAAACCATGGGCAAGCATAAGGAAAACCATGGGCAAGCATAAGGATGCAGCATTCTGCAAGCAGGTACCATGAACACATGTATAAAATTCATTACTTCTTACCTGAATTGTCTGGTGAAGATGATTTTCTCTTTTGGCTTCATACTGCTTGCTTCGTAGACATTGTCTCTGGTTTTCCATAATTAAGAGTCCAAAGTTGTCCAGAAATAACATTTATTAATCAACAGTAAAACACACAATAGAAAAGGCCTTATAAATAAAACTATATATTTATAATGCTTTATTTTTTTGGTCCAGTACTCCACAAAACACTACAGACAGTAACAAAATAATTCAATAAATATTAAAAACTTTCAATAGAATTATAGGACACTTTTTTATCATATGTGAGCATCAACAATGCCACAGCCATTAGATATACTATTAAACACAGTCATAGATATCTTTCTTGAATAATGGACATAATAAATTTTTTATCAAGGAGTCATAACATTTACACATATCCATACACAAGATAACAGCTCAGAGGAAATGAAGCAGACTCCCCAGTGACCTGGTTTCATCTGCCTGTACATCATTTAAAGATATTACAGTGTTAACAGGATAGAAGTCAACACACTGAAGAGAAATGTTGGGATTTGCTTGGGGTGGGAGGAATGAAAGTAGGGTAATTAATGAAAGCAGCTTACATATTTTCCATTGCTCTCTTAGCAATATGCTCCCTTCCCTTTTCTGCCTTTTCTTGGTTGAGGTATTCCAGCACTTTCATTAACAGATCTTCATCCCAGTACTGCCTATTTGGGGTATCATCATTCTTCGGGGGCCCCACAGGGAACCTTTTGCTCACCGGGGCCAGCTTGTCAGTCTCCTGAGAGCTGCCTTGATTCAAATGCTCTTTGATGGCCTGCTCAATTTGTTCCTCTTCCTGCAGGTCATCTTCAGATGAGCCTTGACCAGGAACTCGCTTCACTTGGTTTGAATTAATGATCTCAGGGTATTTAACTAGCATCCTGGCCAAGTACTCACCTAATTCTTGATCCTTGTCGTTCAGGTTTTCATATGCCATCTGTCTGTTTTCAACATGTGGAATCCAGGCAGCTTTGGGAAGCTGGTTCGATCTAGATCTTCCAGCACCATAAGGGAGCCTTGGCAGAACTTTCTCCTGGTTATATGGATTGGGAAAATACGACGTTTTCTGATTTGCTGCACTCTCCATCCCTAAAAGATTTAAAATATCCTCAACACTGAGCCCGTCTGGTAGGGCCTCAGTCCCAGCACGACCAGGTGTTTTAGGGTAGCCACTCTTGGAGAGCATCCTATTTTGGAACAGGTCTGGATGGTCTAAGTCAGCCTCTGAGATGTCATCTAGGTCAACAGGAAGGTCAAGCTCCCGCTCCGGTTCCACTGATCCATTCGGCTTCTCCCCAGTTTTGAGCATCTCAATTAAGTCTTCTGGGGGTATCTGTAAATTCCTTGAGATTTCAATCAGCTGATAAATAGACTGAGAATCAAGAGGTTTCTCAAAAAGCCTGGTGGCCCTTTCCCCATTTTGCCCATTCTGTAACCTCCCACTTCCTGCAGCATTTACTAACCTTTTCAAATAGGCAATTACTTTGGAGACATCATCTGAGAGTTGGTCTTTACTCTCTTTCCGAAGATCTTCTTCCTGGATGCCAAGCTGCCCTGAGCGTTTCATCTCATCGTTGATTTGTTCATTTTTTTCTATATTCTCTTTGCTGTCTCTCACCTCTTCCTGGGTTTGACTCTCTATTTTCTCCTCTACTGGGTTCCAGTCTTCTCCCCCGACCACATCTTCATAGGCAATGTTATTAGCCTTGTAGATATCATCTTCATCATCCGTATAAAGTTTTTGCTCCTCATCCATCCTCTCACGTTTCTGGTTGTTTGGTCCTGTCAGTTTCCCCAGCTCTTGGAAGACAGATTCCAATGTAGCAAGGCTTTGAGGAGTATATTGTTCCTCCACTATTTCATTTGTGCGTTTAAAGGGGTTATCCCTGGAATTCTCTTCATACATAGGAGGGAATTGCATGTGCTTAAGCTTTCTTTCTGGCCACTGCTGTGTCTCATAATCATCACTCATGTCCATTGGAAAGTTCTTTTCTGAATTCAAGGCATAGGGCTTATTTTCTTTTGGTGCAGACTGAGGCTCATTTTCAGCCTGTCTCAAAGCTTCGAGTATTATTCTCATCCAGTCTTCTTCACTCAGTGAATCCCTCTCGGGCAAGTGGCTTTCATCGCCATTTTCTTTTTGCTGAAGGGGGACAGAGACACCTTGGTAGGGATTATAATCTGGGCTGCTTTCTTCCTTATGAGCTTGTTGTCGGAGGTTTTCTATGTACTCCAAAGCCCTGATCATTTCAGGACTGGGAAACTTTTGGACATTTTCCAACCTGAGGTCTGGTTCTTTCTGAAGCAGCTGGTTTCTCTGAAATGAAGCTGCTTCAGCCCCAGAGATGAGGAAAATTAAAGGGATAAGAGACAGGGCTGCTCCAAGCCAGTGGGTCTTTGCTTCAGCCATGTTTGAAAGATTTCCTTAAAACATAAAAAATATGAGTTACACAAATGAAACAAACTAGAAGACACTATAGCAAAAGAAATAATTGATCATTGAGGTGAGGAAAAAACATAGTAGATATTATTTCACATTAAGCTTAGGATAACTCTTTTTAAAAATTCATGAATATTTTCCACATGATTCCCACAAGCAAACCACAGGAATCTTTAGCAAAATTATTACTCATTCACCAAAAACTTGCATAGCATTCTCTTAGTTAAAACAACAGCAAAAACACTGATATGAGATTTCTTAAATTTTATTTTTTCATTTACAGAACTTGTAGTTTGATGTTTAGTACATGTTGTTTCTCTATAATAAAGCAGCAAATACTTCCCAAGATGTTTTAATTATTTTATATATTGAAGTCTATTGGCAAAATAATGTGTTGGCTTAATTTAAAACATGCATTTACACATACGCGCCCACAAATTATGTCCTTAAAGTTGTGTCAAAAAACATGTGGTTTATTTCCTGAAATGTCCATCTAATTTTGTTGCTGAAACACAGCTGCAGTTACATGACCATATATGACAAAGTAATACTTTTATATGTCAATCATACCGAATTACCTTCTGGGGAGTCCTATCCAGATATATTTTTCAGAAATAACTTGTTCTCAATCTGATACCGAATCCAATGATCCATAAATAACCTCCAGAACACGGGTCTTCTCAGATTCCAGCCAGTAGACTAAACCAATGAAGTTTCTTTTTGTGTGAACGTGCTAAACCAATAAAGTGTTTTAAAATCTCTTTGCTTCATATTTCTTCTAATAATTTATATTATGACTGTCTTGCAAAATGCAATTGTGGTTATACTTTTCATCAGCCCTTCAGAGTGTATAGTAAATAATAACAGATGCTACAGAGAGAACATAAGTTTTTTTAGCTAGTCTATTTCTGAACTTGTGAGTGTTCAGATTCAGTTTGTCTTCTGTCTGTGTCTATTTTGGTATGGACCTGTGAAATCTTAAATCACTCATACTGTTTAGAAAAATCTTAAAATAACCACTATGTAAATCCCAATTCAAATAAACACAGATGATGTGCTGAATTCTTCCTACTTAAAAATCTCCATTCATTATTTCCTCCGATGCCTTAAAATCTTACATAGGAATTAGGAAGAGGATTAGTTTTTATGTGTTTTACATTTAATATTGCTAACATTGAAAAAACTATTTTAATATTGGCTATTTTGTTGTAAACAAAATGAATGTAAGAGGAGTTTACAAGTTTGTTCATATCTTTACCAGATCATGGTTTTGTGATAGATAAGCTAAGTTATATGTATACAATTTTCTGTTAGCTTAGACATCAATTGTAGAAAATACCATTGTTCACAAGATCATATTGATGATTTTGTTTCCAGTTTTTTAGAGCCCAATAATGGCTTAGTTATGAAAACATTTTAGCATACGTATATACCTATTTAAATGATTCACGTTTACCAGAGTACTTAATTTATTGAAAGAAACATCTTGAAAGGCATTTGAGAGGATACTTCCAAAATATTTATTATAAATACATGTTTACTATAAGTAATTTTATTCATAAAATAATGAGGTTCAAATAAAAATACATTATGCACTCTTGTTTATATTATTTCAGGATTAATGTAGCTTTGGTAATCAACTTTCAACATTGGCATTTGAAATAATAATCTTAAAAACCTTACTGAACTTATTTTTTTTGAAGCCACAATACTGAAATAGTCTTAACATGTGGATTATATGCTCATCTTTAAAATCATTATCTTGGAACTGCACTTTGCTGTAAAGTTGAAGCAGACTACTCATTGCAGTTGTTTAAACCACAGCCTAAGAAGTGCTACCCTTTGCTTAACTATTCAGCTTCAGTTTGAATGACATAGTTATTGCCTTTGAGTGAGACCCAAAGGATTCTTTTCCCAGGTAGCAGCTCTTTCAAGTAGTAAAGATGTTTCAACAGCTCTACTATTCTATATGGGGTTTGATTTAAAATTGAATTTTCTGAAATCCAAATAATTAGAACATTATTTTTCCCCTGATAGCTATCATTAAAATCTCTCAAGTTAAAATGTCTTTTCTGTTGAATTCAGGCTAGAGCATTGACACATGCAGGTGACTATATGTAATTTAAGCAATTCAACTAGTTGGGATACAGAAAAAATGAAATACTTGTCCCAGACAAAATCTTTAGCAACATATTGAACATCCTCTTTAAATCAAATTATAGCAATAACAATAACAATTTACAAAGTTATGAGTATTTTCATCATGTATTCAAAATGATCATTTCTCTGTAATTCATGGTCACAGCCAAATTACAACCCAAGATAATATTTTGCCCTGGAAAAAGGAAGAATCCAGTGTTCAGGAAAATCCTAAGTTAACATCTTAGAACTAAAATTAGGAGATAATAATGTAAGCTCTTTCAAATATACAAGTTCAGAAAAGAATTTTATGTGGTTAGTTAATTCAGAGCTCTTGTAAGATAAATATCAAAGAAAAAAAACCTAGTTCCAAAATGGGTTGCCTTTATGACTAACATGCTTGACAGCCTTTGTATCATTGGAAACCTACTGTTAAGAATATTAAACATATAAATTATACCCCTGGCTTCGTATCTGGCTCTTAGTGGCAGAAATAATAAATTTTGGAAAGAAACAAGATATTGGGCTTGGTTAACTTTACATTAATCTGTGTATTGACACTAAAATCCTTAACTTTTTCACTCTTTTTTATATGATTATCTAAGTAACATTCTGGTTAGTAAATATCCAACATCAAGTAGTATAAAGCATAGACCCGATCATGTATATACACATATGTAGTGTCCTTACATTGGCTGATGAGCAGCAGGTTGCTATTCAGTTATCCTATCGACATAAGCTTGCCAAACAGTCTTTTTCTTCTCAGCTAGGAATTAAAAGAAGAGCATGCAATTTGGAACTTTCCAATAAATCAAAGAGAAAAGCAGCCTTACCTCTTTTTGTTTATATGGCAGAGGAGCTCCACAGCATATTCCTCCCCGTTCTCCGGGCGAGCTTCTCGGGCCGTTTCAGCACACGGACAGCTCCTCTGCTTATAGGGAGCCGCTGCGCCTGACTCCGCACTGCCACACTGACGTCACCGGGTTCAGCCACAAACCCCAGCACAAGCGAGGTTTTTCAAAGAACCAAGAGAAAATAATCACTTTATATTTAAAAAAAAAAAAAAAGAAAGAAAGAAAAGAAAAGAAAAAAAAGTTGCATGCTTACGCCACCTGTCTTTTTGTGGCAAAAATTGCAGTTTTCCTTTTTCTTTTATCAAAATCTTTGAGACGGAATAAACTGCTCTGCACGATTTCTCTTACAAAGAAAGAAATGTGTGTCAGACAGACATGGCTAATTGCAAGACAATCTCATCTATGTTCTAGCAACTTGTTATAATAGTTTCTTGGTGTCACTGTTGTAATTGTTGTCGTCGTTGTAAGAAAGTTTTACAGACAAGGATTATTTTTTCATCTTTGCCCACAAAGAAATTACATTACCATTTCCTGTTATAACCAAGATGAATGGAGGACACATTATAAATATGAAAGGCCATATTTCTTATCATGACCACAGCCATCATTCTTTTAAAATCATATTTATTTGAATAAAACAGAGAGTTCTCTCTCTTTTATATGAGAGCCAACTTTAATAGCTTATATAGTTTTTTAAATGGGTATTTATCAGACTTCAAGCTTAGTAGCTAATAATTCTTTATATCTCTGTTACTGTCTTTCACAATATCTGATCTCAGAAAGGGAAGCTCAGAAGTTGAGTGCTGATGAAAATACTTTCATCTACTTAAAAAAAAAGTCTTTTCACTGTTTGGGAAAAATGTGACACATACGTAACTAGAATTCATTTGCAATCGAAAGGAAGTTGTACTATAAATATTTCCCTTCTCCTGTTGAATCAGATGAGTTGAATACCTTCCATGAATGTGAACAATCCAGGGAATAATACAGCAATTAACTTTCAACCTCTCAGATTTATAATTCATAATCATTCCTCTGCCTTACCAGATAACCTGATTATATATTTCAATAATTTATATGGATATAAATTTTAAACTTTATTTTATTAAAGATATGAGTTTCTAAAAACTGTATATGTTGACATATACTTTAAGAATGCAACAGAATCTTGCCATATAAGAGATCCCATGTGTTTCTGCTAAATGAACAATCAGCCACTGACTCAATAAATTGTAATACCTACTAGGTGCCAGATACATTGCTAAATGCACAATTGTTAACTAATACAAAAATAAGTGATTTTTTTGCCTTTGATGAGCCTTTCAGCTAATGGGGATGACATGCAAATAAACACATAATTTTCATATAAATTGGAAAGCATCAATAGAGAGGTTAGCTAGCAGTGTTTGGACCATTTGGATAGCCAATGGGTTCAACCTAGAAATTCAGGGGGAAACAATGTCCTGGAATAAAAGGCCTAAGCTGAGATTTCTCACTATCAGGTTTTCTTACAAGGATTTCTAACTATGTTAGTACTTTTGAATTCCTCGAAAAAATAGGAAATGGCTTAAAGTCTTACAGAAAAAATCTTGGAAAAATGTGCCTCGATTCTCCCTATTTGGTTTTCCTAAACGACTAGGAGATCATCATTTGTGGATTGATATGAATTCATATACACTCAGACTGGGGTTATATGTCCAATTCATCCAACAAATTTTGCCTCATAGTGGTTTTTTAGGGCATGATCAAATGCTGGGTTGAAGAGACCTAAATATGACCCATTTCTCAAGCATCATCTCAATGACACCAGCTCATTCACTGACATCCTTAGCTAAGATTGCCTTAAATCTTAACAAAGCCCTGGCTAGCTGCTCCAAGTTTGACCTAATTTTCTGTCCAGCAGTTCTGTGTGACCAGTTCAACTAACCAGTATCAACGCAGCTTTAGAAAACTCTGCAATTATTCTTAAAATGTTGAGTTTGTTCAGCATAGGTCTCAAAAGCCCTCCAGAAAGTCATCCTGACTAGGCTAATTCATTTATGTGGAACTAAACTTTTTGGCAAGAACCAGAAGCTACGGTTCTTCTAAAGCCCCAGAGTCAACATCTTGCCTGGAAATATCTTCAATCATCCAAAAGACATGCAAAACCTCATTCAAAATCTCCAAGTAGATGTGAGATGCCAGGAGGCTGTTGCTGGGATGGATTGGCTCCACTAGGCTCAAGATGTGGGTAGAACAATAAGCCATTGTGGGCTATTGAATTTCTGCCTATCTTATGAGACTATGATAAATACCTCTCACTTACTGAGTTCTGTTATGATCCAAGCACTGTACTTGGAACCTAATTTAATCCTCCGGACAACTATAACAAGTAGGTATTTTTATCTCCATTTTACAGATGAAGAAACTAAAGCTCAGAAATAAGTAAGTTGCCCACTATTTTGACTTATAATTGGTAGAGCTAGAATTTGTATTTAAGTCCATTCTATGATATTTCTACAATAAAAACTATGATTCAGACACTGCTAGAGATGGAAATACAGAAATAAATATGGGATGGATTTAATCATTAAAGACCCAAGTCCAGAATTTAGTTTCTTTGACAAAAACCCCCAGTTGTCCAGTTGCTTTTCCTGGTCTAAGAAAAGCAAAGGCATAGGCCGGGACTTCTATTTGGGGCAGCACCAATGGAAAGCAAGAATAAACATTAGATCACAGCCTTGATGCTATGGGGCATACATCTTCCAAATAAGAGAACAGTTGCTGAATTAGGAAAATTCTATTCACCAGCCTGTTTTTTCAAAATCAAACTCCCCAAACATATTTTTTAACTTTCAAGTTCAGGGGTACATGTGCAGGTTTGTTACATAGGTAAACTTCTGTCATGGAAGTTTGTTGTACAGATTATTTCATCACCCAGGTATTAAGCCTACTACCCATTAGTTATTTTTCCTGATCCTCTCCCTCCTCCCACCATCCACACTCTGATAGGCTGTGTCGTTCCCCTCTTTGTGTTCATGTATTCTCATCATTTAGCTCCCACTTACAAGTGAGAACATATGGTATTTTGTTTTCTCTTCCTGCATTAGTTTTTTAAAGATAATGGCCTCCGCCTCTATCCATGTCCCTGCAAAGGACATGATCTCATTCTTTTTTTGGCTGCATAGTATTCTATGATGTATATGTGCCACATTTTCTTTATCCAGTCTGTAATTGATGGGCATTTAGGTTGATTCCACATCTTTGCTATTGTGAATAGTGCTGCAATGAACATACACATGCATGTGTCTTTATAATAGAACAATTTGTATTCCTTTGGGTATATAACCAATAATGGAATTGCTGGGTTGAATGGTAGTTTACATCTTTGAGGAATCACCACACTGTCTTCCACAATGGCTGAACTAATTTACACTCCCACCAACAGTGTATAAGCATTCCTTTTTCTCCATAACATTGCCAACATCAATTTTTTTTGTTTTTATAGATTTTTCAATGTGTTATATTTAACATATTTCCAAAAGTCACTAATTTTTTGCCAGTAGTTATTTGTTCTAAAGGGAGCTATTTCTCAAATAGAAATGTATTTGGAGAAGAATTTAAAATGATATATATATATATATATATATACACACACGTATATGTACACACACATATATATATATCAATAGTTTGTTGACATAAAATATTTTAGAGCATGTATAAAACATTAAAATAACCTATAAATCTTTGTATCACTGAACCTGTTTCAAGGAATTATTTAAGCATGCCTTACAAAATTTTAATTTTCTTGTTAGATCTAAATTGCCAACTATCATCACCGCCAAGAAACGAATCTCTATATTGTGAACGTTTTCAGAATAATTATGTACTATGTATGAAAATGGATTTTTAGAAAATTAGCTTGCATCCTCACCAGGGTGCTGTTAATTTCAAGTTAATCATTCACAATTTAACGTTAAGTAATTAGAACAGATGAGTTTGTTTTTATGACCGGATTTTCTTAAATCTTGGTCATTTTATTCTTTGTTATTCAATTTCATATTTTATCTAGACAAGATTTTGATTTCTATCATTCATACAAGCAATCCTCTACCTTAGTAATCTTTTCATTTGAAACTTCTCGCTCTTACACTCCATTACACTTCTCATTTTGTTTCAATTTATATGGAAGCAATTGAGATCCAGAAGGCCAATGTGTCTTGTTTCTCCTTTTTCTCTTGTCTGCTTCTTCCCTGTCTCTAACTGCCTCCCTGCCTGCCCTTCCCTCCCATGGAAGATCAGACTCTCACGGTGGAGTCCAGATGCAGCACGCTTCAGCTGAGGTCCTCCAGCGTTCACCTGACTGTGCCAGCAAGGAGGGTATAGTGTCTACCCCGGCCCCTCAGGGCCTTGGCTACTTGTCCTTGCTCAGTCCTCACCTGCCTGCCTGCCTTCTCTTCTTTTTACTTTTTTTTCTTTACGCTCCTTGTTTACTCTTTACCACCTTTATCTTTTGCTTCCAAAATTTAAATTCCATTCTCTTAGTTGTAGTGCGCTTTATTAACAAATGACTGTTTTTTAACTCAGTGTCAAAGAAGAGTGAAATATTTTTCCCCTTCCCTTGCAAAGGCAGGGCCTGCCAAATTGCTGTTTGGAGAACACACAAGTCAGAAACAGGGTATACTTTATTTAATAATGTGACTGCACAGTTTCCCAGACAAAATCCACTAGGTTCTAGGAGGTAGAAACTCTGCTTTCTATTATTGTACCCTCATGCCAAAAATATGTTTGTGAATCGAGTTGAATTAAAGTTTTCTCATTCCTGCTACCAAAGCTTCACACATTTTCTCTTGGAATTTTTTAATCCTCTTACAGTAGCATCCTTATGCAAATGCACTGACTTTATTCATTTGCATTGCATGCACTGCTAGCAAATTCAGTTTAGTTTTTTTAAGGAATATTTTCCTCCACTACAGGAGCATTCTATATTTTTCTAACTTTTGCTTCATTTTGTAAAATATTTTCCAAGTATTTGAGTAAAAATATGAAATTGCACATAGAAAGAAAATTGAGCTATTCTTAATTCCAGTATTTGTTTATTCTTTGTAATATTTTTGCTCTGCATATCAAGGTACCACATTACTGACAGCCCTAGGTGAACTAGACAACATTTAAGGCTCTTTCTACCCCTTGACCTCTTTACTCCGTGAAATGACAGTCTGCTGTGAAATTTTTTTTATTTATCTGGTAGGTATTAAAATACGATTTTTCTCATAAACCCTCAATAAGAATTGTATAAACCAAATAAACACAGGCTCTTCTCTTCATTGACTTTGGATTCTTGGAACCATCTGGTACTTGGAAGAAAAGCAAGTACCATTTTCTTAATCCAATACCATGAATGTTTGGGCATCTGCTCCCTCGATGGATTTCGGGAGAAGGAAGTTTGTGCACTGGAAGTTAATTACTTTGCTTAAAACAATGATGAATGTCTCAATCTTTCAGATTCTCCTAGTATAATTGTTTTGTGAATCAATGTTTTCAGCATTTACATGCCAATATTTTAATAACGATTTTTTTTTTTGGCTTGGAAATTTCCCACCTACACTCTCTCACCCCTCCTTTTAATCAAAAGCCCAGAGAGATGTAAGAAAGTCTTCAAGGTTAAAGTGCAGCATCTTTATGGTTAAGTTTAGCATTTTGTGTCCAGGGCTCCCACGGATTCACCAGATGACTTTTCACAGTTCACTTAGCCTTTGTAGGAATTTTGGAGTGCTTTCTATATCGGCAAAATGAATATATCACTTCTGGAGGTAGGGCACTTGCATATATAATATGATGAGGGGAGCTGAGAAAAGCCTCCTTAACCCAGAACTTTCTCCCCCAAATCCAGCCAGCCTGTCTGTATTCTACATCATAGGTGGTTTGGGGTTTTTTAGAATTTTTGGTACAGGGTCCTTAGGAGCTCCATTGTAAGGGATAATTCATTAATCAGTTATTACCTCCTTAGCAGGAATTAGCGCACAAATCAAATCATCTCACTACTTTGACACTGAAGAAAGGACACAGGCCCTGTATACTACAGGGGCATGATTAAAAGCATGTATTGTCCTGGCTAACAAGGTGAAACCCCGTCTCTACTAAAAATACAAAAAATTAGCCGGGCGCGGTGGCGGGCGCCTGTAGTCCCAGCTACTCGGGAGGCTGAGGCAGGAGAATGGCGTGAACCCGGGAAGCGGAGCTTGCAGTGAGCCGAGATTGCGCCACTGCAGTCCGCAGTCCGGCCTGGGCGACAGAGCGAGACTCCGTCTCAAAAAAAAAAAAAAAAAAAAAGCATGTATTGGAGTCGTGATTCTCAAAGGGTGGTCCCAGGTTAGCAATATCATCACCACTCAGCAATCTGTTAGCAACACACATTTTCAGACCCCACCCAGAAGGGTTCATTTAGCATAAAACCAAATATAAATGTAAATACACTTGACCTTTTCCGACAGCCTTCCTAGAGACTGGCTCACCAGCCCATTATTTGCTCCCGATATGGAAACGCTACTGATGTTTGCAAAGAACATCTCTTCCTGGCTTTATAGAGGTTTCAAATTGATTCTTGCATAAATACAGATGGGTTTATCTGAGTACAAATTAGCTCATAGATTGCTATGATTGGAAAGATATATAAAATGTCATCCACTCTAACCTGGCTCATTGCTTGCATCTGCTCTGTCAAATTCCTAACAAACAGACTTCCAGCATATAATATTAAGTTTCCTTAAATACCTCCAAAAAATAGCAACTCATTACCTCCCAATGCTCCCTATTCCATCTTTGGGCAAATTTATTCTCAAGTTTTGTGGGTATTTCCCCCCTTGTATTGGGCTGAAATATGACCCCCTGTGGCTTCACCATGGATCTGAGTTCTGCCCTGGAAGGCTATGTGGAGCAAGTCTTGGTCCTATTTTCTGTCACCAGAATCAGGCCTCACCAGCCAGTTTGCTTTTTCTAAATGAAACAGTTCTGTTAAATTTTCTTCGTAATTCATGGTGCTGGACCTCAGCTCCAAAGCACAGTCTTTGGCCTAATTCAATGTAAGACTTGAAAACAGCATCTAGCTCAGAGTGGATATCCTTCATCCCAGTCCCCTTGCCTAGAAAGTTCTCCCCAACCCCTCCAAGCCGCCCGCTTTTGCCCAGTCAACATCTTGCTTCTGAGGAAGCTCATTTCTCTGAGTTTCCTGACTCGGCCAATTCTCTCTAGAATATTCTCTCATGGAACCAAATATTTCTCTTGGTTAGTACTTAGTATAGTTGTAATATATTATAGCATTTTTATTTGTGGGATTCTTAGATTACTCTCTTCCCAAATGACTTTAATGTATTTGAGGACATAAAGAAGTCTGGGACATAAGTCCATTGTACCCAAAACCCAGCCAAACCAATGCTTAAAAATAGTAACATCTACAGGCCTGAGTTTCAGCACACACACACACACACACACACACACACATACAAATAATAATAATAATAATAATATCTAAAAATAAGCATATCAAGATCCAAACTGACCACATTTCCTTCCAATCCCTTACCTCCTTCTCAAAGTTCTCTCTTAACTAATTCTAATCTTGTCCCTCCAGTTCAGTCATGGAACTATTATCTCCTTGGCTTATTCTTGTACTTTCTCCCTCTCCACTGCCTCACCCCTTTATTTCCCCAGCCTTTGCCAATTCTTCCCAGTTGCCCCTTTCTGGTTTATCCATTTTCATAGCCTGTTAGCATTCTCTTACGTTTGGCCATTCAAAATCTCTCCCCAGCCTTTCAAGTGTCTATCACTAATCTTTCATACATGCCTTTCTATTGCAGGAAGTTAGGTGTTGGCACCTTAAGGGAAATAATACCTACTTCTAATTTGAACTAGCACTCAGGAACTACTGCTGACTGAATAACTAATGGGAAATGACAATGGGAAAAAATGAACGACAATGGGAAAAAAAAGCAGTCAATATCTATTAAATGCCTAAGTACAAGCCAAGGGGCTCCATCCTTTAAACACCATAGCAAATTATCTTTCAACATTTTTCCATCGTGAGCCTCCCCTGCTCAACTGGTGCCAGCTGGATTAACTTTCCATAGTTCAAGGTCTTCCACCGATTTTTTTTATGCTCCCTCATACTTCTGCATTCCCACCCTCCCTAGATTTTTTGCTGGTCCTATAATCTTCTCAACCAGAAGATATACTTAATCTTCTCAGCCCATCTTCATCTGCATCATTCTCCTTGCCTTGAAAATGTTCTTCCCCTCTTCCCCACCATTTTGATTCTTTTAAAAAGTTTTACTTGAGACTGGGTATGGTGGCCTATACCTGTGATCCCAATGCTTTGGGAGGCTAAAGTGGGAGGATTGTTTGAGGCCAGGAGTTCAAGAACAGCCTGGGCAACATAGTAATACTCCATTCCTCCATCTCTACAAATTTTTTTTTAATTAGCTGGGTGTAGTGCGGCATGCCTGTAAGCCCATGTACCACCACCTGAGAGGCTGAGGCAGCAGGATCACTTGAGCCCAAGAGTTCAAGATAGCAGTGAGCCATGATCATGCCACTGCCACTGCACTCCAGCCTCTCTCCAAAAAAAAGAAAAAAAGAAAGAAAAGAAAAGAAAAACAAAGTTTTATTTGATGTATCTTCTCAGTAAAACTTTCCTTAATTAACCCGTACCCCCTTGCATGCAGTTACCCCATTATTAGAGCACAGATTTTTAACCTGAAGTCCGTTGAAACCTATGAGATTAAATGCAAGTGTTTATGTACATGTGATCATGTGCTTTTTGTTGCAGGAAGCTCCAGGACTGTAAAGAGGTTCTCAAGTGAATCTATGACCTTGAGATTTTGTTGTAGCTCTTAGTAATGGTTACCAAATATTTCTGGCTCTCCTTCCTCCTGGGCTTATGATAGAATTGCACCGCCTGAACTCTTGTGATTGGGTGGCACCATGTGACAAGTTCTAGCCAATAAGCTTAGAGTCGAATGACATGTCCCAGAGCACTTTCCCTCACCACAGAGGCAGGCAAGTTTTGAGGTGGTGGTTGCTCACATAGCTTGCTCTGTGATTGGCTGCAATGTGCAGAGTTACCTTCCAGACCTTTCATGAACAGGTAAAGTGAGAAAATAAAGAAATAAAGTTGTTTAAGCAATTGATTTTGAGAAATTGTTATCACACATAACCTAGCCCAGCTTGACTGATATAACTATTGAACATGACTGGTTTGGAATATTGCTATAGCATGAATATTGACAGACTTTTAGTTATAATCTTACCCAAAGAAAGGAGATAAGACCAGTTGACAGTGAGAAGCTTGTCCTGCTTTCTCCTGGGTGCTCCTGTACTCCAAGGGGCCAATCAGATGCATGTTTCCCAGCATATGAAAAGCATATCCATAACACTATTGGAATGTTTTTGCCAGGCATAGATATGGCATTAAGTAGCATTAAGTTCTATAGTTGTCTGAAATGTATTCCTTGTGCAATTCTCC
Organism: Homo sapiens; assembly: GCF_000001405.40. Taxonomy (NCBI): domain Eukaryota; kingdom Metazoa; phylum Chordata; class Mammalia; order Primates; family Hominidae; genus Homo; species Homo sapiens. Next base: position 223,611,808 of record NC_000002.12, read on the forward strand.
TAGTTACACAAAAAAGAAACTATCAGAGGCTAGCGTGAACACCTTTCTGATGCTTGAAAATCCTCCTTTTTGGCCTTAGACTCTGAGCTTTCTGCAGGCTGCAGGATCTAACCAGAAATTCATTAACATCTTTATGGTTGTATTGAACTTAGGGTTTGAATTTCTTTCCATTTATATAGGCAATAAAATTTTCAAGTTGATGCAGTGATATAAACCTTCTTTGATTTAGGCTTAACAAGAGGTTCAATATTCAAAAAAATTAAGTAAATAGTAGCACAAATAATGCTTAGAGATAACAAAGTAATACTTCAAATGACTAATTTTTTTGGGGGGGAGAAATTTTGTATTATCTTGTAGTTCAATCTTGGGTGAGGCCTAATTCCCATTTTGGAGTCCAAAACTCTTGATTGTGTATTCTCACCTCTCTCTTCTTCCTGTCTCCAAGGGTTCTCAAGATTCATTGAGCAGGCAGGGCACTGTGGCTCACACCTATAATCCTAGCAGTTTGGGAGGCTGAAGCAGGAGATCACTTGAGCTTAGGAGTTGAAGACCAGCCCAGGCAACATAGAGAGACCCCATTTCTACAAAAAATTTTTAAAAATTAGCCAGATATGATGGCACACAACTGTAGTCCCAGCTACTCGGGAGGCTGAAGTGGGAGAACCATTTGAGCCAGGAAGTTGAGGCTGCAGTAAACTGTGATTATGCCACTGAACTCCAGCCTGGGCAACAGAGTGAGACCCTGTCTCAAAAAAAAAAAAAAAAAATTCAGTGACCAAAAACGTTGTGCGTGTGTGTGTGTTTTAACACTTTAGTTCCACAGCAAAACTTGCCTCAGAACATATTCAATAGGCAGGAGTTATGTACAGCAGAAGGTAGAAAACTGGGCTTGGGTCTGCTGTGTGACCTTAGGCAAATTACTTAACCTCCCTGGGCCTCGGTTTGTTCATTTGTCAAATGAGGGTAACATTACCTAGGCTGAGGCCTCAGAGAGTTGCTGCAAGGATTCAATTATATAATAGTTGTAGAAACGCGTTGGAAGGTCTGAGGCACTCTGCAGTTGCCTTCCCTGATTATTATTCAGCTCCCAGTCCCTGGGAATTCACTGAAACAGGGCTTGCCATGCCTGAATTTTAACATTGTAACCAACCTTAAAACATAATAATTTCCTTTTTACTGATGTGATTAGAATTGATTGCTGGACGCCATCGCAAACCGAGTCATTTGCAGCCTCTCCTCCATTAGACTGAAAAAGAAAAGAAACGCAAGTGTTTGCGTAACTGCTAGAAGCCTGTTTCTCTGTCAAGCCGGCGGAGGTGGAGTTTCTTCTGGGAGTCTGCTTCTGGCTCCCTTGACTTCAGCAGGGCTTGGCGTCAGACGGAAGGATTTTAAGTCAAAACACACACGGCTACAGGGAATACGATGAGTCATGTTCCGCCGGGGCTGAGCCGCTCCGGGGAATCAGCAGCAGAAATGAATGAGAGTGAACGCCTCCTCCAGGCCTGAGCCACCGCCTCCTCAGCCCAAGGCCAGGTTCACGGTTTTAATCATCAGTGTCTCCGCACAGCCCCGCATGGAGGGGCACGGCGGGAGCAGTTTGCACATTACACATTCACAGAGGCGCAGCCGTTCATTACAGTCATCCTCGGGCTCTGCCCTAATGAGACTCAGGAACAAGGCTTTAAATGTCATGATGCTTTTGTGTCTTTTCCTGATGGGAGAACTACACGATGCTGGTGATGCAGCCGGTTTCGGAGGAACCAGGGCGGGGGCCTCAGACGCAAACCCCGACATGACGACTATCTCCAAGGCCCCCAGACCTCTTGGCTACTAAGCCAGTTAGAGGGTTCTGAGTGAATGTGCCCCTTCAGATTCCCTTTGGGGTATTTATTTCCGGACCTAAACCCTAACATCTCTAAACTGTCTGCGTCTGTCTGGCTAGCATCCACCAGCTGAAGTAGGACTTGGGTCTTTTAACAACAACAAGGAGATTAAAATCCTGTGGTTTTTTTCCTACAATGGTGAATCCCTTTCTTCTAAACTCGGCTTCATTACTCTTTATCTTAGCCAAAAGTCAAGAATCATCCACGTATTAAAAGAGACAGAGAGTCAGTTAATGGGCACATTCTGGTGCCAAACCAGGTGCCTGGGTTTGCACCTGCCTCTTCCTCTTCCTAGCTGTGGAGCCTCAAGCTATTTATTTATTGTCTTTGTTCTTCTGCTCTCTCTCCTCTATAAAATGGAAATCATAATAGCAGTTACCTCATAGGGTTTTGTGTGACTTCAATCAGAACAATAAGCATTCGATAAATATAGTGCTATTATCATTATGACATATTTATTGACCTTTTATTTTCACCAAGACTTGCATCAGGCACTGACAACACAAAGCAAATAAAATTCAAGGGCTGTTCATGTGGAGCCTAGTGAGGAAAATATCTATACCCATTGCATAGGCTGTTTTGCATTACTATAAAGGAAGACCTGAGACTGTGTAATTTATAAAGAAAAGAGGTTTAATTGTCTCCCGCTTCTGCAGGCTGTGCAAGCATGGCACCAACATCTGCTTAGCTTCTGGTGAGGACCTCAGGAAGCTTACAGTCCCAGTGGAAGGTGAAATAAGAGCAGGCATGTCACACGGCAGGAGTGGCAGCAGGTTTGTGTGGGCAGACTTTTAAATAACCGGGTCTCACATGAACTGAGGGAGAACTCACTTATTACCAAGGGGCTGGTACTAAACCATTCATAAGGGATCCATCTCTATGATCCAGTCCTCCTGGCCTCACTTCCAACATTGGGGATTACACCACAACATGAGATTTGGAGGGGACAAACATCTAAACCATATCACACATCATAGCAGGCTGTGATAAATGGGAAGACAAGGGACCAGTGGCTGGAGAGAGACCATGATTAGTGTTGCATAGGAGGGCTGGAGATTTTAGATAGCAGGGAACCTTTGAACTTGAGTGTCTAAAATGGATGGAAGCTGGCCAGGAAAAGATTGGAAGCAGCTGAGTGTGGTGGCTCATGCCTGTAATTCCAGCACTTTTGGAGACCGAGGCAAGAAGATTCCTTGAGCTGAGGAGTTCAAAACCAGCCTGGGCATCATGTAGAGACCCCATCTCTACAAAAATTAATAATAATAAAAATTAACCAGACATGGCAGCATGCACCTCTAGTCTCTGCTACTCAGGAGGCTGAGGCAGGAGGATCGCTTGAACCCAGAAGATTGAGGCTGCAGTGAGCCATGTTCACAGCACTGCACTCCAGCCTGCAGCCTGGGCAATGGAGCGAGATCCTGTCTCAAAGAAAAACAAAGAAAGAATAGAAGCATTTGCTTCATCTCAATCTCTCAGCAAGTCTGCAGCTTTACGCAGAGCTTTCTTCAGTTGTCCGAAGAGAAGAGCAGGCTGCTCCCGGACCCTGAACGTGACCCACAGGGTATGTGGGTGTTTTAGAGCCTTATCTCTGTGTCTGGAGCCTGTCCCCACACCTGTGCTGCTCTAGAAGACACTACATGCTCCAGGGGTTTACTATGTCTCTTGCACCCAAAGATAACAAATCAAGTCAAAGAAGGGGTCTTCTTTTTTTTAAGACAGAGAGAGAGAGAGAGAAAGGGACCAAACAGATACTTGCCAGAGGCCAAGACATTCTATGTTTTTAGGATATTCCTGATCTTGGGGCTTTGGAATTAAGTTCTCATAGCTCTCATCAAGTAGTCACAATAGGACACTCAGCTAATGACTTTTCAGGATTTCTTGGATGTGGAAAGATAAAGTGGCAAAACGAAGGGTATGTGATCATGAGAATAGCTAATGTTTATTAAGTTGACTATATGTCACACCGTTTACAATTACTATATCTTTACACTCAACCTATTGGGAATATTACATGTTGAACTATGTTAACTTGCCATTTTTAGATTTAGAAAATGATCGAATATAGCAAGTTCATGTGGTTCAAGCTAATATCATTACCATTCTGTTGATGAGGAAACTGAAGCTTAGAGAGGGTCATGAATAGATGCAAGTGACCTGTGGTCAGATGATCTAGATTTGATTTCTGGTGACACCACTTAATAATAGTTTCTACCCTCATAAGGATGTTGGGGGGTGGTGGCTGTTAAATAGGATACTTTAATAAATAAGGGCCTAGCACATTTTGAGATTGCAACATTCTTTTTTCTATACCAACTAACCCTTGATCAAAGGAGAGGAAAAAATAAGTAGACTAATCCCCATTCCTAGGCAGTCAGAGGGTTAGGGGTGGGCGCTGGGCCTCCTGGTATCCTGCATTGACTACCAGGCCTGGTCCTGTTGTCCCCAGTTCCCAAGATCTAGTAAGAGAGAAGCATTTAAATGATCACTCTGAAAAGGAGGATTCAGTGATGAGTAGAACATAGAGCAGTGACTGGGTTTGAAATCAGGAAACTGGGGACAGAGGTCCTTTGTTGAGTTTCTGGAGACTTGGGATGACACTCTCAGTTTTGCTTAAAGGGACCACTAAGAAGGCAACAAAAACTACTGGGGTGGAGCATAAGAAAAACAGATACAAAAGAGAAACTGTCAAGAGTACCCATTGGTTATATCACTGATCACCATTTCCCAGGAGCCATGGAAATGGGAAGGCTTCCCAAGAGGCCCTCAAAAAGCTTCCTCTACTGCTGCCTTCTCTTTGCTACCCTGGGGCTAGCTATAAAGGAGAGCCAGGCACCAGGTTAGCGGTGCTACACAGATACAGGAAATCTCAACCCCTCATCGGTATTAAGATTACGGCTTCCCCTCATAGTCTCACTCTTTTATTCTACTCAAAACCATGATTAGTTGAGTGAAATAAATTTAAACTTGAGAATTTGGCAATCATCTTTTAAATAAGTGGCATCCCCACTGAACAAAACTAAATCCAACTGGGTATTGCTGAAACCAATTCTGTATAGTTGGGTCTTACATAGAGTGCATGGTAAATGTGTTCTCCCTTCCAGCCTCCTACCGTAGCACCACGAATCTTCCATGGAAACAATTATCTCCTTCAAGAACCAGCATGACTGGCCGGGCCCAGTGGCTCACGCTTGTAATCCCAGCACTTTGTGAGGCCAAGGTGGGCGGATCACGAGGTCGGGAGATCGAGATCATCCTGGCCAATATGGTGAAACCCTGTCTCTACTAAAAATACAAAAATTAGCTGGGCATGGCAGCGCGTGCCTGTAATCCCAGCTACTTGGGAGGCTTAGGCAGGAGAATCACTTGAACCCAGGACGTGGAGGTTGCAATGAGCTGAGATCATGCCACTACACTCCAACCTGGTGACAGAGCTAGACTCCGTCAAAAAAAAAAAAAAGAAAGGAAGGAAGGAAGAAAGAAAGAAAGAAAGAAAGAAAGAAAGAAAGAAAGAAAGAAAGAAAGAAAGAAAGAAAGAAAAAAGAACCACCATGACTGATGGAAGTTTGAACTATAGGTGCAAAATCCAGTAAGATGGGTATGGGCCTTGCTACATTCAGATTTGCCTCATTTTGTGCTTATCATTACTCATGTAATTACTTGTCACCATCAACTCAAACCAAAACCACAGAGCTTTTTTAAAAGGGGTTGACAAGGAAAAGGTACTTGTTTAGGGAACACTTTACCTCATCTTGTCCCCACATAGACCTGTCCCTCCATAGCTGCATCTCAAACCTCAGACCTTAGCCTGCCATTAGCACCAACCACATTGAAATCTCAGTTTCCTGAAGCCATGTTCTCTGACAGAATCAATCTGTAATAATGACAGAACACGCTATTTGGATAACCTTCCACTCATGCATTTATTCATTCATTTGCTCATTCATCAAATGTTTATTGAACTGATTGAATTATTCAGAAAGTAATGGTGCTGTGCTCTCTGCCCTCTTCGAGCTCACAGACTAGTGGCTGGGACTGAGGGTGGGTGCACTGAGCGGGGCGGGGGCGGGTAAGTGAAGGAGGCATACACGTACATCCTTGATGGATAAAACAGAATAAAACATGTTCTCGAGAGAGGCACAAGGAAAAGGCCAAGAGGGAATAGGAGCAATTAATTCTCCAAAAGTTTCAAGAGAGCCTTCATGGATATAGTGACATTTGAACAAGACCTTGAAGAAGCATTCAGGAGGAAGAAAAGTGAGGTAAGAACTTGCTCTCCTGAGGGAAAGGACTGAGCAAGATACAGACTGGGGAGGAAGGAGGTTTGCTGGGGGAAAGACTTTGGTTTGCCACAAGGAAAGCAGCCAACCTTTAATGAAGGTTCACCTTGTTCCAAGCACAGGGCTAAGTGCTTTACATTAATTAAAACATGCAATCCCTATAATAACGAGACAGGTACCTTCATTGTTCGCACTTTACAGAGTGGGAAACTGAAGGCCCCAAAGATCTAACAACTTTCCCAAGCTTGGATGTTTATTAAAGTGAGGAGCAGAGACCCCTGCAGGCAGTCTGCCTTCCTGACCACACCCCGCATTGCCCACGAGGATTGTGGTAGAGAAAGTCAAGCAAGGCTGGAGTCTTGACAGACATTGTCTCAAATGCAGATGAGGGGATTTGGGCTTCATTGTCAAATTTTCTAAGGAGAGAAAGGAAATAAATGACAACATGAGGGAAACAACTGGGGCAGCTGTGTGGAGAATGTATTTGCATCTTAATGAGAACATTTAACGCCTCAAGCCAGAGCTTCTAAAGAAGGGAAATTCAGACTTTCAGGTCGTCTAAAGAGGTTAGAGACTTACACATAAACGGAGGGCAGGCCCAGATCAGCTTAAAGACCCTTCACACATCCTGGGCAGGTGGCTTTCTACTGGATAGGAACCCACCTCACCCCCCCACTGCCAACGAAGTTATCTGGATCAGTCTTCTCGTTCTACAGATAAGAACAGAGAAAACTGCATTGTTTTGCCCCAAATCCCACAGCTGGAATGTGGCTGAACAGAGGTCCAAGTACACTTCTCTATCTCCAAGTCTTGCGTTTCTTCCACGGCATGGCCCAGGTTTACACTCCCCAGTATTTAAACCAGCAGGAGCGCACCAGCGGACTGCTCCACAGCCACACCTCCAACCTCTCCCGTCTACTTCAGCCCAAGGAGCACAGCCAGCCCTGGAGGAGCTGCAGCCCAAGATGTTGATGCTGCAAACAGGGAGATGCTGCAAACAGGGACAGTCGACCTTGACTGTCCTCCCAAACTAGTGAAGGTGCACTCCCTCACAGTCTGGCCCTACCTCCCACTCTCATTGGCCCTTTTTCTTTTTCTTTTTCTTTTCTTTTCTTTTTTTCTTGTCTGCAAAGCTTAGACCAAAGTAAGTAATCTAGAAATATCCAGAAAAGAGTTAATTAAAACAACTCAGGTTGAGAAGGCAGATGCAGAAAATCAAGGTGCTCCTGAAGTTTTGACACAGGACTCTAAGAGGGAGAAATGAATCTCAAGACCGCTGTGGGACACGTGCTCCCACAACTTCACAATTGAACACAAAGAGCTATTGCCTTACACCTAATTGCTCCAAATTAGGTGTTGCATGTAATTGCATTAAAGCCTTGCTAACTTCTTATTCGTGCATTTTTAAGGGGGGAAAAAGCCAGCCTGATTTCAGCTCTGTGCTCCTCTTCATGCCAATCTCTCATTCATTAGCTGCATTGTCTTGAGAGGAGAGTAAGGAGTCCTTCCAGCAGAGCACCACTTTTCCTGGAGTCATTCAACTTTCTGCAGATTTGATGAGAGTAAATCCCACTAGAATTTCCCTCCCTTAGCTGAGACCATGGCTACCTGAGCTGAGAGAGGAAGACTGGGGCTGGCGGATGGGAGTAAGGGATAGTCCTGGCCGCCAGCACATAGGCAGTCAGGAGAGGCAAATGCAGTCATACCTGGGTGGCAGCCTGTCTAGTGACACTCGAAACCAGGAATGTGGCAAAACTGGTGGTGTTCCTCATGGCTAGAGAGATAGTAACAGGACGCATTTTTCCAGAGGATGGTTCTGTTCATATCTAAGTCAGGTGTGAGAATCCAAAAAAGTCCAACCAAGTAGGATTTTGACCACTACCTGTTTAGAACCCTTCAAAGGCCAGCTGCTGCCCTAGATTAACTCCCAGTCCTGATCGCTGCCCCCGCCCCCTCCCGCTGCCAGTCCCTGCAGGGCCAGCCTTTGCTTGTCTCCCAAGTCCTGCTCTCTTTCACTCTCATCTCTGCCTTCTGTTCCTCAATTATGTGGGGCTTTCTACTGCTCCAGAACCTTTGCACATTCCACTGACTCTGCATGCAGTGTGGCTTCTTGCCCCTTCTACTTAGCTTCTATTCACAGTCTGTAGTCCTTACTTTACTCATCATTTCCTAATAGAAATTATCCCTGACATCCCAGGTTAAAGCAGGTTCCTTTTTCATAAACTCTCAAAGAAACTAATTTCTTACTGTATTGACTATAAATTCTTATTTTTTGCATTCTTGATGCTCTGACATTAGGAGCCTTGATCCTGGTGAGACTGCCCCTCCCAAGGCCAGCTGATCTCTACTTCCCTGCGAGCAGGCCTTTAATACACAAACCAAGAAATGCACAGCCCACACCTGTAACTATCTCCTTTACCAAACTGTCACAAGCCATGTCAACATTACCCTACCCTAAATCATCCCAGGGCCAACTATGGGACAACCAGAGAACCCCTCTAGAGCTCACATCCCCCAGATTATTCCAACTATCCAATCCCAAGCTTACTCAGTGTGCCTATTCTGCCTCACCCATTCCCTCCTATTAAACCCAATAAAGGCTCAGGGGCTTGCTCTGCCCTTCCCCATCTCTGCCTCTTGGCCCATCCTGGCCCTACCCCACGTGGCCCTGCATGGCATGGCATGGCATGGTGTGCTGTGCTTCCTATTTCCAGGAATCAGTGAGTATAAACTTCTTCCTTCATAACAATCATTTCTGTGTCTGCACATCTTACCATACTCATTTAAAACAAATACTGGGTGCACCTTAATACATGTACTCTCACAGGGCTTTCCTGGGTTTTTCCTATGATTTTTTTTTATGTCTGGCCCTCTAGCTTGTAAGCTCCCTGAAAGAAGTTTCCACATCTGTCAGTGCTGACGTGTGTGTGTGTGTGTGTGTGTGTATTGTGTGTGTATGTGTGTGATGCAGTCTCCCTCTATCACCCAGGCTGGAGTGCAGTGGCGCAATCTCAGCTCACTGCAGCTGCCACCTCCAGAGCTCAAGCAATTCTCTGGCCTTAGCCTCCCAAGTAGCTGAGACTACAGGTGTGTGCCACCATACCCAGCTGATTTTTTTTTTTTTTTTTTTGTAATTTTAGTAGAGATGAGGTTTCACCATGTTGGCCAGGCTGATCTCGAACTCCTGACCTCAGGTGATCCGCTCGCCTTGACCTCCCAAAGTGCTAGAATTACAGGCATGAGCCACTGCACCCAGCCTATGCTGACTTTTTAATCCCAGTACCCAGCACTGGAGTGATGCTCTATTAAACAAAAAAAAAATCCCAGTCCCCTGAGGGGAACAAGCAGCACTGTACGGGAAAGAGGAGGCCATGGCCTGCAGTCACAGACCAGATGACACAACTTGCATGGGAACAGACCTGGCACACAGGTGGATGGGTATCCAGCACTCCTCTAAGATAGGGGAGAGGCCAGGTGAGTGACAGTCAGACCAGCTCTGGACTTGATAGGCTGGAGAGATAAGCCTAGTGCCAGTGAGGTCTGGCTCACTGGTAGGCAGGTTAAAGGCATCTGTGACTGGTTGAGAGGGTCGGTGGGGAGCTTGGAGAGGCAGGTCTAGTCAAACTGACTGGTGAATCGGTTAGCATTTTAGCACACCCATCCTGAGAGAGCCTCAACAGGCCACTCACTTTACTTGAGGATCTCTACCATGTAGACAACATGAGGATCATAAAATAATACATGAGGGAGGGGGCAAAAAATAGGGGCTCCACCTTGCCAAGGAGAAAGTCACGAGTGCTCAGGACCTTACTTTGACTACTTGTCTGGAAGAAGCAGTCTGTGTTCTCAGCACACCCTTAGGATACTGCAGAGTACATCCATTGAAGCCCAAGGGCACTTAGAAACACAATCCGCGTGATGGTTGACATGGCTGTAACTGTAAAATAACAGCAGTGATAAACAACCCCCAGGGCTTAATCACAGGATGCCCGAGTGTCACTGTTCCTTCTCGCTTTCTCTTTAAAATGTGTCACAGAAGCTAATCATATATGCTGAGCATTGTGCTGGAAGCCCCTGCTCTGCTCTCTGACACAAGCATGTCCAATTAGAAGCCTAGCATCAAGCACCTCTGACCCTATCCGTGGGAGGCAGACTCCTGAGCCCTGGATTCTATTTCCAGCCTCTGCAATGCTGAGCCGGGTGAGGTGACGCATCACCTCGCCTGGTGTTTTCTAATTGACAGCCTGAGAGCATCGCATCAAGTGTTCCTTTCTCCAAGCCCAATTAAGTAGTTTCCTTCTCCCAGAAGGCAAATTTAAAAAAATTCTCTTTTAACTCCACTCTCCATTCCCATTCTCCAACTCCTAACCATGTCTGCATGGGCAAGCACACTCATGTGTTTAATGTGTATCTTTTTGCTTGTTTATATTCTTGCAAAATGGGCTTTGTTGTTCTGTGTGTATCTTTAATTTACCTACATTGTATTGTGTTAAATGTCTCCTTCCATTTCTTGTATTTTTATAACTCATCACTATGCCGCTATGGTTTATCCAAGTTGCCAGGTGTGAATCTAATCAGCACGGTGTAGGTATGAATGCCCCGTACCGTACTGGCCACTGACCCAGTGATGGCTGCTGCATTTGCTTCCAACGCTGCCTCACTGCAAACAGTATTGTAGAAGGTATCCCTGTGTGTATCCATTAACATCTGTGCATATTCTTATTTTTCTAATGCCAGATTGTTCTCCAAAGGCTCTTGAGGGCTTCTCTATCCTCACATGCCCATCCTTGCCAACTAGTGGCATTTTCCGGCCTCCTACTTTTTGACAAACTTATATGTGTAAAGTGATATCTTGTTATTTTATTTTGCATTTATTTGATTACTAATGAGTTTGAACAAGACTCCATGTGCTTGAAGGTCTTTGGACTTCCTCTTCTGGTTAGTCTATTTGTATCCTTTGACTATTTTTGTTTTGTGGCTGATATCTTGTAGAGTCTAGATTTAAATCCCTTGTCAGTTTTAAATATTTCAACCATTTTATCCCATTATGCCATCTATTAACTTTGCTTATGGCGTCTTTTGTTGAACAGAAATTTATAATTTGGATATTATCAAAATAATCATTTTTTATTCTAAAATATTCATTTGAGGTTTTGTATTTTAAAAGATTTCCTCTACCACTGTGTCACAAAAAATATTCTATATTCTTTTACTACATATGAGGTTTATAGTTTTACTATCTTTATTTAGGTCTTCAATCCCTTTAAAGGTCTACCTTTGGTTGTGGTATTATTAGAAATCCAGTTTTATTTTTCTCCTTAGAGTAAGCCACTTTTCCCAATCTCAACTAGTAAGTTATCTGTGAATTCCCTATTGATCTGTGGTGTTAAATTTATTGTACACAAAGTTCTGTATATTCATGGGCTCTCTCTCTCTGCTCTCCATTGTATCCCATTGGTCTCTATATCTGCTAATGAACATATGCTGTACTTTTTATTATAATGACTTTGTAGGTTAATTTCTGTAAAGGTCAGTACATACTCAATATTTTTAAGGTTAACTTGGATGCCTTGGATCTTCCTTCTCTCCAAATAAGTTTAGCAAGTTCTTTTTAAAGTTCAATGGGATTGATAAATGCTATTCCATTGAATGTAAAATTAATTTCATGAGAATTGATACCTTTACAATATCGTCATTATATTCAGTAAATGCCTCCATTTATTTATATAACTTTCAATGTCTTTAATTAAAGGTTGAAAGTTTGTCTTCTTGCATAAGATAATTTCTAAATACCTTATGGATTTTGTTGCTGTTGTAAAAGGTATCGTAATTTTGATGATATTATATTAGGTACTAGTATAGAACAATTATAGTGCTATTTGGAGCTTAATCTTGTATCCTTAAACTTAATCCCTTTGCCAGTTCAAATAGTTTATATGTTGTGATTGTTGGATTGTTTTATGTAGGTAGTTATATCACCTGAAAGCAACCACAGTTTTATTTGTTTTCCTAAATCCATATACTGTATCACTTTTACCTGGGCCAGGAGCCCCAGTACTCTGAAAACAGAAGTGCTAATATAGGGAATCCTTGTTTTTTTTCCAACCTTAGACATAATACGTATGTAGTGTCTCTATTAGGTATAATATTTGCCACAGATTTTTGGAATATTATTTTAATTAGGTTAAGAAAATTCTTTTCTAATTCTAGTTTGTGAAGAGTTCTTATCACAAATAAGTTTTAAATCTATGAAATGCTTTTGATACAGGGATTACAATATTCATAAGATTTTTCTTCATTAGTCAAATAATGTGGGTTATTTCACTGTTAGATTTTTATGTTAAATAATATTTACATTCTTAGAGAAAACCCTACTAGATCATTTTTTAAAATACAATATTATATTTGATCAGTCTATATTTTATTTAAAAATTTTTCTAACCTGCTTTTGTAGTCAAGATTATATTAACCTCAAATAGGCTGGACTGTATTTGTCTTACTATTTTCTGGAAAAACTTAACATAGTCTAGGGATCTAGTGTTCCCTATAGATTTATTGGAGTTCCATTAAGCCATCCATGCCTGAGATGGGGACAGAGAATGAGTGGGGGCAGCAGGGGAGTTTCTCTGATACTTATTGGTACATCAGTTTCTCTATTAATTTTTTTTAACCTAAATGTTTTTTATTTTTCCATAAGTTATTGGGGTACAGGTGATATTTGGTTACATGAGTAAATTCTTCACTGGTAATTTGTGAGATTTTGGTGCACCCATCACCCAAGCAGTATACACTGCACCATATTTGTAGTCTTTTATCCCTCGCCCTCCTCCCACTCTTCCCCCCAAGTCCCCAAAGTCCATTGTATCATTCTTATGCCTTTGCATACTCATTGCTTAGCTCCCACATCTCATTGAGAACATAAAATGTTTGGTTTTCCAGTCCTGAGCTACTTCACTTAGAATAATAGTCTCCAGGCTCATCCAGGTAACTACAAATGCTGTTAATTTATTCCTTTTTATGGCTCTGTAGTATTCCATTATATATATATATGAATATAATATATATATAATATATAATATAATTATAGGTTTATTTACTACTTAGATATTCCTTGGCCAGTTGCAGTGACTCATGCCTGTAATCCCAGCACTTTGGGAGGCCGAGACAGGAGGACCGCTTGAGTGCAGGAGTTTGAGACCAGCCTGGGCAACATGGTGAAACAGGTCTCTACAAAAAATGCAAAAATCAGTCAAGTGTGGTGGTGTGTGCCTGTGGTCCTAGCTACTGGGGAGGCTGAGGTGAAAGGATCCCTTGAGCCCAGGAGCTCCAGACTGCAGTGAGCTATGATCATGCCACTACACTCTAGTCTGGGTGACAGAGTGAGATTCTGCCAAAAAAAAACCCACAAAAAAAAAGAAAAGAAGAGATAGTCCTTACTAATGTACTCTGTCTTCTTACATACGAGTTTTATAATTTCTTTAATCACTTAATATTTACTATTAATTTCTAATTTGTTGCGTTATAGTTGGAGTGCATGATCTGTTAGATATTGATCATGTAGACTTTTCTCAAAGACACCACAGTAGCTACCACAGTCATGTTTCCTCAACCAAGATATCTGGGGGAAAGGTCAGAATTTTGACCAAAAACCTCCTTCCAATCAAGGATCTGTTGAGGGTTGATTTTGCTCACTATAGCTGAAATCAAGGGAGATTCAAGATGTGAGTATAAGGTCACCTCTCTTTTTGACCAAAGAATGTATAAGCTTTTGTAGTGTCATAGCTGAAGCACTTGAAAAAGTAGCAGACGTTAGCCCACAACACAGCTGAGACATTTGGAAGTTTAGAATGCCACTTACAATTCAAAGGGAAAATCAACCAACAGTAACTTAAAGGAAGAAGAAAGGCTGCATGTGTTTAAACAGAGGAAGGAAATGAGACTGAACAGCCAGGGCAATCATTAGTATTCAGCAGAAGGTCCCTAACTGGAGCAGAAAATAGTTGAGGAGAAGGAAATAAGGCTTAGTGAGGCCAGAAGACAAAGGGCCTTGAACATCAGCAGAGCAACTTTATCTTAAAATTAAAAAAAGAAGAAGAAGAAGAAGAAAAAGGAGAAGGAGAAGGAGAGGAAGAGGAAGAGGAAGAGGAAGAAGAAGAAGAAGAAGAAGAAGAAGAAGAAGAAGAAGAAGAAGAAGAAGAAGAAGGAGAAGGAGAAGGAGAAGGAGAAGGAGAAGAAAAACAGAGGGTGAAAATGAAGGTGTTTGAATAGAATGACAGAGGAATATTTTTTAAATTACAAATTTCTAATTCTGTGAGGATTACATACATGCACCCTTTGTGGCAGTAAGTTTTGGTGAAAGTAGGCGCTGGTAGAGTAGAAGGTCTAGTCTTCAGCTGAGTGTTGTTTGGCCAATAGACAGAACGCTCCTAAGAGGCATTTAGATTTATCCTGGCTTTTCGCTCCCCTGCTTGTTTGTTGATTTGCTTGCTTCAAACTTTACATTAGCGTGTCCATTTATAATAAGTGGCTTAGATCTTAACCAAGGAGTTTTAATTTGGCCATGCCTTCAATAATGTAGAACTTTCCATTCCTGCTGACCAGAAAACAGGCTTACTTGTTCCTTTACCTTGTTTGAACTCTTTCTGTGCCTAATTTTTTTCGAACAAGAAAAATTGTATATATTTGACTGGTAGGTGAGTTGGTTAGTTGGTTGTTATGGGTTGAATTCTGTCCTCCCCATCCCCAGATTCATAATTTGAAGTCCCCAATACCTCAGAATGAGACCTTATTTGGAAATAGGGTCATTGCAGATAAAATTAGTTAAATTAATGTGAAATCATACTGAAGTAGGGTGCTCCTAATCTAATGTGTGTGCTTCTAAAAAGAGAAAGGAAATTTGACCACAGATATGCACACAGGGAGAATGCTGTGGGAACAGGAAGGCAGAGATTAGGGTGATGTAGCAGGAGCTGAGCAATAGCAACCACCACCAGCAAACCACAAAAAGCAGGGGAGAGGCCGGGAGCACTTTTCTCCCTGACAGCTACAGCCCTCAGAAGGAGCTGGTCCTGCTGACACCTTGATCTTGAGCTCGTATCCTCTAGAGCTGTGAGACAAATTCCTGCTGTTTAACTCCTCCACTTTATAATACATTTTTACAGCAGCAAGAGGAAGGGGAAGGAGTGGCACCATCTGGCACCTCTGTAGAGCTTTGTAGAATTTGTTCAGGTTAAGGAATTCATTCTGGAATTTTGGTTAGAGGGTTCTAAATATCTGGGTATGACAATGTACCATAAAGGATATGTTTCCTCTCAACACTTCTAGACAGTAGTGGGGGTTGGTTCAAGGTATGTCCCAGGAAGTTGGGTGCATACATGTGTACTTCTCCCTGTGCAGTCAGCCCAAATACCTCATGGCTGAAGGACAAGGTGTTTGGCTAGAGGAGGGTGCTGCTGAAGATGCTGGTCACCCAACAACCAAATATCCTTCCTATGTGAAGAAATCCCCAAATAGGTAGGAGGCAAGCTTGGGAAGGAGCCGCACTTTGCAAAAAAAAAAAAAAAGGTATGAGATATTTCTCAACTTTGCGCCCTGACATCTGGGATTGGGCCATGTAACTGAGGCTTAGCCAATCAGGTGCTCCCAGTCAGCACTTTGACTCTTGGTGAGTGTTTCCATGAAGGAGGAACAAAGGCTGTCAAAGATGTGGAACAGGGTCCAGTGGCATGGTGACAAGCGTCTCTCTGGGAAGATGCCAATGATAACTACCCACACCAACTAGTATAATGAGGTAACTTTGCCTTGACCTTATCTTCCAAACTCCCCTACTGTTGCCCATTTGTCAAGTCTGCCCCTCTAGCCTTTTATTGTTGGAAAGAGCTGCCTTCCACTAATTGCTGCCAAAGTTATCCCATTGGTATGTGTTGCTTGAAACTAAGGACATTGACTGGTACAGTGACTTCTCCATTCCACCCATGTGAGACCTCAACACTGGGAAACATGAGTCTCTCCAGCTTCTGGGTATTCAGCCATCTGGACCCTAAGAGAGCTCCGTCCCTCTGCTATGCATCCTGGGCACCTTCTGCATGACTACTGCATCTGCTGTTTTGCTTTTCCAGCATGACTGTGAGCTCTTTATGAGACAAGAACAAGCTACTGTTTGGCTTTGGAACCACAGACCCAATCATCTCAGTAGTACATGATAAATGGTGTCTGTTTGTTTGGTTTTTTTCAACATGCTTAGTAATGGAGTGGTCTCTCATCTACCCCAAACCTCTTTCTCCCATTTGAGGACTTGAGAATAGGAAAATGGTTTAGAGAAAATCTAGGAGCAGCAGACAAAATAGAACAACCGGGAGCCTCAGGGTTTCCCCAGTGCTCAGACACCACACTCAAGATGATGCCAGTTGTACCTTCCTTAGACTGGTTTTCCTGCCCCTGGGTCAGTATTTTTTTTTTAACTTTTGATTACTTACACATTAGCATCCACCATTCCTGTCACTTTTCTGTAACTGAAAGCTTAATGTATCATATTGTTCTAAATTCTCTTTTTTTGACCTAATTAACTAGACTCTCCAAAGGCAGTGGTAGGCCTTCAGGGGACTCTTGCTTGAAGCTCCCTCAAGCATTCCAAAATCATGTGGGTACACTAAAGTACCTTCACACACATGGGATTTTTGTTTATTTGTTTTTTACCCCTCTTGGACTTCCATTTCTCCAGTTCTTCTTTGGTTCCCAGAAACTCCATCTCCAGCAGGCAATATGACTTAATTAAGGATATTTGTCTACAAGCTTTAAGTAAGCTTTTCTAATTGCAACAGTTTCGCATTACTTTTGTTCGCATTGATAAGTTATTTAAACACCATGAATAATTCAATATCAGGTTCTGAATTGTTAATCAGAATAATGAGAGCAGCAGTTCAGCACTCTTTAATAATTTGATTTGCAGTGGGTATGAAAAAGGCCTTAAACTTGAGGCTTTGCTCTCAGAGCAAAACAATAAATATCCAAAATAGAAGCTTTGCTGCTCCACAAAGACAGCCTTTTCCCTCCTAATCAGTACTGTCTATGTATGTGTTGATTGCTTTGGATGCAGTGACACAGTGGGGACCTGTGTCACTCCATGGGTATATTTCACAACTGCAAATATCTTTGCATGCCCCCTCACTTTGATTTGCAATCTGTCGGTTAGAAACCTGCCACTAAGAGACAATGTAAAAGCTCCTTTCGCCTAAGGACTGTCAAATAGGCAGAATTTAATAAGTGTCCCATTCAAGGAAAAATTAAGGTTTGCTCTTTATGCAAGCTATCCTTTGCTTCACCTGTGTGTCTTGGTAGATGACACTTATGAATCTGTAACTCCAGCTGCCATCTCTCAAAACAATCTCTGCTTTTGCAAGCCCAAAGGGCCACACGGATGTCCATCATCACCACACGTCCACAGTATAACTGATTCCCTGTAGCTCAGTTTCCTTTCCAAATGCCTTGCTTGATGCCGAGGATGCAGCCTAGCACAGTGGTTAAAAGCACATCAGTGGTGTCTTCCTCCCCAGGTATAAATCATGGTTTTCTACTTCCAGCTGTGTGACCTTAACAGGCTACTTAGACTCTCTGTGCTTCATCTGTAAAAATGGACATGATAACACTAGTACCTACTTCACAGAGTTACCACGAGGATTAAATGAGTTTGCATTTTGAAAGCACTAAGACCAGTTTCTGACACATAACAAGCCTTCTAAAAGTGCTTGTTGAAGAAAATGCTGTTCCACCCCTGGTTGGCATCCAGTAACTATCCTCTCTCCATCTTTCTTTGCCTGGTTCATGCTCTGCTTCCCCCATGAACCTCTTCTTTATGACATCAGTACACAGTGATCTCTCTCTTTCTCGGTTGCAAAAAACACATGGAGTGGATGGAGTTCTGTTTCCTAATTGGCACATATCCACTATATTTATTTTGTGTCCCAATGATTTAGGGGCTTTTTAATTGTTTTTTAAATTTAAGATGTACAACATGATATTTTGATACGCATATACATAGTGAAATGATTACTACCAATGAACAATTTAACATGCCCATCATCTTCCATAGTTACCTCATGTGTGTGTGTGTATGTGTGTGTGTGTGTGTGTGTGTGTGTGTGTGTATGTGGCAACAGTACTTCAAATCTACTCTCTTAGCAAATTATATATATGAGTATGAATTTATATACATAATATATATAATTTATATAATATATATCTACTGTATATACTGTATATATATATTTTAAACAGGGTCCTGCCCTGTCTCAGGCTGGAGTGCAGTGGTGCCATCTCTACTCACTGCAGCCTTTGACCACCTAAGCTCAAGGGATCCTCCCAACTCAGCCCCACTAGTAGCCAGGACTACAGGTGCATGCCACATTGCCAGGCTAATTTTTTTGTGTTTTCTATAGAGATGGGGTTTCACCATGTTGCCCAGGCTGGTCTTGAACTCCTGGGCTCAAGCTATCCTCCTTCCTTGGCCTCCTAAAATGCTAGAACTACAGGTGTGAGCCACCACACCCAGCCTATACAATATTATTAGCTATCATTTTCCCGCTGTACATTAGACCTTTAGACTGATTCATCCTACATAACTGCCAGTTTGTCCCATTTGAATTATATCTCCACATTCCCTCTCAATTATTTGTAATTTTCCCTAGCATAGGCATTCCTGGGTGTTGATGGGCTTTGTCTTTATTAATCATCAAGGATCCGAGTATGAATAATTCCAACCAGCCCAGTGCTACACAAACAGCAGGCATTGATAAGTTGTAATTAATCAGTCTGGATAGTTTTGTGATTAAAAAACAAAAAGATGATGATGGAAAAACATAAGAAGTGCTGGGCCTGAGAGAGCGGGGGTCATGACATTCCACAGAATTTTAATTACTTGTGTAATGTTTGTGTCATCTTCTAGAATGTAACCCCCATAAAGGTGGGGATCATGTCTAAAATTACATGGGAAACAATGTTATAAGGAATGAATTTCCATTGCTTCTATCATTATTGATGGACAGTATGTGGCTGTGACTCTGGAATGCCTTTGATTATAGGTAGTGATGATGTTCATGAGCTGGCAAAAAACAGCCCAGGTGTGAGAGGAGTTAATTTATTATTAACCACTAAAAGTGACTGCAGTTAGATTTGTGCAGAGAAAAAAAGATGATTTACCATGCTGCCATAAAGACACATAGCACACGTATGTTTATTGTGGCACTATTCACAATAGCAAAGACTTGTAACCAACCCAAATGTCCAACAATGATAGACTGGATTAAGAAAATGTGGCACATATACACCATGGAATACTATGCAGCCATAAAAAATGATGAGTTCATGTCCTTTGTAGGGACATGGATGAAACTGGAAATCATCATTCTCAGCAAACTATCGCAAGGACAAAAAACCAAACACCACATGTTCTCACTCATAGATGGGAATTGAACAACGAGAACACATGGACACAGGAAGGGGAACATCACACTCCGGGGACTGTTGTGGGGTGGGGGGAGGGGGGAGGGATAGCATTAGGAGATATACCTAATTCTAAATGACAAGTTAATGGGTGCAGTACACCAACATGGCACATGTATACATATGTAACAAACCTGCACATTGTGCATATGTACCCTAAAACTTAAAGTATAATAATAATAATAATAAAAAGATGATTGACAAAGGATTAATAAGTTACCCTCTGTCAGTAGTTTAACTCCAGAGACTTTTTAATAATCTGAAATTCAGCATTAATGAATTGGCTCTTCCACCTTAATTTCATAAATATGTTTCTTTTCTGATGCACAGGAGAAATCTATATACTCGGTTAAGTGTTGAAACAAGAATGATGGAGAAAAAAAACCTAAATCATCATAATTTACTATGTCACCGAGCACTATTTGTCTATAATTTATCCTGGTATACATCCCACAGTTTGGCTGGGGTGGAATAAGGTATCAAGGGTGGCTGACATTTGATTTGTTTCCATTAATATGTGTAACTAGAGAAATCAAAAATTTAACAACCACAAATTACTCTGGTGACATTTTATCCATTTTAAACATTTTAGCAGAATGGTAGCAAATAGAATGTCCTATTTCAGTACACTGAATCTAAAGCAGCTCATTTGCCCTGGAAAGAAAGACAGCAATTGGTGAAAAAGTTATTTTTCAAAAGTCAAAAAACAACTGATCCATAGCATTGCCCATTACAGAATATGCCTTAATGACCCAGATCTTCATTATGTGCTCCTCAAAAAAAAAGAATCTGCAGAATGGCTTCAAAGGTACATGAAAGACACTGAAATATAACCTAGAAGGGCAGACACTATTCAGAAAGGAATTATGAATGTTACAAGTGCTCTTTCTTATAATGCTGATCAATGAGGCAACACACTTCACCCAGAGATTTAGTGTTCTCTAAACACTAACTCATTACTGCTTCTATTAAAGTCTAATTTTCAGAACGTTCAAACATGATTCTCATATAAATACAAAATGAATGCGTCAAATATTCCATTCAACTCATTAATTAACAAGGAAACCAGTAAGACATTGACCCTGATTCAGAGGGGAGTTGAGTCAGACAGTCAATAGAAAGCTGAAATAAATTTGCTAACAGTTATAAAACTGACAAATGTCCTAGTAGGTAATAAACTGTAACTTTTGAAGTGATCTATCTTATAGATAGGAATTATTTGCTTTGCCCTCCAACAAACACAAATTGCATTGCTGTCAGTTTTCTACAAGCTAATTTCTACCTTTACAGATTTGTGAAATTGCCTAATCATTAATCAATAGAAGGACAAACAACTGTATACCCACTAGAAAATTAGATCATCCCAAGGAGGAATGGGACTGACTACTAGCAACAGGCAACACTACCCTGAAAGGATACTCAGTAATACTGTCAGAGCTAGCTTAGGCTGCCATAACAACATACCATAGACTGGGCAGCTTAAACAACAGAAATGTCATTCTGTCTGGAGGCTGGAAGTCCAAGGTCAAAGTGCCGGCAAGTTCGATTTTATTCTGAGGCCCTTCTCTTTGTTTACATGTGGCTGCCATCTCACTGTGTGCTCCCATGACCCCTTTGTGCAAGCTTTCTGATGTTTCTTCATATAAGGGCACTAATCCCATTATCAGGGTCTCATCCTCATGACTTCATCTAACCCTAATCACCTCCCAAAGGGCCTACCTCCAAATACAATCACATTGAGGGCTCAGGAATTCAACATGTGAATTTTGAGGGGGGATGAGGGGAGTGGGACAAAAATATTCAGTCCATAATGATTGCCTTTTGTCTATTTCCAAGTTTTGGACCATTTTCTTAACTCTCCAAACATTTCAGCCTGACAAGTGGAAAATATTATCGTTCAACTTCAAAGGTGAGGATTTGAGACTCTGGAAAAAGTGCTGAGAGAATGCATGGGAGGAAAGATGCTCTAAGCAAACACAGAATTAAGTGCAATGTGAGAAATTCAAGATCAGAGATGGGAAGTTTGTGATTAAGGAAAAGAAAACGGAGAAGAGTTCTCACTTCCTGACCAGCTGGCCTGTCCTGGAGATTCCCGACCTTTTATCTGAATGACTCTGGCCATTAATATAATAGTAATAACAAATATGAGAGCATCATCTGTGTGTGCCTACTATGTGTCAGTCACTTCATGTATATTATCTTGGATACACCATGTCATCCTGCAGTAGTATTATTCCCATTAGACAGGAAAATGATTTAGCCATGAAGGTCTGGAGACTTGCCCAAGGCCGCTGCCAGCAAATGACAAAGCTGGGATGAAGTCTAGTTCTGCGTGGCTGCACTGCATGGATTCACTCTGCCAGATGGCCTCCAGCTCCACATTTCACAGGCTAACACTGTAGCCATGGTGAGGCACCACATGTCTGTTTATTCACTTGCTGAGACCCTTGTGACATGGTCTCGCTTCATCACCCAGGCTGGAGTGCAGTGGCGCGATCTTGGCTTACTGCAACCTCTGCCTCCCGGGTTTTCAAGTGATTCTCATGCCTCAGCCTCCTGAGTAGCTGGGACCACAGGCACATGCCACCACACCTGGCTACTTATTGTATTTTTAGTAGAGACTGGTTTTCACCATGCTAGCCAGGCTGGTCTGGAACTCCTGGGCTCAAGCTATCCACCCGCCTCGGCCTCCCAAAGTGCTGGGATTACAGGTGTGAGCCACCATGCCCAGCCTTGAGCCCCTTTTACATGAAGAGAGAGGCACACAGGGTATGCACCAGGGCCCTGGTACCATCAATTGAGGAAGAAAGAGGAGGAGGCACAGGACCTCTGTGGAGGAGATCAAGAATTCTGCTTTGGAAATGTTCGGTCAGATATGCCCATATGACAGCCAAGTGGAGATGTCAAGAAGGCAGTGGCGCAGAAGAGGGCAGAAAATATAAATTTGTGAGTCATCGGCATAGAGAAGCTATGTAATGTGATGCATTCATGCCTCCAGAATAATGCTCCTTTGCAAGAATAATCATCAGAATAACAGCCAGGCCTGAGACTTGGGAGTGGTCATGCAAGTTATTAAAATATTGAAATACTTCCATACCAGCTGGTTAATAGCAGCTGCCTCAAGTCTCCCAAAAGCTATCTGCCTTCCTGCCTACCCCCAGGGCCTGCCCACCATCCAGTTACGAAAAGTATAATCTTAGGCACAGAAGACACCTCCGGGGAGTGACAATTTAGACTGGTCTCTATTCATGCCCTATTACTTAGTAAACAATTCAATATCACTCTTGATTCACAACTAATATTTCTTGAGCACTTAACCCATGTCAGGCATTATGTGAAGCCCTTTTTTGATTGCCTCGCTTGATCCTCATTACCACCTTTTGTGATAAATAGTAATATCATCCCCACTGTACAGTTGAGAAAACTGAGGCTCAGAGAGGTCAGTAAGTAATCCTAGGCCACAGAGATGGTGAGTGATGGAGCCAGGATGAGTCCAAGCTGAGTCTAACTTTAGAGCCTCTAAACCATTCTGCTTCCCCAGATTTGTAGATAGATCCCATGTCCTTGGCTGGGTGGCATGACCACCCTCATCAGAGCACAGGAATATACTCAGCCTATAGCCTTAATTTCCAGTGAGTGAACAAAGTTCTTTCCTGGGCCTGAGCTCAGAGCTGCTGTTTGTGTTCAATACTGAATGGTTATTTACTTCCTTCAAACTCTCCTATAAGGTATGACAAGAATGGGAAATTGCTACATCAGCTCTTTCATGCCAAACTGTCTAGATGATTCGCATTGCCTATCTGATTTCACTAGAGGATCATTCTGTTTCACTTTTCACTCTTGGTAGCACTTAACTGATATGAGTGTCTAAGTATCCTCATTCATATGTCAAAAATAATGTTCAAAGACAAACAGCATGGTCTTGAGGGTAACTTTCCTTTATTTCAAAGTCATAATAATTCAATGATGATAATGATGATGCTGCTGAAAACATGAAACTTGAAAGTAGAAAAGCTCTTTAGAAGAAAGAGGCTATCTCATACCCACGCCCATATTAGAGAAGTTTGGACATGCTACAACATGGATAAACCTTGAAGACATTATGCTAAGTGAAATAAGCCAGACACAAAAGAACAAGTATTATATAATTCCACTTACATGAATAGATAGAATAGATAAATTCATAGAATAGATAAATTCATAGAGTTAGGAAGTAGAATAAAGTTTGCCAAGGACTAGGGAGAGGGGAGAATGGGGAATTATTGCCTAATAGGTACAGAGTTTCTGTCTGAGATCATGAAAAAGTTCCAGAAATGGATAGCAGTTATAGTTCCACAACAGTGCAAATATACTTAATGCCACTGAATTGTACACTTAAAATAGTACGTTCTTGCTGGGCGCAGTGGCTCATGCCTATAATCCCAGCACTTCGGGAGGCCAAAGCAGGTGGATCACCTGAGGTCAGCAGTTTGAGACCAGCCTGGTCAACATGACGAAATCCAATCTCTACTAAAAAATACAAAAATTAGCCAAGCGTGGTGGCGCATGGCTGTAGTCCCAGCTAGTTGGAAGGCTGAGGCAGGAGAATTGCTTGAATCCAGGAGGCAGAGATTGCAGTAAACTGATATCGCACCACTGCACTCCAGCCTGGGCAACAGAGTGAGACTCCATCTCAAGGAAAAAAAAATAGTATATTCTTGCCTTGGGAGGCCAAGGTGGGAAGATCTCTTGAAGCCAGGAATCCAAGATCAGCCTGGGCAACATAGCAAGATCCTGTCTCTACAAAAAAATTTAAAAATTAGCTGGGCACAATGGTGCATGCCTGTAGTCCCAGCTATTCAGGAAGCTGAGGCAGGAGGATCACTTCAGCCCAGAAGTTTCAGTTATAATCGCACCACTGCACTCCAGCCTGGGCAACAGAACAAGACTCCATCTCAAAAAAAAAAAAAAGAGTAAAATATACATATGTATAATTTACAACACACACACACACACACACACACACACACACATAAAATCAAACAGTTTACACCACAGTAACTGACAAAACTTGGCCACTTAAAAAAAAATAACAGGCCAGGCGTGGTGGCTCACACTTGTAATCCCAGCACTTTGGGAGGCCGAGGCAGGTGGATCATGAGGTCAGGAGATTGAGACCATCCTGGCTAACATGGTGAAACCCTGTCTCTACTAAAAATACAAAAAAATTAGCCAGGCGTGGTGGTGGGCACCTGTAGTCCCAGCTACTCGGGAGGCTGAGGCAGGAAAATGGCATGAATCCGGGAGGCGGAGCTTGCACTGAGCCGAGATCGCACCACTGCACTCCAGCCTGGGCGACAGAGCAAGACTCCATCTCAAAAAAAAAAGGAGTAAAATATACATATGTATAATTTACAAAACACATACACACACACACACACACACACACATCAAACAGTTTACACCAGAGTAACTGACAAAACTTGGTCACTTAAAAAAAATAACAAATGCTAAGAGGGTATATCTTATGCTAAGTGTTCTTATCACCAAAAAATAATGAAAGCAAGAAAGAAAGAGGAAGAGGAAGGGAAGGGAGGAGAGAGGAAGGGAGAAGGAAAGGAAGGAAACTTTTGGAGCTAATGGATATGTTTATGGCACTGTTGGACTGTTGGCTCTCTGGGGGAAAAAAGATCTGATTTGCAGTGTTTGTTAATTTCTGTGCTGTGAATATCCCCACAATGGCCAATCCCAAACTGCCAACATGACATCACTGAATGCTGACTTGGGAAGACGTGGACACAATTGGCTCCTAAGAGCCCATGCAAGTGGCTGTGGTACACCATTGCACTCTCTTCCTCTTCACTCTGTTTTATTTTATTCTGCAGTGATTATATGATCTATTACATCTTTCTTATTAATTTATTCATGGTATGTACACCTCCAACTACAATACCAGCTCCATGAAGACAGGAATTTTGTTTTGTTCACTTATATGTCTTCAGGGCCTAGAACTGTTGCTGGCACAGAGTAGACTCTTAATATATATTTGTTGAATGAATAAATGTGGGGACAACAGTGGTACTTGGAGGTGAGAAATTAAGATTACCCCAAAGGGATATTCTGTGTGGATTAAAGTCACAAATTATTATATGGAAAGTTTAGCGGTAAGCCAGCAAAGTTTGTCCTCTAAGCCATGGGTTTCTAAAGATGGGTGGACACATCCCAGAGTGTACACGAGTCAATCAATGAAGGGTTGAAAGAAAACATTAGAGCTCTATATGTTATAAATATTTCACATATTTCTTTTGTTTTATTTAAAGATAAAAACAGCATGGCCCTGTGGATGAATTTCCTTTATTGCAAAGTCATAATAATTCAGTGATGATGACAAAGATGATGGTGATAATGAAAACATAAAACTTGAAAGTAGAAAGTCTCCTTAGAAGAGAGAAGAAAGATAGTTTATTTAAAACATAAGAAATACATTAATCTTTACTAATATTTAATGTGAGAATCAACTGTGAAACTCAACTTTGGTCAACCCAAATGTTGGCTGCTGTTAGCAAAGATGAAATTTCAAAAATGAAACATATTTTATCTCTCCTTCAAATTAAAGGCGATATTTTTCCAGTAAGTAATAGCTGCTTAAAAACAACAGCAAAGCAAAACAGAGCAAAATTTGCACAATGGAAACTATGAAGACAGCATTTTGAAAACCAATGTTTAGAAATGTTTGTCAAAGAAATCCAACAAATATCCCAGCCATATTCTCTTTTTCAATCCCTTAGCTCAACGTCAAGGATGCTATTTAGTGCCCTCTGGTTCTACATTCATTCTTACCAGCAGATTGGTGATTAAAGGGAACATATTAATTAAGTCCAAGTTTCGTTTTTTTAAAAAGTTTGGTTTGTGGACCACCTGCATCAGAATCTCCTGGAGGTGCTCATCCGAAATGTAAGCTATTATTATTATTATCACAGTTGTAATACTTGCTCATTGGGTCTTGCCAGGAGATTATAAGCTTTGCAAGGTCAAGGACTATTATATTGTTCATGATCGCATTCCCAACCCTTAGTGTAACACTTGACAAAGTGAAGACAAACAATAAATATTTGTGGAGTGAATGAAAGTCAAGGATAAAGGGTACAAGCAGCATCAGTTCCAGACAGGGCATTCTCAATGAATTTCATAAATAACTGTCTTATACATTCTTTGTGGTATTTTCAGTGGTGAAAAGAGACATCCAAGTAAAGATTCCAAGACAGGAATGATAAATTAAGAATACTGCATTGAATTGTACACAGGTTAGACATATGACTTAACACTTATTATCAGGCAGTACTCAATGCAAAAGAAAGAAATTACTCTCGGTAAAACAGAAGATTAAGTGCTTACAAAATCAGTTTAAGGGACAAAGGAACTCGCCTCCAAATTTTCACCACTGTAGCTGTGATGCAAGGTCAGGAAGTTAATATAGCTATTGCCACTGCTGCTAATTTCAAAGCCGCTTCCTCCCACAAAGCCAGTAACCTGGGTGGAAAGTGGAATCCAGCCACTGCTAAAATTCATTCCTGTTAGAGCCTAATTGTCCATCTAAACTCTATTGAGCAATCACATCCTGCATCCTTCTGCCTTTCAAATCCCATGAAAGTTCATCAATTGACTGAATCTAATCTGTATTCAGGACCCTAGCTGCAAGGGAATCAGGGTAACATCACGTTTTTAGCTTTCCAACTTCTCTAAATAGAAGGATGATGAACTGAAGATTGAGAGAGCCAATCCAAGCAACCAGTCAATTTGGTTAAAAAAAATTTACTGCATATCAGAAATATTATTAACAATAAAATCATGTTATCTATTCCCATTTACTGAATAGATTCGCAGTTTATAAACAGATAGCTCTTTAAAAATAAACTTGGATTTAAAAGTCTAATACAAAAACCTAATTACAAATACATTTATTTATTTTTGTGTACTTTATAAAAAGAGTACAAATCAGTATGCTGCACAAACAAGTAGTCAATCTTATTAGATGCTTTTTAATACTATTGTACCTGTTGAATCTTGTTTGCTTTGTCTATAATAAACAACACTGTTGAAAATAGCTTCAGGTTGCTTTTCATGATCACCCATGCTTTGTTCCCTTTCAGTAGCTAAAATGAAAATAGGATTTGACATCAACAAAGAATAAAGACATGGGTAAAGAGAAAGATAAGTGAGCCTAACTACAAATGCCAGATCTTGGAATAAATTTAAATGTGAAATCACGTTGGGAAAGTGCATATGGTTGTGAAAGCATCAACTTATTTCCTAAGTCACAATAAGAAGAATTAAGCCAAAAAACGAACAAAAAAAATCAACCCCCCCAAAAAAAACTCAACTTTTTAAAAAAGAACATATTAAAATATTCTTGTCAAACATGCTTTCAGCATTGACTCTATTATTACTTTTGAGCCAAATCAGGTCACCAAGACTGGCCTAGGTGAAAGAGTATCAGTCTCAACTGAGGTTTATTTCACTGTGTCCTGTTCACGAATCAGCAAACAAACCTTGCAAAAGGGATGCCTACAATACTGAAAGCATGGAGGTGTGAGTTGATGGGGCTCTTGAATCCTGCTTTGTTCCTCATAGAGACATCCCAAAATTCAGTGGTCTGAACAACCCAGGGAGACTGAAGGAGGAGTGAATCACATAGAACTGAGTTCACTGCTTTGCATTCTATCTGAGGCCAAATGATGTCAAGTTGGGGAGAAGATATGTCAGCACTCAAAGGGCTGGTTTATTGCCACATGTATTAGTCCATTTTCATGCTGCTGATAAAGACATACCTAAGACTGGGCAATTTAGAAAAGAAAGGAGTTTAATGGACTCACAGTTCCACTTGGCTGGGGAGGCCTCACAATCATGGCAGATGGTGAAAGGCACATCTTACATGGCAGCAGACAAGAGAAAAGTACTTTTACACGGAAACTCCCCTTTATAAAACCATCAGATCTTGTGAGACTTATTCACTATCACGAGAATAGCACAGGAAAGACCTGCCCCCATGATTCAATTACCTCCCACTGGGTCCCTCCCACAACATGTGTGAATTGTGGGAATCACCAATTCAAGATGAGAATTTAGGTGGGGACACAGCCAAACCATATCACCATATATATTCATAATTTTAAAAAATTATATGGCATCTATTATGCATTTTACAAATGTGGTTTGTAAAAAACATCCAGTGAGAAAACTGAGGCACACAGCAATGAAATAACTGGCCCAAGGTCTCACAGCTAGAAAGTGGCAGAGCAGGATTCACACCAAGCCAGTCTCCAGAGTCCATTATGCTGCTTCCATAAAAGGATATCTTGTAATGCCTGTCTTTATACTTCCAAGTTTAATTTCTTGCTGTACCTTCAGGACTACTCCAGGTTTGGGTGCAGTAGACCCGAATTTGGCCTATTATAACATGCACCTGGAAACAGTCTTATTTACTTTCCTTACCTCAAGTCAAAGATGAGAGTTCAAATTACTATCTGGGTAGTGCAGAGCTCACACAGCTGTTTGCAAGTAAGTCTGACTGACTGCAAATGGACAGGTTTCTATATTCAGGCCGCTACATGTTTACTTTAAAAAACATTTGTTTAAAACCTGTGAAGCTCCGGAAATCTGCCAAAGTTGGTCATAAAGATGTCAAACCCAAGCCTCACAAGCTTACAGAAAGAGAATGTGTTGGCTCACAGGCCGTTAACAGGACAGAAGTTTCAAGTGGGGCTTAATATAAGTTCAGAGCATGCCACCAGGATCTATCTTGCAGCTTGACGTCCTTGTAATAACACAAACCAGTTTCTAGGATTAAATCCCATTACCCCTGATTGGCCTGCCTGGAGTCATGTGACCAGCTCGGATCACGCATCATGGTGGGGGCTGGGGAGCACACTCTCTGCCAAAAGGAGTAACAAGGGCCTCAGGCTCTAAGAACTTGATAAGCATCTCCTCCACCCCACATTTCCTAACTTAATATGACAACCAAGAATAAAGAGCATTTCTGCCCTGCAGTAAAGAAAGGATATATGTTTTTTTAAAAAGAAAAATGCACACACTATCCATCATGTTTGCACATGAGAAATAGGCCATGTCCCTAGGAATAGGAGGCTTATCAAGTCAATATGTGCACTGAGTCTTCAGGTGATTCTCTCAAAAGACTTCAGTTTCAACTATCAGACACACAGAAAAATATATTTCATCACCAAAATAAACAAGCTTACCAATTTTACTGTCCTCTTTACAATCTTTTTTTTAAGAAATGACACCTAGGCCAGGAGCGGCGGCTTATGCCTATATTCCCAGCACTTTGGGAAGCCGAGGCGGGCGGATCACCTGAGGTCAGGAGTTCAAGACCAGCCTGGCCAACATGGTGAAACCCCATCTCTAATTTTACAAAATACAAAATCAGTTTGGTTTGGTGGCACACACCTGTAATCCCAGCTACTCAGGAGGTTGAAGCAGGAGAATCGCTCCCGGGAGCTGGCGGTTGCAGTGAACCGAGATCGCCCCAAAGCACTCCAGCCTCGGTGACAAAATCAAAACTCTGTTAAAAAAAAAAAAAAAAAAGAAATGCCACCTAATGTGAAGATGTAAGGCCCCCATTCCATGCTGATACATGATACGTGATTCCATGTATTGGCAGGTTCTATTTCTAACAGTTTGCATTTTCAAAGGAGTGGAGAATGCCTCACTTCTAGCATGAGTACAATAATAAAAACAGACAGAAAGATCGTTAGTGATATGACCCAGCAACATGCCTCTTTTCCCATCTGAGCTCTGTTTTATGAACAAGGTTAAAGATGAAGTATGACCCCATTCAAGTCACCAGGGTAGGGGTAGGGCGTTGGTGGAAAAAGTCCCCAAGTGACAACAGGAAACCTAGCTTCTGTTCTGACCTTCCTTCCCAACTCCTCCTCTAAGGCCAACTATGCAATATTGGACACACATTTGTCTATGGGCCTCAGTTTGCTCTATTGTGCAGTGAGGGTACTGGGCTACATCTCTCACATACCTTCCTCTAAGTCCGTCGAAACTGGTCTGTGACCAGGACAAAGTCAGCAAATAAAAGGGTTGGAGTTTAGAGCTGAATATAGTCCAATCTCTTTATTTTGCAGAGCCTGAGTAATCCCTACTAGAAGCACCATGTCAGCAGTCAGAGAATGGAGCAATGAATTCTACTCAGAAGGAAGTACAGTAATGAGGCACAGGAATAGCTGAAACAAACTCTTCCAGTTGCACAATGATGGCCAGCCCTGAGAAGGCCCATTAATGACCAGAGTACCAGAAGACAGCTTGGGCTCAGATTACCCCACCCTACTAGATTGTTAGTTCCTTGAAAAATGTCACTAAGTTTTGTTCACAGTTGAATATTCAGGACCTACCACAGTGCCTAGAACATAGAAAATGTTCCTTTAATGCATGGTAAATGAATGAATAGATAATAATTGCCAATATTTGGTACTTACTAAGTGTGAGAAACAATTCTAAAGGTTTTATATTTGTTAACTGAGTCAGACCTTGCAAAATGCATATGAGGCAGATACAGCTATGATCCTGTTTGTGAGATCAGGAAGCTTACACATATAGTACATGATGGGAACAGGCCACCTTGTTCAAGAATCCATGCTCTTCACCACTACAATGTTCTACCTCTTAAGGTAGAGGGTCTTCACTGAGAAATCTAAGTTTCTAAACAGCTCTGGTGTTAATTTGCATAATCTCTATGGGGTTCATTTCCCTTTACCAGATTCCCCCACATATCCCTACATACTAGTCCCTCTAACAACATCCCTTTCACCTTTAATATTCCATATATTCTACATTTTAGTGTGTGCTAGAAATACTGTATCTCACGCTGGGGGAATGAGGACAGGGGTTTCAAACTCAGAGGGCTCTGAGTTCTCTCAGATAAAGGAGTTTTGAGAACCATGGTCTAGTGACAATGGCCTTTCCTGCCTAAGGGCATTCAAATTCAAAATATTTACATTTCAGCAGTAGCCAAACAAAATATTTCAGACGGCTACGTCAGGGCCAGCAGTTTTCAGCTCCAGTGCTACGGTTGGATGGATGCTTGGTCTAAGAATTCCACTGAGGAGGCCCAAGTGATCTCAGAAGAAATTCCTAAAATAAAAATGGGAACAGGACTACTGAAGACAAACCAAGTGGAGTGGTCCAAATTATCTGCAGTACAGAATGAGGGCTCTCAGAGTTGACCTTGGTTATTTAATTTTACTCCAGCTTTTCAAACAAGTTATACCCTAAAAACCTTGTATTAATCTTTATCAATGTGACTTCACCTTTTACACAAGTGATGTATTTAACAAAGATTGTTGGCCTCTTTCTTTCTTTTTTGAAAATGACAGAGTCTCACTTTGTCACCCAGGTTGGAGTGCAGTGGTGTGATCTCAGCTCACTGCAACCTCCACCTCCCTGGTTCAGGTGATTCTCCTGCCTCAGCCTCCTGAGTAGCTGGGATTACAGGCACCTGCCACCACACCTGGCTAATTTTTGTATTTTTAGTAGAGATGGGGTTTCACCATGTTGGCCAGGCTGGTCTCGAACTCCTGACCTCAGGTGATCCGCCTGCCTCGGCCTCCCCAAGTGCTGGTATTACAGGCGTGAGCCACTGTGCCCAGCCTGGTCTCTTTCTTAGTTTTAAGAAATGCAAAGGATTTGAAGTTGAAAGTAAACTTTCCTATTTTCATCATTTTGCAATCTGTTAAATATTAATAGAGTCAGAGCTTCTCCTTGACAAGGATAACATCTGTCATTTCCTTGGGTCCTGTTGTTCCTTTGTAAGAGCTCCACAAGCAACCTCCAAAGGAAAATTTCCTGAATGTAAAACAATGGGAGCTTACCACGGGGAGACATAACACTTGCTGCATTGAAATTGAACAGCCCTGCATGTGTCCAAAGGAAATGGATAATGAGCAATAAAGAAGAAGGGCAAGCACAATAATAACAGAAAAGAAGTTCACCGAAACTTGTAGTTCTATGAAAACAGGCTTACCAAACATCTGCAGTTGGAAAGTTAAAAATAAATCTGCGTTTTTTTTAAAAAAAAATATGTATATATTTTTTAAAAAGTTGCCTCCAGTCAGCTCCATTTGGGGAATTTTTTTTTTTCATTTTATATCCCAAGTCATCTAAAGACATGTAACTTAGAATGCTCGCATTTATTTATTTACTTATATAATTTTTGGTATATATTTAAGGTATACAGCATGATATTTTTATACAATAGAATGCTTTATTTATTTATTTATTTATTTATTTACTTTTGAGACGCCCAGGCTAGAGTGCAATGCTGCCATCTTGGCTCTGCAACCTCTGCCTCAAGTTCAAGCAATTCTCCTGCCTCAGCCTCCAGAGTAGCTGGGATTACAGGCACCCACCCTCATGTCCAGCTAATTTTTGTATTTTTGTATAGATGGGGTTTCACCATGTTAACCAGGCTGTTCTTGAACTCCTGACTTCAGGTGATCTGCCCGCCTCAGCCTCCCAAAGTGTAGGGATTACAGGCATGAGCCCCTGTACTTGATTTTAATCTGTTCAGTAAAACATCAATTTACTAAACTGCAACTAATTAGAAGTTTTCATTAAGGAAGTTTTGTTTTGCTTCAAATGATTGCTTAGAGACAAGGCTCTGAATTATCAGAGACATTTAATTTGAATCATTTACACTATATTAAAACTCAAGCAGAAAAGTGGGTTCATAATTTTATCCACATGTACTTAGAAAAATTTTAGTGACAAATTAAAGGAAATAGAATACTAAATGCCCTGAGTATTCCAGTTAAGAGATTTTAAAATAAAAGTCTGTATTTTATTTTCGAAGGTTTTCTTTTATTTTGCTTTTGTTTTGTTTTGTTTTTTAGAGACAGAGTCTCACTCTGTTGCCCAGACTGGAGTGCAATGGTGTGTTCACAGTTCACTGTGGTTTTGGATTCCTGAGCTCAAGCAATCCTGCTGCCTCAATCTCATTTTTTTTAAATTGAAATTTTTTTTTAATTGATGCATAATTGGTGTACCCAGTTCTGGGATATATGTGATAATTTAATATGCTCATATAGGTTGTAAAGATCAAATCAGTAGACCAGACATACTGGCTCACGCATGTAATCCTAACACTTTGGGAGGCCAAGGAGGGAGGACTGCTTGCAGCGAGGACTTTGAGACCAGATTGGGCAACATAGCGAGAACTTGTTGCTATGAAAAAAAATTTTTTTTTATTATCTGGATAGGATGGCATGCACCTGTAGTCCCAGCTACTCAGGAGGCTGAGACAGGAAGATCACATGAGCCCAGGACTCCAAGGCTGCAGGGAGCTGTGATTGCACTATGTGCTTCAGCCTGGGCAACAGAGCAAGCCCCCGTCTCTAAAAATAAAAAATAAGAAAAACTAAATAAAAAGATCAAATTGGGGTACTTGGGTTATCCATCACCTTAAATATTTGAAGATTTGATTTTGGAACCAGAGAATGTCACCTCTTTCAGGGCCCCATTGATGAGATTTTGACTCTAACACATTTTCTTCTGGAAAAAAGTTCTCACATCAAAAAAAAGAAAAATAAGGTCAATCCTGTTGGACAGAGGGTCTTTTACTCCTAACAATGCTTTCTGAATCGGCTTTATAATAAAAAATACATCTGGTGGCAGGCAGGAGATAGAGAGCAGAAAAGCAGGGGGAAAGGCCAGTTTGCTGAGAGGGTAAGGAACTGATAAAATCAGTTCCCTCAAAATAAACAGGGAGCTGGAGGCCCGACGGAGCCCCGCTCAGCATGTCATCTGCATCCACTGGGCAACACATTGAGGTAGACTCAACTGAACCTTGAACACCCCCCAGGGAGATTTGTGCTTTGCCTGGCACTCTGGTAGTATATTTCCATGTCTGTATAGATTTCTTGTCTGGGTTTCTTTTATCCGACTGCAGCTTCTGTCAAAAAATCAGACTGGAGAAATGAGCTGCTTGCAGTCAGACAGTTAGGGAGTGACCTTGGGCAACTCGTTTCATCTCAAGTTTCATTTCCACACCAGGATATGAGAATCACATGAAAAAAATAATAATAACTCAGTGCAGGGCACATATCAGATGCTCCCCATATAAGTTCATTTCTTTTCCAAAGCTCTAAGTAGGAAATATCTGGTATTGGGAGGCAACATGTGTTCTTCCGTGAACCCAGAAAATCTGAGACAGGTCTCAGTTAATTTAGAAAGCTTATTTTGCCAAGGTTGAGAACGCACCAGTGACACAGCCTCAGGAAGTCCTGACATGTGCTCAAAGTGGTTGGGACACAGCTTGGTTTTATATACTTTAGGGATACATGAGACATCAATCAATATATGTAAGAACTACATTGACTTGGTCTAGAACAGCGAGACAACTTGCAGCAAAGGCAGAAAGACTCAAGCAAGGAGGGAGCTTCCAGGTCACAGATAAGTGAGACACAAACCGTTGCATTCTTTTGAGTTTCCAATTAGCCTTTTCAAAGAAGGCAATCAGATATGCATCCACCTCAGTGAGCAGAGGGATAACTGAATAGAATGGGAGGCAAGTTGGCCCTCTGCAGTTTCCAGCTTGAGTTTTCCTTAGTGATTTTGGGGGCCCAAGATATTTTCCTTTCACACTTCCCTTCTACTTTCTATAGAAGGAAGTTGACTTAGGTTGGGATCCCTGGGACCAGACTTTGGAATGGAGAAATGCAAGCAGAAGCTTCAGTGAGACTAAGGAAATGAAGAAGGCAGGAACGGGCAGAGAGAGAGGCTGGCTGGAAACCTGATGGCCCCTGCAGCCTCTGTCTTTCCTGTGGTGAGCTCTGGAGCTAAGAGCACCTTTCAGAGTTTTCCCAAAGGAAGACAAGGGGGGCAGGACTTTGTATCCCCACCCTATCCAGTCATTGGCCATAGACCGTCTGCACAGAAAGGGGATGACTTTGGGTGAGGCAGTTGTCTGTGGCTGAGAACAGTGTCCACGGAGGAGCACAGCTATGAGCTGTAAGCAGTCGGTATTCTCAGCAGCCAGGGAATGGGTATATTCACCCTAAAGTAGGGAACTGGGTGGCGCACCTCGATATTCACTGCAGTCCACCCCTTGGTCCACTCAGACTTATCTGTGTCATATCATAAATTTGATCCATCTGGGAACAGTTTCTTCAGGATTCTGGTTGGTCTTGGTTTCTGGGGAACTTAAGAGTTCGTGAGACAAACTCTAGCTCCTGCTACTGCATTTGACCTTGAGGTCATAACTGAAACTCTCATTTCCTGTCCACCACCCATTTGAGATTCTGCTCACCCTCAGCTGATGCCTCTGCCAAGCTGGGTGGCTCAGCTGGTGGAGTGATACAAACTCTCATATCTGAGGATTGGAGCAGCACAGTATTAAGTATAGAATTTCTGTTTTGCCCCCACAAAGGGAACAACATGGACTTAACACTTTCCCTCTCTTCCTCACCACCTCCTGACTTTCTCTTGCCCATTGTGAGGAGTAACTCATATAATTGGAAAGTCTAGGGAGAGGCTGACATTCGTTGGACCATCTTAACCATAACCTCTGCCTTGAAAGTCACTTGATGCTGGACCATCTCTATCTTTTTAACCCTATCACCATCCTGGACCTGTCTACAGTCCCAGAACCGTAGATGTTACCACTTCTAGTCTGATGCACATTGCAGTTAGGCTAAGCCTTGATATGCTGGAGTAAAAACACCAAAATTTCAGCAGCTTAAAAAAAGTTTATTTCTCCCTCTCCAAAGGCTGCTTTGTGTCTGGGAATCTCTCCGACATTACTGCTCCAGATCCCAGGCTGCTTCATTCTTGTGACATCTCCACCAAGCACAAGACTCAAAGGTTCACCACAACAGGAGAAGAGAGTGTTAGAGAGCTGCGAGGTGTCAGGTGGTCAATTAAGACAATGCACCAAACTGAAAGTAACAATACTATGCAGCCATAAAAAATGATGAGTTCATGTCCTTTGTAGGGACATGGATGAAGCTGGAAACCATCATTCTCAGCAAACTATCGCAAGGACAAAAAACCAAACACCGCATGTTCTCACTCGTAGGTGGGAATTGAACAATGAGAACACATTGACACAGGAAGCGGAACATCACTCACTGGGACCTGTTGTGGGGTGGGGGGAGGGGAGAGGGATAGCATTAGGAAATATACCTAATGTTAAATGACGAGTTAATGGGTGCAGCAAACCATCATGGCACATATATACATATGTAACTAACCTGCACGTTGTGCACATGTACCCTAAAACTTAAAGTATAATAAAAAAATAAAAATAAAAAAATAATAAAGATGCCAATTCTCCCCCCCAAAAAACAAAAAACAATTAAGCCTTTATTTACTTGCTGTGATATGACTCTTGTGTGCAGCAAAAGGTGCCTGATCCCACAGCCTTCCATTTTGCCCCAGGGAACAGGGTCAGATGACATGCAACCCAGATTGAGGGGAAGTGGAGAGCCTCTCTGGACAAAAGCCTCCTGTCATTTTTGGGTCTTGGGGGCTGGGAGGAGAAGGAGGAGAGGCTAGAAGTGGGAAAACACTGAGTCAGAGTAAACTGCTTTTAATCCCCCACCCCTTTTTGGAGGCCTCCAAATGGGAGGCTCCTAGACTACAAATGCAAACATGCATAACAGCTCTAATTGGGGGTTGAGGAACCTTAGTCTTTTTTTTTTTTTTTTTTTGAGACAGTTTTGCTCTTAGTGCCCAGGTTGGGGTGCAATGGTGCAATCTTGGCTCACTGCAACCTCCACCTCCCAGGTTTAAGCGATTCTCCTGCCTCAGCCTCCCAAGTAGCTGGGATTACAGGCACGCACCACCAAACTCAGCTAATTTTTTGTATTTAGTAGAGACAAAGTTTCACCATGTTGGTCAGGCTGGTCTTGAACTCCTGACCTCAGGTGATCCACCCACCTCGGCCTCCCAAGTGCTGGGATTACAGGCATGAGCCACTGTGCCTGGCTGGGAGCCTTATTCCTTAAATACAACTTCCTCCAGAGACTGCAATGCACCGGCCATGCACTATGCCTGGTGTGAGGAGGACAGCCTCACCTACCTTCAATAAGGCCTACCAGGTAAAGCTTTTGTAGTTGCCTATGTTTCAGCCTATCTATCACACTTAGGATTTTGGCCTCAGCCCAGAAGTGACCATTTCAATTCCTGCTACAGCCTATTGGCCAGAGCTAGTCTCATGGTTCCGCCTGACTTCAAAGAGGGCTGAGAAATGTGGTCTTCCATGTGTTAAGGAGGAGATGGAAAATGGAAATATTGATGAACACTAGTAATGTCTGCCCCAGTGCAGGAAGCAGACTTTTTGGGCCTGGCCAGCAATCCATATTTGCTATTCTAATTTCTCCTTTGGCAACTGAGCCAGGAGGTCAGAGTCCTATGAGTCTAGAACCCTAG
The DNA here is from genome assembly GCF_000001405.40 of Homo sapiens. Taxonomy (NCBI): domain Eukaryota; kingdom Metazoa; phylum Chordata; class Mammalia; order Primates; family Hominidae; genus Homo; species Homo sapiens. The sequence continues at coordinate 223,649,894 of NC_000002.12, forward strand.
ATTTAAGACAGGGGAGGTGCTGTGGAATTCATCAGACAAAGGTTTATTATTTTAACAAACAGAACCTGCATTTTAATCCCCACTTGGCTCTTTATGTTGAGCCTCATTTGGTTAGAACTCATGAGAGAGGCAGGCAAGCAGCTGCCTCCTCCAAACCACTGACACCTGGCAACATGTAGTGTTCGCCACCATTGAAGGGGGAAAGGCGTCCACCCTGCCCAAGGCAAGGGTGTGCTTTGTGTTTAAGGATTAGCAGATCACAGAAGTAACCCACAGAATTCTGAAAAGAAACTGAAGCTGCTTAATAGCAAACTGTCATCCTCGCAGCTCACCGTGTCCCCATTATGCCTCCTGCACAGGAAGAGCAGAAGTGTTGACACTGAACTCATCCAACAACCTCGAGACATATAATCCCTTTGACAAATTCCTGAAAGACGCTCTGGAGAAATAACTCAGCTTCCAATGTAATTAGACATAAAGGAGGAAATCAGGAGACATTGATGTGGAGGGGATTGAGTTGATTGCAAAACCCCTTTGCTGAGAGAAATACCTACGTAAATCAATTGAATGGGAATGATTTTGCCCTTGTTACACATACTGGGGACAAAAGCATCATTTGAGTTCTTATGGAGCCATATTTTCTTTCTTCATCCTTTTCTATTTTTATCTTTTGCTTTGAATTCTTCGTTTTTTTCCTTTCGGCAGCAGGATACAGCCATATTTCCTTTGCAGGAAAACTTGCTTTTTATGATTCAAAATATTAGGGTAGCAACTATATTTAAAAAAATCTATATGTAGACAAATTCCTTGAGGCACTATTACTAACATTAATCAATTTTGTCTCTGGATGACGAGATTTCAAGTGATTTTCTTGCCAATTGTACCAGGTTCCTTAAAGAGTGATTATACTTTATTCTGTTGGGGACCTGGGGATTCTCTTAAGACTAAATCCAGTTTGTTTGTTTGCTTGTGTTTGTTTGTTTGTTTGAGATGGAGTCTTGCTCTGTCACCCAGGCTGGAGTGCAGTGGCGTGATCTCGGCTCACTGCAAGTTCCGCCTCCCAGGTTCATACCATTCTCCTGCCTCAGCCTCCCGAGTAGCTGGAACTACAGGTGCGCACCACTACGCCCAGCTGAGTTTTCTATTTTTAGTAGAGATGGGGTTTCACCGTGTTAGCCAGGATAGTCTCGATCTCCTGATCTCGTGATCCGCCCACCTCAGCCTCCCAAAGTGCTGGAATTACAGGCGTGAGCCACCACGCCCAGCCTAAATCCAGTTTTTATGTTAATTTCTTTCCCTAGAACCCTGAATTAAGTGGGTGGTCATATCAGACCATGCAGCAGCCCTATGGAACAGAATTAGAGTTTCAGTTTGTCACAGGATACTATTTCTTCCCCAGGTAGACAGTTCATTTTCTTGTCACTTCTCCAATCTGGTGTGCAAAGATTTTCTGTCCTCTTTTCACAGATGGACTGTATCACAGCTCCACCTTGGAGCCTTTTTCCCTGCTCCCCAGTGGACATTAAATCCCCAGTCCCTAGAGTCTACATCCAGAGAGGGTCCCTGGAAAATCAGCTTCCCCTAGCGCTTCCCCTTTGGCTTTGCATTTCTTCTTAATCTCTGAAAAGTCATTTCTTTCAAACTCAAATAAGTATTTATTGTAATTGAACCGGTATTTCAATTACTTGTAGTGAGAAGAGTTTCTACGCCCATTCAGTCTTCCTTCTTACTGAAATTGCAACTGTAGGTAACATTTGTGTTGTGGATTGAATGTTTACATTCCTCAAAATTCGTATGTTAAATCTGTAATCTTCAATTTGACTATATTTGAAGATAAGGCCTTTAGAAAGTAATTAAAGTTTAATATGGTAATTACAGTGAGGGGCCCAATTCTGACAGGATTAGTGTCCTTATAAGAGGAGAGACCAAAAAGCTCACTCTCTCTCTCTCCACACCCACGCACGGAGGCAAGGACATGTGAGGACATAGTGAGAGGTGGCCATCTGGAAGCCAGAAACTAAATCGTTTCATATGCTGATCTCGAACTTCCCAGTCTCCAGAACTGTGAGAAAATAAATTGGTTATTTAAGCCACCCAGTGTTTTGTTATGGCTGCCTAAATAGACTAAGACCAATTATTTTGACCGCTTTTCTACCCTCTCAAATTTTCTTCAATGAGAATGCATTGCTTCTGTGAAGGTTCTAAGTTCTGTTCAGTAAATATTTCTGGCTCTCTGCCTTCTGAGCACACTTGGAGTTGCACTCCGCTATCTTGAAGTTAGGGCATGGCCAGGAGACCATCTGGCCAATGAAAAGGACCAGGTCATAATTCATCTCATTCCTTTCCTCCAGTGGGGCAATCCTGAAAGTACATGATGTTGACACAAAGTTTCCATCATCCAGGGTCTTTGAGTGACTGCCCATTAGCAGAGACTTCCTGCCTGACAGACATTGATTGAAAAATAGATACATGATTGCTGCAGTTATTTGTTACCACAGCATGGCCTGGCCTACCCTGACTAATATACTTTCTAAATCACAAAGAAATAAATTTGTAAACCTTTTAAAATTTAAATAACATCTGCTTTTAGATAGAATTAGACTGTACTTAGAACAAATTAAGCCATGTTTGTTATCATCTACCTCGTGAGGAAAAAGTGCAATAAAATATACCCCCGCCCAAACATGCATTATGCTGCTTTGTCTTCCATTGTTGATAATATTCTTTTGAGCTCAAGTATCTCTATTTCTATCCACGCTCTTCCTAAATGATCATAAGGATAACTCATTAAGAAATTTTTAATCAAGAGTAGCTTAACATGAATACTGCATGAGCTCCATTATTGCTAGATTACTGAGTTGCTGAAGGACAAGGACACAGGAAAAGCCACTGAGTAAGTTGCCATAGTAGAGGGTTTGGGACAATTAAGTAGTGAATCTTCTCTGAATAAAAAATGAAAGGTGATTTAAAAACAAGGTCAAAATGTCTTCACAACATTAATCAAGGAAGACTCTAAGACTGTTCAAAAAGAATGTAGTGAATTTTTTTTTCTATGGGAAATTACTTGTCCTATTTATGCATCTTACAAATCAGAAAATTCTAGAGGAACAAATAGAGTGTAAGATGTGCCGCTTAGAAGGAGGCAGCCAAGAAGCAGTGGGAAGATGCAAATATTTGCTGTATGTCATAAGGAACAATTACAGGCCCCTCATCAGAAATGCAACACAACTTCCCTCTGAACTCAGTAGTCCTCATTTTACATAAAGTATGAATAAAACATTGGGCCCTATTTCCAGAACAACCTGTTATAAAAATGGCATCAGTGAAAGAAATGGGGAAGGCAGGAGCAGTCAGGCAGTTATGCTATGAATGTCATAGCACAAATTTTTCCATTAAAAGTAAATCCCCCACATAAAAATGCTCCACTTCACAGTAACTATTCTGTGTTGTAGCTCCTGTGAATCAAGCTTGGGCTATAAATGCATAAGAGTGGACAACAGTGTGACTTGCTAATTGCCACCTTCTCCAATTGGCATGGAGCCTGGTAGAAAAAAATACTATTTGCAGCTCCCTATTAAAAGCAAATCTCCCCATAGATGTTCTCTGGAATATACCATTTTTCTTCTTTATTTCCAAAACATATGGAAGGTGACAAGATACTCTTGCCTCACCCACTTCTGCTGACAGGATTCTATATTAATTCCTTGGTAGGGATACTCACAGAAATAGAGAGCACATGGAGCCACAAAAATGACAATATTAGGAAAATGCTGAAGCATCTGAATAAGTTTAGGTCGGCCCCTTTCTTCAGGCTTTTCATTTTTCTCACTCAGCTGCTTCTAAGGCATTGTTTCGTTGACTTCTTTGTGACTTCCAGACCCAATGTCCTCTGCTTTCCTGCAGGGTCCAGCCCGCTCCTGTCATCAAGCTTGGGCTATTTCCTTCCCTCTCCAACTTAGACCACAGGATCCACCCCGCAAGCAAGATCCAGCCAATATCCTCAAGTAGAATTGACACATTCGATGAGGACATTGGAAAGATAGTGGCACAAAGAGCACCGAGGACGTTGATACATCGGCTCAAAAGGCATAAAGAGTAAGGAAAGGAGATTTTCTCATGTAACAAGAAGGGCACTGGGTCAATCAATGATATTATCAAGGGCAGACTTCCATTTCATTCCTGAATTCTTCTGTGTCACCTTGTCTTTAGGCTAGTTCACCAAGCATCGCCTGCAGACAGGACAGCCTCCCAAGGTAGAAAATAAACCATCTTTTTTTTTTTTTTTTTTTTTTTTGAGACAAGAGTTTCCCTCTATCACCCAGGCTGGAGTGCAGTGGCATGATCTTGGCTCACTGCAACCTCCACCTCCCGGGTTCAAGCGATTCTCCTGCCTCTGACTCCCAAGTAGCTAGGATTACAGGTGTGTGCAACCATGCCCAGCTAATTTTTTTTTTTTTTTGTATTTTTAGTGAAGATGAGGTTTCACTATGTTGACCAGGCTGCTCTGGAACTCCTGACCTCAAGTGATGTAACCACCTCGGCCTCCTGAAGTGCTGTGATTACAGGCATGAGCCACCACACTTGGCCAAACCATATCTTTCTTAAATATTTTTTAGAAGTAAGAAAATATTTCCCTCTTTGTGGAATCCCCCTCATTGCCTGGAATTACATCACATGCTCATGCTCTTGCCCAAATTAGTCACTGGTGAAAGAAACATCATGATTGGCTTAGACTGATAAGTATCAGGGCCATCCTCCCCTGAAGTAGGTGTCTAATCTGAGAAGAGTAGTTACTAAACAAAAACCGCGTTCCATTAGAAGGGAGGAAGGGACAAGAGTGGTGTGTGGTGTAAGTAATCAATCATGCAATTCTAGTTCAGTCCAACAATCTGCCTTTCCTCCAGGCTGGCCATCGGCCTCTGCTGGCAAAATCTTGGAGCATGTATGACGGGTGCTCACTAATGACAGTCTGACACACAGGACCTTATCACCTCCTAGTCCTGTATCCTACTCCGTTCCCCAGAGGGGGTGTTTTAAACTTCTGTGTTGCTTCATCCCCTTTCACTCACATCCACTCCCTGAAAAATTGTCTCACCTCCCACCTCACAAGGAAAATGGGTGATATCAGACAAGAGCTCCATTGATTTTCTAAAGCAGCTCTACAAATGTACCCACTCGAACCCAGCCTGCTCCTTCTTTCCTGTCACAATGGAAAAGCTGTTTCTTATCCTAAATCCACAGTAAATCCATTTACCTCTAATATGGACCCTATTCTTTCTCCCTTTTCTGGAGCCCTTCTGTCAGTAGGCGCCCTCTATACTCTATTTTCAATCTCTCGTTCACTGCCTGCTTAATTCTAACAGCAAGGGATTCCATCAACATGCTCAACTCCAGCCAATTTTTTTTAAAGAATAAATCCCTCCTTTATTCCATATCCCTACCAACTCTCACACTATCTCTGTTCTCCCCTTCACAGGCAAACTTCTTGAAAGAGTAGTCTCCACTTCCTGTCTCTTCTTCCTTGCTTCCACTCACACCCTAAACCATTGCAATCTGGCATCTATGCCCATCTTTTCACAAAAGCACCCTCACAGTGCTCCTAATGACCCCCTCACCCTTAACCCAAGCTCACTCTGTGGCTGGTCTGAATGTCTGTGTCCCCCACCAAGATCCATATGCTGAAACTTCAATCCTCAATGAGACCAGAGGTGTGGCCTTTGGGAAGCAATTAGGTGACCAGGCCTCCAACCTCACCAATGGGGTTAATGTTTTTATCAAAGAGGCCTGAGGGAGCTTGTTTGCCCCTTCAGCCATTTGAGGACACAGAGAAGGGGCCATCTAGGAGACACAGGCCTTCACCAGACACCGAATCTGCTGGCCCCTTGATCTTGGACTTCCCAGCCTGCGGAACTGAGCAATAAATTCTGTGGCTTATAAATTACTCAGTCTAAGGTATTTTGTTGTAGCAGCTGAATGGACTAAGACAACCTCTTAGAGGCACTGGGCATGTTATTGTTCACCTCTCCTCAGGGAAATGCTACCTTTGTATTTTTTTTTTTTTTTTCTGAGACAGAGTTTCGCTCTTGTTGCCCAGGCTGCTGGAGTGCAATAGCGCAATCTCAGCTCACCTCAACCTCCGCCTCCTATTTTTTTTGTATTTTTAGTAGAGACAGGGTTTCTCCATGGTGGTCAGGGTGGTCTCGAACTCTCAACCTCAGATGATCTGCCCGCCTTGGCCTCCCAAAGTGCTGGGATTACGGGCATGAGCCACTGCACCCAGCCCACTTTTGTATTTTACAACACCACACACCTTCACTTCCTTCCTGCTTCTCAGATTCTTTCTTTATCCTCTGCCCATTCTTTTAGTATTGGAAGGTCGCAAGCTCTGTGCAGGACCCTCTTTTCATTATTCATGCAAACTTCCTGAGAGATATAAATTTTTCCCATGCCTTCAGTGATTGTCTGGGTGGCAGGGAAATAGGTGCACTGTGGAATAAAACCATCTGGGCTCAATCCCAGATTTTACCACTAACCACTAACTATGTACCTTGGGCAAGTGACTTAATTTCTGTAAGCCTCAATTTCCACATCTGTATTGAGGAATAATAATATCTACCTCACAGGACTGTTGTGAGGAAAGAGTAATGAATATAAAGCAATTAATGCCTGTATGTAGTAAGCCTTCAAATGTTAATTTTTATTAATAATTTTATTATACTAATGACTTTCAAACCTGTTTGGTCAAAATCCCTTCGAGACTCAGGAGCCTCTATCCAACCGGATATTCAGTAACTCACCTTGATGTCACATGGACCACTCAAACTCAAGAAATTAATAATTAAAAGGATCATTCCCCCTCCCTTTGCCAAGCGTGTTCCTCTCTCTGAGTTCCCTGTCTGTAAGAAGGGCAACCCCATCCATGTGACTGTCCAAGCTAGAGGCAAAGGATGCATCCCTGTGCCCCGCTTCTCTATGACCAGTTCCAAATACTCTGCAATCTACCTCCTGACTCCTCCCAAACACATCCAATCATCATGCCACCACTCTGGTTCAGACCATTCTCTCTTGCCTGTATGACTGCTGCAGAGTCAGTGACCCTGAATGACTGTTCATTGTTCCATCTCGCTCTGAGCAGTTCTTACCTCCCCTTCCTTCCTTCCCTCTCCATGTCCTCCCCTCACCTTCCAACTTTTATAGAGTGTTTTCTTTCTCAAGTGTATGGTGCTTTTTATGGCCCCCTCATCTGGCCTGCCACTCTTTGCCTTCCCCACACCCTGTCTCATGCCGAGTCTTACTTCAAACCTCCCCTTGCATCTCATGACCTTAGCTGTGGTTCCTCACTCCCACCCCCTGCACACACACTGCAGAGATGACCTGCCTTGTGCTGTCAAACGGCCCTGTGCTCCTCCCCTTTCTAGGGCTTGGATCTCTTCCTCACTGGGAAACAGCAGCGAAGACAAAGTCTTTCTTCACCTTGCAATTTCCAGCATCTCCCACCAGGCTGGGCAATTCAGGGTAATTATTCAATGGGTGAGTGGATTTCTTTTCACCTTTTCTTTGGTTTTCCTTCTGCCTCCTTTCCATCCCTCCCACCTAACATACTCTGTTTCTTATGTTGGTCCTACCTGTGTACTTCTCAGAAGTTTCTTTCATCAAATCTTGCATCTGAGGCCAGGTGTGGTAGCTCACCCCTGTAATCCCAGCACTTTGGGAGGCCAAGGCGGGAGGATCACCTGGGTTCGGGAGTTTGAGACCAGCCTGGCTAACATGGCGAAACCCTGTCTCTACTAAAAATACAAAATTATCTGGGCGTGGTGGTGCGTGCCTGTAATCCCAGCTATTCAGGAAGCTGAGGCAGGAGAATCGCTTGAACCCGGGAGGCAGAGATTGCAGTGAGCCGGGATCATGCCACTGCACTCCAGCCTGGGTTACAGAATGAGACTCCATCTCAAAAAAATAAATAAATAAAAAAGAAAAAACTATATTGCATCTGTTTAGTCAGGCTGCACTAGAAACATCAGGGAAGGCTTTTAAAATTGTATGTGTATGCGCGCGTGTGTGTGTGTGTGTGTGTGTGTGCACAGACGGGGTCTCCCTACGTTGCCCAGACTGGTCTCAAACTCCAACCTCAAGTGATCCTCCAGCCTTAGCTTGGAAAAGTGCTGGGATTATAGGTATGAGCCACCTTCCTGGCCACCAGGGAAGCTTTTACAAACATGGTTTCCTGGTTTTGTTTATAAACCTACCAAATCAGAACCTACAGGACGTTAGATTTTTTTAAAACATCCCAGGTGATTTTGATAATCAGCTTGTGCTGAGAACCCCTGCTGTCTATAATCCCCAAAAATTATGGCTTACAGATAAATGTTTCTAGATGAAGAATTGCTTAATCAGACTGACTAATCCCGCGTGATGTACTAATGAATTACTATGACATCCTTCCTAGGGAATCTAAAACAACATGGTGCCTTATTCTAATTAAAGCCACTGTCTCTAAAAGCCCCTTTAGATCTGAATTTACTGGAGAGGGTTTTAGGCAGATTGGTGGGAGATGTTTCACCTAATAACTTTATCTAAGTAATTGTGATGTCCTCATTTCTGGGCCAGCCAGTCAGAAATAGAGATACAAAAGGTGTGGAGTTTACAACCTAGTGAAACAAGTACTTACATACATGGGTATTATGCTGTAAGGTGAAAAGGCCAAAAGAGGCATAAAACAGCAGTGAAACATAGAAGAAGTGCTATTGAAGCTAAGCCTTGAAAGGAAGGCACCTCTTAGAATGTGGATTTGGCTGGGGTAAGGAGGATTCCAGGCAATAAGAAGGGCATGAGCAAAGGTCAGGGCAATGAGAAAACATGTCCAAACCTAAAAATATTTGGTGTTCCTGAAGAAGAAGAAAAATCTAAAAGTTTGAAAAACATATTTGAGGGAATAATTGAGGAAAACTACCAGCCTTGGTAGAGATATAGACATTCAAATACAAGAAGCTCAAAGAACACCTCGGAAATTCATTGCAAAAAGATCATCACCTAGGCACGTAGTCATCAGGTTATCTAAAGTCAAGACGAAGGAAAGAATCTTAAGAGCTGTGAGGCAAAAGCATCAGATAACTTATAAAGGAAAACCTATCAGATTAACAGTAGATTTCTAAGCAGAAACCCTACAAGATAGAAGAGACTAGGATCCTATTTTTATCCTCCCTAAAGAAAACAATTATCAGCCAAAAATTTTGTATCCAGCAAAACTAAGCTTCATAAATGAAGGAAAGACACAGTCCTTTCCAGACAAACAAATGCTAAGAGAATTTGCCACTACCAAGCTAGCACTACAAGGACTGCTAAAAGGAGCTCTAAATCTTGAAATAAATCCTTGAAATACACCAAAAGAACCTCCTTAAAGCGTAAATCTCACAGGACCTACATAACAATAACACAATGATAAAAAAAGAAACTAGGTATTCGGGCAACAAATAGCATGATGAATAGAATAGTACCTCACATCTGTACACTAATGTTGAATGTAAATGGCCTAAATGGTCCACTTAAAAGATGCAGAATGGCAGAATGGAAAGGAATTCACCAATCAAGTTTTTGCTGTCTTCAGGAGACTCACCTAACACATAAGGACTCACATAAACTAAGGTAAAGGAGTAGAAAAAGATATTCCATGCAAATGGACATCAAAAGTGAGCAGGAGCAGCTATTCTTTTATCAGACAGAAAAAACTTTAAAGTAACAGCAGTTAAAAAATACAAACTAGTCCAACAGGAAAATATCACAATCCTAAATATATGTGCACCTAACACTGGAGCTCCCAAATTTATAAAACAATTACTACTAGACATAAGACATAAAATAGATGGAAACACAGTGATAGTGGGGGACTTTAATACTCCACTTACAACACTAGACAAGTCATCAAGACAGAAAGTCAACAAAGAAACAATGGACTTAAATTATACCCTAAAACAAATGGACTTAACAGATATTTACAGAACATTCTACCTAACAACTGCAGAATATACATTCTGTTCATCAGCACATGGAACATTCTCCAAGACAGACCATATTATAGACCACAAAAAAAGTCTCAGTAAATTTAAGAAAATCAAAATTATATCAAGTACTCTCTCAGACCACAGTGGAATAAAATTAGAAATCAACTCTAAAATGAACCCTCAAAACCATGCAAATACATGGAAATTAAATAAGCTGCTCCTGAATGATGGTTGAGTCTACAGTGAAATCAAGAAGGAAATTAAAAAATTCTTTGAACTGAGTGATAATAGTGACACCACCTGTCAAAACCTCTTGGATACACCAAAAGCAGTGCTAAGAGGAGAGTCCATAACATTAAATGCCTACATCAAAAAGTCTGAAAGAGCACAAATAGACAATCTAAGGTCACACCTTACAAAACTGGATAAACAAGAACAACTAAAACCCAAAGCCAGCAGAAGAAAATAAATAATGAAGACTAGAGCAGAACTAAATGAAACTGAAACAAACAAAAAAATACAAAAGATAAATGAAACAAAAAGCTGGTTATTTGAAAAGATAAGTAAAATTGATAGACCAGGGCCTGGCATGGTGGCTAACACCTGTAATCCCAGCACTTTGGGAGGCCAAGGCAGGAGGACAGCTTGAGCCCAGGAGTTCATGATCAGCCTGGACAACATAGTAAGACCCCACCTCAAAAAAAAAAGTTGATAGACCATTAGTGAGATTGGCCAAGAAAAGAAGAAAGAAGATCCAAATAAGCTCAATTAGAAATAAAATGGGAGATATTACAACTGATACCACAGAAATACAAAAGATCATTCAAGGCTCCAATAGGCACCTTTATATGTATAAATTAGAAAACCTAGAGGAGGTGGTTTGCCTTGAAATACACAGCCCTCCTTGATTAAACCAAGAAGATATAGAATTTCTGAACAGATCAATAACAGGCAGTGAGATTAAAATGATAAAAAAATTGCCAGCTGGGCACGGTGGCTCATGCCTATAATCCCAACACTTTGGGAGGCTGAGACAGGTGGATCACCTGAGGTCAGGAATTTGAGACCAGCCTGGCCAACACAGTGAAACCCAGTCTCTAGTAAACATACAAAAAAAAATTAGCTGGGCGTGGTGGCGGGCACCTGTAATCCCAGCTACTTCAGAGGCTGTGGCAGGAGAAACGCTTGAACCCAGGAGGCAGAGGTTGCAGTGAGCCGAGATCCACCATTGCACCCCAGCTTGGGCAACAGGAGCGAAACTCTATCAAACAAAAAAAAATTGCCAACAACAACAACAAAAAAACTCCAGGACGAGACGAATTCACAGCTGAATTCTATCAGACATTCAAAGAAGAATTGATATCAATCCTATTGATAATATTCTGCAAGACAGAGAAAGAAGAAATTCTCCCTAAGTCATTCTATGAAGCCAGTATCACCCTATTACCAAAACCAGGAAAGGACATTAAGAAAAAAAAAAAAAACCATATCCCTGATGAACATAGATGAAAAAAATCTTCAACAAAATACTAGTGAACTGAATCCAACAGCATATCAAAAATATAATCCACCATGATCAAGTGGGTTGTATACCAGGGATGCAGGGATGGTTTAACGTATTATAAGTCAATAAATGTGATACACCACATAAACCAAATTAAAAACGGTCATCTCAATAGATGCAGAAAAAGCAATTGACAAAACCCAGCATGGCTTTATGATTAAACCCCTCAGCAAAATCAGCATAAAGGGACATATCTTAAGATAATAAAAGCCATCTATGACAAACCAGCAGCCAACATTATACTGAATGGGGAAAACTTGAAAGCATTCCCCCTAAGAACTGGAACCAGACGAGGATGCTCACTTTCACTACTTCTATTCAACATTATACTGGAAGTCCTAGCCAGAGCAATCAGACAATAGAAAGAAATAAAGGGCATCCAAATTGGTAAAGAAGAAGTCAAACTGTTGCTGTTTGCTAATGTTATGATCATTTACCTAGAAAACCCTGAATACCCCTCCAAAACGCTTCTAGAACTGGTAAATGAGTTCAACAAAGCTTCAGACACAAAATTAATGTACACAAATAGGTAGCTCTGCTATACACCAACAGCAACCAAGCTGAGAATCAAATCAAGAACTCAACCCCTTTTACAATAGCTGCAAAAATAAAATAAAATACTTAGGAATATACCTAACCAAGGAAGTGAAAGACCTCTACAAGGAAAACTAAAAAACACTGCTGAAAGAAATCATAGAGGACACAAACAAATGAAAACACCTCTCGTGCTCATGGGTGGGTGGAATCAATATTGTGAAAATGATCATACTGCTAAAAGCAATCTACAAATTCAACGCAGTTCCCATCAAAATACCACCATCATTCTTCACAGAACTAGAAAAAACAATCCTAAAATTTATATGGAACCAAAAAACAGCTTGCATGGCCAAAGCAAGACTAAGCAAAAAGAACAAATCTGTAGGCATCAAATTACCAGATTTCAAACTATACCATAAAGCTGTAGTCTCTAAAACAGCATGGTACTGGTATAAAAATAGGTACATTGACCAATGGAATTGAATAGAGAACCCAGAAATAAACCCAAATACTTACAGCCAACTGATCTTTGACAAAGCAAACAAAAACATAATGTGGGGAAAGGACACCCTATTCAGCAAATGGTGCTGGTATAATTGGCAAGCCACATGTAGGAGAATGAAACTGGATCCTCATCTCTCACTTTATACAAAAATCAACTCAAGGTGGATCAAAGACTTAAATCTAACACCTGAAACCATAAAAATTCTGTAAGATAACATTGAAAAACCCCTTCTAGACACTGGCTTAGGCAGACTTCATGACCAAGAACCCAAAAGCAAATGCAACAGAAACAAAGATAAGTAGATGGGACCTAATTAAAGTAAAAAGCTTCTGCAGACCAAAATAAATAATCAGCAGAGTTAACAGACAACTACAGAGTAGGAGAAAATCTTCGCAATCTATAGATATGGCAAAGGACTAATATACGGAATCTACAAAGAACTCAAACAAACCAGCAAGAAAAAAGCAAACAATCCCATCAAAAAGTGGGCTAGCGACATGAATAGACAATTCTCAAAAGAAGATATACTAATGGCCAACAAGCACATGGAAAAATGCTCAACATCACTAATGATCAGGGAAATGCAAATCAAAACCATAATGCAATAGATACCACCTTACTCCTGCAAGAATATCCATAATCAAAAAATAATAGATGTTCGTGTGGATGTGGTGTAAAGGGAACACTTTTACACTGTTGGTGGGAATGTAAACTAATACAACCACTATGGAAAACAGTGTGGATATTCCTTAAATAACTAAAAGTAGATCTACCATTTCATCCAGCAATCTCACTAGTGGGTATCTACCCAGAAGAAAAGAAGTCATTATATGAAAGAGATACTTGCACATACATGTTTATAGCAGCACAATTTTCAATTGCAAAAATATGGAACCAGCCCAAATGCCCATCAATTGACAAGTGGATAAATAAATTTTGGTATACACACACACACACACACACACACACACACACACACACACACGATGGAATACTACTCAGCTATAAAAAAGGAACAAAATAGTGGCATTTGCAGCAACCTCAATGGAATTGGAGACTATTTTTCTAAGCAAAGTAACTCAGGGATGGAAAACCAAACATCATATGTTCTCATTCATAAGTGGGAGCTAAGCTATGAGGATGCAAAGGCATAAGAATAATATATTGGACTTTGGGGACTCAGGGGAAAGAGTGGGAGGGGGTGAGGGATAAAAGACTACATATTGGGTACAGTGTACACTGCTCAGGTGATGGGTGCACCAAAATCTCAGAAATCACCACTAAAGAAATTATTCATGTAACTAAACACCACCTTCTCCCTAAAAACCTATTGAAATAAAAAATAAATTTAAAAAGAACTTTAAAAAATGCAAATGAAGAAGTGTACAGGGTTTCCTAGACATAAATGAGAGTCATCTCAGAAACCCTTTGTATGGCTGGTATAAGACCCAAATACAGGCTGGGCACAGTGGCTCACACCTATAATCCCAGCACTTTGGGAAGCCAAGGAGGGTGGATCACCTGAGGTCAGGAGTTCAAGACCAGCCTGACCAACATAGTGAAACCCCATCTCTACAAAAAAATACAAAATTAGCCAGACGTGGTGGTACCTGCCTGTAATCCCAGCTACTCAGGAGGCTGAGGCAGGAGAATTCCTTGAACCAGGAGGCCAAGGTTGCAGTGAGGTGGGATCATGCCGTTGCACTCCAGCATGGGCAACAAGAGCAAAACTCTGTCTCAAAAAAAAAAAAAAAAACCCAAATACGGATCCATCATGTAATCCACCCATGCTGAGTAATTAATAGGTATACAGCCCTGGGCTAGCTAGTCTCTCATCCAACAAGTTCTCTACAATGAGCAGTGAAGCCAGTAATTCTCCATGAAGGCTTCTCTTTAGTTCTTTATACATCTGTTAAGTGTCTTCTATGCTCAAACATAAAATGCTCCTTCCAACCATTTTAATAAAAAAATCTATTCTGGGATTGATTAAATGTTCTAGTTACTCTCCTGAAGAAAATTACCATGACTCAATATTATTCCAAACAGTCATTTATAAGCTTTTATTATTGTCGTTATTATTTTATTATTGTTTCAAACAAGCTGGTTAGGAATAGGGGCATATCTATTTTAATACAAGATAATCCAACATGATCTAACCGCTCTTTCCAAAGAACTACAGCTTAATAAGATGACCTTAAAAGGCAAATTCTCTAATATTCTCAGGACAGTGTGAGCAAATCCCGTAGAAGAATCTGGATTTTTTAGATAGACATGGTTGTTTTGGGCTCAATGATCATAGGAGATAGGTACCATTATTATTCCCCATATTACTGATAAGGAAATTGAGACAAAGGAGATTAAGTATTTTTCCTGAGGTCACAACTTGCTTATGTTACACAAGATATGGCCCCTTGAGCAACTCGAGAAGCCCACCTCATCTGTTGGTGCATCATCTGTTAAAAACGTGACAGCCTTAATTGTATATGGAACCAAGAAAGTAAAAGTCTTCAAAGAAAAGTGAACACCTCTTCTCCCTCTCATTCAAGTACATGCAGATAATTCAGAGACCCATGGGAGAAAAGAGCACAACTTGGAAAAAACATCTAACTAATTTTTCTATAGCCTTTGAATAACATCAACAGCCTTTCATGCCTGTTACTCTACAACTGGTCAAGATTGACTCAGAGTTCTTGGCTATATCTGTTGTGGGAATGGAGTTGTATTTTCTTAAACAGAAAGTTGAGTGGCTTTGAAAGAGAGATGCAATCCAACTTCTAATTAGCAAAGGAAGACTTGACTACATTTCCAGGCATTGGAAGAACAAACAGAATAAATTTGAATATTGATGGGATGAACACAACTCTACCAAGTGGTAAGCAAAAAATTTCAAAAGAGGAATTATGCAGGAAGAGGGCAAAAATCATCTTTTTAAAAATCACTGAAGTCCAGTGCATGGCTATGGTAGATGCTAACAAGTTCTTGAGACCCAGGATCACAAACTATAGATGCGAAGAAGTAGGCACCAGAAGTGGTCAAACAACCAACATAAGAACATCACAGTTTTTCAAGAAATGGAGCCTGAGACAATGACAAGAGATGAAGAAGATAATGCCAATCCTGGGGGAGGCAAAAAAAAAAAAAAAGTACCACTGAGCCTTTCCTTTTCCAATGTACGGAAGACATCAGGAGACATATTATCTTCAAATAGTCACACAACAACAACAAAATGAAATGTATGAGGGAAATGTATTTTGAAGAGTTTTTATGTAAAGTACTTGCTGCTATGGGAAGAAAAAGAGCAGAGAGTGATGTGGAGGGGGAAAAGGGCTGATAAAACAAAGACAAGTGATCGTGAGAGGTGTACCATGGGGATTTTCTAGCTCATGAAATGCCTCTCAGTATTAGAAAAGATATCCTAAATAAATAGTTGATTTCATAGCACACACCCTTTGCTCTATATGCCTTTTGTCCCTTCTTTTGCTTGGAAACCTCCCTCCCTTTCTTCAAGACTCAACTCTGATCTTATTTCCCTAGCAAACTTTCCGTTAGCAAACTCTCCTAGCAGTCTAAGGGCATCCAGTTGTCTGTGCTTCCTCTATTATCCTCCTTACAGAGTTGTTTTGTTGATGTTTGTTTGGGGCTGTCTGCCCCAACTGGCAAATTTTGCAATCTTGGTACATATATATCATATTGTTTTTCACACAGTTTGAGCTCTACTATCGTTTGTGGATTATGGTGGTAATTTCCATGAAAAACACATTTATTACAAGAAATGAATAAAATTAGAGTCCTATTTTCCTCACTGTTGAGAGTAGGATCACATAAGAGACAGGGGGAATTGTTTTTATAAGAAATGAAGGAAAAATGACAGTTTCTGCATCTAACATTTTAGTTCAGAAATATGACAGTATCCAAGGTAGCCCACAGTATACTTGCAAAAAAATGGGTAAAAGTGCTGAACAAGGCACCTGAAATTGCAATGAAATTAGAAATCCTGTTTTTAAAAAACAGGCTGGAATAATGAAAAACTGCTTAAGGAAAATTTGATATGGTCCTGTAATGAGAAAGAGCCCTGTAATTGCCTTCTTAACCACCACTGAATTTTAAATAGCTCAAGCATTAACTCTTTGCTGCAGGGAGTCTCAAAAGCAAGAGATTTTGTAACGTTAATTGCTCAAATACTCCTAATTTGTTTCCAAGGGGTTGAAACAGCTCTTAATTGTTCTTTCATCTTTGATCAAGGCAAAGGAAAAAAAAATCATGAATGTCAAATTCATTCAACATACATTCAATTCATATATGTTAAAGTTTTTCAAGTATAGCCCAAAATGAAAAACTGCAAAGTTCTCAGACACTTTAGTTGACGATGAATGTGAAAGATGTACTTGTCTCTTCCACCCGTGACTCCTAGAGTTATGAGGGCTCTCAGTCTGGCATGTGGATATCATCACTCACTTTAATTTTAATTTTAATTTTGTGAGAAAGGAGTCATTTTTTTTTCTTTTTTTTTTTCTTTTTTGACAGAGTCTCGCTCTGTCGCCCAGGCCTTCTACCTCAGCCTCCTGAGTAGCTGGGACTACAGGCACCTGCCACCACACCCAGTTAATTTTTTGTATTTTTCGTAAAGACAGGGTTTCACTGTGTTAGCCAGGATGGTCTCTATCTCCTGATCTCGTGATCCACCTGCCTGGGCCTCCCAAAGTGCTGGGATTACAGGCATGAGCCACCGCACCCAGCCAAAAGGAGTCATTTTTTAAAAAAACACCAAGTTGAGTGGTTTCAAAGAATAATTTTTTCGATGTTTTTTGCCCTCTTCCTACATAATTCCTCTTTGGGGATTTTTTTTTTCTCCATTTCATGGAGTTTTGCTCATCTTTTAAACCTCTGTGAACTTTAATTTTTAATTTATAAAACCATCCTTTAAATCTCTGTAAACTTTAATTTTATAGAGATTAAAAGATTACATTTTTTACTCACTCAAATATCAAAAGTATTTCACTGTTTATTAACTTAGATATGCTCATTCAGTTCATTTAAAAACCACAAAGACTATATCAGGATTTTCTGAAATTTTTCCAAAATAAAAATGGTATGAGTTTCATCAAAAACTGTTGATTACTTTTACCACAATTCATCATTTAAGGTCAGGAAAATATTTTTAAAATATATTCAAACTAGCAGATTAATGCATCAGAAAAACAAATAAATAAAAATGAAGGAAAATGGCATACTAAGACAGTGCATTAGATGGTATCACAAATTCACTAGAAGTCAGAAGAGCTTTAAGAAAAATAAGGATGAAAACAGCAGAGTTGTGTCTGTTAGCAGTGAGAACTAAAAGGCCATAACTTTTTTTATGTAGAAGGACCTCACTATTCTGTACAAATATACAATAATATCATGCAATCCCAACAAATAACAATATAATATTAACGCTTTTGTAGTAGACATGGTTGCCCCTGTAACATCCGTCCTCCCATTCTTTCTTGCTGGGTGTCCACCTTCTTCTATGCAATATGCTCAGGGAAGGTGGCCCAATCCCCAATCCAAGGGTATATTTGGACAGATTTTTGACTTTCGCAGCAATCCTGTTTTCCTTGTGTATTAGTCTGTTCTCTTGCTGCTAATAAAGACATACCTGAGGCTGGGTTAATTTATAAAGGAAAGAGGTTTAATAGACTCACAGTTCCACCTGGCTGGGGAGACCTCACAATCATGGTGGAAGACGAAGGAAGAGCAAAAAGATGTCTTACATGGTGGCAGGCAAGAGAGTGTGTGCAGGGGAACTCCCCTTTAAAAAAACCATCAGATCTCAGGAGACTTACTCACTATCACAAGAAAAAGCACAGGAAAGACCCACCCCCATGATTCAATTACCTCCCACCAGGTCCCTCTCATGACACGTGAGAATTATGGGAGCTACAATTCAAGATGAGATTTCGGTGGGGACACAGCCAAACCATATCACTTTGCTAGTGATTCTTTTAAGGCTAGATATATATTCATCACGTGATCAAGGAAAGCCAGTCCCTCTTTTCTCACAGTTGTGTCAGGATCTGTGCACAGAACTGTGACAGACATTTTGCTACCCTGAGGTGGACGGACTTCCACTCTGTAGATGACAGGATAGACACATGAAAGGGACCTGCATTCTCGAAGATATTATGGAGCTCTTCAGTTAACAAACCTTGGAGTCAACCTAACTTGAACTCTGTGGGATGATAAATTCCTTTAGTGTTTAAGGCATCTGGAGCTGAGGTTCTCTGATACTAGCAGCTAGAGACATACCAACTGATATGATATGTTGAAAGAGGTTGCAGACCAACACATGACCCCATCAGGCTTACCTTGTTCACCAAAAAGGAAAAGTTTCCTCAGACTTTCACTTGCTTTCAAAACTGATGTCCTCAGAGTTGCTCAATGAGCCCACTACAAAAATAAGACACAGAAATCACAAGCTCTCAGGACTGAGAATTTTGGAGGAGGTTAAGAGGGAGCTGCTCTTCCCCATGCTTCCGATTTCCACCACCTTCCCTACACTTCTGACCCTCTTCCAGCTTTTCCTCACTTCTGTTTGACTTATGGGAATTTTCAGTATTTGCAACACACACCCAGAAACTCTGCCACTTACCAGCTTTGTAATTGTGGACAAATTATGTAGTTTCTTTTGACTTTGATTTCCCAGTCTCAAAAATGAAAGAAATAGTAGTATCTAAGTCATGGAGCTGTTAAGAGTATTGAATAATTTAATATATGGAAAGGTATTATACTTCTTAGAATAACACCTGGTACCTAGTGTGAATGATGACTATTTTTATAGATCCAAATTTCCCCTTGACCAGGATGGCATTGTTTACCTCCATATTAGCATCAGCATCAAGGAATGTGATAAGAATATATTTGTCAAGACCAAGGAAGATTATCATGATCAGAAAGATACTGTATTTCTTATTTTAATGCATTAAAAAGTGTACTCAGAATGGCAATGCTCACACTTTAGACTATGAATATACTTTTGAATGCTTCTCACAGGAGCATATGTTTAGAAACAGTAAGCAGAAAAATTAATTTGGAGAAATATCTTAAGCATTTTCTCAAGTAGGTTCTTGAGAAGACTAATTCCACAGTCTGACTAAAGTATGTATACACACACACACACGCACACACCCATGCACACACACACATGAAATATTTCTGTGGCCAAATAAGTATGGCAAAACACCAGGTTAAATAGCACTAAACAGCTTTTATCTCACTTTAAGATATTTTTAAATTTTTTTTCTTTTTTTTTTTTTCCGAGACAGAGTCTTGCTCTGTTGCCCAGGCTGGAGTGCAGTGGCATCTCGGCTCACTGCAACCTCTGTTTCCCAGGTTCAAGCAATTCTCCTGCCTCAGCCTCCTGAGTAGCTGGGATTACAGATGCGCATCACCATGCCCAGCTAATTTTTGTATTTTTAGTAGATACGGGGTTTCACCATGTTGGCCAGGCTGGTCTGAACTCCTGACCTCATGATTCACATACTTCTGCTTCCCACAGTGCTGAGATTGCAGGCTTGAGCCATCGCGCCTGGCCTAAAACATTTTTTTAGCAACTTGCAATAACCTTCTAGCTAGTCTTTTACTCACCTTCTTGCCCCCTCCAACCCATTCACCAAACCACAGTCAGAGTGATCTTTAAAATCACAATTATTCAGTCATGGGACCACCACCGCTGCTGCCACCACCACCACCACTTAAAATCCTTCGGTAGGTGTCAATCACACCTGGAATAAATTGCAAACTCCTTACCATTACCCCAAAGCCCCTGTTTAATCTGTTCACACCTCCCTCCATCTCTTCCCTGGTTCACTACACTCAACCTCACTCACTTATGAGGCTTCTAGAACCCAGTAGACCCCCTTCTTACTTCAGGGGCTTGGCACTTCCTGCTGTATATGATAAGAATGCTCTTTGAAGAACTTTCAGCATAAGTGTTCCTTTTCAGAGGGGCCATCCCTAAATACCACCTCTAAAGTACTTCCTCACCTTCAAGAAAAATATCTTTTTTTTTTTTTTTTTTTTGGAGACAAGGTCTTGCTCTGTTGCCCAGTCTGGAGTGTAGTGGCACAATCATAGCTCACTGCACCTCCAACTCCTGGGCTCAAGCAATCCTCCAGCCTCAGCCTCCCCAGAGTACTGGGATTCCAGGCATGAGCCACTGCACCCAGCTGGCAAACTTTTAATCTACATAGCAGTTGGTTTCTAGCTCTTTCCACAATCAGTAATTTTGTTCATTTGTCTGCGTATTTTCTGGCTCCTCATAGATCTCTAAGTTTCATGAGGGCATGACCTTCTAGTACACAATTATATTCTCAGATCCTAGCACAGGGCCTGGGGCGTAGGCACTCCATAAATGTTTGGTGAATAATTGAATGACCATTTGAAAATTTTGTAGGGCCTCATTCTTCCCTTTTTGAAAATATTATAATTTGCTTATCCATCCAAAACAAAACAAACAAAAAAAATACAGAATCTCTCAAAAAGTCTACTTTTCAGGAAGTAATCAGGTTGGCAGATCCATTAAACCAAGCCTGTATTTGTAGCAACACATTCACCTCTTCTGTCCAGATGCTGTTCAATTTGAAATAAGGCAGATAATGGGGTATTTGAATCTATAGTCAATAGATATGTCTTAAAATATATGCATACATATGGGGAAATTTTTTAAATTCATTTCAAAAGTCAACTCTTCAAATGTCAAGACAGCAAAGTTCAGGAAATTCAGATGCATATAATGTCTTAAATGTTAGTTTCCTCTTAAACCATACTGTTTGGAGCTTCCCAAATCCATATTAAGAGGTAGAATGTATTAAAGAGGTAGAATGTTATTTGGAGCCACTAAAGTTCAAGAAATTTTGGTCAATATCATGAGATAATTCTCAAATAAGCAAGACCAGAAACCCAGATCTTAAGATCCAGAGTGTTACTCTATATTTGAAAATTGCCATAAAATTAACTAGGCATAGTCCATAATGATATAAATAAATTATTGAATAATTAATAAGTGGACAAAAAATAAACCGTCTGATATAGTTTGCCTGTGTCCCCACCCAAATCTCAACTTGTATTGTATCTCCCAGAATCTTCACATGTTGTGGGAGGGACCCAGGGGGAGGTAATTGAATCATGGGGACCAGTCTTTCCCGTGCTATTCCCATGATAGTGGATAAGTCTCATGAAATCTGATGGTTTTATCAGGGGTTTCTGCTTTTGCTTCTTTCTCATTTTCTCTTGCTGCCACCATGTAAGAATTGCCTTCCACCTCCCACCATGATTCTGGGGCCTCCCCAGCCATGTGGAACTGTAAGTCCAATTAAACCTCTTTTTCTTCCCAGTCTTGTTTATGTCTTTATCAGCAGCATGAAAATGGACTAATACACCCTCCTTACAGAAGAATTCCAAATATATATGAGCATACTCTCCCCTCTCTTAATTTCTCTCCCGTGAGTATGGTCTGGACTTAGTGATTCTCTTCGAAAGAATATTCTGATCTAATGTGATGATAATTCATTTCTGTGATACCCTTCCCCGAAACCTATAACCCCAAGTTGATCATGAGAAAAACAGCAGACAAATCCAAATTGATAGACGTTCTACAAACTATATGACCAGTACTCCTCAAAACTGTTGAGGTCATTAAAAGCAAGGAGAGATTGAAAAACTGTCACAGATTGAAGGGGATTAAGAAGACACGATGACCAAATGTAATATGGTAACCTGGATTGGTTTCTGAAACAGAAAAAGGGTGTTAGTGAAAAAACTGCGAAATTCAAATAAAGTCAAGAATTTAGTGAATACTGTTGTACCAATTTTAACTTCTCCATTTTGACAATGTACTATTATGTGTTAGTCCATTTGCATTGCTATAAAGGAATACCTGAGAGTGGGTAATTTATAAAGAAAAGAAGTTTATCTTGGCTCATGGTTCCACGAGCTGTTACAGGAAGCATGATGCCAGCATCTGCTTCTGGTGAGGGCCTCAGGAGCTTACAATCATAGTGGAAAGTGAAGGGGAAATGGGGATATCACATGGCAAGAGAGGGGGCAAGTGTATCATATGGCAAGAGAGAAGCTAGCTTGTTTGTTTTTGTTTGTTTATTTGTTTGTTTTGAGACAGGGTCTCACTGTGTCACTCAGGCTGGGTGGCACAATCATGGCTCACTGAAGTCAACCTCCCAGGCTCAATCAATCCCCCTGCCTCAGCCTTCCAAGAAGCTGGGACTACAGGTGCATGCCACCATGCCCAGCTAATTTTGTATGTGTTTTTTGTAGATATGGGGTCTCCCTATGTTGCCCAGGCTGGTCTCAAACTCCTGGGCTCAAGCGAGCCTCCTGCCTCAGCCTCCTAAGATGCCCGAATTACAGGTATAAGCCACCATGCCTGGCTGACCAGGCTCTTTTTAAATAACCAGTTCTCTCATGAACTCATTACCATGGGGAGGGCACCAAGCCATCCATGAGGGATCTGCCTCCATGACCCAAACACCTCCCACCAGGCCCCACCTCCAGCAATGGTGATCACATTTCAACATGAGATTTGGAGGGGACAAATATTCAAACCATATCACATGGTTATATGAGATGTTACTATCAGAAGAAACCGGGTGAATAATACATAGGAAATTCCTGTATTATTTTTGCAACTTTTTGGTAAGTCTAAATTTTTCCAAAATAAAAAGCTCGTTTTTAAAAATTGACCAAGGAACAACATACCCTAACTGAACTGTCCTAGAAGCTAAACATATAGGTTCCTGTTAATATCCCCATTTCATAGATGAGAATTCAGGGGAAAAACCGATTATATAAACCACCTAAGATTATAAAGGGAATAAAAGGAATAGAACCTAAATTGGAATATAGGTCATTTGACTTCAGAGTTCTAACTTTTAATCTTATCCTTAAACTATTCAGAATTTCTTTTTTATTCCTTCTTTTCTCTTTTGATATTAAAGATTAAGTGGCTTTAATATCAGGCTCATGGATCAGGTTATTTAAATATAGAGGCTTCCTGAGACGCAATTGTTATTACTTGTTGTCTTTAATTGTACCTTTAGGATCATAATCCATCCCAAATTTATACTGGTATGTTCCTAGATTAAACTAGAACTATTGGCTGGGCACAGTGACTCATGCCTGTAATCCCAGCACTTTAGCAGGCCGAGGTGGGCAGATCACCTGAGGTCAGGAATTCGAGATCAGCCTCGCCAACATGGTGAAACCCTGTCTCTACTAAAAATACAAAAAATTAGCTGGGCGTGGTGGTGGGCGCCTGTAGTCCTAGCTACTAGGGAGGCTGAGACAGAAGAATTGCTGGAACCCGGGAGGCAGAGGCTGCAATGAGCCGAGATCATGCCACTGCACTCCAGCCTGGGCGACAAGAGTGAAACTCTGTCAAAAAAAAAAAAAAAAAAAAAAAAAAAAAAAAAAAAAAAACCTAGAACTATTGTATCTACTATCCTCATAGTTTTTGTGAGGATTAAATAGGTTCACAAATACAAATAGTTATAATGACTGGTACAAAGTATACAGGCAATTGATATGAATACGATTATTATTTTTCTTTTTCTTTTTTTTTTTTTTTTTTTGAGACGGGGTCTCTCTCTGTCACCCAGGCTGGAGTGCAAGGGTGTGATCTCAGCTCACTGCAGCCTCTGTCTCCTGGGCTCAAGTGATCCTCCTGTCTTGGCCCCCAGAGTAGCTGGGACCACAGGCATGCACCACCACAACTGGCTAATTTTTTGTTTTTTTTGTTGTTGTTGTTGAAATTGCATCTCCCTATGTTGCCCAGGCTGGTCTTGAACTCCTGGGCTCAACCAATTCTCCGGCCTTGGCCTCTCAAAGTGCTGGGATTACAGATGTGAGCCTCCATGCCTGGCCATGATTATTATTTTTTATTGGTAATTTTTTCGGTTCTGATTCCAATTCATTAACATTCCCTTTAGCCATGCCTGTTCTGCCTTTTAATCTGCCCATTGAGTTTTTTAACATCTGTACTTTTTCCTTCATAATTTGTCTTTGTATTTCTAACCTATTTTTATAGTATATTGCTTTATATTTCCACATATATTTTATAATTTTTTTTCTCTACCGCATTTTATATATACTTATGGCCCCTCTCATTTCGTAGTCTTTCCGGTTCCTGGAAGGGAGAATTTTTCCATTTTTGTTTCCTGTTTAAAAAATAAATAAACTGTTTTTGCATCGTTTCTAATATTTTATTGTCATCTCATTTTAGGTGACAGAAGTCTTTCTCTGTAGTGTCACGGTTATTGAAATGTATCTCTGGAGAGGTTTTAATTTTCTTTTTACCACTTGCTTCAGTAGAATTTCTGCTATGTGTCTAATTTTTATGTTAATTTTTGTCCTGGGATTTCCTCAACACAAGGACAGCTAAAATTCAGACTTCAAACTTATGACTTCATGGCTTTTATTTCTTGAGGGAGACTTATTTTTTTCCACCCTGACCTGGGGTTGAGAATAACTTCCTTGTTGCCCTCCTGAGTCAATAGATGGCTTTTCTTTTTCAAATTTCTCTTCCCCTAAAATTGCTTTCTGCAGGAGCCCCAGTTTCAACACTTAATCCATATCCAGTAACGATATTATTTCTTTGTCACTGCACAGCCTGTGCCATAACCAGGTCCAGTAATGTCCAGTAGGTGGCTCCTGGGATGTGGTTATCAGCATTTTCTACAATTCTAGCGCATGTACATTTTCTTTTTTTTTTTTTTTCTTGTGAAATTAGCCATTGTGATGGTTAAAGTTACGTGCCAATTTGGCTAGACTATGGTATCCAGATATTTGGTCAAATACTAGTCTAGATGTTGCTGCGAAGGTATTTTTTAGATAAGATGAACATTTCAATCAGTTGAGTAAAGCAGATTAACCTCTATATGTGAGTGGGCCTCATCAATCAGCTGAAGACCTTAATAGAAAAAGTGCACCATCCCTATGGCAGAGAGAATTCTGCTTGTAAACTAACATCAGCTCTTCCGTGGGTCATCAGACTGCCAGCACACCTTGACAATTTTGGACTTGCCAGCTTCCACAATCTCCTGAGCCAATATCTTTTTCAAAAAAAGCATTCATGTGTGTGTGTATATGTGTGTATTACACACACATATACATACATACACACACACACACATAGAGGTATGTATTTTTATACACACACACACAGACACATACACACACTATACCTTATTGGTTCGTGTCTCTGGACAATCCTAATACAGTCATGTGGGTTTTTTTTTAAGTTACTTATTTTTATTTTGTCCAAAAACTTTAGATTTTTACAGAAGGGTTTCTCTATTAACCTGATGTTTTTCTTAAATCAAGGAACCACCCATACACTTCTTAATATTTTTAAAAAGATTGTGTTTTATCCATAAAACAAAGGTATTATGGTTTATTTCCTTGTTAAAAAGCTATTACATAAAGGTTAAAATGTATAAATAATAATTAACACTAGGCCAGGCACAGTGGTTCTTGCTTGTAATCTTAGCACTTTGAGAGGCTGAGGTGCATGTACATTTTCTTTTTTTTTTCTTGTGAAATTCACCATTGTGATGGTTAAAGTTACGTGCCAATTTGGCTAGACTATGGTACCCAGATATTTGGTCAAATACTAGTCTAGATGTTGCTGCGAAGGTATTTTTTAGATAAGATGAACATTTCAATCATTTGAGCTTAGGATCATTTGAGCTTAGGAGTTTGAGATCAGTCTGGGCAACATAGCAAAACTGTCTCTACAAAAAATACAAAAATAGCCAGACATGGTGGTGCACACCTATAGTACCCACTACTCAGAGGCTAAGGTGGGAGGATCACCTGCACCCAGGAGGTCAAGGCTGCATGAGTGGTGATGGCGCCACTACATTCCAGCTTGTGTGACAAAGGAGAGCCTATCTCAATAAATACATAAATAAATAAAAGCTTGCATGAGAGAAAACTTTCCTGAGGTAACTCTATGACAAAACAAACAAATCAAACTCAATCAACTGAGATTATTACACAGCACATCTTAATTAGCAGAGGAGGAAGTTTAGCTTTAATGAAATGATGGGCTGCTTTAATTTCTAATTAATCCAAAAATTATCACTTCAAAAGACCAATCAACCATTCAGCCATGTTAGAGTTGGATGTTCCAGATTTAATTGTCAGTAGTCAATAGTTCAGAGCTTCCTAATAAGAAGTGGAAGAAGAAAAGCTTTCTATGGAGATCTACCGGGATTTAAACAACTGTCATGGTTAAGAGATTGATTGTTTTTTGTTTTTTGTTTTTTTTTTTGAGATGCAGTTTTGCTCTTGTTGTCCAGGCTGGAATGCAATGGCGTCATCTCGGCTCACAGCAACCTCCGCCCCCCAGGTTCCAGCGATTCTCCTGCCTCAGCCTCCTGAGTAGCTGGGATTAAAGACTTGCGCCACCACGCCCAGCTAATCTTTTTGTATTATTAGTAGAGATGGGGTTTTACCATGTTGGCCAAGCTAGTCTCAAACTCCTGACCTCAGGTGATCCACCCACCTCGGCCTCCCAAAGTGCTGGGATTACAGGCGTGAGCCACCGTGCCCGGCCAGGAGATTGATCTTTGGTAAGTATCCATAGGTTCCTCTGAATATTAATAAAAGGAAAGGTTCTCTATTGACTTCACAGCATCCCAGCTACTGACAACCTGGTAGGCCACATATCTAATTAAACGGACCATCCTGACTGGCTTGATCATGCCATGGTTTATCTGCTTGTCCCCAGTAGGCCGGTACCTGATATTCTGAGTGTCTTTGTCAGTTTGGGCTGCCCTAACAAAGTACTGAGTGGCTTATCAACAATGTATTTCTCACAGTTTTGGAGGCTGGAAATCCTAGATTGGGGGCCAGCATGGTGGGTTCTGCTGACGACCCTCTTCCAGTTTGCAGATGGCCAACTTCTTGTTGCATCTTCATGTGGCAGAAAGAAAGGGAGAGATCTCTCTAGGGTCCTTTTTATAAGGGCACTAATCCCATTCACAAGGGCTCTATACTGATGACCTAGTTACCTCCCAAAGGCCTCACCTCCACATACCATCACATCGGGGATTACATGTCAACTATGAATTTTGGGGAACACAAACCTTCAGTCCATAACATTGAGTGTATGTGGACAAGCGCATAGATACACATTTATAAATGACATCTTTAATAGTAGTAATAATTACGTCCTTAGTAACCACACACACATTGTGAGTTTCCATTAAATGGCAGTCACTGTGCTAAGTATTTCATGTGACTTGTCTCATTTAACAATTATTACAACTCTTCTGGTAGCTACTTTTCTTCTTCTTGTGTCCCAAATGAGGATGCTAAGGCTGCCAAGGTTAAGAAATTTATCCAATATTTTATAGTTAAAAACTGACAGAAATAGGACCCAAATCTCAGCCTAGGAATTCATTCACTAAACCTCAATTCCTCAATGTAGGAAGAGGTTCATTAATAATAATAATAATAATGGTTATTGCAGATAAAAATGTTTATACCTTTCCAGGCCCTGTTTGATATGTTTTGGATATTTTAACTGATTTAATCCTCACTACTATAACCCCCACTTTACAGATAAAGGAATGTATGGTAAAAAGTACAAAATAACTTGCCCAAGATCACACAGCAAGCAAATGGTAAAGATGGAATTCAAACCTAAGCATTTTGGCAGGGCGTGGTGCTCAGGCCTGTAATCCCAGCACTTTGGGAAGCCGAGGCGGGCGGATCACCTGAGGTCACAAGTTCGAGACCATCCTGGCCAACACGGTGAAACCCCGTCTCTACTAAAAGTACAACAACAAAAAAAAAATTAGCCAGGCGTGGTGGCAGGTGCCTGTAATCCCAGGTACTTGGGAGGCTGAGGCAGGAAAATCACTTGAATTCGGGAGGTGTGGAGGTTGCAGTGAGCCAAGATTGTGCCACTATACTCCAGCCTGGGCAACAGAGCAAGACTCTGTCTCAAAAAACAAACAAACAAACAAAAAAGCAAACCAAAGCATCCTGCTCCAGTGTCAGCCTCAGTCCTCTTCTCCACTGTACTATACTTCACAGTTCTTTAGAGAAACCCAAGAACCTTTTAGAGATTCTGGAAGGTCAAACTATTTTAATAACAATACTAAAGGACTATTTGCCTTTCTTACTGTCTCTCTCACGAGCACTATATTTGGAGTTTTCCAGAGGTTATATGATGTAAGAGATTGCCACAAATGTAGAAGAAAACATGAGAATCCTGCAGTCATCTGTTAAGCCAATTATTAAAGAGACACTGCTAACTGAAAAAAAAAAAACTACTCTTTGGGAAAATACAGCTATTTTTCACTTTAAAAATGTTTTTATGTTGACAAATAATGGGTTCATTATTGTTCTTCTAAAGGAAACAACAAATAAAGTGTTCTTAATTTTCATTTGCAATATGGTAGCGATAGATATAAATCATAAAGAAAAAACTCTTTGGTTTTTCAATAAGTTTTAAAGTGTAAAGATTGGTCAGAAACCCAAAAGTTTTCTAATGGCCACTAGGCTTATATACTATGTCTTTCCATGATAGCAACTAGTCATAGGGTTTTTTTGTGTGTTAAGATTAAATGAGGCCAGGCGTGGTGGTTCATGCCTGTAATCCCAACACTTTGAGAGGCCGAAGTGGGTGGATCACCTGAGGTAAGGAGTTCGAGACCATCCTAGCCTACATGGTAAAACCTCATCCCTACTAAAAATACAAAAATTATCTGGGCATGTTGGTGTGCACCTATAATCCCAGCTACTCGGGAGGCTGAGGCAGGAGAATTGCTTGAACCTGGGAGGCAGAGGTTGCAGTGAGCCCAGATTGCACCATTGCACTCTAGCCTGGGTGACAGAGTGAGACTCCATCTCAAAAACAAAACAAAACAAAAAACAAAACAAACAAACAAAAAACTCTTTGGGTTTTCAATAAGTTTGAAAGTGAAAAGATTGGTCAGAAACCCAAAAGTGTTCAAATGGCTGCTAGGCTTATATACTACACCTTTCCATGATAGCATCTGGTCATAGGGTTTTTTGTGTGTAAAGATTAAATGAGATAACCCATGTGAAAAGCTGAACATGGCCCCTGGCACATGGACAGTGTCAACATACGTTAGCTATTATTGTCATAGTTATTAGAGATGAAATAACCTGCCTGAGGCCACACTGTGACAAACTAGGGACATAAAAAAGTTGAAATTCTCTGCAATAATATAATAAGCTGCATTTAATAATGATTTAACAAACTAGATGATCAAATTCCCTTCCAGTGAGTAATGTTAAGTACCACAAAGAAGAGAGCTGTCCATAACTAACGCCATTGAAGAGAAAGATGATGGGTCATAGAGACTCCAGGCAGATGAACAAAGACCTGGATTCCAGGTGTGATACTTACAGTACCTAAATGTGTTACCACAGGCAAATCATTTGAAATCTCTGAATTATTGTGTTCATATGTATAAAATGTAAAAAATTATGTATCTCTCTCATCTACATTACAAGTATGAAATAATTTATGTGAAAGTGCTCTGAAGTATAAAATAGGGAAAGTGTGTTCTGCTCCAATTCTCATACCCAAATAAATCCCAGAGGGATTAAAATGTTACTGTAAAAAACACAAGCAAAAATTACTAGAAAGATATATAGGCCGGGCGCGGTGGCTCACGCCTGTAATCCCAGCACTTTAGGAGGCCGAGGAGTGCAGATCACGAGGTCAGGAGATTGAGATCATCCTAGCTAACATGGTGAAATCCTGTCTCTACTAAAAATACAAAAATTAGCTGGGCATGGTGGCACATGCCTGTAATCCCAGCTACTCGGGAGGCTGAGGCAGGAGAATCGCTTGAACCGGGAAGTCGGAGGTTGCAGTGAGCCAAGATCATGCCACTGCACTCCAGCCTGGGTGACAGAGTGAGACTCTGTCAAAAAAAAAATAATTATATATATATATATATATATATATATATATAGACATTTTAATATGAGAAAATTTATACAATTCTGGGATGAGGAGAATTTGTCAATGTGATGACAAAGAGAAAACATTTTACAAAAGTACTGAAGTTACCTCAAAAAAAGAGAAAATAGACTGAGCATGGTGGCTCATGCCTTCAATCTCAGCACCTTGGGAGGCCAAGTCAAGAGGATGACTTGAGCCCAGGAATTCAAGATCAGCCTGGGCAACATGGCAAGATCCTGTCTCTCCAAAAAAAATACAAAAATTAGCTCTGGGCGTAGTGGTGGGTGCCTGTGATCCCAGCTACTTAGGAGGCTGAGGTGGGAGGATCGCTCGAGCCCAGGAGTTCTAGGCTGCAGAGAGCTGTGTTTGTATCATTGCACTCCAACCTAAGCAGCAGGGCAAGACCCTATCTCAAAAAAAAAAAAAAAAAATGTTTGGCAGGGAGGAGAAAATCGCAGTGAATCTTTGTGAACTTGAGTTATACAATGGCCTCTTAGATATGACACCAAAAGCCAAAAGCACATGTGGAAAAAAGAAAAATTGGACCTTACCAAAATGACAAACTTTGTGCTTCAAAAGGTACCATGAAGAAAGTGAAAAACACAACTAAAACATGGAAGAAAACATTTGCAAATTATAAGTTTGATAAGTCTGGTGTCCAGAATATATAAAGAACTTTTAAAACTTGACAATAAAAAGACAAATAACCCACTTAGAAATGGGCAAAGGGCTTGAATAGACATTAATCCAAATAAGGTGTACCGATGGTCAATATGTGCTCCCAAAAATATGTTCAGCCTTATTAGTCATCAGGGAAATGCAAATAAAAACCACAATGAAATACCAATTCACACCCACTGGCATAGCTAAAATTAAAAAGCCAACTAATAACAGGTGTTAGCAAAAATGTAGAGAAATTGGAGCCCTTATCAACGCTGGTGGAATTGTAAAATAGCGCAGCCACTTTGGAAAACAGTTTGAACATTCTCAAAATGTTAAAACAAAGTTACCACATGATCCAGCAATTCTGCTCCTAGATATATACCTAAGAGAACTGAAATCGTATGTTCAAACAAAAACCTTTATTAAAACATTCATAGTAGGCCAGGCATGGTGGATCATGCCTGTAATCCCATCACTTTGGGAGGCTGAGGCAGGTGGATCACCTGAGGTCAGGAGTTCAAGACCAGCCTGGCCAACATGGCAAAACCCCATCTCTACTAAAAGTACAAAAAATTAGCCAGGCGTGGTGATGTGCACCTGTAATCCCAGCTACTTGGGAGGCTGAGGCAGGAGAACTGCTTGAACCTGGGAGTTGGAGGCTGCAGTGAGCCAAGATTGTGCCACTGGTACTCCAGCCTAGGCAACAGAGCAAGACTTTGTCTCAAAAAAAAAAAAAAAGAAAAAGAAAAAAAGAAAAGAAAACATTCAGAACAGCATTATTCACAATAGCCATAAGGTAGAAAAGCCCACACATCCATCTACTGATGAATGCATAAACAAAATATACATCTATACTGTAGAATATTATTTGACAATAAAAAAGACTAAAGTACTTATACATGTTGCAACATGGGTGAAACTTGAAAACATTATGCGAAGTGAAAGATGCCAGTCACAAAAGGCCACATTTTGTAGGATTCCTTTTATATAAAATGTCCAGAATAGGCAAATCCATAAAGACAGAAAGTAGATTAATGCTTCCAGAGGGTACATGGAAGGAGAAACAGAGTTTCTCTCCTCTGCTAAGCAGAGGAGTTTCATTTGGTGTGATGAAAAAGTTCTAAAATTAGATAGTAATGGCTGCACAACTCTGTGAATATACCAAAAACCACAGAAATGGAATGTAAATTATAACCCAATAAAGCTGCTGTAAAAAATGTACTGGAGTTTGTCCCTGGAAAAACATAGCTTCAGAAAGGCAGAAGTCATTTTAAAAGTAAAATATTTTTTAAATGGTGGGAAACAAATTGTGTAATTGACCTTAATGTAGTGTTAATGTCTTCAATATATAAAGCACATTTATAAGCCAATAAGAATGTATTAGTCAGTTCTCATGTGCGAATAAAGACATACCTGAGCCTGGGTAATTTATGAAGGAAAGAGGTTTAATAGGCTCACAGTTCCACATGTCTGGGGAGGCCTCACAATCGTGGTGGAAGGCAAAGGAGAAGAAAGTCATGGCTTACATAGCAGCAGGCAAGAGATCTTGTATGGGGAACTCCCATTTATAAAATCATCAGATCTTATAAGAGTTATTCACTACCATGAGAACAGTATGGGGGAAACCGCCCCCATGATTCAATTATCTCCATCTCCACCTTGCCCCACGATTGACACATGGGGATTATTACAGTTGAATGTGAGATTTGGGTGGGGACACAGCCAGACCAAATCAAAGAGAAAAAGGTAACATCTGAAATGAAAATGGGCTGAAGATATTAATATAAAGTTCATAAAAGAGGAAATATGAATGATATAAACACATTAAAATGCTCATCTTGACTTATAATAAAAGGACAAATTAAAGTGACATGTTTTTTGCTTACCAGATTGACCAAGATTACAAATACTAGTGACCCTGTAGGCTGGTACATGGGGCTGGATGTATTCTCATGCAATGCAATTGAGAGTTTACACTGATATAGTTGTCTGAAGGCCAATTTAGCCATATATTTAGCCATACAATTTAGCCAAACACTCATACATTTTGATCTTATAGTTCTATAATTTCATGCTAAGGAAATACTTGGGTGTATTAGCAAAGGTAAATGTGTAAAAATATTTGTCAAAGTAAATGATAGAAAAATACTAGAAAAATCCTACATGTTAAATAATTGGAATAGGGATATATAGTTTTACCTATACAGTGAAATTCTTAGCATCCAGTTAGAATAAAGATATTACTCATATTTATTGATATAGAGGTGTGGTCATAGTATATTGTTAGCCAAGAAAAGTAGGTACAAAATTATATACAATCTGATATTAAGTTTGTAATATATATTTTTATTGATATTAGATATGTATGTATAGTATAATTGTGTATTTATAAATATATTACTGTAAATTATATATTCATTATAGTCTTACAATTATATTTATATTCTAACATTTATATTATTATTTATAGTTATATGTTATATATTTATATGTATGTGGAGAAAAGTCTTAAAGGATTTTCATAAAAATATTAACAGTTGTCTTTGAATGATAAGATTTGGGGTGAGGCCAGGCACAGTAGCTCACGTCCGTAATTACAGAACTTTTGGAAGCCAAGTGAGAGGATCGCTTGAACCCGGGAGTTCAGGACCAGCCAGGGCAGCATAGTGAGGTCTTGACTCTACTAAAAAATAAAAAAATAAAAAATAGGTGGCATGGTGGCACACACCTGCAGTCCCAGCTACATGGGAGGCTGAGGTAGGAGGATCACTTGAGCCTGGGAGGTCAAGGCTATAATGAGCTATGATTGTGCCACAGCTCTCCAGCCTGGGCAACAGAGCAAGACTCTGTCTTAAAAAAACAACAACAGAAAGATCTGGAATTTTTTTTCCTAAATTCTTATTTCACTTACCATTTTTGCACAGAATAGACAATTTGAATATTTTATATTTTTAATAGAACTGTAAGCAGATTTTAGAGCCCTTTGGAGAAGCACTTAGGCTTTTGACAGAGTCAGGCTGTATTAAAACCCTTTGCTCAATGACTCTGGACAAGTCACTAACCTCCCCAAGTCTTAATTATCTCAGTAGCCACCTCATAAAGTTGTCATTAGTGAGACAAAGTATTTTAAGGTCTTAATACAGTGCCTATGTATAATAAGCACTTAGTGGCTGTTATTCTTGTTTTTATAATTATCATTATCAATATTAAGGAAGATTCTCCATTGTTTATAAATACAGAACTTTTAATTATCTACACATACATATGGCAGGACCATGCCACATGGGGGATCCCTTAGTCCAAAGAGCTAAACATCTGCCCACTCCCCTCGAGAGGAAGAAATTTTTCTCAAGCAACTACATTCTGTTGTCACGACAGGACATTTTTCATTATAATCACATAATAACTATTAGTTATGTGTCTCAATGATAACATCAAAGCATATTTAGCTTGTAGCTTAACTGTGCTACCAGGTAGAAGAAATGAAAAATGATAGAAAATGCTGTTGCCAAATATAAACTATTTCAGAAACATAAATGAAAAACCAATAGCTATGTGGGCTAACCATGGAGTTAATTATCTTTTGTAATATCAGGAGACAATGATATAATAATAGGTTATGACAAGTTAAATATTGCTATATAACAAAATACAATATCATAGGATAGTATTCTTATAATATAAAGTATATATATTATAATACAATAATAAATATAATATAATAATATAAGAAATAAGGTGTTTTTCCAAGTTCCAAGAAACTGGATTTCAAATCAATCTGTGAACTCTAACAGATTTCTAATCTGGGGGCAGGACAGTGTCATATTATATAAAAATTGTGCTGTATTTTATGTTAACATTTTATATTTCATTATATATCATACTATCTATATTACATGTAGAATTTCTAGGTTCTAGCAGTATAACCTGTTGTTAGGCATTCTAACACTCATTTAATTATTTCTCTGTTGCAAACTTTTAAAGAATATTAAAACACGTACATCTGGCCACATCTTAGAGGAAGTGACTTACTGTGCTTCTGAAATATTAAATCAGTAGTAAAATAGCCTCCTCTGATGGCCCTCAAAGGGCTAGGGAAGTTATGAGTATGCACTGCTTCTGATTTCCCACACACGGGATTATGTATGTCTCATCTCTCAAATGTGGAAAAATACTAAAAAGGCAGAAACCAGTGATTTTGCTAACAAGTCTGAGATAAAAAGGGCAAAGCTAAATTTCTGGGCAGGTGATGTCCTCTTTTCTCAAGTCCCAGTCCACTCATTGTAGACACCAAGTAAGGTTTGTATCTTCTGGATGAAAGTCTCATTTCCCGTTTTCCATCATTAATCTCTTTGGTCTGCTGTACACAGAAATATATTCGCTCTTTTAAACCCAGAAAAATGACTGAGTTGTACCTACTAGGTCACAATGGATCACTGCTACTGGAAAAGCAAAATTAGAATTTTTGGGATACCAAATAAATTAACTAATTGAAAGCTGTAAGCTTTGTTGTGATGAAGAGTCGGTTTAAGGCTGGACAGAATCTGGCTAACACAAAGCTTCCAGGTAAACACTGCATGACCTAATGGGTGTTATTGGCAAGTGTTTGGGAGTCATTAACTCAGAGGGAAGTGGTGGGCTGTGAGGGGGCACTAAATTGCTTCCATAAAAAATAAACCAGGGGCCAGGCGCGGTGGCTCACACTTGTAATCCCAGCATTTTGGGAGGCCGAGGCAGGCAGATCACCTGAGGTCAGGAGTTTGAGACCTGCCTGGCCAACATGGTGAGACCACATCTCTACTAAAAATACAAAAATTAGCAGGGCATGGTGGCATGTTCCTGTAATTTCAGCTACTCAGGGGGCTGAGGCAAATCACTTGAACCCGAGAAGCAGAGGTTTCAGTGAGCTGAGATCGCACCACTGCACTCCAGCCTAGACAACAGAGCGGGACTCCACCTCAAAAAAAAAAAAAAAAAAAAGAACCAGGGAGTAGATTAAAATGCAGATTCCTAGGGTGGGCCAAAGAATCTGCATGTTTTAAAAGTTCCCTGCTTTTAAAAGCTGATTTAGAAACTCTGACTTAGGAAGTAAAAATGACACAATCCAATGATCTTTTGGTAAATGAATCCACAACCATCCAATGACATTGCAGAAAAAATCAAAATATATAACTTTTGCTTTAAAGCAACCTTGCCCTTGCCACGGTGCTGAAACAGCCATATTTGAAATAAAAATGATTTAAATAACCCATAGGATTTTTCTTTTATATATATATATATAGCATTTATATTTTATTAGGTATTATAAGTAATCTAGAAATGATTTAAAATATACAGAAGTGAATAGGTTATATGCAAATAACTGTGGCTATATTATATAAAGGGCTTAAGCATCTGTGATTTTAGTATCTGTGGAGGTCTTAGAACTTAATCCCTGGCAGATACCATGGGATCACTGTACAAAATAGGCCCCGGACACAGATATTTTTTAGTACATAGATACATAGATAATTTTTTTTAATGAGCCCCTATCTTCAGGGATTAGATCAATATTGTTTTAGACCTAAGATGTATCCCAGTGGTGGAGGAAAAATCTCAAATAACTAGTTCAACATTATTTCAGTCCCCTATCCCACCTAACTGAGCTGTTGTTTTGAGTTATTCTCTAAAGACACCACTTTCTTCTCAATATCAAATGACATATTTAGTTAGGAAACAGAAGTAAACTGGCATTGTGGACTCTATGATATTTTAAAGGTTAATATTATTCATTACTAAACTAATTAGGCTAATTGCCTTCTCAGAAATGTAGATTTGAATATGCTGTAGATGTTGACAGTTTATTCCCACATAGCTGATGCTGCAATTGGAGTTTAATCAGCAATTCTATGATGCTTTCACATTCAACCTTCAAATTCAGGCATTCTTTCTGGGCAAAAGCATCAGCGATGTTACTGAGTTTCAACCTTGCCCTCCCCAAGGGGTTTTCAGCTGACAGCAGGGCCTAGTGGCAACAGTCCTGAGATAGGAGTTGAAGGCCCAGGTCAGTGAGTCCCAAAGTGCCCTTCTTTTAATAGCAGAATGAGAATCCCCCAGGCCCAATTCAGGGAGCCTTGGAATCTGCATTTCCACAAGGTGATTCTGATGTAAAAGCACTGATCAAGATTTTATCTTCTTTATCCTGGGTCAGCCAAGATAAAGTATATAATCTCTTACACCTTGATTTGCAAGTCTCTATGGTGGAATAATGATATTTGTATCTCCTTTTCTCCTAGGAATATTAAAGAGACAACATTAGTGAATATATATTTAAAAGTAAAAATCTCAGAGTTTGAGAGAACAGCGTAACGTGGTAGTAAAATAACAGGTTAGCATTAGAAAAACTTGGTTCTAGAACCCAGTCAGCCACCTACTCACTGAACTTGAGTCTCGATTTTCACATCTTCAAAAAAGAGATTAATACCTACTTCCCAGAGTTAGGTTAAAGGAGATAGTATGTGTATAAAATTTGTCTTATGATTACCACACTGTAGATATTCAATAAAAAGTAGATATTACTAAGAATGAGAGGAGCTATAAATTTACTGGATTTATGTCAACTGAAAGTGATAAAACCATGTGGTCAGGTGCCGTGGCTCACGCTTGTAATCCTGGCACTTTAGGAGGCTGAGGCGGGTGGATCGCCTGAGGCCAGGAGTTTGAGAACAGCCTGGCCAACATGGCAAAACCCCATCTCTACTAAAAATACAAAAAATTAGCTGGGCATGGTGGTGGGCGCCTATAATCCTAGCTACTCAGGAGGCTGAGGCAAGAGAATCGCTTGAACTGGGTGGCAGCGGCTCGGGGGCAGAGGTTGCAGTGAGCCGAGATCGCACGACTTCACTCCAGCCTGGGCAAAAGGGCAAAACTCTGTCTCAAAAAACAAATGAAAAACAAAAACAAAACAAAATATTGTAAGAGCCACTAATATGGGAATGCTTGCTATTGCTGTATAACCTAGCTTTTCCTGACTAATAAAGATTTCAAATGATGATAGAGTGTTTTGTTTTTAAATAATGGAACTACCAGGTACAGCTTTCTCTATGAACTTTGGTCACAGTGGATATGAAACTCTTTAAGCAATCAACTGTCTGCAAGGATGCCAAGCACAGATCCTCCTACTTAGAAATGTCACTTGCAGAGGCCAACTTAAAGAGCCTCTGGCAGGAATACACCTCTTGCCAGGTGTTAAGTTTCATTTTTAACCAGTTCTGTTGCTATTATTTTCAAGCCATAATTTGTGTTGAGGATGAGATCTTCTTGAGACACCTAAGAGAAAGCCTCTCTCATCCACTTGCACAGATAGGCTGTCTGCAGCGATGTGCAATCCCCTGACTGCATGCAAGCATTTGCCACTTCCCAGGGATTCCAGCCTCTCTAGAGAGCAGTCTGCTCAGCTCAGACCCATCACTGTTGCGATTGTGTGAGATACCAGCTGCCCGCCCTGTCAGCCCACCTCCTGCTTGTTTACTGCACTGGAAGCTCTCAACTGCTCCTCTCTGAGGCCGGGAGGATCCCTTGAGTGTTGTCAATGTCTGTCACAAATGAGGGGTTTGCATGGAAAGCTGCTGCTGAACATGTGTCAGGAGAGAAAAGCAATGATAATGAGAGAAGCAAAAAGCCTATAATTGTTACAGATCAGCACCACTTATAGAGGCAGGGTGGAGGGGTAGAAAAAACACAAAATTTGGAGCATAAGAAATAGGGATTTGGATCCCAGCTCCACTTGTTTTACCAGTGATAATAATACCTGATATTTATTGAGCACGCTTTAAGTGCTCAATATGAGATATGAAATACAGCAAACATATGAGATAGTGTGACGGTTAACTTGATGTGTCAACTTGACTGGGCCCAGGGGTGCCCAGATTAAACAGTGTTTCTTGGTGTGTCTGGGACGGTGTTTCCAGATGAGATGAGCATTCGAATCAGTGGACTCGGTAAAGTCAATGGCCCTCTCCAACATAGGGGGCATCATCCAACCTGTTGAGGTCCTGAATAGAACACAAAGACAGAGGAAAAAGGAATGTGCCTCTTTTTTGTCCCACTGGCCTGCCTGAGTTGGAACATTGGTCTTCTCCTGCCCTTAGACTAGATTCCCACCATTGGCCCCCTTGTTTCTTGGACCTTCGGGTTTAGACTGGGATTTCTACCACTGGCTTTCCTGGGTCTCCAGCCGGCAGATTGTGGGACTTCTCAGCCTCCATAATCACATGAGCCAATTCCTCATAAGAAATCTCTTCATCTATGTACATGAGTATATATATTTGCTCTGTTCCTCTGGAGAACACTGACTAACACATCTATGTCCTACTGTACCATTACCCTGGTTTTACAGATTAGGAGAACTGAAGAACAATGCGATGTACCACAGGCAAAAATGTTTCTTTCAGTCCTTCAAATGATTACTCTCCTTTTAAACTCTTATGATGGCCAACCCTTCTATACATCTGCAAACTATATGCAGGAAGCTAGGAGTCTGAGATGTTTGAGTGATTCATTTATGGTACAGTCAAGGGACAGTGGGTCTGCTAGA
This sequence comes from Homo sapiens, assembly GCF_000001405.40. Classification (NCBI taxonomy): domain Eukaryota; kingdom Metazoa; phylum Chordata; class Mammalia; order Primates; family Hominidae; genus Homo; species Homo sapiens. The sequence goes on from NC_000002.12 coordinate 223,689,740, forward strand.
AAACACCTGCAAAGCAGCACAGTGACATTTGCTAAAGGTGAGATGTAAGACAACAGTTTTCCATGTAATCGCACAGGATTGGACAGAAAGAAGGCTCCCTCATTTACAGGCCAAAGCGAATTTGTCAGTTTCCTCACCAGGTTACATGAACATTTTCTCAGATATTTTCCTCCAAAAGTGTTTTGTGTAGATAAAAATAACTTAGATGTGACCGGGTGTGGTGGCTCACACCTGTAATCCCAGCACTTTGGGAGGCCCAGGCAGGTGGATCACTTGAGGTCAGGAGTTTGAGACCAGACTGGCCAACGTGATGAAACCTTGTCTCCACTAAAAATACAAAAAAAAAAAAAAAAATTAGCTGGGGGTGGTGGTGGGCCTCTGTAATCCCAGCTACTCAGGAGGCTGATGTAGAAGAACTGCTTGAACCTGGGAGGCAGAGGTTGCAGTGAGCCGAGATCGAGCCACTGCACTCCAGACTGGGTGACAGAGAAAGACTCCATCTCAAAAAAAAAAAAAAAAGCAACTTAGATGAGTCTAAATATCCCACCCCACCCGCTACTGGAATCCTTCAACAGTTCCTCAATACCCAAAGAAAAAAGAGCCATAACCTTTAACAAAAAATCGAAGGCTCTTCACAATCTTCCCCAAACCTACTTTTCTGGCCACTCTTAACCTTCCCCCCTTGAACATATGTTAACCCTCTGTCATGCTACCTCACACCTGTTACCAGACCATACCTTTACCCCCATGTCTTTGTTCATGCTGTTCTCTCCATCAGGTGTACCTTTTCTGCTAATTGTTGTCTGTCCAAACAATACCCATGTGTATTGATTCCCTGTGGCTGCTGTAACACCATGCCACACACCGGATGGCATAAACAACAGAAACGCATTGTCCCACAGTTCTGGAGGCTGGACATCTGAGATCAAGATGTCAGCAGGATTGATTCCTTCTGGGGGCTTGAGGGAAAGACCTGTTCCCTGCCTCTCACCCAGCTTCTGGTGGTTTGCTGGTAACCTTTGGCATTCGTAGGCTTCTAGATGTATCCCTGATTCCTGCCTTCGTGTTCACATGAAATTCTCCCTGTGTGTGTGTGTCTCCAAAATTTCCTTTTTCTTTTTTTTTTTTTTTTTTTTTGAGATGGAGTTTCACTCTTGTCGCCCAGGCTAGAGTGCAGTGGCGCAATCTCGGTTCACTGCAACCTCCGCCTCCCAGGTTCAAGCAATTCTCCTGCCCCAGCCTCCTGAGTAACTGGGATAAACAGGCACCTGCCACCACGCCCAGTGAATTTTTTTTTTATAATTTTAGAGAGACAGGGTTTCACCATGTTGGTCAGGCCAGTCTCAAACTCCTGACTTCAAGTGATCTACCCGCCTCGGCCTCCCAAAATGCTGAGATTACAGGCATGAGCCACCGCACCTGGCCCAAATTTTCCTTTTTCATAAAACACCAGTGCTATTGGATTAGGAGCCCACTCTACTACAGTACGACTTCTTGACCAATTACATCTGCCACCACCCTGTTTCCAAATAGGTTCACATTTTGAGGTACTGAGGGTCATGGCTTCAGCATATGAGTTGGGAACTGGGACACAATTCAGCGCATAACTTCATGCCTCAGTTCTCACATCCAAGACTACTACTTTATTTAAAATGACTTCCAAATTCTTGGCCAGGTGCGGTGGCTCATGCCTGTAATCCCAGCACTTTGGGAGGCTGAGGCGGGCAGATCAATTGAGGTCAGCAGTTCAAGACCAGCCTGACCAATGTGGTGAAACCCTGTCTCTACTAAAAATACAAAAATTAGCCAGGTGTGGTGGCATGTGCCTGTAATCCCAGCTACTCAGGAGGCTGAGGCATGAGAATCACTTGAACCCGGGAGATGGAGGTTGCAGTGAGCTGAGATCATGCCACTACACTCCAGCCTGGGTGACAGAGTAAGACTCTGTCTCAAAAATGAATAAATAAATAAAATTATCTCCAAATTCCAAGATGAAATATGAATTTTTCTCTGAGCTGAGATCATGCCACTACACTCCAGCCTGGGTGACAGAGTAAGACTCTGTCTCAAAAATGAATAAATAAATAAAATTATCTCCAAATTCCAAGATGAAATATGAATTTTTCTCCTCTGAATTTGCAAGTCATTTACCTAGAATGACTTTCAAATGCCTTATGATATCTAAAACTCTTCTGTTTTCCCTAATTATTCACCATGTGTGTTTTTCTACTGAAGGTGGGATGTATTTCTTATTCATCTTCACATTCTCCTCAAGGATCATTACCTTGCACACAGTTGGCGCCTTCACTGTGTTTGTGGAATAGAATTGTAATCACTTCTTTTAATTTCTTCCTGCAGAGTCACTTTTTCATGCTTTTTTTTCTTGCCAATAAGCTGCAACCTGCAACACCCCAAAGTGTGTTCCTGCCCTAGCAATGTGCATCCCCACAGAGCGGGGCCAGTAGCAGGCATAAACAAATGCCTTCCTGAACACTAAAACTTAGCAGGCACAAGCTAATTCATTTCTCAACACTTTGGCTGACATTTTGGAAGCTTCAGCTTATCAGTGCAGACAACATTTATCTCACACACACAAAAAGCCACTTGTTCCCGAATACCAGGCAGGTGTCTTATATAGATAGTTACACATATATTTTTAAATGCTCAATCTGCCAGCAGAAGGACACTAGATTTACTGTTGAGAATCTGACATTCTCCTCTTTAATCTGCTAAACCTGCCCCTGAAGGCGAGAGGCTCTTCGCATCCCTCCAAGCCAGTGTTATGCAGCATAATCCAGTCTACACTAGGTGGCATCGCAGCCAACTGGGAAGTTTCTCTCTAGAGAGACGGGAACCGCAGAGGATTCCAGAGACTCTCACTTTTAACGATATTTCAGTATTCCTGAGCAAAGTAAGCACTTAATCAGAACATATACATAAATATTAACAAATGTATGCTCTATGAACAAATTACAGCACATGGCATAATACCTTGAAAGCCATATTTAAATGCCTGCTAAAACTAGCATTTTTCAAATGATGTGATTTTTTAAATTATTATTATTATTATTATTTTTGAGACAGTCTCATTCTGTCACCCAGGCTGGAGTGTAGTGGCGCGATCTTGGCTCACTGCAACCTCCGCCCCCTGGATTCAAGCAATTCTCGTGCCTCACTGTCCCGAGTAGCTTGGGATTACAGGTGCACACCATCACACCTGGCTCGTTTTTTTGTATTTTTAGTAGAGACAGGGTTTCACCATGTTGGCCAGGCTAGTTTCGAACTCCTAACCTGAAATGATCTACCGACCTTGGCCTCCCAAAGTGCTGGGATTACAGGTGTGAGCCACCGCACCCGGCTTCAAAATTATTATTGAAATGAGGATAATTAGCATGTCTATCAACACAATCTGTATACGTATCGAAACTTCACACTGTACCCCAGTCACAATTCCTATGTGTCAACTAAAAACAAAATAAAACATATTTTACAATGAAAAATCTGTACAGGAAAGAAACTGGACAACACCTTAACCAAGTCATCAAAATGCAAGAAAACGTTGACCTAAGAGCAGGCAGAATAGTTCTTCGCAAGGAAAGGTATCCTTTGTGTTTCCCCTAAGGGGCAGACAGACATGGTACATCTCCTATTGTAATACTCGAAAATAATATAACAGCTCTCACATAGCATTCCTGCCCAAAATGCATAACGTGAAGCAAATTAGAAGGAAACAGCACATGCATCTAAAGTAATTGACATTCTATAAAATAAATTGGCCCTTATTCTTTCTTAAAAAAATGTAAATGTCTTGATAGATAAAGAAAGGCTTAGGCACTGTTCCATATTAAAGGGAAGTAACTACAAACACAAGATGACTAAATCTAATACACGGTCCTGGACTGAAGCTGTACTAGGAAAAGCACATTCGTACCAAGGGTATTGAGACAGCAAAACTGGAAGCTGAACTGTAGTTCAGATAAATACACACTGAAGACATAGGGGAAAAGGGGGTCTGATATATGCCATCTACTCTCAAATGGTTCAGAAAAAAATATGTACATGGAAAATATACATAGAAGGGGATGAGAGACAGGATAAAGTTGATGTAAAATATTTAGTATTGACGATCTAGGTAAAGGGTACATGGGTTATTTGTACTATTCTTGCAACTTTTCTGTAAGTTTGAAATTACTTTGGAATGAAAAGAAAAAATATTTTAATAAATAAAAAAATTGGGTTTGGGGTTTTTTTTGTTTTGTTTTGTTTTTGTGTGTTTTTGTTTTTTTTTTTTTTTTTTTTTTTTTTTGAGACAGAATTTTGCTTTTTCGCCCAGGCTGGAGTGAAGTGGCACAATCTCATCTCACTGCAACCTCCACCCCCCAGGTTCAAGCTATTCTCCTGCCTCAGCCTCCCAAGTAGCGGGGATTACATGTGCCCATCACCACGCCTGGTTAATTTTTTGTAACTTTAGTAGAGACAGGGTTTCACCATGTTGGCCAGGCTGGTCTCAAACTCCTGACCTCAGGTGATCCACCCTCCTCGGCCTCCCAAAGTGCTAGGATTACAGGCATGAGCCACTGCGCCCAGCAAAAGATTAGTATTTAAACATATGAAAGACTGAGCCACTTTGAGATGCCTCACCTTTCACCATTTGTTTCTTGCACATCAGTTGCTACGTACCTTATCCAAGCTTGCGAGTGTGTTTGACTCTCTCCTCTCTATCCACTCTTCTCAAAGATGTCCAAGAGCCAGCATGGAGAATTTGGTGCCTTCTTCCTGCTACCCCAGCTGTCCCTGGCTGCTCTGTTTGTGCAAGAAGCTTGTTAGTCAATAGAATCTGTCTGTCAATGATTCTCATCCCGGACTGCATATTAAAATCACCTTGGGAGGCCTTAAATGATGCTGACCTCTCAACCTCGGATTTTCTCATTTAATTAGTTGGGAAAAGGGCCCATTGATATTTTTAAAACCTCCTGGTGATTCTAATATTCAGCAAGTTTGAGAACCACTGAACTAATGTGTTCCCAGTTTTATGAATGAGTGGGCCGCAGTCCTGCTGCATCAGAATCATCTAAGAGGATTACTAAAAGGGTAAAATGCCTGGCCATGGTGGCTCACACCTGCAATCCCAACACTTTGGGAGGCAGAGGCAGAAATGGGAGGATCACTTGAGCCCAGGAGTTCGCGACCAGCCCAGGCAACACAGTGAGAACCCCATCTCTACAAAAAATTAGCCAGGTATGGTGGCACATGCCCATAGTTTCAGCTACTTGGGAGACTGAGATGGGAGGATTACCTGAGCCCACGAGTTTGAGGCTGCAGTGAGCTGTGATCACTCCACTGCACTGCAGCCTGGGCAACAGAGCAAGACCCTGTCTCTAATGAACAATCAATCAATGTAAACCTCCAGGTGTTACTCCAAACCTACTAAATCAAACTCTGTGGGATGGAGGCCCAGACATCTTTCTATACATTCCAAGTGATACTGAAAACTTAAAAATCAGTATTCTGTTTGGTTTTTTGTTTTTGTTTTTGTTTTTTGTTTTTTTGGAGGGGGAGGCTGTCACTCTGTCACCCAGACTGGAGTGCAGTGGCATGATCACAGCTCACTGCAACCTCTACCTTCCAGGTTCAAGCAATTCTTGTGCCTCAGCCTCCCAAGTAGCTGGGATTACAGGTGTGTGCCACAAGTCAGGCTAATTTTTGTATTTTTAGTAGAGACAGGTTTTTGCCATGTTGGCCGGGCTGGTCTCGAACTCCTGGCCTCAAGTGATCCTCCCACCTCAGCTTCCCAAAGTGCTGAGATTATAGGCATGAGCTACCATGCCTGGCCCAAAAATCACTGTTCTGAAACAGTAGTTTCCATGTTTTTTTTGATGGAGCTCACTTTCTGTCACTCCAGAGCAAGGCCATGAAGCTGTGACATCCCAGCCTAGCCCTTGATAGCACGCACTGTTGGTTAGCTTACCCAACAGGCAATTCTAGCCCTTCTCCCCTTCCTTCCTTCTTTCCTTCCTTCCTTCCGCTATAGCTGCTGGAAAAGCTCAACACTCCCTCTTGCAGGCTCCCTCACAGCTGGTAAGGGCAACAGGACCCAATTTAGCCAGTCTTCAAAGGGGTAGTCTGCCAATGGGATTGAGAATATCTTGTTTCTTCATAAAAGGACTTTGCAAGTTCCATGTTCCTGGCTACCGTTTTCCTCTTCTTCCTGCCTTGAAACCGGCTGTGATGCCTTCTTCTGACCGTGTAAGGGCAAGGATAGCCACAAAAGGCCAACACGCTAAGGCTGATGGAGTAAAAGAGTGGAAAAACCTGGATCTTTGATATTGTTAAGAAGCCCACACATGCTTTCAGCATTTCTAACTGATAAAGCATCCCACCTTCCTCATTATCCACTCCAGAGAGAAATCACATTTAAAGAAGCATGACTGAAGTCTCCATTTTTCTTCCTTTTCAAATATTTAATATTGTCCAAGGATTAGTCTACAAAGCCTAATGCATGAACTGTTGTACCCAAGTCTCTACCTCCACCTCCACTTCACTCTGTCTAATCGTGGAAGCCTTTCATTCCACACCCCACATTCTGCAGCCCCCAGACCCCCATCCCAGAAAGAACTGTCTCACCCAGGTCCTCCTGCTCCACCATCTAGGTTCCTCGAGTCCTTCTTTCCTCTCCCCAGTGCTCTCCCTTCCCTCCAGAGAGAATGCACTCTCCCCCTTCTCTTCTAAGAAGAGAACGAAGCAGGAAGAAGCTAAGCAGAGAACAGGGGAGTGGGAAAGCTGTGGACCCTTAACATGAAGGATTTTTAACTGTTCACAGAGAAAACCCAGTGTTTCAGAACACATAGACTCAGATGTCCTAGGACTGAAGGCTAAGGGGAGAGAGCAGTAGGCCGCTGCCCACACTCATCCACAAAAGTTTAGCACATCCGTTCTAAAGTCAGGCTACCCTTCCTAATAACCACTGGAGCTTTCCAAATTACAGATTAAACTCTGATTCAATAGATCTAGAATCCAGAAATTCTGATTCAATAGATCTAGGTGAGGCTCAGACATCTGTTTTTAAAAGCTTCCCAGATGACTGATGAGCAGCCAAGGTCAATAACCCCAGGTAGTAGACGACAGCTGGAGAAACAACTCTCCATTGTCAACAGCAACTCTCAATTAAACAAGGAAATCTTGTCCTTTCCTCTCCTCTCCACTTAAAGTCATTCAAACTATGACTAAGGTAGTACTCAGCCCTCTGTTCAGTGAGATTTCATTTTACCTAATCAGAAAGAACTTTCAACTTGACAGAAAATGTGGATTCCATCCTTGGTTCCCCTAGAATCTTTCTCACATAAATACTTTAGCACCAAGCAAGCATGGCCTAGTCTTCTGGTGTTTTTATATCAAATCATATTACTTTATTCACAAATTACTTCTGATAAATGACCCTGGCTAGCAGTCAAACTGAATTTTTATAGTGAACAAATACTTCTTGAAGAGACTGAAACTCTTCAGACTCATTCAAACATTTTCAGAACTTGACAAACATAGACACTATAATTATGCATAGTAGTTCTGATTGTATCTTTGGACCACATTTTACTTAGCATTGTAAGCTGATCTGTTTCCAAGAGAGAAAGAAAGAAATATCTTAGTCTGTTTCTTATTATGAAATTTAATTATTAATGAAACTCCTTTACCTTTTAGAACTATTCTTAGGATCTCCAGATGCAAGATGAAATTATTGGTGAATGCCATCATGAGGTAATGGCAACATGTCAAATAGAAAGAATGTGTTATTTTTAAAGGCTCTGAAAGAATTTGGTGAATTTTAATTATAAAGTCACAGACCTAATATTTTATCACTTTCCATCCCATGTATGTCATCCCTAGATAATATTTTCCAACTTTTCTTTTTCTCAGGCTCCTGCTCTCTAGAACAAGGGTGATTATCCACATGGCTGCTAACCTTATGAGCACGTTGAGACACTGGATACGTTAGAGAGTGTAGCACACTGGAAAAAAACTACTAAATGAAAAGTATAATTTCCATAGCTAAAAGATGTTTATCATTAGTACCAGTTATTAGCTCATCTATTTAAAGGAAATGACTCTCCATAGAAACTGATCTTCCTTCATTGAATATGTTGGCCTTAATGAGATTGAGGCCTTGTAATTACCAGGAGAAGGAAAGATCATTTGAATTGGTACTATTCCATAAGGCTGTCCTTTTCATTTATTTCTCATGAATCATGTGAACTACTGGGAGGTCTCATACCCATGCTTTTCATTAAGGAACAGGTAACGCATTTAACTTTGATTTTATGACTCAGTCTCGAGAACGCTATGATCTGACCTCTGGGGTTTAGAAATAAACCACTTTCTCATCAATACTGGAATCATTCAGGAGGAGCTGGGAGACTGGTTTTATCCAGCACACACACAAAAGTGCATTTTACAAAAGCAGAGAAAATAGTCACAGGAGGACGATGGGAGTTGTCCGACAAAGAACAAAGCAGAGCACCCACTTGGGTCTGGGGCCTGGAGGGTCATTCTTTTTGACATAGCAGCTTCCAGGGGTGATTCACCACCTGCATTTGGGAGCAGAGATTTCCACTTGTCTGATACGAGCAGTAGATCATCTATGACTTTGTGCAACCATGTTGTCATTTAAAGCACAACTAGATTCTAACTTTAGGGGGAGCTATTCTTGGGGCCAGGCTGGGCTGAGGGCAAGCGATCTGTGTCCTTGGTAGGTAGAACAACATAAGTATATCCCCTCACCCCCATGACTACCTTCTCTCCACCTCACAGTCTTGCTTTTTCTAACATGTTCTCAGCATAGCCTTACCTATTCACATGTTACTCTTCAGAAATGTGTTGTTGAAAAAGAATCCACATTTGAACAATGTGCTAAGGAGAACAACTACATATCCTCCCTCATCTTCCCCTGGCTATGCTTCTGATTGTCATTCAAGGATTTTACAGGTTCACAAAATAATGTCATCCCTGTCCTAAAGAAGGAGAAACTCTGGGATGTATTCTCCAAAATGACTTTGTATAGACTCTTGGAACAAGCCAAGGCTGAAGCTATTTTGGCCCAGAGCTTATCCTTTCCCAGAGGTTATTTCTTACCTCCAAATGGATTCGTTCTGATGAAGGGGCAGTTTTTGCTCATGACAAACAAGCACAAGCACAGAGGAGAAAATTATTATTTTGATTTGGAAACTGAATTTGGGAAGCAGGTGAAGTAATTGTCAGGTAAGTAAAGGAAAGTAACCATTGAAAGGCAGTATATTTTTGACCCCATTTTAAAACTTGATCTCAGGCATAGGCAAAACTGGTTCCAACCAAGATTTGTTTACTTGGGTTATACTGGAGGCAGAAAAGTTAATGTGAAGGCTAGAAAGAGTTTGAAGGAGAAAGAGTTTATAAGAAAGGAAAGTGAGAAAAAAGAGAAGTTGTACCACCCAAACTATCTAGTCAACATTTAATGGTATTTTATGGGCTGCCCATCAAAGTTACTTAATATATATTTAAAAGAAAATGGGGGCTGGGCGTTGTGGCTCACGCCTGTAATCCCAACACTTTGGGAGGCCAAGGCGGGCAGATCACGAGCTCAAGAGATCGAGACAATCCTGGCCAACATGGTGAAACCCCATCTCTACTAAAAATACAAAAATTAGCTGGGCATGGTGGCACATGGCTGTAATACCAGCTACTCGGGAGTCTGAGGCAGAAGAATCACTTGAACCCAGGAGGCGGAGGTTGCAGCAAGCCGAGATCGGGCCACTGCACTCCAGCCTGGAGACAGAGTGAGACTCCATCTCAAAAAAAAAAAGAAAAGAATAAAGAAAATGGGAATGTCATTATATACCTCCCTACCTAGTCACAAAGAACATAAGGTACTTTGGAGTTTATTGAGACCTTTTGCGTAGAACTGAATGAACAAAGACGTGTTATGACTCAGTGACTCACTAAAGGAAATGAGTCATAAGATGGTGTATTTAGTTGTTTGAGCTTCAGCATCACACTCAGCCAATCTGACATTGTTTATTGAAAATGGAGAAGTGAAGTTAGTGAATGCTATGTCTATTATTGAGATCTTTATTTTCCAACATAAAATACATTTCTCAACTCCATGACTTTGAATTCAAACTTATAGTGAAATTCATTCTCAAAAGCATTTTCTTGGTTTTAGATTTTATTCTTCTTCTTCTTCTTTTGAGTAAACATCTGCATTGACAATGGAACTTGCTAAAATTACAGGAAACTCATAAATACAATGAAATAATCTACAATCTCTTGCCATGGGTCACGTAAATCCATATGTATTAAAAAGAAATCAAATTAACAATTTGAAAAACCAGTCATGGCCACTCCACAGCAGCCAACATCATAAAATCTACAACTCCAGGGTCTAGAACATGTTTAGTAATTTTATCTAATAAACTGGAAAATGTAAAATGTTTCATCTCAGGGGAAAAAATGATATTAAATTTCTGTTACATTTGGTTCTCTTATATCCATTCAGACCCCTGGATTCATATTCATGATGGATAAACACCTCTTTCTAAGGCCAAGTGAGCCCATGAGATGATAACATGCTCTCTAATCCTACTATTATTTTCTCTTTGTTTTTTTATGGTTCTTTTAATCTGTTTATCTACATGACAAGCAAGTAGTAGAAATATGTCGAATTTCTGAGTTCTTATAGTATTCTTTTACGACTAGGTATGACCTAGCTAATCTTGTTAGCTAGTCGGAACAGTTGGTGAGACAACTGTTTGGCAGCCTCTATTCATTTGTTCATTTGCTTCTTTTACCACCAAAACATAGGATGAAATTTTCTACTGGTTTTAACTTAATTTTCATCCCAAGTTAGTGCAACTGGTGTATGTATGAAGCCGTAGCTGCATAACCCGGGTAGGACTGAAGCCAGGAACATCAGTGCCCAATCTTAGCTGCCCTGCAGAGCCCAGCTGAGGGGAACGTGCCAGGGTGATTTGATCGTTTAGTCTGCTGAATTATCTGTCAGAATTTTTCAGAATGGAGCTACAAGTGAGGGGTACTGTTTATAAAGAGGAAACAGCCTCCATAAGCAAGTATTAATTCCATGATGAGGAAGCAACCCCAAAAGGTAGAAATATTGGCTGGGCGCCGTGGCTTATGCCTGTAATCCCAGCACTTTGGGGGGCCAAGGTGGGTGGATCACCTGAGATCAGGAGTTCAAGACCAGCCTGGCCAACATGGCAAAACCTCATCTCTACTAAAAATACAGAAATTAGCCGGATGTGATGGCGGGCGCCTGTAGTACCAGCTACTCGGGAGGCTGAGGCAGGAGAATTGCTTGAACCCAAGAGGCAGAGGTTGCAGTGAGCTGAGATCATGCCACTGCACTCCAGCCTGGGTGACATAGCAAGACTCTGTCTCAAAAAAAAATAAAATAAAATAAAATAAAACAAAAGAGGTAGAAATATTTAATTAAGGTGCCTATTTCTAGTAGTAAGTACTTATAGAACATTTACCATGTGCCAGATACATTGTCATTTAAGGTACCTTACATATATGGACTCAATCTTCAACCACATAAGAGTGCCATTGTTTTATTTATTTATTTATCTATTTATTTTTATTTATTTTGAGACAGGGTCTCACTCTGTCGCCCAGGCTGGAGTGCAGTGGCACCAAGCAATTCTCCTGCCTCAGCCTCCCAAGTAACTAGGGTTACAGGTCCGTGCCACCATGCCAGGCTAATTTTTGTATTATTAGTGGAGACAGGGTTTCACCATGTTGGCCAGGCTGGTCTCAAACTCCTGACCTCAGGTGATCCTCCCCCCTCCACCTCCCAAAGAGCTGGGATTATAGGCGTGAGCCACTGCACACGGCCTGAGGATACCATTATTATTATCTCCATATTAAGAATGAAGAGATTAAAAGTCAGAGGTTAAGTAAATTGCCAATGTCACACAGCTGGAAAGTGGCGCTGCCAGTATTTCAAGTCTAGTTCAGAGTCTGTGCTCTTAACCAGTATGTTGTACTGCCATTTATAGACAATAAAGGAAAGTTCTACTTATTGATGAAGTGTATTTCTAGAAATGGGGTCAGAAAACCTTACAGTTAAAAGCACCACTTTTTTCTATAATCTCCATGTAGTCAGCAGTTACTCTAGGTGGTGATCTTAATTGGAAAGGAACAATACAGATTTAAATTTAAACCAGAAGAAACTGACGAGTCAGCTGCTCAAGCAGACAAATGGAATGAGACTATATGGGCAGCATCAGATATATCAACCAGAGAAATTCAGGGTAGCAAGAATTAGAGACTGCCTGTCACAGAAACAAGTATATACTGGGCTCCCTACTCTGGATTGCTATGGCAACAAGCTATATACACCAGATGATTTAGCAATTGGTATAAATTGTCTCAGGTTGTTCAAAACATTTCATCTTCTCTTCCCAATAACATAGTAACTTATCCAAAGTTTGAACTTGTATTGTCCTTGGGTATCTCCCAACATATTCCATCCATTGTTAAAATCAAAATGGTATTTAACACATTTGTTCTTTATGAATTTCATTTTCCATAATATTCTTTTATTATATAACAATTAATATACATAATCACAAAAGCGAGATGCATTTTTTTTTTTTTTTGATACAGAGTCTCGGTCTATCACCCAGGCTGGAGTACAGGGGTGTGACCTTGGCTCACTGCAACCTCCGCCTCCTAGGTTCAAGCTATTCTCCTGCCTCAGCTTCCTGAGTAACTGGGATTACAAGCACCTGCCACCACACCCGGCTAATAACAATATGCATTCTTGATAGCAATTTAAGAATTAAAGTATGCACACACAAAAATTACTTATTTTATCACTATACTTATGCTTTGGTTTGTCTTCTGTCTCCCTCTCAGTGTCTCTCAAGATTGTCATGAGATTTGAATGAGATAGCATGCAAAGTACACAGTACCGTGACTCGCATCAAGTGTTCAAGAAATGGAAGTTATTATTAAGGTAGTGATTACTATTTTTATTTTATGTATTTCTGAAGGGAAGATTTCTAAAAGTAAAATTGTTCCTTAGGCAGGGTGCGGTGGCTCACGCCTGTAATCTCAGCACTTTGGGAGGCCAAGGCAGGCAGATCATGAGGTCAAGAGATTGAGACCATCCTGGCTAACACAGTGAAACCCCGTCTCTACTAAAAAGCACAAAACAATTAGCCGGGCGTGGTGGCAGGCGCCTGTAGTCCCAGCTACTCGGGAGGCTGAGGCAGGAGAATGGCGTGAACCCAGGAGGCCAAGCTTGCAGTAAGCCAAGATCACACCACTGCACTCCAGCCTGGGCAACAGAGCAAGACTCCATCTCAAAGAAAAAAAAAATTGTTCTTTAGAGAGCATGCACATTTTAAATTTTACCAGTAACTGACAAAGTTCCCTCAATTTACCATTTGGGAAATTTACCAATTTCCCATACCAACTCACATTCCCACACAGTATAAGACCTTTCCCCACATCTAAATACTAAATACTATCAACGCTTATGTTTTCACTAGTTTGGGTGAAACATGATAATTCAGTTTAATTTGTATTTCTATTTGTGAGTGAATTAAGCATCTTTTTATGATCATTATTATTAGACATTTGGTGCAGTGGGATTCTGTTCAAATCCTTTCTTCATTTTTTGTATTGGGTTATTTTTCTTCTCTCACTGATTTTTAATAGCACCTTCTATTTCGTGGGTGTTCATTCTCTGTCTCCATCTGCAAATATTTTCTCCAGTTTTCTCAAAGTCTTTTAACTATGTTCATGGTATATTTTATGATTCTAAAATTTAAAAATTGTATGTATTCAAATACATCAATATTTCCCTTTATGGTTTCTGTGTTTGAGGCTTTTCCTGGGAAGGTCTTCCCCATTTCAATATTTATAAAAATATTTCCCTACTGTTTTATTATTTTAGCATACTAATACAATTGTTTAATATATCTGGAGTGGATGTGTATGTGCCTGTGAGATAAAGCTCTGCGTTTTTAATTTTGTGGCTCTCCATTCGTACCTATTAACACTGGTCAAATTTTAGAGTTCTTCCTTTTATTACAATACAAAATGTTATATGTAATCCAAGAAATAATACTAGGAGCCAAAATCTGTATAAGATTCTACAAACAGGCTGGGTGCAGTGGCTCATGCCTGTAATCCCAACACTTTGGGAGATCAAGGCAGGCAGATCACTTGAGGTCAGGAGTTCAAGACCAGCCTGGCCAACATGGCGAAATCCTGTCTCTACTAAAAATACAAAAATTATCTAGGCGTGGTGAGAGGCACCTGTAGTCCCAGCTACTGGGGAGGCCGAGGCATGAAAATCACTTGAACTTGGGAGGCAGAGGTTGCAGTGAACTGAGATCGCACCACTGCACTTCAGGGGGATAGAGCAAGACTGTCTCTAAAAAAAAAAAAACTAACTAAATAAATAAATAAAATAAAAAAGATTCCACAAACATACCATCTTACCCAGCACTTCTTTGTACAAACTATGATTCAATGTTTTTAGTCTCAATCTCACTGATGGAGAAATTGAGGATCAGAGAGTTTAAGCAACTTGATCAAGGTCATAAATTTAATGAGAGACATATTTGAACCTGGTACGTAGATATTTTGACCCATGTCACTCATACTTTCTACCATCAACTATTGTCTTATGTATAATTAGAAAGTATAATTAGAAAAAGAGAGAAGAATTAGTTTCAATATGCAAGATCAAACATTGAATATATTTATGTTTATTTACAATATTTGATCAACCATCATCACCTGGAGGTGTTAGCAAAATGTATAGTTCTTTTCGGCAGGTAGAAAATAAAATAGGGCTTGTTTCTGGTCCAGTAGGTCCAAGACGATGGAGCCAGGTGCCTCTCCCAAAGACCCCTGGGTAAAGGTGGAGTACATCTACAGCTACAAAAGCTCAGACCTCACGTATTTTATAGAAAGCACCCACAATGGGACAGTAGTGTCTAGAGCTAATAGCATCGGTTCCACCAGTGCCTCTTCCATCCCCAACACAGATGAGGAGGACAGTGATTACCACCAAGAGTCCTACAAGGACCAGTAGTGGTGAGCACACACTGAGGCTGAGCAGAAGAGGAAGGATGTCATCAAGAGAGGCTGTGATGACCTTCAGACCATCATCCCCACATGCCAGCAGCAGGACTCCTGCATTGGCTCCCGAAAGCTCAGCAAAGCCATCGTTCTACAAAAGACCATTGACTACACTCAGTTTTTGCACAAGGAGAAGAAAATGCAGGAGGAGGAGGTGTCCACACTATGCAAGGACCTCACAGCCCTAAAGATCATGAAAGGGAACTATAAGCAGATTGTGAAGGCACACCAGGACAACCCCCATGAGGGGAGGACCAGGCCTCTGACCAAGTCAAGGTCAGTGTGTTTCGAGGTATCACGAACTCCCTGTTCCAGTCCTTCAATGTCTTCATCTCTGTGACCAACTTCTAGGAGCTGTCAGCCTGTGTCTTCAGATAGATTGAGGAGCACTGCAAGCCACAGGCCATGGGAGATCGTGATTGGCATCCAGCACCAATTGAAAAACCAGCTTTACTGACCAGTTCTTGTAAACCTGCAGAACAGCAAACAAGAGGCCCTTGAGTCTCTATTTGGCCACTGAGCAGCTGGACCCATGAGACTGAACTGCAACAGCTCACCTTGGTCAGTTTCGCTTGGTGTTTGTGTTTTTTCAGCCCCATTGTATCTTCAGAAGGGCTGGGGTGTTTGTTTTGTGAAAGCTTTTGATTAATTTACTATATTGACCATAAAATTCAAACTTACCCAGTCCTTCCCCTCCCCATGGAAGTCCTTGGGATGGGAGTCTGCCCTTGACACCTCAAAGAGCTCACGGCTTCTCAGCCCTTTCTCCAAGCCTCAGATTTCTGCTCATGATCTACATATATTTGGAGACTGTTTGCCTCTGTTTTGGTCTCTTGGGCAACATTTGGCCTAAGTTTGGCCATTTTGGCAGTAGCTGGAGAAAAAGAGTAAGAAGAAATATTGCCACAGCCATGAAGAGTGAAAGACTGACTACCTTGTGCTTAAACTAGGGCTGCCCGTTCAGTCCAAGGTGAGGCCAAGGGTTTTCTGGCCATCTCAGGGCAAGGCTACCAGGTTCTTCTCCTAGCCTCATATTCCATCACCTCCTTCCTCCTCTGCTCTGTTGGTGTTGGGAAAGCAGCCTCCCTCTCAATTCCTGCCTTCTCAGTTCCCACAGGCTGCGGTGCTGCGTGGCAGAGGCAGGCGTGCCACAGCACCACATACTTGAAATTTTTTATTTTTCTCAACACCAATACAATTTTGCTAAAGTTACTACTTTGGAATATTAACTGGGCCTCAAAGCCACCCCTAGCCTTTCTGTCAAGCATATCTGGTCCTGTCCCATGTCTCAATGTGGCCCGTTTCTCCCAGGACTTAGGGGTGGGGTTAAAGGGTGCAGAAGATACTCAAAAGGTCTCCAGGGATACACAGGCTCAGGAGAGTCCTGGGGGAAGCCTTGGGCTCCCCAGATGCTGGTGGATAGTAACCTC
Source organism: Homo sapiens (assembly GCF_000001405.40). NCBI lineage: Eukaryota > Metazoa > Chordata > Mammalia > Primates > Hominidae > Homo > Homo sapiens. The sequence goes on from NC_000002.12 coordinate 223,706,314, forward strand.
TCTCCATCCTAGTCCTCCAAGCTCACTTCTGCCTTCCGCAGGTTTCATATCTGGGAGATTTGGCCATCCAGAGGAAATTAAATATTTTATATCCAACACAATTATAATAATATTGTCAAATGCTTTCCTTTAAAAAAAGAAAAGACAGCTGGGCGTGGTAGCTCACTCCTGTAATCCCAGCACTTTGGGAGGCTGAGGTGGGCAGATCACCTGAGGTCAGGAGTTAGAGACCAACCTGGCCAACATGGTGAAACTTCCTCTCTACTAAAAATACAAAAATTAGCTGGCTGTTATTACAGCGTGCACCTGTAGTCCCAGCTACTTGGGAGGCTGAGGTAGGGGAATCACTTGAGGCAGAGGTTGCAGTGAGCCGAGATCGTGCCACTGCACTCCAGCCTGGGCGACAGAGCAAGACTCCAACAAAAAAAGAGAAAATAGATGTTCATCTCTTATTTTCCATTCATGATTCTCATGCCTTGATATCCCCTGAGAAGTATAAGCTGATCTGGTGTAGAAAAAAGAAATGATAATGACCCAAACATTCACTAATTTAATTTTTACACTACAGCTTCATATTTTTAAAGTATTATCACATTTATTCAAATCAAGAATTGGCAAATTGGCCTTGTCTATGAAAAATCAAATAGTATGGATTTCAGGCAAGGTGGATGATACAACCTCTGTCACAACTCACCAACTCTGCTGTTGTAACAGGAAAACAACCTGTTACCACATATAAAAGAACAGGCTTTCCTGTGCTCTAATAAAACTTTATTTACTACGGCCATAGCTTTCTGACCAGATTCTGATCTAAATTATCACAAGGCATCTTACAGTTCCTATACTTCATTAATGCAGATAATAATGAAGGAGTGAACAATATAAAACAGCAAACTTAAGGCATGAGAATAATTTTTAAGACTCCAGTTTCTCAGAAAACAACGTGATGAATATTTTCCCTCCATCTTTATAATTGATATTAGTATCTTGGACTGATAGATGAGTTCAAGATATGTTCTGAAAGAGAAACGACAGCAAACAGGACCCACTAATAGATTAGATATAAGTGGGGAATCAGTGTCAACTCCATGTTTTCCAGCATGAGAAAATGCTGATGCCACTTATTGCAATGAGAAAGACTGGGTAAGAATATATTTGATGAAAGATAGAATTAAAAATTCTGGATTGAAATGTTACTTTTGAAATGTCTATGAAACATAAAAGTAGAACTGCCTGGCCAGACATGATGACTCATGCCTGTAATCCCAGCATTTTGGGAGGCCAAGGCAGGTGGATCACCTGAGGTCAGGAGTTTGAGACCAGCCTGGCCAATATAGAGAAACAGTGTCTCTACTGAAAATATAAAAATTAGCTGGGCATGATGGTGCATGCCTATAATCCCAGCTACTCGGGAGGACAAAATTGGAGAATTGCTTGAACCCAGGAGGCGGAGATTGCAGTGAGCCAAGATCGCACCACTGCACCCCAGCCTGGGCAACAGAGTGAGACTCCATCTCAAAAAAAAAAAAAGTAGAACTGCCTTATAGACTGTTGCACTCAGAGAAGAGGTTTACACCAAAGAGATAAATCTGGGAGACATCAGCTTATAGATGCCATTTAAAGCATGGAAATAGATGAAAATATCTAACCACAGAATGTAGAAAGAGAAACCAAGACTCAAAAGGATCTCAACGTGACTTCTGAATCATCCAAGAAAGAATAAGCATGTTCAGCATAGTTTACCAGTGCTAACAGGACTGTATTGTTTTCCTAATCTTGATAAATCTATAATTTGTATGCAGCAATAATCTATATTTCTATTCCCCAAACGTTTTTTCAAATTTATTAAACCACATGGCACTTTTTCTTTACTTTTCTTTCTTTTTTTTTTTTAGGGGGGAAGCAGAGTCTCACTCTGTTGCCCAGGCTGGAGTGCAGTGGCATCATCTCGGCTCACTGCAGCCTCCACCTCTCGGGTTCAAGCGATTCTCATGCCTCAGCCTCCCAAATAGCTGGGATTACAGGTGCACACCTCCATGCCCGACTAATTTTTGTACTTTTAGTAGAGATGAGGTTTCACCATGTTGGCCAGGCTGGTCTCGAACTCCTGGCCTCAAGTGATCCTCCTGCCTCAGCCTCCCAAAGTGCTGAGATTACAGGCATGAACCACCATGCCCAGCCACATGTCCCTTTTTCTAAGAAATTTCTTGGAGTACATGTTCATCTAAACACAATTTAACTATGCTCACTGCCTGGGTAACAAGAGCGTCGGAACCCCAAGCCTCAGCGTCACACAATTTATCCATGTAACAAACTTGCACGTTTACCTTTTAATCTATAATAAAAGTGGAAATTTAAAAAAATAAAAAGTAAAAATGAAAATGCTCTACATATACCAATTTAATTTAATATTTTTTATAAATTTATTTTCTTATACTCGTCACCTTTGGTTGTCCAATAAAAGAGTTAATGTTAGTCTTCCTGGCATAAGGGGAAGCAGCAGATTTCAAAGAATCTCTGCAATTCAAACTCCAGCTGTATTTCACATCTATATACATAATATGCTCAACCCACTCCCTCTTGTGTAGTGTTACCTGCCCAGGGATATGGGCAAATTCCCTGCAGTTTAATAATTTGGAAAGAACAGAGACTCAGAATGGAGACTTTCTTGTCATCTGCTCAAACATTTTATCCTACACTTATACAAAATCACTCTCTACTTCAGGAAAGCAACAGAGAAAAAAAGGGGAACATTAGATAAAAGAAGAGTGAGAGTGCTCAAGATGATGGATTTAATGCGAACAACCATTCCTTTTTCTGGGGAGTGAGGAAAGGGGCAGTACAGTTCATCTTTCAGTATCATTGACTAGCTCCTATCAGACCAACCCTCCAGTAATTAACAACTATAAACTCTGAACATGGTACAAAAAAACAACCGAGAGCACTGGAGGGGGAGAAAAGCAGGGAAAAAAAATGAAGTGAAACGTCATTTTGACTCCGCGATCTCAAGTGATCCTCGGCCTACCAAAGTGCTGAGATTACAGGCGTGAGCCACCACACCCGGCCAAAAAGAGAAAATCTTAACAGCAGACAAAGAAAATAGCACGCTCTGCATACAAAGGAACGAGAATCAAACCACCGACTTCTCATCAGAAACACTGGAGGCCAGAGGACAATGTATGGCTAAAATGCTGAAACAATTTTTTTAATTCAATGCAAAATTTTATCTTCAGCAAAAATATCCTTAAAAAATCAAGGTCAAATAAAGACATTTTCAGATAAGAGGAAAAAATATCTCTTTAGGATGAAACTATTGTCTTTCAGATAAGAGAAAAGATTTCATAACCTACAGACCTGCACTGTCAAAAATGCTAAAAGGATTTCTTTAGGTGGAAGGAAAATGAAACCAGATGAAAATCTAAATCTTTAGGAAATAATAAAGAGCATCAGAGTTACTAAATGTATGCAAATATATAAAAGATGACTTTTCCTCTTTTTTAAAAAAAGTATATGACTATTTTAAAGAACACTTTGATCCTAATATTTAAAGTTGACTGATTTTTTTTTACTTTTTATCTAAATGTCAAGATTAGATCTTAAAAGGTCATCAAATATTTGCTGGCATAAAACTGACTTTTGAATAGAATGTGATTATTATTTCCTGAAGTTAAATATACATTTTCTATCAACATTTACTTGTCATTCACTCTATTTGGATTTTTTTCCTTTGTAGAAATATGTGTTTAGAGTTGTAAGTTTAGCAGGCTTCTAGCCTAATAGGATTATTCTCAGAACATCTCTTTTAAAAGGGGCAGATTTTCCTAATGGACTTCCATTTTGGGAGATTTCTGAGTTGCTAATCAATGAAGCAATAAGAAATGAACACACTGCTTCGTAGTCAGAATGCCCAGGTGCCAAGAAAATGTAAACTCTGCTATTTAAGTTAAAATAAAGATCAAAACATATTTAGATAAGGGTAAAATTCTTAGGGGAACACAACAAAATGTATCCCTTGCCAAAATTATAATGTAAAGTTCCTCCAAAATCATAATTTAAAAGTTTAATTTAAAATGCCTTCAAATGCTGGTGGGCAAAATTAAAGAAATTATACACTACTCCAAATCCAGAGAAAAGTATCTAAAAATGAAGTCAATAAAGTTATATTATATTGTTTCTTTTAGTAATTTCTAGAAGTAAACAAAAAAATGCATTTTCCCAATTTCTGCATTTGCCCGCTTGTTATTTTGAGCTAGATGCCCCATCAATGCACCAATGTCAACATATCAGCAATTAAACTCCGTATGTTTATCTCAAAACATTTTTCTCTCTGCACTGTGCACTCTATAGTATGACCATCTTCTTTGTCTCTGAAGTTCCAAACCTAAAAATTATCTTTGATTCCACCCTCACCCCTCATCAAAGGATTTACCTTACCCTGACTATTTTTTTCTTCGCAAAGTGTCTGTGAGCTTGCTTTTTCTTTCCCTCACCCCTTCCTCCAATCTAATGTAGGCTATAAAATATTTAACTTGGAGCCCCAAGAAGCTTAGATCCAAGGATAAGGAGTACAGAGGTAAAGAAGATTTGTCTGTGCCTTAATAATAACTGATGTGTATTGAACATTTAAATTACTTCATCTGCCAGTTGCAGTGGCTCACGCCTGTAATCCCAACACTTTGGGAGGCCAAGGCAGGTGGATCACTTGAGGTCAGGAGTTCAAGACCAGCCTGGCCAATATAATGACATCCCTGTCTCTACTAACAATACAAAAAGTAGCCGGAGGTAGTGGTGGGCACCTGTAATCCCAGCTACTGGGGAGGCTGAGGCAGGAGAATCGCTTGAACCCAGGAAGCAGAGGTTGCAGTGAGCTGAGATTGTGCCACTGCACTCCAGCCTGGGTGTCTGAGGCCCTGTCTCAAAATAAATAAATAAATAATCCTGATCATAACTCTGTGAGGTAGATACTATTGGGGATGGGATTTTTGGTGTTTTTTAAAATACAGATTTAAGGGGTACAGGTGCAGTTTGGTTACATGGATATATTGCGTGGTCATAAAGTGTGGGCTTTTAGCGTAAACATTACCTGCCTAGTGTACACTGTACCCATTAGAGAACTTCTTATCCCTCACCCCGCCTCCCACTTTTCCAAGTCTCCAGTATCTATTTTTCCACTCTCTGTGTTCATGTGTACACACTTTTTAGCTCCCACTTACAAGTGAGAACATACAGTGGGAAGACTAAGGTATAGAGAAATTAAGTACCTGTCCTAGGTAACACATATATGTATAATAAGTGGGGTCTCAATAAAAACAGAGTCTGAGTCTACAGCTTAAGTCTTAACCAGTTCAATATTGCCTTCCAGAGCCAGGTACTACCTACTTCCAGGCCAGTAGGTAGTTTGATGGCATTACCATGCCTCTATTTCTTGCCAAGGCCTTTTCAAATCGATTAAGTTCAATGTTCAAAAACACGGCAGTTACAGAAATGCGTTCCGTGAATCAATACCTGGTCTATTCTGGTATGCTGTCCTTCACCCACAGCTTTAGAGAAAAGATAAAAATGGAATCTGCCTAGCTAGTTGGAGATATTTTCTAGTGCAAGGGCAAAAGCTATTTGGAACCCCAGTGGGATCTGCTTCTACTGGGTTGACCCGAATTATTTGTAGTTTCCCTGTCCTCAGTCCTCAAGGCCATTCCTTGCTCATAAAATGCAAAAACTTAAAAGCTCCTAGAGTTAAAAAAGGAATGGCCCTGCCTCTTAGGAGGGAAGATAAAAGAGCAGTTGCTGCTGAGAACACGAGCACCACCAACAGAAAGCTGATCCCCACTTGATCCTGAAGATGCAGGAAGGGTCAGAGAGGAGAGGGGACATGACGGGGCTGCCAAGGCTGCATCTGTGATAGAAAGATTTTGCTTTACCTTTTGGAATGAAACTATTTAGTATAAAATCTGTCCTCAGGTCAGGCGCAGTGGGTCATGGGGAGGCCTAGGTGGGCAGATCACCTGAGGCCAGGAGTTCGAGACCAGCCTGGCCAACATGGCAAAACCCCATCTCTACTAAAAATACAAAAATGAGCCAGGTGTGGTGGCATATGCCTGTAGTCCCAGCTACACAGGAGGCTGAGGCAGGAGAATCACTTGAATCTGGGAGGCAGAGGTTGTGGTGAGCCAAGATCACACCACTGCACTCCAGTCTGGGTGACAGAGTGAACCCTGTCTCAAAACAAAACAAAACTTGTTTTTACCTCTGCGTAAGTTCCAAGGTAGAGAAACACTGATGCCCCCTAAATCTGTTTACCCTTTCATTATAGATTGGGAAGAGGATCCCAGAGTCAGGGCTGGTACAGCCTGAAGAACAAGCAGGATTTGCTCAACATGGGAGCCCAGGAACCTCTCTTTGCACCATGGATTCTTCATCTCAGCAACCAACATCTGTGGGCAACTTCTCAGCCAGAGTCATGACTTAAGGAGCTGTACTCCTGTGTGAAATTGGCAGGATCTGAGCTCTTCTGCCTATCAAGATCCATGCTGGCTGGCACAAGCACAGAAATTCCTTTTAAAATTGAACATGTCAGCCAAATTAATCCCATTAAACTCTAAGTGACCTTCCACTGAGGAAAGCTCATTAAGAAGGATATTGCTGTGTTACTATTCCTACTCTACCATAGAAATTTTCTTAGGGAAATGAAGGTTTTTTTTAATGTCATAGAATATCAGAGGTAGAGGTAATCTTAAAGATCATAGTCGGCTGTGGAGCTCAGCCCATCCAATCATTTTATTTCACAAATACTTGGCATTTGTGAAATAAAATTCACATCAGAATATGTGAATAGGCCGGGCGTGATGGCTCACGCCTGAATCCCAGCACTTCAGAAGACCAACACGGGTGGATCACTTGAGGTCAGGAGTTCAAGACCAGCCTGGCCAACATGGTGAAACCTCGCCTCTACTAAAAATACAAAAATTAGCTGAGCATGGTGTCACGTGCCTGTAATCCCAGCTACTCGGGAGGCTGAGGTAAGAGAATTGCTTGAACCTGGGAGGTGGAGGTTGCAGTGAGCCAAGATCCTGCCACTGCTCTCCAGCCTGGGCAATAGAGTGAGACTCCATCTGAAAAAAAAAAATGTAAATAAAATTCACATCAGAATATGTGAATTACCTAAGGATTTTTCCTTAGCTGAAACATAAAATACATGTACTATACTACATCCGTAATTTGATTTATGAAATGAAATAAAGCAACCAATACATTTTGATGTTTTCTTTTAGTCCCTTAAAATAAATCTCCATATAATCTAATTTAGTGCCTTGTTTAAGGATAACTTGAAATAGTTCTTCATGTAATTTTCTAATCTATGCTAATCCTATGTTGATTCCAATGTCTTTTCTGGCCTGATTGATCTCTGCAAACATAAAAATAAACCTTATTCTTATTCTTCAGTGTTTTTCTAAGCTCTAACCCATTTTTGACATTTTTCACAGGTTTGAGTCCACTGCCTCCTCCCCTATATCACTATGTAAATCTTGATTTTTTCTGTGTACAGTCCTTCCTCAGTATGGGAGGGGATTGGTTCCAGGACCCCCAAGGATACTAAAATCCATGGATGCTCAACTACCTTATATAAAAAATGTAGTATTTGCATATAACTTACACACATCCTCCCATACACTTTAAATCATCTCTAGATTACTTATACTATGTAATGCAATGTAAATGCTATGCCTATAGTTGTCATACTATATTTTTCAATTTATATTATTATCACACTGTAATTTTTAATTTATATTATTTTTATTGTTGTATTGTTCTTTTAGTCTTAATATTTTCAGTCCATGATTAGTTGAATCTACAGTTGCAGAATCCACAGATATCCTGAGCCAAATGTGCTAATCTCTAGGTTGAACTTTAACATGGTAGTAAGTTCTTGTACTTCAGATTTGGGGCTTCCAATGTCAATTAGAGTTTAGGAAAAAACAAGCAAAGTCCAACATGAGATTCACTATTACTATTACTGTTACTAACAACAACAATGGCTAATCTGTAGAGTATTTACTATGTGTAGGACAACTTCCTAAGTGGATTACCTTGTTTTATCATAGCGCCTGATTTTATCAAGAGGATGGTGATATTATAATCTCCTGTGGATCAGGAAACAGGCTCAGAGTTAGGTAGTTCGCCTACAGTCACACAACTAGGAATAGTAGAACCAAGACTTTAGTCGCAGCAGTCTGATATCAGAGCCCTTTCTCAACTACTATGCCATTCTGCCTATAAACTTGTGATAGAGTACAGTAAGAGACTAGGCTGGAAAATAATTTTTGATCAGATTTATTAGGAAGCTTTGAATGTCATGCAAAGAGATGGTATAAAGAAGGGCACTTTAAAAGATTATGCATGTAAAATGAAAATAAGAAAAAAGGCCAGGCCTGGTGGCTCACGCCTGTTATCCCAACACCTTGGGAGATCAAGGTGGGTGGATCACCTGAGGTCAGGAGTTTGAGACCAGCCTGGCCAACATGGTGAACCCCCGTCTCTACTAAAAATACAAAAAATTAGCTGGGCATGGTGGTGCACTCCTGTAATCCCAGCTACTTGGGAGGCTGAGACAGGAGAATTGCTTAAACCCAGCAGGCAGAGGTTGCAGTGAGCCTAGATCGCACCATTGCACTCCAGCCTGGGCGACAAGAAGTGAAACTCCATCTCAAAAAAATAAAGAAATAATAAAGAAAAAAAATTTAAGTAAAAAAAGAGATAGGGAGGCACCTAACCCAGCCTGGGAGGAGGGAAGTCAAGAAAAAATTCACAGATGAGTTGCCCTCTCAGCTGATTTTTGAACAAAAAGTAGCAGTTAGCCAGTGAGTCAGAGGGGTGCTCCAATCAGTGGGAAGAGCGTGTAGAAAAGAACAGAAATAACACAAAAGGGTGTGGTGTGTTTAGGTACCGCATAAGATTTAATAATCATAGTATGGATAGATAAATGAATGGTAGAATTAATTGGTGTATGAATGGTTGAATTTCCATGGAAATTGATACTAGAAGAAGATGAAAGTACAGAAAAATCTAAAAGTTGTTAGTAATTCTTTTCCAAGCTCCAGCCACAATTATCTAAAACTGATGGCTCCAACTTAATATTGAATGTTAAGGCACGGTGGCTCACACTTGTAATCCCAGCACTTTGGGAGGCTGAGGCAGGTGGATCACTTGAGCTCAGGAGTTCAAGACCGGCCTGGCCAACATGGTGAAACTCCATCTCTACAAAAATACAAAAATTAGCCAGCCGTGGTGGCAGGAGCCTGTAATCCCAGCTACTCGGGAGGCTGAGGCAGGAGAATCACTTGAATCCGGGAGGCAGAAGCTGCAGTGAGCCGAGATCACGCCATTGCACTCCAGCCTAAGCAACAAGAGCGAAACTCTGTCTCAAAAAAAAAGCTAAAAGGCCCTTCTTTTGGGACATTAAAAAACCATTTAACTGTCACAGACCAGAGTAGACTAAAGATACTTGACAATTAAATGCGATTTGGCACCCTGGATTAGATCCCAGAACAGAAAGAGAACATTAATGGGAAAATTAAATCCAAATAAAGTCTTGAGAATAGTCCACAGTAATGTACCAATGTTGATTCTTAGTTTTGACAGATGTACCATGATAACATAAGATAGTCTCCTATAAACAATAGGAGAAACTGGCTGAAGCGTATATGAAAACTCTCTGTACTATCACTGCAACTTTTTTATAAAAATAAAAATAATTTCAAAATAAATGGAGACATGTTGGTCAAAGAGTACAAGTTTCAGTTATAAGATGAATAAAAGTTCTAGAGTACAGTATAACATGGCAAACATAGTTAATAATAAATATAATACTTGAAATTTATTAAGGGAGTAGATTTTAAGTGTTCTTACCACACATACACACAAATATTAATAACTATGCAAGGTGATGAATGTATTAATTAGTTTGATTGTGGGAATCATTACATAATGTATACTTATATGAAAATGCCATGTTGTATAACTTAAATATACACAATTTCTAATTTGTAAGTCACATCTCAATAAAATTTTTTAAAAATAAAATAAAAACTTTAAACTGAAAAATACTTCTAAACAGCTATTAGTTAAAAAGGAAATTTGCAACTGAGATAATTATGTTTTGTTATTATTGATAATGAAAATTATACATTTTATGATAATTTATGATAATGAAAATTAATAATAATGAAAATGCTGCATTTCAGAATCTATGGGCTATATTTAAAGCTGTTATCAGAGGAAAATTCATAGCCTCAAATGCTTTATCAATATAAAGGAAAGAATTTGCTTTAAAACTAAATTCCCAACTCATAAAAGCTAAACAATAACAGCAACAACAACAACAAAGTAAACTAAAATATAGCACAAGTCAGTGGCTCTAGTGGTGCAACTGGTTAGCACACAGTACTTATAAAAAAGTCAACCTAAATAATAGAGATTCTCCTGTGATACCCTACCTTGTTTTAACCTGATTGTCTCCCTTAGCTGAGAAAGCTGGACCCATTTTAGTTTCGTCACTTGCAGTCCCCCTTACCCCCCTCCCTTAAGGGCATAACTAGTGCAAGCTAACTCCAAGCACACCCAGGATGCACTTACTGATAAGATATTGAGGCAAGCTGTACCAGCAGCTCCTGGGGATGTGCTCGGTGGATGGTACCCAAAGCACCTGCATTATCTCTTTGTGACAGTTAAAGCCCCTGCACCTGGAACTGCTTATTTTTCTGTAACTATCTCTGTAACCATTAATTTTTTTTTAACTTTTTGCCTGTTCTGCTTCTGTAAAAATTGCTTCAGCTAGGCTCCCCGCTCCCCTTTTAGACCAAGGTATAAAAGAAAATCTAGCCCCTTCTTTGGGGCCAAGAGAATTTTGAGCTCTAGCCGTCTCTCGGTCACCAGCAATAAAGGACTCCTGAATTAGTCTCAGAGTGTGGCATTTCTCTATAACTCGCTCGGTTACAATACTCCAAAGATAAGTTTGGCTGGACACAGTGGTTCATGCCTGTAATCCCAGCACTTTGGGAGGCCGAGATGGGAGGATCACCTGAGCCTGGGAGGTCAAGGCTGCAGTAAGCCATGATCACATCACTGCACTCCAGCCTGGGTGACAGAGTGAGAACTTGTGTTTATTTTATTTTATTTTATTTTTTATTTTATTTTTAAAAAGGCATAAGTTTATTTGGGAGTGGGCATTTTAATGTGGAACACTGTGCCATAGTAAACTATGAACGTATTCACAGAGGTAAAGGAAGAGAAGGGTTTTTAAATCAAAAACACTTACATCTGTGTCTCTGAAACAATTATCCTTGGCTACAAGGATCGATAACAAGGGTAGTGTTGGTCCGAGGTGGGACAAGCAGTTGCTGGGAAGATGTTCTCACAAAAATATTTTCTGTGTAAGGTTCCAATGGCCTTCGTGCAAAGTGTGGTTTTTGCAGTCTTTTGTGAAAGTCTTCATATCAGGCACAAGAACCCTCCCTTCATGGCCTTCCCTGGCTCCATTTTGTCAGGGTCTGACATAAGTGGCTTGATTTTAATTCTAACTTCTTTCATAAAACTAACAAATATGAAAACAGAAATCGATGAGCGAGACAACAGAAAACAGTGGATCTAATTAGGAAAACAAAATATTGTTTGTTTCTAGTATCAACAAAATAGACAAAGCACTGAAACCACCTTTGCAAAATTATGACTGAGACAGTGAAAGAGAGCTAACCTCACCAACTCCACCTTGGTTCTAACTTTTAAGCTGTCCTTGTTCCTTCCTGGGTGTAGGCTGAACAAACTTTGGGAGGAACTTAGCTTATAGTTTAAAACAAAGACAATAACAGCCCTTTCCCAAAACAAACCTCCTTCTTGCCTGGAGACTAGACTGCCTTTGTAGGACTAACAAATTAGCCACAAGATTAGAAATTACGGTTTAGGCCTCATGCAGCTGGAGATTACAAGATTCTGACCCCCGCAAACTGCTCCTAAGATCAGTGCTTGAGGTATCTTGCAGACCCTGCACTTGATGGATCAGCTGGCACCACCCAGATTGATTAACTGGCTCATCTGATCTTGAGGCCCTAACACAGAAACTCACTCAGCACAAGTGGACAGCTTCAACTTCTCATGATTTCATCTCTCACCTGACCAATCAGCATTCCCGGCTCACTGGCTTCCCCTGACCCACCAAGTTGTCCTTAAAAGCTCTGATCCCCAAATGCTCAGGGAGACTGATTTGAGTAATAATAAAACTCCAGTCTCCCACACAGCCGGCTCTGCGTGAATTACTCTTTCTCTATTGCAATTCCCCTGTCTTGATAAATTGGCTACCTGCAGGCAAGGTGAATCCGTTGGATGGTTACAGCACTAGCTAACCTAACTGAGGGGAAAAAAAAGCCAAGTACAAATACATAAAATTAATGACATAGCAGAAATAATAATTCAAATAGAAAAAATTTTTAATGAGACTACTTTTCAGACCTCTGTACAAATACCTTTGAAAAACTAGATGAAATGGAGAATTTTCTAGGAAAATATAGTTTACCAAAACTGACTGCTTTAGATACAGAATTCAAAAAGATGCTTTTCTGTAAAAGAAATAAAGTTATTGAGTTACATATATAAATTAAAACGTTAAAGACATAAAAAGAACAAAAGAGGAGACTTTAAAAAAATTTAAAGGATGGAGGCCGGATGTGGTGTTTCACACCTGTAATCCCAACACTTTGGGAGGCTGAGGCAAGCGGATCACTTGAGGTCAGCAGTTTGAGACCAACCTGGCCAACACGGTGAAACCCCATCTCTACTAAAAATACAAAAATTAGCCGGGCACAGTGGAGGGCGCCTGTAATCCCAGCTACTTGGGAGGCTGAGGCACCAGAATTGCTTGAACCTGGGAGGCGGAGGTTGCAGTGAGCTGAGATCATGCCAGTGTGCTCCAGCCTGGGTGATAGAGCGAGACTCAGTCCCAAAAAAAAAAAAAAAAAAAAAAAATTGAAAGGATGGAGATGTTAAAATACACTTCCCTTTCATTCTAAAGTTCTTTTTTTGTTTCATTTTTATTCTCATGTGTTACTCTCTTCTTCCATTTTCAGCCCTTCAGATAAGCTCATATTTTTCAAGCTGAACATTGGTTCACAAGATTTTTCTTTTGCAAACTTTCCCGTATGACTCAATTCATATTAAAAGATCTTGCAGTAACTTTATCAATAATGTAATTTCAGTTTATTCTTCTTAACATCTAATCTCAAATGGTAAATATACCTTTCATACACACTTATGAAAAATCTTATCCCTCCTTGAAATATTCATTTGTTAAAGGTAGGAAAAAATCAAATTCCAGACAAGAGATGTGGCATTACATTCTATTTGAAATAGGTCTCTTCACAATTGGACTTAATAAGTGTCTTACAATTTGTCCTTGAATTAAAACTTCTCATTGATTATTCTGATCTCTCCCATCAGAAGTGTAACTGCCCAAGGGATCACCTTGCCTGCTGCCTACACAGAGCCCATTTATCAAGACAGGAGAATTGCAATAGAGAAAGAGTAATTGACGCAGAGCCAGCTGTGCGGGAGACTGGAGGGTTTTTTTGTTGGTGGTGGATTGTTTTGTTTTGTTTTTGTTTTTGTTTCTGTTTTTTTTTTTGGAGTTTTATTATTACTCAAATCAGTCTCCCCAACATTTGGGAAGCAGGGTATTTAAGGACAACTTGATGGGTGGGGGAGCCCAGTGAGCCAGGAGTGCTGATTGGTCAGGTCAGCAATGAAATCACAGGGAGTCAAAGCTGTCTTCCTGTGCTGTGTCAGTTCCTGGGTGGGGGCCACAAGATCAGATGAGCCAGTTAATCAATCTGGGTGGTGCCAGCTGATCCATCAAGTGCAGGGTCTGCAAAATATCTCAAGCCCTGATCTTAGGAGCAGTTTAGTGGGGGTCAGAATCTTGTAGCCTCCAGTTGCATGACTCCTAAACCTTAATTTCTAATCTTGTGGCTAATTTGTCAGTCTTACAAAGGCAGTCTAGTCCCCAGGCAAGAAGGAGGTCTGCTTTGGGAAAGGGCTGTTATCATCTTTGTTTTAAACTATAAACTATAAACTGAGTCTGTCCCAAAGTTAGTTTAGCCTACACCCAGGAATGAACAAGAACAGCTTGGAGGTTAGAGGCAAGATGGAGTCAATTAAGTTAGATCTCTTTCACTGTCTCAGTCATAATTTTGCAAAGGTGGTTTCAGAAGCAGTTCTGCTTTTCATAGACCATAAATTGAGTGGGTAAAACAATAGCTTCTTTTGGTCATTTCCCTACTTTTGCCAAGATATCATCAGTGTGATTTTTTTCTTTTCTTTTTTTTACTCTCTGAATTTCATCAGACTTCCAGTTAATTTTCTACGAAGCCCTACTGGAAAACATTGGCATAAATAATCAAAAATTGTAAACCAGTAGTATAGCTCATGATGGATTAAAGTTATTCTTAGCCTGGGCAACATACCAAAACTCCATCTCTACAAAAAATTAAGAAATTAGCAGGGCATGATGGTGCTCACCTATAGTCCTAGTTAACCAGGAGGCTGAAGCTGAAGGATCCCTTGAGCCAGGAGTTTGAGGCTGCAGTAAGCTGCAATGGTGCCACTGCACTCCAGCTGGGTGATAGAGCAAGATTCTGTCTCTAAAAAATAAAATAAAATGAAAAAGTCATTCTCATTTTAATAAGAATAACGAAGTGCTGAATGACTTTTTTCATCAAGTGGTCATTAAAATACTTCTGCTTAATGTTTCTTTTATCTTGAATTTCCTGGCTTTTGTTGTTGTTGTTGAACCAGACTCTGAAGAAATAAAGCCAATGGGACGGGCGCCCTGGCTCATGCCTGTAATCCCAGCACTTTGGGAGGCTGAGGCAGGTGGATCATGTGAGGTCAGGAGCTCGAGACCAGCCTGGCCAACATGGTGAAACCCCATCTCTGCTAAAAATACAAGAAATTAGCCAGGCATCGTGGCATGCACCTTTAATCCCAGCTACTTGGGAGACTGAAGCAGGAGAATCACTTGAACCCAGGAGGCAGAGGTTGCAATGAGCAGAGATCCCACCACTACACTCTAGCCTGGGCGACAGAGCGAATGAGACTGTCTCAAAAAAAAAAAAAAAAGAAAGAAAGAAAGAGACTAATTAGTCATTCGAATTAATGTAAGGTGTGATATATGCCAGAAAGGCAAGGTAGAAGGCATGAAGAACTAATATTCCAGGGAAAGCTGGAACATCTTGCCAGGGTCAACTGAGGCTTCACTAAGGCAATGCCATTTCAGTTGGGAGCTGAAGATGGGCAGTTCCTAACCAGGCATGGAGTAGAAGCTAAGGCATGTTCCAGCAGGGAATGGGTCGTGTGCCGTTTCTGTAGTATCAGGAAGGTTGCTGTAACCAGGAGCCCTAAGAAGTGTTTCATAATAAACTTCACACAAATGGATTAGTAATTTTTGAAAGGCAAAATAGAAAAATGGGTCACAGCACTTAGCACAGAATCGGTACAAAATACAAACTCTGGCTTCTATTATGATCATTTTCCATTTCCACACACTGGCTCGCATCTCTCTCTGCAGAGCTGCAGTTCTGCCCAGCCATCATCCAAAGAGGTTTCCGAGGACAGCTCGCCTGTTCTCTCAGCCCCTATGCATATTCCCAAAAATGTTCCATGACAGAGCAGAAGTGTTCCTTGAATAATAAAACTAATTTATTGTTCACTCTATTTATTTATTTATTTATTTTTATTTTTTGAGACAGAGTCTCGCTCTGTCACCCAGGCTGGAGTGCAATGGTGCAACCTCGGCTCACTGCAACCTCCACCTCCCGGGTTCAAGCGATTCTCCCGCCTCAGCCTCCCGAGTAGCTGGGATTACAGGCACCCGCCACCCCGCCCAGCTAATTTTTGCATTTTTAGTAGAGACAGGGTTTCACCACGTTGGCCAAGCTGGGCTCGAAATCCTAACATCAGTTGATCCACCCACCTCAGCCTCCCGAAGTGCTGGGATTACAGGCATAAGCCACCACGCCCGGCCTGTTCACGCTATTAATACGTGTTAAGCAGGTACTGTACAGTCATCAACAGTGGCAGCCAACATTTGCTGAGTATGTGCCTTGCGCCAGGGATAACTTGCAGGGAGTGAGCTTTTTACAACAATTTCATGAGGCAGGTCTTTTTACTGCTGTCATTTTACTAATGAGAAGAGAGAGGAACAGAGAGGTCAAACAATTATTTTAGGTCAAATACCTAGCAAGTGGCAAAATTGGGCTATGAATCCAAGAAATCTGCTTCCAGAGTGTGAGAGCTTAATCACTGCTCCATAATTGCCTCTTTTAAGAAGGACAAAGCCCTCATTCACATGGAGGTCACAACTTACTTGGAAAGAAGCAAGAGATAGTGGAGATATAATAAACAAGTAAATAAATAAGATGGATAGTTTCAGTATGTGGTTAATTTTACAAACGAATTAAACAATGATATGATGCACAAGGACTGAGGGAGCCACAGAGACCGCTGCTTTAGAAAGGGTACCCAGAAATGCCTTCTCAGGGAAGGGACCTTAGGGCTGAGATCTAAGAGACAGAAAAGAAACAACTTCAGAAGAGGTAGAGCTAGGTGCGGTGGCTCACGCCTGTAATCCCAACACTTTGCGAGGCCGAGGTGGGTGGATTACCTGAGGTCAGGAGTTTGAGACCAGCCTGGTCAACATGGTGAAACCTCGGCTTTACTAAAAATACAAAAATTAGCTCAGTGTGGTGGCACACGCCTTAATCACAGCTACTTGGAGGCTGAGGCAGGAGAATTGCTTAACCCTGGAGGCGGAGGTTGCAGTGAGCTGAGATCACGCCATTGCATGCCAGCCTGGGTGACAAGAGCAAGACTCCATCTCAAAGTAAATAAATAAATAAATAAATTATTTTAGCTTCTCATGGATTTCATAATACTTATCTCTGAAAACATTTTGACTGTAAATTTAGGAATTAGGATGCAAGATCCCACATGTCCTCTAATCTAAAGTTGCATCGTTGGTCTGAAAATAGAGTTGAGCTTAGTGTTGACTACTTAGTATTGTTGCATGGACCAGTTGTTATGAAGACCAATAAATCATTGTTTTCTTATGTAAAATACAGATACATAATATTTTATAGGTAATATTTAATAAATTGCCTGAATAATTTTTTTTTTTTTTTTTTTAGATGGAGTCTCGCTCTGTCACCCAGCCTGGAGTGCAGTGGCGCCATCTCGGCTCACTGCAAGCTACGCCTCCCGGGTTCCCGCCATTCTCCTGCCTCACCCTCCCGAGTAGCTTGCTGGGACTACAGGCGCCCACCACCACGCCCGGCTAATTTTTTTGTATTTTTAGTAGAGACGGGGTTTCACCATGTTAGCCAGGATGGTCTGGATCTCCTGACCTCGTGATCCGCCCGCCTCGGCCTCCCAAAGTGCTGGGATTACAGGCGTGAGCCACCGCGCCCGGCTGCCTGAATAATTTTTTAAGAAGAATTTTATACGAACCTTCCTTTGCAGCATGCATACATCATAGTGAAGCGGTTTTGTTGTCTGTGGTAAATACCCGGGGTTTGTCCTGCCATGCCAGGAAAATTTAGGACACAGACACACATGAGGAGTTTAGGAGCAGAGGCTTAATAGGCAGAAGAAAGAGAAAGGAGAACAGTTCTCTCTCCAGTGAGAGAGAAGTGCTGCGGAGAGAAAAGACTGGTCGGCAGCAGAGTTCACTGGATTTTATAGGCAGGCTTGAGAAGGCAGTGTCTGATTTACATAGGGCTCACAGATTGGTTCGATCAGGTGTGATGTTTACATGGCATGCGGAGAAGGCTGGTCACCACCCCCATCCTGCCTATCTTATTATGCAAATGGGCTTTCAACTTGGCTGGTGCCATCTTGTCTGCTCCTTACTGTACACGTGGCTGGCAAAGGGAAGGGAAGATGAAGCTGCCATTTTGAACATGCCTAGTCCCAGATAGTGCTTTTCTACTGGGATTCATCCCTGCAATCTTCCAGCTTGCTTGTCTATGTCTGCAGCTTGATTTTACAAGCTGTTGTTTGTTAGAAAATGATTTGGGGCTGCTTTTCATTAAAAAGGAAAATCTTATCGAGGACTCCAGTACCCTCACTATCTGCCTAAGTAATTTCTTCTTAACTCCTATATCAATAGAAGTCAAGAGTAAAATAAGAGAGACTAGAGTGACTGCTGTCCACCCAGTGAGAAAGGAGCATGGTTTATTCTAGGGTATTCACAGTGGAAATAGAGAGAAAGAAACAGAGAAAGAATTTGTCTTAATACCAAATTGTATCTCATGGGGGATGAAAAGAACAGAGGATTCAAGGATGACGCCTAGACTTTTTGGCTTAGATAACTGTAAACGGTAGTCCCTCCTAAGGGAGACAAGGGAGGAGCATGCTTGAGGTGAAAGTCATGAGTTTGAGTTCGAATGTGAAGTTTGAAATACCTACCAGAACTTCACATAAAAGTGTAAAGCACAAAGTTATATATGTGAAGAAGGAGAAGGACTAGAGATAGAAATCTAATTAAGAGTCATGGACGTAGATCGTGTATAAAGCTGTGGAGATCGCCTAAGAGACGGAAAAGGGAAGAGGGCTCAGGCTGCAGTTGCTAGACTTCTCTGGCTAATTCACCATGCCTCTGTGCATCTCAGATTCCCTGTCAGTTCACTGCAGGCAAAGCAATAAGGATACATCCTGTCTCAGGCTGGAAGGATGTAGGACTCATACTCTTCCTTTTGCTTCATTCTTGTTTCCCTGCATTTCTGGCAGGTAAGGAGATATTTTTATTCTTTTCCCTAACAGATTCTCAAAAAAGATCAAATGATTGCTGAGGGCTTCCTGGAGCAAAAGAGACAATCATTCTTAGCTCACAGTTCAACTTTCCTTCCATTGAATCCCACACATGTACCCCTGCAGATAAAGCTTCAGAAAGGGCCTTATTCATTTTCCTTTCACAATGTTCATGATAGTAGGGCCAGCAATGTTACTAACCTCTTTATGTAAACCCAATAAATTTGATTTGACATTTGAGCATGGAGAAGTAAATAGGCACAAAACCTTATCTACCAGTCACATAATCGTATCTGAAAATTCAGTTTCAACACCAAGATTTAAGAGAACCCAGCAGATCTTTTCGTCAATGAATCCACAAGTATTTACCGGGTGCCCTTGGGGTGCCTGGTACTGGATGCAGCTGCTTTTGTGAGCAAGCCAGCAGGTTCTCTGCCATGAAAATAGAAATTTAATCACTTGTCCATCCAAGCATTTCCCTTCAGCTTTTCCAGGATGCTTTTTTGTGAATGACTAACAGAATAGCTGCTGCAAAGACAGCCTGCAAATTCCAGCCGGAGGCCCTGGGAGGAAAGATGACTCACCCACGCCTGACGTCAAAGCCTCCCTTTCTTTCAGAGGAGTAGGAAGAGAATGGCAATGGCCTGGGTAGAATGACCTAAATGCCCTCCTGAGTCCTGTGTGGGTCCTGCTTCCTCTTCCCCCACCTGGCAATGATGATTTCAAACCAAAGAAAGTTTAAACTGTCAAACTTGAACTTCACTGTCAAGTTAACTAAAAAACTAGAAACAGAAGCCTTCCTTCCTGTCAAACAATGTCAAATCCTTATTATGAGTTCTTTTTCACTGGAAAATATTGAAAGCATTTCTTTTTTTTCACAGAGTGTTTTATATTGATTTGCATCTTAGTCTGTTTGAGCTGCTATAATGAATACCATAGACTGGGTGGCTTCAACAACAAACATTTATTTCTCATCATTCTGCAGCCTGGCAAGTCTGAGATCAAGTTGCTGACAGATTTCGTGTCTGGTGAAAGCCCTCTTTCTGGTTGGCAAGTGGCTATCTTTTTGTTGTATCCTCACTTGACAGAGAAGGGGTTGGGAGGAAGGAGAGCACACTAATCTCTTTTTATAAAAAACACTAATCCCATCCTGGGGGCTCCATCCTCATGATCAACTCACTACCCGCCAGCGGTCCCACCTCCAACTACCATCACAGTGGAGGTTAGGGTTTCAATATATGAATTTGGGGTTGCATTCCATAACAATTTGCTTACAACATCTCAACAGTGGCTGAGCGTGGTGGCTCATGCCTGCAGTCCCAGCACTTTGGGAGGCCGAGGCGGGAGAATTATTTGAGCCCAGGAGTTTGAGACTGGCTTGGGCAACATAGTGACACTGTGCCTCAGAAAAGGAAAGAAAGAAAGAGAGAAAGAGAAAGGAAGGGAGAGAGAGAGAAAGAGAGAGAGGGAGAGAGAGGGAGGGGGGAGGGGAGGGGAGGGGAGGGGAGGGGAGGGGAGGGAAAATCTCAACAATGACCTTTTCCAGTCTGCCTTTCACATCAGGATTTCCAAGGACTTTCCCAGATTATGCAAAGGGCCATTTCACTGTTCACTGTGTTCGTTATTCAAACAGAGCTTCAGGTATGTCAGGGCACCCACGGGGTACCATCATCCAACAAAGCTCTGACATCCCTGTGCAAATAGTCAAATTTCAAATTTGTCCTTGGAAACTTTTTGGTTGTCACACAATTCAGCCCCCAGGTATTTGTCCTGGGGTCTCCCATGTAAGCTATTCTCTAATTTAGTAAGCCCCTGAGCAGTGTCATCGAATTCATTCTAAATCTTTCTCTTTTCAAGGAGCCTGGATAGCTAATTCACCAGCGAAACCTAAATTGTTTACGACCACCACAAATGGGCTATTTACCTCTGAAGTCCTGATGCAAGTCATATGTCTGGCTACTCCAGCACCTACTAATCACTCAGTTCTTTGAATTTTTATTGCATAAGAGTCCTTATCCCTCTTTTGGGCATTTTTGGATATATTAACTTTTCATTGCATCGTACAATTTGTTTTGCAGCTGTTGAGGGTGATAGATAAACTTACTTAATCACCATCTTAATTTTTGCTTTTGGTTTTTAACTCCGAGTACCCATCGCAATGCCCTAAACTAAAGGTTTACCCAGTAAGAGTTTATTAGGTTGAAATGAACTTACATTTTGGTAATTCTTGGAACTATAGTCTAATGGGATAAATTTAATGGTAGCATTTCAGACGTTATAGCAGATGAGCAGCAAAGATAATTTGAGATTACAAGGACTTTTGGAACCCCCAAACATAGCCACATATATGCTATTGATGTGGAATGCTGGCCCTAATTAGTTTGATGCTGGTCCTGCCCCAATTCAGGCCTCAGTGTAATATTATCACCCAAACTCACACAGGACTGTTCAGTAACAGGAAACCAATTATAAGGTACCAAATTAGAATGCGAGAAGGACTTGGCCTATGAACTCTTACACCAGCAGAGGGCACTTCCTTCTAGCATGCAAGTCGGCTAAGGAAAGCAAATTAGAATGAGAAGATGCCTGATGACTGCTGGATACGAGTTACACAGAGATATTTTCCAATAAGCTATGGAAAGCAAATGAATGGCCCTTTCCTTCTCTAGAAGGATAAATCTTTGCTCACTTGGAATTGGAATCCCAGTCCTTTGGGAAATGCTTAGAGTAAGCTGATAAATTCTTATTCTCTGACTCCCTTTCTAAAGTTTATATGAACCGGCCGGGCACGGTGGCTCACGCCTGTAATCCCAGCACTTTGGGAGGCCGAGGTGGGTGGATCACAAGGTCAGGAGTTCGAGACCAGCCTGGCCAAGATGGTGAAACCCCGTCTCTACTACAAATAAAAAATTAGCCGGGCGTGGTGGCAGGCGCCTGTAGTCCCAGCTACTCGGGAGGCTGAGGCAGGAGAATTCCTTGAACCTGGGAGGCGGAGGTTGCAGTGAGCCAAGATTGTGCCACTGCACTCTAGGCTGGGTGACAGAGCGAGACTTCATCTCAAAAAAAAAAAAAAAGTTTATATGAACCTACATCTTCTGAGTTCCACATTTTCATCTATTTCAAATCTCCTTGTCTTTCCCCATTGTCTTTAAGGGGACATCCCTGTACTGTTATTATTATCACTCATACTGAGACTCTGCCTGTTTTAATCCTGGGGAAAATTTCAATCAAGCGTTTGTCTGATAGCCTTTTAAGTCTTTCTGATATTCAACCCGGAGTCTCCCAAATTCGGGTGTACACCAAGAAAGTGAGGGATTTCTAGGAGTTCATGCTAAACAGATTCAAACTCCAGGCATCTACTGGGGGAAAAAAGGCGGTGTTATAAATAATTATTGTGGATCAGAAATAGACAGATTGTTCTTGGTTATTATAATACAGGGGATTATAATTTGGGTGCAGTAAATCCCCAGATGAAGCATGGGGTAAGTGTTGGAGGCATGCTGGCACTTCGATTTTAGTTCTGTGGAACTCAACTTGTGATGGTAGTAATAATAATCCCAATTACAAAAACTGAGGTACAGAGAAGTTAAATAACTTGAGTAATATCACAGCTTGTGATAAAGCTAAGATTTGAACTAAGTTCAGTCTGGCTCAGAAGTTTCTCTGCACTTCCCGCTGTTATCTTGGGCCCAAGTGTTGCTGCCTCTCAACTCCAGGAACCAGCAAACATATTTCCATGGACTAGCTGTTTGTTTTCGGTAGGTTTTTCATCTCTGTCAACAGTGGTTTTAAAGTAAAATAAGAAAAGTGAGAGTTATCTGCATGAAATATATCTTCAATTTTCTTGAATGTCTTTTCCTCTTGTGTATTTACTTCCTTATCCCATTCCTGAAATAAATCAAGTCAACTAAACTTTGCAACATAGTGTGTATAAGCTGATCTTCCTACCGCCTTGAATGAACTTTCATTTTCTGGCCCCACCATCTGTCCAACGTACTTCCCACTGTGCTTTCTCTCCTTCTTCTCTTCTCAGAGGTCTGAATGGCAATTCTTTAGGGCCCTCGTCTTAGTCCTGAAACTCCTCAGAGGCCGAGGCCACCCCTGGAAGGTTCCTGCTCCAAGTTTCTAGTTTCCAATAATCCCAACATCTTGCCTTTGTGTCCTAAAAGTGACAACTGCTTTATGCTGTCAATGCCTCTGTGATACATCAGGATTCCCTTTTAGCTATTTAAGTTCTCTATCCTGGGCCAGGCATGGTGGCTCATTCCTGTAGTTCCAGCAATTTGAGAGGTGAGATGAGAGGATTGCTTGAGGCTAGGAGTTCAAGACCAGCCTGGTCAACATAGCAAGACCTCATTTTTGCAAAAAAAATTTTTTTTTTCTTTTTGAGACAACGTCTCCAGCTCAGGCTTGAGCGCAGTGGCATGATCTTGGCTCACTGCAACCTCCGCCTCCTGGGTTCAAGCAATTCTCCTGCCTCAGCCTCCCCAGTAGCTGGGATTACAGGCGCCCACCACCACACCCGGCTAATTTTTGTATTTTTAGTAGAGACAGGGTTTCACCATGTTGGCCAGGCTGGTCTCGAACTCCTCTGACCTTAGGTGATCTGCCCACCTCAACCAAAATTTTTTTTTAATCCTTTATTCTGTTTAGCCAATTCTTTATATTAAATTCTGTTAAAATAACTGATATCTGTTTTTATGACAGGATCCTAACTATACAGTAATGGTTATAAGGAATTGGAATTCTCTGCCCTCCTCTGGCTCACATATGTCTTCCTAAGGCATCTGAAGTATGCGATATTCCCTGTTCATCTCAATCCAGTCAGCACAATGTCATCAATGCTGTGGACTAGCATGCTATTCTTTGGAATGTCAAAATAATCAAAATCGCTGCAGATACAATATGGCAGACAGTAAGAGAGCTGACATGGCCCTGTGCATACACTAAGAAAGTATACTCTTTGCCCTATCAGGAAAAAACAAACTCCTTCTGGCAGTCTTTGCAAATTGGTGTGGAGGAAATAGCATTTGCTGGGTCAATCACTTCATATCCAATTCCAGGGGCTACAAGGTTTTTATTAGTAAATGTAGTGTATCTGGAACAGATGCTACAACTGGATTCACCATCTGAGTAAGTTTATGAAAATCCACAGGCATTTTCTAACATCTGGCTTTCTTTTGCACAAGGCAAAGTAAATGTGAATATGACAAATGTCACCACCCCTGCATCTTACAAGTCTTCCAAAAGGACCTTGAGGTCCTTTTGGAAAAAGGCTTAGAGGAATACTTAGAGTATATACTTGTAACTGTGTGATGTGTGTGTGTGTGTGTTCAAATCAAACAATAATTCTATCTTATGAGAATCTACTATATATGGGGCATTGAGTAAAAAAAGAAAAGATCATGAGACAAGGAAGCTGCCCTCGAGTGATTTTTTGCTGGGAGTGATTGACAAGTAGAAGTAAGTGCAGACAGATAAATTGTAACACAATCATCAAGTGGCGTAATACAGTACAAAATTAAGTGGCAAGGAGCATTTTATATAGGAATGGCACAGGCCGGGCACAGTGGCTTAGGCCTGTAATCCCAGCACTATGGGAGGCTGAGGAGGTCGGATCACCTGAGGTCAGGAGTTCGAGACTAGCCTGACCAACATGGAGAAACCCTGTCTCTACTAAAAATATAAAAACTTAGCTGAGCATGGTGGCACATGCCTGTAATCCCAGCTACTCGGGAGGCTGAGGCAGGAGAATCTCTTGAACATGGGAGGCAGAGGTTGCGGTGAGCCACGATCGCACCATTGTACTCCCGCCTGGGCGACAAGAGCGAAACTCCGTCTCGGGAAAAAAAAAAAAAAAGAGTGGCACAGATTACATCTTAACACCATGAGTTTGAGCCTTCTCCCAAAGTTGGACAAAAGCTTTAAACTCCTCAAAGGCAGCCCAGTCTTGCTTTTACTACTTTGCCCTTTAGAATAGGGACTGACTTCAGTACCGACCTCAGACGAGAAGTTCACTGTCTGGTGATCTCATTACTGTCACAGATGCTGTTTCCACTCTTCTAATGAGGCTTCATTTAAACAAGAAATGGGCCTTCATTTGTTTAATGAGGCCCATTTAAACAAGAAGAAGGAGAAGGAAGAGAGGAAGAGGAAAGAAAAGAAGAAAGAAAATAAAGAGAAGGCTGAAAACAACAACAACAAAAAAACTCTGCTTTAAATGTCCTCTGCACTGGGAGTCACAAGTGAGGGTGTTTTTTAACCTTAGGTAAAGATACCTTTAATAAAAGGTTCCTTGTTCCTGGTTCACCCAGATAAAAGCAGATCAAAAAAGCCAGTACAAGAGGGACAGGCCAAAATGAAAGCTTGTTAGAAAATATGAGATAAATTTTTGGCCATGTCTTCTATAAATTGCCTGGGGCTCTCGACACTATATTTAGCCTCCTGAATTCAAGTCTATGCCCTAAATACAGTAACTAAGAGGAGGAGCCTGATGTAACTGACATACAGGCTGCTGAGTATCTTTGAAGGGTATAATTCACACATCAATACCAGTCATTCCCATTTTTCTGCGTCACTCACTCTCCAGGGACAATTTTAAATCATCTGTGGGTAGACAGTTCAGCCAACTAAAATTTAAAATGTTCATAAAATAGCTCCTGTACAAATAAAACCAATGCCCATAAGGACATCTTATTCTCCTTTTTGGGCCTCTTTCTCTCTATTTGCTTCCTCCTTTAGCACATAGTAATAGTCATTCATCCCAGAATGGGCTCACCAGATCCTGATTACGTACTCATACCTTCAGAAAATGTTTAGTGACCATTGCCATGCACCAGGCCTTTATGCCAAGCTCTAGGGATACAATGATAATCAACATAGAGCTCCTGATCTCAAGAAAATCATAGTCTAGAGGAGAATACAGATAAATAAGCAGTCAATATTAAAGAGCTGAGATAGGAAAGCACTAGAATAGTAGGGAAGCACCTAACCATTAAGTGCTGGTAGGCAGGTGTATTAGTCTGTTCTCACGCTGCTAATTAAGACATATCAAAGACTGGGTAATTTATAAAGGAAAGAGGTTTAATGGACTCACAGTTCCACATGGCTGTGGAACTTCTGCCACGTCTCACAATCATGGCAGAAGGCAAATGAGGAGCAAAATCACATCCTCAATCACATCATGGCAGCAGACAAGACAGCCTGTGCAGGGGAACTGCCCTTTATAAAACCATCAGATCTCCTGAGACTTATTCACTATCATGAGAACAGCACAGGAAAGACCCGCCCCCAAGATTCTATTACCTCCCACCGGGTCCCTCCCATGACATGTGGAGATCAGGGGAGCTACAATGCAAGATGAGACTTGGATGGGGACAGAGCCAAACCATATCAGCAGGAATCAGGGAAGGCCTCCTGAAGATAAAAAGAATTTAATGTCAGCGTTTTATTCAACAAATATTTCCTGAGCACCTACTTTGCATAAGCACTGTTACAGACCCTAAGGAGACAGTAATGAATAAGACAAGATCCCTGCCCTAGAAGAGCTTATTGAAAGAGACTGACAAAAAAGGAACAATAATTATATAATATAGCTTTAGGTAGTGATAACTGCCAAAAGCAACTAAAGCAAAGCAAGAAAGTAAAGAAAGATAAAGAACATAAAATAAAATACAGTGCATTTTATTTAAAAGTTTAAAACTAAAGAAATAGAAAATGATGAAACAGTCAGGAACAGTCACTTTCAGTGGGAGGCATTCAAGCATAAAATGGAGTCAAACAAGGAAGTCAACCATTGGCTCTTTTTCTTTTAATTTTTAGAAATGGGATCTTGCTATGTTGCCCAGCCTGGTCTCAAACTCCTGGGCTCAAGAAATCTTCCCACCTCAGCCTCCCAAAGTGCTAGGATTATAGGCGTGAACCAGCAAGCCTGGCCAATCATTAGCTCTTTATTGCCAAATGGTGTCTGTAACAAGCCATCCAGAAGCCTCTGTGAGGTACAACACTGAGCTCGTACTGCCCACACGTTTAGGGAGCTTGGCTGGGTGGCTCTGCTGATCTTGGCTGATCTTGGCTGGGCTCACACACAAGTTATTGACGGAAACCAATGAAGCTAGAGCAAGACCGACACAGGGGAGAACAACTTGAGGCTAGAGAGGGTGGCAGGAGCTAGATTAACATAGGGAATGGTAAAGAATTGGAATGTGAGTTAAGGTGTGATGGGAAGCTTTTGGAGATTTTTGAGAAAGGAAGAGGCATGATGTGATTATTGTTTGAAAAAGATCACCTTTTTAACAACAGGATAGGTCATAGTCAAGAGTGGAAGTGACGAGCTAAGGGACCTTTATTATTACAAAGGCAATATTTTGGCAATAAATGTTGGTGGCTTAGACTAGAGTAGCAAAGGCAGAGGTGACGGAAATGTCAGTTTTTTATTTTTTATTTTTATTTTTTTTGAGATGGAGTCTTGCTCTGTCACTCAGGCAGGAGTGCAATGGCACGATCTTGGCTCACTGCAACCTCTGCTTCCTGGGTTCAAGCAATTCTCCTGTCTCAGCGTCCTGAGTAGCTGGGACTACAGGTGCCCACCACTATGTCTGGCTAATTTTTATATTTTTAGTAGAGACAGGATTTCACCATATTGGTCAGGCTGGTCTCAAACTCCTGACCTCAGGTGATCCACCCGTCTCAGTTTCCCAAAGTGCTGGAATTACAGGCTTGAGCCACTGGGCCCAGCCAGAAATAGTCAGATTTTTAAAAAATAGTTTGAAGATACATCCAGCAGATCCTAAAGGTGGACTGCAGGTGGGTCAGTAAGGGAGAGGATAATCCAGCCCCAGAAGTGGATTCTGTAGGCTGGACTTGCCAGGCACCCCTACAACAACATATAGTAGATTTCCTTGGTTGCCACCAGAGAGTTGCCCAGAGAAGTGACATTGCCCTGTTCTGCCACTCTGACAGCTGTCACCAGCAGATTCAATATAAGATGGCCTATTCTTCACCCCTGGCTGCCAGTGGGGCCCAAAAAGATGTGAGCAGGCTCAAGGGTTGGCAGTCTTGGGCTTGAATCCAGTCCCTCCCAGCTACCAGCAGTGTGGGCTTTGCAAAGCTTCACCTCACTGAGTCCCAGCCTCCTCTTTAAAGTAGGAGTAATACAATCTACAATACAATAAAGTAGGGGTAATACAATCTACTTCGCAGGTCCATTGCGAGGACTAAGTTGAAAAACTCTATAGACAAGCACCTACCAGGATGCCTATACTCTCCCACATTGGATACCACCATTAAGTGAATGAAGGCAGCCATCTCCAGGAATCAGTAGTTCTGTGAGCTGTTTAATAAGTACTTGCTGGAAAAATATTTCTGGCACTCAAATACAATTATGAAATGCCAAGTTCAAAGGTCTCTTTACAATAGGAGTTTCCAGAATCTGCAATGGGCTAAAGATGTGCTGTGATTCTCCATGAGAAAGAAGAAAGTATGCAAATTTGCTGAATGTTTCTCAGGTATTTTCATAGGACCCTTATTTTCTTAAATATCTCCTGAGATGACTTGGACATTTCACATCTTGGAAAATAGTGGTGTTAAAGCTTTGTGGGTTTTTTTTTTTTTAAGACAGGGTCTCACTCTGTCATCCAGGCTGGAGTGCAGTAGCATGATCTTGGCTCACTGCAATCTCCACCTCCTGGGTTCAAGTGATTCTCCTGCCTCAGCCTCCCAAGTATCTGGGATTACAGGTGCCCATCACCATGTTCAGCTAATTTTTTGTATTTTTAGTAGAGACAGGGTTTCACCATGTTGGCCAGGCTAGTCTTGAACTCTTGACCTCAAGTGATCTGCCTGCCTCAGCCTCCCAAAGTGCTGGGATTATAGGCATGAGCCACCACTCCCGGTCAGTATAAAAGCTTTGTATTTCAAGCCCCAAGTGTTTAGCAGAAATAGCCATTGGGCCACTTGCCCTCTCTGAAGGGAAGTGCATGTAACAGGATCCAGTCCCCACCTTCAGAGCTGCCAGGAGTGGCAGTTCAGAAAAGTGGAATCTGAGGCCAAGTCTAAGGGGTCAAATTTCAGGCAAAAATGCTTGAGCAACATGGAACTGAGAAAAGAAGGCAAGCAGGGAGTCTGGCGTTGGAGGCCAGAGAGCAGAGGTGGGAAACCAGAATCCCAAATGTAGAAACAGCACAACAAAAGAGAAGAGGGAGAATGGAAAGGATGGTTGAACAGAGGCCAATAAAAAAGGAAGGAAGTTCAATCTTAGTTCAAAGCAAATATTGTGACTGTGGGAACGTGGCCCTCTTCCTCCTATCCTTGGCGTGTTCTATCTGGGCTAGGGGCAGGGCCTGAAGAGGCAAGTTCTGATTAGATAATTGAGATGTTTGCATGGACTTGCCAACTGGACAGAAATGGGTTCGTGCCAGGGGTATCTCTTTTGGAGCACCAAACATGTGGAGGCCCCAGGGAGAGGCTAGGGGAGGTAGGATCCAAGCAGGAATGCTCAGAGGCCATTGAAGGACCCCAAAGATGAATAACTTGTTTCTCACTGTTGCGTGAGGTTAGCCCTGCTTGGCCTGAAGCTCTAACCTCTTACTGTAGGTCACGTGTTCATAGAGGAGCCCTGTGCAGGACCCTCAGTACCTCTAAGGACACCTAGGACTTTGAAGTTCCCGAAAGACACACCCACATCTCTGTCTTGCCCTCCTCCTCATGTTCAAACTTCCATTCCTCCATTTTGAGCATCTTCTTGGCCAATCTAAAAACACACAAAAATCAATTTTAAAAACATCATGAGCCAGGAATTTGGCCTTTACTCAGATGTTTCTTTGGCAAAGTTCCTCAACATGTTTGTCATCAACCAACTCACCACTTTCCTGAACCAGTTTTTTCTGTGACTGCAGAGTGTATGCTTCAGAAGAATGTCTGCTATCACTGCATCAGCTCAATTCCACTCAATCAAGTGCTCATCACTGGATCTGGCTGACGTGTGTTGAAAATTCTCTAATTGTCAGGCATTGAACCAAGCTCTGACATGCTTTACTTAATTTATTTAATTCCCACATCCCCACAACAAACTTAAAAAGAAAGGAGGAGGTAATTTTTTTTCCAGTTTCACTGATGAGAAAACTGTGAAGTTGGGAAAAACCCAAGTTCCCACAGAGAGTAAGTGCCTGAGCTGGGATTCTAACCCAGATCCAAGTGCACAACCTTACACAGGATGTTAAATAAGAAATCCTAGTCCAGTTCCAATGCTGAACTGGGAATCTGGAGGTGCGGGTTCCGGTTCCAACTCTACAATTTGCTTTCCAGTGGCAAAGTCACTCACTGGGCCCCTTTCTCCCTTAAAACAGAGGCATGGGGTTATGAGATGCATACTGAAAGCCCTTTCAGTGACAGACTAGTCTATGTCTGTAGATTGTAACAATCATTAGTCCCTGTGCTCGTTTTTCTAAAATTAATGCACCCACCCCATCTCATCTTGAATTGTAGCTCCCATAATTCCCATGTGTGGTGGGAGGCACCCGGTGGGAGGTGATGGAATCATGGGGGCGGTTTCTCCCATACTGTTCTCATGGTAGGGAATAAGTCTCATGAGGTCTGATGGTTTTATAAGGGGTTTCCCCTTTCACTTGGCTCTCATTCTCTCTTGTCTGCCACCATGTGAGACGTCCCCTTCACCTGCCACCATGATTGGGAGGCCTCCCCAGCCACATGGAACCTTGAGTCCATTAAACCTCTTTTTCTGTGTAAATTACCCAGTCTCGGGTATGTCTTTATCAGCAGCATGAAAATGGACTAATACATAAAGGTTTAGGATTTTTTTTCTTCTATTCAGTTTTTTGAGGCAGTCTGGGGCATTTCCCTGGATTCTTTTCATTCTGTTTTCATTCCCAGGATCCATCTCCCTTCCCCAAAGCACTCTCATTTTCTTGAGGGTGACTCCTACTCTGACCTGTGGGGTGTGGGGCAGGCACTTGGCAGTAGGGTACTTCTGGGCATCTGCCTCCCTCCACAGACATGGAGGAGTGCCTTCATCTACCCTGGATGGCCAGGGCTGGGCATGACACCATACCAGAGTCATTCCGATTTAAGCTCACTGACCTCAGGACACTAGACACCATGGGTGATCTCAGATCAAATCTTGTGGTGCTTTGGGAGCTACAGTTCAGGGGTAGCAGAAGCTACATTACGTGGTATGGCATCTGTGCTGGCTGCAGCTTCCTAGCTACACTGCTTCTGTAGAGTGACTTCGGCTGCCGACCTGCAGCTGAGCTCTCTAGAGCTGCCCTGGGCCCTGCCCTTTTCCCAGTCTGGTTTTCTTGACTCCTCATCAACGTGATGTGCTTGCTAATGTCGTTTCAGTTCTTCTTCCCTCTCCTTTCTCTTTCTCCTTTCCTTTCTCTCTTTCTTTCCTTTTTATATTAGAGCCATTGCTTGCTATCAAGAACCCTGGGTAATACTACTATTTAGGTTTGAGTTTACATGTCAAGTATATCTTGGTGTTTGAGATATTTTTTCCACCGATTCTTCTGAAACTAATCTTTTAAAATTACCTTCAAATTCACTTTATAAATCATACACACAAAGCTGGTCTCATTAAATTGACATGCCTTATTTTTACCTAAAAGGTTTTCACCTAAGTCAATCATCCACCATATTTCTCCAGGCGTCACTTCAAGAGACTGCCAAATACCAAGCTGCCGACCAGTGATTTGGCTGCCTCACCAGCTGGCAGGCAAGTGAGAAAACACTGCTCTAGTGGTCGTTTCCTAGGGTCAGTTTTGGCTTGAAATTGAGCCCCCTGCAGACCTCTCCCATCCCAAGGTTGCTGCTCTATTACAAACTCATTCATTTCTTCCATTAGCGTAATTCACCCAGGTCCTTTCTGTACTTAAGGTATTACTAAATAAGGGATGTATGAGCAGACAAATGGATGAAGGACTAAATAAAAGAACAATTTTTCCATCTTTCCTGGATCTTAAACTCAAACATTTGAAAAATGTTAACCATGATCCAGCCCTGGTTTAATTAACTCCTAGTTCTTTGTGTGTGAGGTGTCTGGCCTAAATACAATCTCATCCACTGGAATTATGAAAGGGATCCTTGGAAGCAGTTTCAAGAACTCCATTGTGCTGTGGCACTGTAAATATCTCTAACATGAGGGGAAGAAGTGGGCACATTGATGTAATGGCCAGAAGTATAAGGCCTTCACATGATTTCTAGATTTTTTTATTTTTTTATTTTCTTCCGAGACAGAGTCTTGCTCTGTTGCCCAGGCTGGAGTGCAGTGGCATAACCTCAGCTCACTGCAACCTCTGCCTCCCGGGTTCAAGCAATTCCCCTGCCTCAGCCTCCTGAGTAGCTAGGATTACAGGCGCACGCCACCACGTCTGGCTAATTTTTGTATTTTTAGTAGAGACGGGGTTCCACCATGTTGGCTAGGCTGGTCTTGAACTCCTGACCTCGTGATCCGCCCACCTTGGCCTCCCAAAGTGCTGGGATTACAGGCATGAGCCACCACACCCAGCCAATTTCTAAATTTTTTTGCTTGTCTACCAAATTAAGAAAGAGAGAGAAAGGAGAGAAAAAGCAAAAACCAAATATAAACCAAGCTAGCCTTCTCCATAAACTGACATGTTTTTAAACTTCAGAAAAAAAATTATATTAGAATAATAGATATAGCAATAGAAATATACTTGAGAGGTTTTTGTTTGTTTTTGGGAAAAAAGAATCTAGAAATTGTAGAGTCAATTCAACTCAACATATTAATACAACAAGTATTAATTGGAAAACTACTATGGATTTATTCATTTGTTCTTTCATGCAATAAAAATCTGCCCCTAGGACATGCCCTACTGTGAGCTATGGGTACCGAGAGACCAGTTCCTGCCTTCTGGGGTGCCTCAGAGTTTAGTGGGGGATTAGATACATACACTGACACAACAGCTACTTAAGAACTAAGTTAGCAGAACAAAAAAGAAGCAGCACCCTCCTTTACCTGGGAAGGTTGAGAGAGTGATGCTGGGTACTAAAGATGAAAAGGTATCCTCAGGCAGGTAGAAAAGGGACCTGTATTAGTCCATTTGCATGCTGCTGATAAAGACATACCTGAGAGTGGGAAGAAAAGAGGTTTAATTGGACTTAGAGTTCTACATGGCTGGGGAGGCCTCAGAATCATGGCGGGAGGTGAAGGGCACTTCTTACATGGCGGCAGCAAGAGAAAAATGAGGAAGAAGCAAAAGCAGAAACCTCTGATAAACCCATCAGATCTCATGAGACTTATTCACTATCATGAGAACAGCACAGGAAAGACCAGTCCCATGATTCAATTACCTCCCCCTGGACCCTCCCACAACACGTGGGAATTCTAGGAGAAACAATTCAAGTTGAGATTTGGGTGGGGACACAGCAAACCATATCAGGACCTTTTGGGACCCTACTGCATGCCAGGCTCTTTACTAAGC